>NC_000016.10:12417567-13621351 GCF_000001405.40 Homo sapiens
TCTTTCCTCCTCCTTCTCATTCCTTTTCCCTATTCCTCATCATTCCTTTTCCCTGTTCCTTGTCATTCCTTTTCCCTGTCATTTCCCTCTTCCCTTCCTCCTCTTACTGCCTCTCTCCTGTTCTGTGTCCTCTCTTCTCTTTCCTCTCTTCTCTTTCCTTCCTCCCACTTCTTGTCTCCTCACCCTCCTCACCCTTTCCCTTCCCCTTTCCTTCTTTCTCTTTGTTCCTTCTTAGTCCTTGATGTGGAGAGGAAATTCATAATTTCCTGCCTCTCCCTGTTTTTCTTGAGCCCTGGGAAGAGAAGCGCTGTATGCCGACAGCGAGTGAGCTTTCTCTGCCTGCAGTAATTGGATGGCTTCTTGGTACTCCGCACTGTCTGTCTTTGGCCGCAGCATTGAGTCTCTGAGCTCCTGGGAAGGGGAAGGGAATAGATAAAGCCGCAGGGCACGTTTTTCTCTGGGAACCACATGCAAATGCATGTGGGATTTGTCTTACATTGGAGGATTCCCACGTGTCGGGAAAGTGCTTCCCTGACATGACTACCGAGTCACTCCTGATAGTATTCACCCAGAACTTTTAATGACCAATTATTGTTGTAGTACAGATTTAAAATTGATGTTAATTGGCTGGTGATATTTCATATTTAAGACAGCCTTAACTCTAAATACCACTTTTCACCAATTGCCGCAAAACCGTTTGCTAGCGTCCTTCCTCCAGATTAACCTGATCAGGAGAGAAAACAGTCTGGAGCCACAACACACATCAGATGTAGGATGTTCATGTTGACGATGAGGATTGTATTTATTTTTTTTTTGCTAGAAAGCTGTTTTTCTAGTGGAGTGGGTGAGAAGGAGAAAGGGACCTGTTCAGTCTGGCTGTGGTCTTAGGGTTTCTGGGCATGGTGTGGTCATTTGCACCAGTTTCTGTCCTTCTGTGTTTCTGGGTTTTCTTTTCTTTTTTTTTTGAGATGGAGTCTCACTCTGTTGTCCAGGCTGGAGTGCGGTGGCACGATCTTGGCTCACTGCAACCTCCACCTCCCGGATTCAAGTGATTCTCCTGCCTCAGCCTTCTGAGTAGCTGGGATTACAGGTGCCTGCCACCGTGCCCAGCTAATTTTTGTATTTTTAGTAGAGACGGGGTTTTGCCCTGTTGGTTAGGCTGGTCTCGACCTCCTAACCTCAAGTGATCCACCCACCTTGGCCTCCCAAAGTGCTGGGATTACAGATGTGAGCCACAGCACCTGGCCATGTTTCCAAGTTTTCTTCACATGCCTGGTGTCAGTTCCCATCTTGCAGTTTCCTACACAGTCAGCCCAGAAGTCCCCTTCTCCATGAAGCTTTCTCTCCTTGCCAGGAGCGGCAGTTATACATCTGCCTAAACCTGTCTGATGCCTCCCTTGCTAGACTGAGTGGAAAGAAGGGGCTGCTGGCTTGTAGTGGGCAGGGCCGGGGGTGCTGCTCAACATCCTACAGTGCACAGGACATCCCTCCACAACAGAGAATATCCTATCCCAAAATGTCTACAGCGCCACCGTTGAGAAACCCTTGTCTCTAGTCAACAGTGTAAGCATTGTTTAGTTCCGATGTTTCTCCCTGTCCTTGTGCTTGATTCTTTGTAGGCAGGTTTATGTGAGGAGCTGCATCTTGGTCCGAGGGCTGGTGGTAGGGGTTGAATCTGTGCCTGCCCAGATACTTGTGTGACAGCATCCTCTCAATGCAGCCATCTCCTCAGCAGGACCCGGCCTGCCCCTGTAATGTGATTCCTGTTCCTATTTAAGGCAGGGCTCCTCCAATGGGGACAGTGTGGGAGACAGCTGACCACCTCATTCTTCTCATCAAGACACTCATTCCCCATTGACACTTGCACGCTCTTGGTTGCGGGAGGAGGAAATCCAGCTCAGATTGACAGGAAACAGATGACATTCATTGACTTGCCTGATGGAAAAGACCAAGGGTACAGCTTGAATTTTAGGGGCTTAGTGTCATCAGACTCAGCCCCCCCCCCCATCTTTCTGTCGATTTGCGTTGCTCTGTGTTGGCTGTGTTCACGCCCAGGCTGTGGTGGCAGGGGTGGTGGGTTGCAGCTCCAGGCCTGCATCGTCTTGGAAATGTCCATGCTGCCCCCAGGGGAAAGGCCCCTGTTTCTTCTGAGGCTGACAACAGTCCTGGAAGTGACTGTCTTTGACTCTCAATGGTCTAGGCCATACCACGTGTCTGCTGACCCCAGTGCCTGGGTAGGTGTGATACTGGGTCGGTGTCGTGTACCTACTCCTAAAGCCATAGGTCGGTGGGAGAAAGATGTTTTCCCCAAAAGAAAATGAGGGTGCTCTGACTAGCAGAAGGGAGATGGTGTTTAACTGGCCAAAATCAGCCCACGTCCACTGAAGCCTGCAGGCTGCCCACAGCTCAGGCTCGGCTTAGGGCCAGTTTGGTGAAATATGTGCATCTCCACACCAGGGTTTTTTAACTGCAGCACAGCTGACATTTTGGGCCAGGTAATTCTGGGTTACAAGGGGTCCCCTGTGCATTATGGGATGTTGAACAGCCTCCTGGCCTCTACCCAGCAGCAGCCACATCCACTCCCTAGTTGTGACAAGCTAAGATGTCTCCAGCATTGACACATGTCACCTGGGAGGCAAAACTGCCTTCTTGCGAAGTTTCACATTAATACTTACTGATGAATAGACAACTGAAATGAATAAAGAAATGAATGAGTTGATAGCCCATTATTTCCAATATTTCACAGAATCGAAGACACCGTCAAGTGTTAGACCCATCCTGATTTCAGAGATGTCACATGTGAAGATAATGCCTGTCTCAGAATCAGTAAAATCAGGGTGTTTCATCTTCTCTTCCAGAGGCCTGGGAGGTGAGGGTGGTGGGAAGCCCGTGGGTCTGCTGGAGGAATCAAACCTCTGCAGTGAGGCACATCCTGGTGTTGGCAAGTGTTTGACATGGATTCTCAAGATGGAGTATGGTGTTGAGTCGACTGAAACCCGAGTTCACACCTGTATGTGCTGTGAAGTTTCTTAACATCTCTGCATGTCAGTTTCTGTCTCCATACAAGGAGATAATCATAGCACTGACCTCACAGAGTTGATATAAGGATTAAATGAGATGATAGAGGTAAAGCCACTTAGTAGGACTGGCCCCTACTGAGTACTCAGTCAAGGTGAGATGAGATGAAGAGGCAGCCTCAGGGAAATGATGGACGCATGAGTCACCAAGCTCATGCTTCAGGGTGAACACTGATAGTCTCGCCCACAAGGCCCCATGTCCGCCCTGGGGGAAGTGATGAGCGAGGGAAGGAGGGAGCCACCAGCGCTGCTGAGAGCACCACCTTCTTGTCTCCTCCGCAGTTTGACAGCAAGATGGGAACACAGATGAGATAATGCCTGTTAGTCCTGTGTACTAGGTGCTATGCGGGGTACTTTTTCTGCGATACCTCACTTAATCCTCATGCCAGCCCGAGACATGAGGTGGTCAGTAGCTGCATTTTACAGATAAGGAAACTACGGCACAGGAAGGTTAAGTGCCTTGCCTAAGGTCATAGCTGGGAAATAATAGAGCTGGGCTTTGCACTCTGATCCACAATCTTTCGAAACCCAAGGTGTTGAAAACACAGACTGAGAAGCCAAGCCAGCAGCCACTGCTTTATTCTTCATGCTAAGAGTTAGAAGCCAAAAGTAATGGAGGCTACTCCTAAGAGCCAAGGAGGTGGAAATTCAGAGTAGGCTGCTCTGCCCTTTAACAAGTCCAGACAAAGATTTAGCCAGGGAGAGAGTAAAAACCAAGGTCTCAAAGGAGGTTTGGAGACCAAATGGGGCTTCAGTTCCCCAGGCTCTGCCAGGCCCTTGACCATGAATACTTAAAAGCCAGCTGTGTTGTAAACAGTGGAAATATTCCTAGATCTTTCTTGATTTGATTTCCCTTAACACATATAGGGTGTTCAAGGAAAACACTGGCCTCTTACTCTGTAACTGCAGCCGTAACTAGAATTTTCCTATCAGAGTGCTGTTAGATTTAAGGAGGTAAAGAATGGAGAGAACTTGACGCAATGTCTGACACATGGGAAGTTCTTAGGAAACATTATAGCTGCTGCCACTGCTGTCATCAACCATGATCACCATTGTCATCATTAGTTCCCCTCCTCCTTCCTCCTCAATCAGAAGCATCACCATCATTATCATCATCACCATCATTACCAGTTATCATCATCATCACCAACCATCACCATTATTAACCATCCATCACCATCACTAGCCATGCATCACCATCACCAGCCATCCATCACCATCACCAGCCGTCCATCACCATCACCAGCCGTCCATCACCATCACCAGCCGTCCATCACCATCATCATCCGTCCATCATCCATCACCATCATCAACCACCCATCACAGGCATCATCTATCCATCACCATCATCAGCCATCCATCCCTTTCATCGTCAGCCATCCATAGCATCATCACCTATCATCCATATCCTCACCATCATCAAACATTGTCATCAACAGTATTTCATCTTCTCTCTCCTTTCTTAGGGAAACTCATTTAAGAAAGAGGCAGCATTTTTCTCCTTAAAAACATACAGCTGGCAGGCTGTCTAGACCTAGGTTTGCAGCTTCCTCTGCCACTCAATGGCTGTGTGACCTTGGGAAGGTTATTGCACCTGTTGGGCCTCAGGTTACCCATCTGCAAACAGAGATGAAAATACCTCCCCTCATGAGGTGGCAGAGAGGAATCAGAGCTGTAATATGAAAGGCTCAGTAAATAGCCATGCTTCCTGTTACCACAGCCCTTGTGTATCTGTTTCCCCTGGTGTTTTTAATTAATGCAAAATTAGGCGGGGTGGGGCAGACTTGGTAACATAACTGTTACTTCGACAGTCTAGCAAGTAACTTCTTCCAAATCCCCTGCTGCAAAAAGCAGCTTGTTTCCCTCTCAGCTTCTTCTGGCAAGTGAGATGCTTGAACTTTGCTTCCCTCCTCGTCTTCCCTGGGCTCCTTGTCCCAACACCCACCTCCTGTTGTCTGGGCCAAGTCAGTCCAGCAGCAGAGTTGAGATTCCTCGTCCCATCTCCACTGTCCCATGCTCTCAAGGTTATAATACCATCCTCAGGGACTTCCTGAGAACCCAATCAGCAAACTACACTTTCACACACCTCTCTCTCCCAGCCCCTGAGAAGAGGCCTCCACATGGCCGCCAGCTCAGCTGCTTCCTTCAGCCCCCGACAGAGCAGTCTGACAATTTCACTTTTGTGAAGCCTGGCATGGAGCTGGGATTCACAGTCTCTCAGGATGAGGCTGCTGGTGGTGTACGGAGATAGGCTTTAAAGGTTGGACTGGAAATGCATTTCTGTATCTGGAACAGGTAGGAAAGAAACATCCGAAGCTTAAAGGAACAGCCCCACCCTGTCTACTTCATTATAAGACTCAGGCTTCTCAAAGCCCAGCTCAGGAAGAAACAAACACACACACAAAAACCCAGCCTCATAGTGTCATGCAGCAGTTGAGGTGAATACGAGGTGATACCAAGCCTTCATGCTACAGGCACAATGCAAGTTCCAAAGATGGACCCTCGGCTCGCTAAAGCCAGGAGAAGCATTTACTCACCAATGCATGGGGTTGTTTTTTTTTTTTAAACACAGAAATAAAATGCTTATTATTCCCATGCCGCAGGCCCTGGGAAAACATTCATCACATAAACGTAGATCATAAGAGCTGATGACTGAACAGCTGCCTGATGGCTCACAGACCGTCTCTACCCACTGCCTCCCGTCAACCTCAGGATGAACATCGGGCATGAGCAATGGCATCACTTCCAGATGAGGAAGCTGCAGCCGGCATCACTCAGCTCAGAGCCTCCCCTCCAGCTCAGGGCTTTGGGGCTCAGGCAAACCCTACGAGCACAGAGGGACAGGCAGATAACTGTATCCAAATGTGAAACCTTTGGAACGAAGGCTGGGGTAACAGGTGCCAAGTGCATTTGGGACATGCTTTTTTTTCTTCTTCTTCTTCTCGAGATGGAGTCTGGCTCTGTCGCCCAGGCTGGAGTGCAGTGGCGCCATCTTGGCTCACTGCAAACTCTGCCTCCCGTGTTCAAACCATTCTCCTGTCTCAGCCTCCCGAATAGCTGGGGTTACAGGCGCGCACCACCAAGCCTGGCTAAGTTTTTGTATTTTTAATAGAGATGGGGTTTCGCTATGTTGGCCAGGCTGGTCTTGAATTCCTGACCTGAAGTGATCCACCAGCCTCAGCTTCCCAAAGTGTTGGGATTACAGGCGTGAGCTACCGTGCCCAGCCTACAAGTTTTTGTAAGAAGAGTGCATGTCAGGGCCTGTGGCCAAAAGGTGATACTGTTGAGGTGGACAAGGGGCCTGGTGTCGGGGATAGTCCTGTTTCTCACCAGAGAGTGTGAGGTCCATGAAGTGAAGTTCTAAGCATATTCTGAGCTGGTTGGCCAGAGGGAATCAGGGCTACTGGCAGCCTTAGCTTTGCACATGTCTACGTTAGAGCCTCAGAGGCGTGATCAGAAAGATTTAGTTTTAAGAGGATGACTTTGTACTTTTCAGATTTCAGAAGCCAATTTCTCTTCCCAGGTAGCAGTGCAGCGACTTTCTCTTGTCGATCTCTATCACGGGTAAAATGAAGAGCCCTTCAAGAGCAGAGTGTGGGTCTGTCTAGGGTGTGGCCATTGCCCAAGGCCAGAGTCTTTGACCAGGAGGCCCCATGGTCAGTTTCTGTTCTTTTCCTTGCATAAGAGTTTTGATTTTGCTGTTTCTTTTCTCTTCCACTGCATACTTTATATGGAAAATTGAAGAGATAATTGAATAGGGAGGTTTTATCTCTTGAATGTGCTAATATCATGGAGATGATAATATTCTGTCTTAGGGCCCTTCCTTGGGCGACTAGAACCATGGTAAGCAACCTGCTTTGAGAGAGCTGGAGACTGCTGGTACCTGCAAATTATTACTAATTACATCTAAAAATCTTTATTAGCAGTAAGAGGCAGAAATAGCTTCAGAGCCTAGGGGCTTAATTAAATGTGAAATATGCAGGAGAGAAGTAGCTTATGAAGCAAGCAGGAATCAGGCTATTATTTATTTTGATTGTTGAAATAGACCTTGTTGTTCCGAGTGGAGTTCTATCTGGGGGGATACCTGTAACAGACAGTATCTTCTCCTCCGTCTCTCCCCTCTCTATACCTTCCTTCCCTCAGTTATTATGGATCAGACACTGTGTTAAGGATTAGGTTATAGTAATGAGAGAGTAGACTAGCTTCTTGTCATCATGGAATTACAGTCTGTAGTGAGGAGAAAATTAATACTAATCAACCACATCAATAAATGGAGGATAACCCTAACATGCCCGTCCATAGACAAATGGATAAATAAATTGGGGTACATTCACACAGTGGAACCTTGGGCTGCAAGGAGATTAAAGATGTGTAACTACAGGCAACAGTATGGCTGGATCTCATAAACAATGTTGAGTGAAAGAAACTAGGTACAAAAAGATACAAACAAAACACACCCAGGTGATTGCATTAATCTAAACGCAAAAGCGGGTGAGACCGATCTGTGCTCTTGGAGGTTGTCCTCTGGGGGTATGGTGCAGCTCGGCTGATGTGGGTCACTTAGGTTTTCAGTGCTCAGGGTGAAAGTGAGGGGTCAGGAGAGAGCAGAAAGCTGGATCACCCCGCACATGCTAAGAAACCAGGATGGCAACGTGGATGTGGCGGGTTAAGCAAATTGAAACTGTGGATAATCATTAGCTCAACAGATGCCATAAGATCAGAGTGCCCCTGAGGCCTCTGGTCTCTGGATGATGCCCATGTATTTATCACTTAGTCACCGGAGCACAGATCTTAGAAGGAGGCCCAGGAGCCCTGGCTGCACACGTAATTCCATTGCACGCTGATTCAGTTTGGTCAAGTCCACACTACCCAAATGACCAGAGTTAAAAAAAAAAAAAAATAAAAAAAATAAAAAGAGGGAATAGAAAACAGAGGCAGGGTGGGAAGTAGAGAAGAGGCAGATAGAGACAAGGGGAAAAAAATCCAACACGGATGGACAGACGTATCTGGTTTAAATCCCAGGGCAGCCTGGGCCAGTTCTACTCAAATAGAGTGTGTCCTGGAGTTTGCACAGATGATTTGGGCGGCCAGGGTCTGCTCTTCCCCAGCCAGGAATTCATTTCTGAATTCCTCTCGGAATTCCTCTCCTATTGTGAGCATCTTGTGCTGAGAGCTACATGTTTTTTCATGCTGCTTTTTTCTACCCTTGGGCACTGTTGACAGAAATAACCATTTCTGCTGTACCCACAAAACTTGGTGTGTTTTCTGCAGGGCTAACCTGGACTCTCTTGCAGGCAGACAGAACCATCACCCAGCCACAGCCTGCCAAGACCTTCAGGGATAGGCCTTGGGCATTGGCCAGAGACCTTTTAAAATTATTTTATAGGAGTACTAAAGGCTTACTGGGACAAAAAAAATATTTGGTTTTTTAGTTATCTTATTTTTTTTTTTTAAAAAGATACAGTACTGTTTTAATACTTTGGTATATCAGGTAGCTTGGGCTAAGTTATACTGTTGTGACAAACAGTCCTCAAACCTTGGCAGCTTACAACAGTAAGTTTATTATTCATCTGTTTCCCACTCATGCCACACATCCATCATGGGTCAGCTGTGGCCTGTGCTCACGCTGTCTCTATGCCAGGATCCAGGAAGAAGCAACAGCCTTTAGCCGGGGCTTGCAGCTCTCCTGGCAGGGGGGTAAGAGACAGTGGCAGGCCTTGCTCTGATCCTGAAAGCTTCTGCTCAGAAGTGACACGTCACTCCCTCAAAACACATGGTCAGGCCTGAAGATAATGAGCCGGAAAGTATAATCCTCTCACAGGGAGGAGCCCTGCAGGAGGGTAATGGGAACATCTGGTAGAATAGAAATATAATGTGCCTTCACAAGTAATACTCACTATAGAAAACCCCAGGAAGGATAGATATGTGTTACGTAGCCAATAAAAATGGTGATGTAGATCTAATTTTTAAAATTCTTTTTAAGGTGAATTTTATGGTATGTGAATTGTATCTCAATTTTTAAAAATTATTTATTTTTTTGAGACAGAATCTCACTCTGTCGCCCAGGCTGGAGTGCAGTGGCGCGATCTCAGCTCACTGCAGCCTCTGCCTCCCGGGTTCAAGCGATTCTTGTGCCTTGGCTACCTATGTAGCTGGGATTACAGGTGCATGCTACCATGCCCAGCTAATTTTTGTATTTTTAGTAGAGATGGGGTTTTGCCATGTTGACCAGGCTGGTCTTGAACTTGTGACCTCAAGTGATCCACCTGCCTCGGCCTCCCAAAGTGCTGGGATTACAGGGCCCGAGCCACCATGCCTGGCCAGTATTGTAGATCTAATATGTCAGCTTGGAAAGCTATTTATTATATATGCCAGAATGGGGGAGGGAGAAGCAGGTAACAAAAGAGAATGGATAGTTTAGGCTCATTTTTAAAAATTATAATTAAAATGTATATATTAGCATAGGAAAAGACATGGAAAGATCTAGGCCAGATGTAGCACCCCTTGGGGTCTGCAGAGCCTAGCTGGGAAATGACTCAAGGTGGTTTCTTCTCGGTGCCAACCCTCTGTCACCATGCAGGGTTTCAGACTCTGTGTTCCCTCATCTTCCAGGTTTGTTTGTCGTTGCTGTTGTTTTTTTTTGTGATGAAAATCTTGATTTCAATGTTAAAACCTCTTATTTTTAAATGTTGGCAACCAATTAGATGTTTTAACCTGCGTGAATTACCAGTTTGCCACCTCTGATAGGAACCAACAATGGCTTTCTCTGGGTAGTGAGATTTTGTATGTTTTGTTTTTCTTTTTTTTATTTATCTGTATTTTCTCAGTTTACCTTGAAGCCAGGTATTTCCTTTTGACAAATAGTAATTGGGGAACTGATAAAAGAAAAAAAATACTTTAGGTATAGGAATTGCTCTTGACTTTGTAATTCTCTATTCGGTTGTTGGTATTTAATCAAACAACAGTGACCCAAAGCATCGGCCATGCTTGGAGGTTAATAAAACGGCCAGAGACAATGCCTGTGCCAGGACAGGCTGAACCCCAAGAGGAAGTCACAGTGGGAAGAGGGTGCAGAGCGCCCTTGATGTCTTGCTGACCTTGAACATCAGGATTCTCTATGTTGGCTTCTGTTGACACAGAGCCCTGATGTGTCTTCTTGAAAATGACCCCATGACTGGGAAGATGCCAGCTGACTTGGTGGGAGAAAGGAGAAACCTTCTGAGGGCAAGTTCCCAGAGCAGTTGCTAAATAAGATCAGACAAAGCACTTAAACTCCAATTTAGCAGTTACCCGAAGCACAGCTCCCTGCAGCAGCTTCATTTGCCAAATGTGCCTTTTGCCTTTAAAGACACAGGAGATTGCATGAAGCAGAGAAAGATAATTTGTTGGATATAAATGTGAATGTAAGAGTAGGCCTTAGATTCAATACACACTGTTGAATATTCAGGGTTTTATTTTATTTTATTTTTCCCCCAACTGTAATTCCCTGCCTCATCACCCATCATGCAAATGTGATTCTTAGACATTTTCTAATGTTACTCTTTCCCTAAACAAGTAATCAAAACAGGGCTTTAAGCTGCATTTGGACTGCAAATAAGTTTAGTATAAAATGTAATTATTCTCCTTAAAAAATCAACAGAGACAATTTGGACATTGGAATGGCTTGAATTATCCTTAAACAGAACTCAGGGTGGTGTCCATTCCAAAGATTAAAATAAGGTAAGACCAGTCTTAGCTGGTAGTAGCCAGTTTCTTAAAAAATAAATAAATAAATAACTTTAAAAAATGCTAAAAGTAGTACATCTTCTTTATAGAAAATTCAGAAAATAAAGTTAGAAAGAAGGAAAACAAAGGACTCACATAGATACAGTTGCAATTAATATCTCCTTCTAGTTAATCCCACCACACAGATATGATTGCAATTAATATCTCCTCCTAGTTAGTCCCAATACATAGATATTTGATTGCAATTTATATCTCCTAGTTAATCCCAATACATAGATATTTGATTGCAATTAATATCTCCTTCTAGTTAGTCCCACCACACAGATACGATTGCAATTAATATCTCTTTCTAGTTAATCACACCACATAGATACTATTGCAATTAATATCTCCTCCTAGTTAGCCCAATACATAGATACGATGGCAATTATTATTATCTCCTTCTAGTTAATTCCAACACATAATATATGAGTGCAATTAATATTTCCTTCTAGTTAGTCTCACCACACAGATACGATTGCAATTAATATCTCCTAGTTAATCCCAACACACAGATACGATTGCAACTAATATCTCCTAGTTAATTACAACACACAGATACGATTGCGATTAATAGTTCTTTCTAGTTAGTCCCAACACATAGATACGATTGCAATTAATATCTCCTAGTTAATCCCAACACACAGATACGATTGCAACTAATATCTCCTAGTTAATTACAACACACAGATACGATTGCGATTAATAGCTCTTTCTAGTTAGTCCCAACACATAGATACGATTGCAATTAATATCTCTTCCTAGTTAGTCCCACCACACAGATATGATTGCAAGTAATATCTCCTTCTAGTTAGTAACAACACACAGATATGATTACAATTAATATCTCCTTCTAGTTAGTCCCACCACACAGACACAACTGAAATTAATATCTCCTTGTAGTTAATCCCAACACATAGATACGATTGCAGTTGATATCTCCTTCTAGCTTTTCTTCTGTGCATTTTTTTCTTTAGTTGGAATCGTGTCACATGTAAACGTCTGTGTTCTGCTTTTCTTTTTCCTCTAAGAGACAGTGTCTCATTCTGTCACCCAGACTGGAGTGCAATGACAAGATCATAGCTCACTGAAGCCTCAAATGCTTGGGCTTAAGCTGCCCAAAGCCCTGGGATTACAGATGTGAGCCACTGTACTTGGCCCTGCATCTGCTTTTTAATTTAACGTGAGATTTTTCTCATGTTACTCTACACTTTACACCAAAACCATCTCTTGCGGTGCACAGTGTTCCACCATCACGCTGTCATATCATTTCTCTGATTGTTCCTTTTGCTCAACATTTAAGTTTTTTTCTAATTTCTCCTTGTCAAACAGTTGTAGGGAACCATGTTGCTCTTCAGGCTTGTTTTGTATGTTACATTCTTTTCCTGAATAGGTTTGTGGTTAGAGGAGCCGGTAGCAGTGTGCTGTCTTAGAAAGGGCATGGACTTTTGTAGTAGATGGATACAGATTGCAATCTTGACTATTGTTTTCTTGCTCTCTGACCACAGGCAGCTTACTGAACTGCTGTGCTTTATTCAAGGGTCCTAAACTGGTATTGGGCTGTTGCCTGTTAGGAACCGGGCCACACAGCAGGAGGTGAGCCGTGGGCCAGCAAGCATTACTGCCTGAGCTCCGCCTCCTGTCAGATCAGCAGTGGCATCAGATTCTCATAGGGGCACAAACCCCATTGTGAACTGTGCATACAAGGGATCTAGGTTTCATGCTCCTTATGAGAATCTAATGCCCAAAGATCTGAGGGGAACCCTCAGTTCATCCCCAAACCATCAGTTCCCCCCCCAGCCCCAGTCCATGGAAAAATTGTCTTCCACGAAATTGGTCCCTGGTGCCAAAATGGTTGGGAACTGCTGCTTTATTTTCTTTGTCTGCACAGTGGGGGCAATGCCACCCAACTTGGAGGGTGGTTGTGAAGTGAAGGATAATGACTGTGAGGTTCCCGGCCTTGTGGGGGACACTTACATCAGTTGCTGTGTTTTCTTCTCCAAGAACAGACCTGAGGGGCAGTGACCTTGGGATCAGGCACACCTGCTTTGGAATTGGTCATTCCTGAGTTTGCATCCCAGCTCTGCCCTCAGAGATCTATAGCCTTGGGCAAGTTAACATTCCTAACCTCAGTTTATTCATTTGTAAAATGAGCATAGTGCATCAAAGCTTATAAAGTAGTTATTAGGATCAAATGAAATTAATAAAGTGTTATTACTTGTAAAGCACTTATATAGTCCCAGTAATATAGCTCATTCTGAATACATGACAGGCTTTATTGTTATGACTGTTACTATTACTTTTGTTGTCCTCATTGTTCTTATCCATGCTGGAAGCGGGCTGTAGAGAAGCTGCGGTGGGAGAATAAAGAGAGACACCTTAGTCCACTTGTAAGTGGTGACAGTCATAAAAGCTTCCAGGAGGGGGTGATTCTTGACGCAGTCTTTTTTTTTTTTTTTTGAGATGGAATCTCACTCTGTCGTGCCCAGGCTGGAGTGCAGTGGCACAATCTCTGCTCACTGCAACCTCTGCCTCCTGGGTTCAAATGATTCTCCTGCCTCAGCCTCCCGAGTAGCAGGGATTAGAGGCACCTGCCACCACACCCGGCTATTTTTGTATTTTTAGTAGAGACGGAGTTTCACCGTGTTGGTCAGGCTGGTCTCGAACTCCTGATCTCAGGTGATCCACCCACCTCGGCCTCCCAAAGTGCTGGGATTACAGGCGTGAGCCACTGCGCCTGGCCTGAAGCAGTCTTAAATGTGGAGTTGGGAGTGAGTGGGGTGGGGGCCCTGTGAGCTCTCCCAGGCCCCAAGACGAGATGTCTGGGCAAAGGGGGAAGAGGGGAAGAGCGGGCAGGTAGGAGAAATGGCCCCCTGCTGTGAAGGTCGAAACAGTGCAGATCCTGAGAACATCCCTCCAATTAACAGCCCCAGGGGTCTGTGAGGAGGAGAGTATTAGATTTATTATATTGTGATGTCTTTTGCTTTTTCATTTAGGGGCTTGAGCTTTTCTTCTTCTTCTTCTTCTTTTTTTTTTTTTGTTTTTGTTTTTTTGTTTTTTTTGCATTGAAGTTATTGATCCACAGTGTACGAATGATGCTCTCCTGCTCTGTGGTCTAATGAAAAAAGTCAGCTCTGATAGAACACATCAAAAAGTGAAATAAACTCATTCCCTTAAAAAAAAAAGTTGACCTTTTGCAAAAAGTGTCAGAAAATGGGTCCATCTGTGTTACGTAAAGTGTGAGTTTTCTCTCTGAGTTGAATGAAGTCAGGAAATGATCATGAAGAAAACTTCTGCTTCAGAGTGTCAAGAATTGAGGGGTGTTGCTCTTGGTCACAGCATCTTCTGAGCTGTTACCTAAACCCACAGCCGGTGCTGTGAGGTCGGGTAATGCTCACGACATAGCTTTAGCTCACAAGCTGCTTTCTGAAGTCTTGTTCCTTCATTCATTTGTTCTTTCATTCATTCTTTCTTTCAGCTAACCAGGCAACCAGTGAACCCACGAACAAAGACTTACGGGGAACCTTCTGTGCAGGCCTCTTCTGTGCCCTGGGGATATACTCAGGAGGCCAGAGAGATAAGATGGCTGCTCCCAAGGAGTGCAGGCTTAATAAACAGTTCAGCAAATAGCACTTTACTTTTATTCAGCAATGAGTGCTGGGAAGGAAATAAGACCTGGTGATGGTGGAGGGGACGAGGACACAGGGGTGGAGGCTGCTTTATCTTGGGTCATTGGGAAGGCCTTTCTTCATTTTTCTTCATTGATTGGGGCAGGAATAGTCCTTGGGCTTTTTGGCAGCCCAGACTGAACAGATCGGTCCTCCGCATTTACGCATTCGCCAATTACCGTTAGTCATGGCTGTTTGTATATCTTGTATTCTAAGACTTGACCCTGGTTCTCCAGAAACCTTGTGGTGTGGTGGAGGAAACAGATGCATTTTTGGGGTCCAGGCTGTCACTGTAAATATTCATGATGAGTAAGGGGCACACACCAGGACTGTAGAAGTCCAGGGTTTGGGCACTTAGCCCAGGCTGGTATGGGGAGTGCTCAGGAAGACACATCTTCTGGAGAAAAGGTGGCCTGGGCTGGTGGCAGGAGGATCAGGCAGAGAAGGCTGGGCAGGGCATCCTAAGAAGGGGGATGGCAGGAAGCAGAGCCAGGGAACAGCACGCTATGTATAAGAGCAGCAACGCCACACACGTGCCGCGCGTCACCTCCTGTAGGCCCAGGGGCAGACCCTGCCTTAACTGTGATGTCCGAGTACAGGGCTGTCTAGGTCCATGCCTTCACTTGACAGTGACAGGAGCTTGGCTAGTTTATGTGGGAGGGAAAAAAAGTTGACGAGAGGAGAGGCGCTCATTCTGCTAGAATTCAATGGCAGCTCACAGAATGAAGTGTAGGGGTGAGAGGCTGGGTCTTGCAGCCGGGGAGCAGGGCTCCCCACTATGCAACTGCCAGGGGCAGAAGACTTTCTCCCCATGTGTTGACTGTGCATTGGTTTTAGGGAAGGGCTTTGGTGGACCGGACCTGGTGCATGGGGTAGTGTGATGCCGGGCCTGGGCCATGGCATGGGGGTGAGGGTGTGGGTAGAGGTGGGTTCTGTGGCAGAGCCACTAGGAATATGCAGAATGTGGAGCGGGTTCCTGAGTGGAAGGAGCCCCAGGGAAACAAAACCAATCACATGCTTCTGAAAAGTTGTGTGTGTCCCGTTCCTTTCAGACCCTGTGGAGGTCCACTCCCACCACGAGTCATTACATTTGTCTACATCTTGGTTAGCCACAGTTCTGGGCAGCTTTTGTCACCTTGAAAACAGAGAAAAGAAATGTCTTGAGGGGAGATAATGTCGATGTAACGAGCCTTCTTCCTCTGCCTTAACGTCCACTGATTGGAACACCCCATTTAGAAACTCGGCTCACAGGATCATAAAACTGTAACGATTGGCCGGGCGCAGTGGCTCACACTTGTCAGCCCAGCACTTTGGGAGGCTGAGGTGGGTGGACCACCTGAGGTCAGGAGTTTGAGACCAGCCTGGCCAGTATGGTGAAACCCCGTCTCTACTAAAAATAGAACAATTAGCCTGGCGTGGTGGCATATGCCTGTAGTCCCAGCTACTAAAGAGGCTGAGGCAGAAGAATCGCTTGAACCCGGGAGGTGGAGGTTGCAGTGAGCCGAGATCATGCCACTGCACTCCAGCCTGGGCAACAGAGCAAGACTGCGTCTCAAAAAAAAAAAAAAAAAAAAGGAAACTTAGCTGGGCGTGGTGGGCGTGGTGGGCATGGTGGTGCGTGCCTGTAATCCCAGGTACTTCGGAGGCTGAGACACAAGTATCGCTTGAACCTGGGGGGCGGAGGTTGCAGTGAGCTGAGATTGTGCCACTGCACTCCAGCCCAGGCGACAGAGTGAGACCATGTCTCAAAACAAAACAAAAACCCAGAAAACTAATGATCAAAGGCCCTATTCAGCTTTCTCTGGACCCATTCCAGTTCATAGCTGTTTTCATTCCTGATGCTTATGCCAGTGCTTAAGGGTCAGTCTCCTCTGCTTAACTTGCTGGCCAGAGTATCTGTCCCCTGCCCCCTGTTTTGAGGTCCTCACATGGGGCATCCTTCTTAAAACCTCCCATGCTTGTTCTCTTGCCCAGACCTAGATCAAGGTTGATGGGCAAGTTTACTGGGTGGTGTTTATTTCATGCCATTTGACATGCTGGGGTGGAGAGTTTGGACTATGGATTGAAACATGCTTCTGCCTGGCCTCAGGCAACTTAATTGACCTTTCTGGGCCTCAGTTTCCTTCTCTGTGAAATGGGGATAATATTATAACAGGAACAAATCGGTAAGATAATACTCATTATTGACCAGAGTGTGTACAAAGTAGTAAGCTCTCAGTGGCTGTTTTTGTTTCTCTGTTTGCCTGAAATAGGAAGTAGCTGATCTGTGAGCTCTAAGATCAGAAACCTGGGCCCTGGGGACAGGCCTGTACCCTGAAAACTGCAAAGCAGGGTGTTTGGTGGGGTGGGAGGCAGCAGAAGGGGGAGCAGGGCGAGGGAGCCGATGTTCATCCATTTTTTGTGTGTCCTGTCTCAGAGCCAGAGTGATATGCCTGGAAGTGCTAGTCGGGGGTAATATGTATCTAAACCACTGTTTTCTAAACTGTGTCCTGAAACAGCCTTGTGTACCCTGCAACCCCCAAAGCAGGGCCTTCCCATAACCCACCCAAAGACAGTTCCTCCAAGTGCTAGGGACCCGCCAACACCCCTGCACAACGGCTGGGGGCTTTCTTAACTTCCTGCATCTGACACCGAAGGCCCTGCTGACCTCATCCAGGACAGTACAGGTCAGACAGGCCTTTGCTCCAGTCCCATGAGCACACTGATGTTAACCTGTAAGGAAAGGCTAGAACGGGGGGATGCCAGGCCTGACATCTAGCATGGGAAGTCCCTCCATGCTGCCACTTTGTAACAGACGTTACAGACGTCTGTTACAAAGTATAAATTCAGCCTTCTGGGGTCCCAGAGAAAAGGGAACTGGCACTTGGTGTCTTTGGTGTCAGTCCTGTTATGGGGGGCGGTGGGGGGGGTTTGGTCATCTCTTCATGGGGAAGAGGCTGTGATCTGTGACCAGGTCATATACCAGGAGCTTGACCTTGGGCCAGTCTGTCCATCCCCAGGCCCAGGAGAGGGTTGGAGGGATCACATCACTTTGCCATTTGCAGCTGTTCTTCAGTTGCAGAGAATGTGTGCACCCTGCTGCCCTCTGCCTCTCCGTCTTTCTTCCTCTGTCTCCTCCCGTTTCCCTCTATTCCTCCCATCCCAAGAAATCAGCACAAGCATCAGCTGATAGGACCCATCTGGTCTTAGCCAGTATTGAGAATAAAGGCATTTTGCAGGGACACACTTCTGCCTTACAACTGTTTCTTAAAATTCTGAAGTGTTCTCTAGATCAGAAAAAGATCCCATTTATTAAACTGATGACCAGCGAGGAGACGGTCAGGTAGTTTAGTTGAAGGGAGCAGCTCCTCCTTAGGGCACCTAAGACTCAGGCCACAGGCAGGCGGGTACGAGGCTCTGAGAACCTGCCCTGCTTGAGGGGTCCTGGGCATGGCTTTGGCTACTTCCATTTTTATGAATCCTTCTAGACATCTCTTGGGACATAGCTGTTTCAGGACACAGTCTAGAAAACACCAGAGGACGCAGTTTAGAAAACACCAGTTTAGATATGTATTTCCTCCTTGATGAGCATAGTTCTCAGCAGCTGCATCCAGTAGCCCAGTCTGGGTCCTCAGCCTTGTGGGGTTCTTTTGCTTTGCTCCTAGAAGGCCCCAGCTGGAATGTTGTTACCCATGATCCTGGGTCTCCTTGCAGCAGAGCCAGCCACTCCATGGTGAGGATGCACTTTGTTGGTTCCCCTGGCTTCTGGGCCTTGGGCAGGTTGAAATGGCAGGTGTAGTCCCAGCTGGGCAGGGCATCCTGAGAGAGGGGATGGCAGGAAGCAGAGCTAGGGAGCAGCACGCTATCTGTGGGAACAGCGACGCCACACACGTGCCGCGCGTTACTTCCCGTAGGCCCAGGGTCTGGGCCTTGGGGTTGGATTTTGGGTCTGCCTTGCTCCTGGGGCAGCTGCTAGGATCAAATGTTGTGGGGGCGGGTGTCAATGGCACTCAATTGGGGCGCCGCACACACCGTGAGTTTTATGTTGGTGATGCAGACGTAGCTGAAGGTTGATTTTCCAAAGGGGATTAAAGCTCTTTTCCTGGCGATGCCCGAGACCCCTGCTATGCTCTGCTGCAGCCCCCGGAACAGTATTGGCACAGGTGAGGGCCACGCCTCCTCCCTGGGCCCAGGCATCAGGCGCTGGCTCTCCACAGGAGGCCGCAGCTTAAGGAGCTCACAGACGTTTCTATTCGGAGAGAGGGGAAGGAACGAAGACAGGAACACAGCACCGTTTTTAGTACCAGGAGACAGCGACAGCTTGGCGTCAGTGCGATGCGTGACATTTCCGTGTGTAAGGTGTGCTGCTGCCTGGTGGAGTGGCGCGCGAGCACCTGGCTGCTTTCCTCCCTGCCAGATGCCATTTCAGGAAATCGCCTTTGTTGCTCAGGCATTCATACCCCTGACTGCTCAGGCGCAGCCTGGCTTGGGATTCAGGAGGGCTGAGGGGCCTCTCTGAGCTCCCCTGGTGCCTGGAAGGACTCTTCAGGGTCCTAGCCCCTGGCCTGCCATGAGGGCCATCATCTTTAGGCACTTTCTGACCGGGGGACTTTGGCTGTGTCCTTTTGAGACACAGTGTTGCCCTGTGGCCCAGGCTGGAGTACAGTGGCTCACTGCAACCTCCGCCTCCCGGGTTCAAGCAATTGTACTGCCTCAGCCTCCCTAGTAGCTGGGATTACAGGTGCCTGCCACCATGCCCGGCTAATTTTTGTATTTTAGTAGAGATGGGGTTTTGCCATAGTGGCTAGGCTGGTTTCGAACTACTGGCCTCAAGTGGTCTGCCTGCCTCGGCCTCCCAAAGTGCTGGGATTACAGGCATGAGCCACCACGCCCGGCCTCTTTCCTTGTCTTTGAACTTGAGGTATCGCTAGGGTATTTCCAGTGTCCCAGTCCAGGCCTGACATCTCTGAATACATGAAAGGAAAGTAGCAAACCTGAGATTCTGAAAGACAGTTTGTGTTCCAGCTTAGAATGAGAGACAGAGAAAGCAACAGCGTGTGCATAAAGAATCATGGGGGTTTAAAACTGTTACTGAAATCCTGTAATTTTTCAGGGTAGCCCAAATGAATGTGGTATGTTTCTTTCTCTTTGCTTTTCCTCCTATTTTTCATGCTTTCTCTCTCACTTTGCTTTTCTTCCTTTCTTGGTCTGTTTCTTTTCTCTTTCTCTCTTTCACCTGAGTCCTGGCAAGGTGTCACACACTGTGCTCTCAGCTCAGGATGGAGTGGATGGGCCTGAGGCCCTGCCCACCGCATTCCCTGTCTCATAGCGGGGAGAGTCAGGTTCAGATGGCTGTGAGGCAATGGGTCAGGGGGTAGTGTGAGAGGAGGGTTGCCTGTGCCAGGCATGGGAGATGGTGGCCTTTGCGGAGGACAGGTGACATCTGAACTGAGTCTCAGGACATACATATGAAGTACATCAAGGGGCAGAATGGGGCTGGCAGGTAGACAACATCTCTGTCTCCCCGAATTGCTGGTTAGCTGTTCTGAGTCCTTTCCCCTCTTGACCCTGGCTCCTTCCCCACCCATAGCTGCCCTCTCCTCCTTCATAGCCCCAGGACCCAGAGTCCCTGGGAGGGGTCAGGAGCACACCGGCACCCAGATTTATCTCCACCATCTTCCCCTTGTTGCTTCAGGTGAAATCTCAAAAATGCACGCTGGCTGCTGGCACTTAATGTCTTTTTCGGCTGCACCATCAGTGAAGCAGGGCTGGCCTTCCAAACCACTCTGGGGGGTGCCCTTCCCCCCAGCCCAGGGCCACTGCCTGGCATCTTCATGCTGGGCTTGCTGCAGCTGCCCACAGCCCAGGGCCCCAGCGGTCCATCTGCACTGCCAGGCCCAGCTCTGCCTGGTGTGGGCTCCTCACCCCATGTGGCACAGATGCAGAACCTTGGACTTGGACTTGGGAGCACACGTCCACTCTTGGCCAGGGGCTGCTGGCTTACTGAGAGTTTCCTGTTGACCTTTCCAAGCAGCCTCAGAGATTCACCTCTTGGCCTAGCTTGGGCAGGAGTGGGGAGGTGAGGGGGCAGGAGTAGGGGGGCATCTCTGGACTATCTTTATTCTGACCTACTTGATGCATCAGGTGACTTGAAGGCAGCCACCAGTCCCATGAGGCCAGGCAGGCAGTTCACTGCAGGCGTCCCAGCCCCACCTGGTTTCTAGCCAAGGCATCAGCCCTCCTTGGGAAACTTTGACCTAATTTGAGAGCTCAGCTGGGTTCAGCGCTCTCCCCTCTCCCTTTATTTTCTTTCTGCTGGTGTCCTTCTCCTTTCCCCCTTACCACCCAGTTTACCTCTCCCCTTCTTCATTTACCCGCTCACTCCAGCCCAGGACCCCTTTACTCTGGCAGACCCTGTCTTTTCAGTGATCATTTGATCTCAACCTCTGTCCAAGCAGGAAAAGGTAGCAGCCTAGATTTGGACATTCTTTTAACACAGACCAGCATTGAGGCTGCGCCTTGCTGGGTGCCAGGTAGAGGCAGTGAGGCTGCCTGGTCTGTGGTGGCAAGGATAGCCAGACTCACAGACTTTCAGAACTTCAGCTCAGAGGTAAGAGCTTGTTGTTGAAGAAATGACCATAATCATGAATGAACAGTCAGAAAGCCCAGGGACTTTTGAGCACATTAAAATCAGAAGAGGTCACATTTGAACTGAGATCTGATGACTGAGTTGGAGCTAACCAGGTGTAGGGGTGGAAGGAACGTTCTAGACTCAGGGAAGGTTCTGGGCTGAGGGCCTGGGATGGACAGGAGCCGGGCCTGTTGGAAGAACTGGAAGATCTACCTGGCTGCAGAGAGGGAAACACAGCAGGGAAGGGGGAGAATGATGTAAGGTGAGGGTAGAGAGGAAGGCACCGGACAGGATTGTCCACCTGCCATGTAGACCATTGTCTTCCATCGTGGTTGCACATGGCAGCCCGGGCTTCCAAGGCAGGGCTCAGAGCACGTGAGAAGGAAGGCTTCCCTTCCCCAGCCTCCCTCATCAGTGAAGCCAGTCTTTCCCAGAGGCCCTCCACCTGCTCTTGTCCTGGTTGCAGGGGCACCTGAGAAAGTGTCATTTGCCAGCCTTGCAATGGGAAGCAGCCTCTGTAGGCAGGGAAGAGAGCTGAGAGACGGCTAGTGGGCCAGCAGCTGCATGTCTACCATGACCTGGTGACAAGATAGTGACACCTAAGAGCCACTGGAAGTCACCAGAGAGGCCAGCGGGGAGTAGTGGGTCCTGATTTTCCGGTGTGGAGTCAGGGCTTGGCTTCTGAGTTAGCCACTATATTAGTTTGTTTTTACACTTGTGATAAAGACATACCAGAGACCGGGCAATTTACAAAAGAGGTTGAATGGACTCACAGTTCCCATGACTGGGGAGGCCTCACAATCATGGCGGAAGGTGAAAGTCCCATCTCACATGGTGGCAGACAAGAGAATGAGAGCCAAGCGAAAGGGGTTTCCCCTCATAAAAGCATCAGATCTCGTGAGACTCATTCACTACCACGAGAACAGTATAGGGGAAATTACCCCCATGATTCAGTTATTTCCCACTGGGTCCCTCCCACAACATGAAGGAGTTATGGCAGCTACAATTCAAGATGAGATTGGGGTGGGGACACAGCTAAACCATACCAGTCACATACTAGCCATGTGACCTTGGTACACTTACTTTGCCTCTCTGAGACTCAGTTTCCCACTTTTCTGCTAGGGCAGTAGTACACCTTCACCCCTGCAGTGGGGGAAGAGCACTAACATGCTTGGTGCAGGGTGGGTGCTCCCCAGATGCCAAGTGGTATTTTCCTGGCTCTCCCTGAGTATCTGGTGGGGTTCAGCTGGCTGGCCAAACCGTCCAGCTGGTGTGTGGGTGCAGGGGACGTGGGGATGCAGCCCAACTCTGCCTCCTGGAATTGCGTGGCCTTGGGCCAGCCTCGCCTCTTAGAGTCTCATGTATAAAATGGGAATGTCACCCACCCCACCGGATTGACTCGAGACTGAAAGAAGCTGTGCTCGCAAAGGGCATAAATTGGAACACGGCCCAGAGCAGGAGTCAGCACCTGTCACATCCTCCCTCCCCTTGCCTTGAGCTTCAGCCTTCTCTCTTTCTCCTGTCCTTAAAAACAAAAGAAAAGAGATATTCACAAACCATAAAACTCACCTTTTCAAAGTGTACGATTCAGTCACTTTTTAGGATATTCACAAGATTACGCAACCATCACCACTCTAATTCCAGAAGGTTTTCATCACCCTGGAGAAACTCTGTGGCTGTTAGCAGGCAGTCTCCATCACCCCCACAACCCTTCCCCTCCTAGCCCTTGGAAGCCAGTAATCGACTTTCTTTTCTTTTTTAAGTTTTATTTGAAGTTCAGGAGTACAAGTGCAGGTTTGTTACGTAGGTGAACTTGTGCCATGGGGGTTAGCTGTACACATTATTTCTTCACTCAGGTATTAAGCCGAGTCCTCATTAGTTATTTTTCCTGATCCTCTCCCTCCTCCCACCCTCCACCCACCAGAAGGCCCCAGTGTGTGGTGTTTCCCTCTGTGTCACGTGTTCTCATCCTTTAGCTCCCACTTCTAAGTGAGAACATGCAATACTTGATTTTCTGTTTCTGTGTTAGTTTGATAAGGATAATGGCCTCTACCCCCATCCATGTCCCTGCAAAGGACATGATCTCGTTCTGTTTTTGGCTGCATAGTATTCCATGGTGTATATGTACCACGTTTTCTTTAACCAGCGTATCATCGATGGGCATTGAGGTGGATTCCACGTCTTTGCTATTGTGAATAGTACTGCAGTGAATATGTGCTAAGCATGTGTCTTTATAATAGAATGATTTATATTTTTCTCTGCAGATTTTTCTCTAGATCTGCCTTTTGTGACTTAGAATCGTAGAAATCATACAATACGTGGCCTTCTATGCTTGGCTTCTTTCACTTAGCGTAATATCCTCAAGTTTCATCTGTGTTGTAGCATGCATCGCTACTTCATTCCTTTTTTTTTTTTTTTTTTTTGTGATGGAGTTTCTGTCGCCCAGGCTAGAGTGCAGTGGCGCTATCTCGGCTCACTGCAAGCTCCGCCTCCTGGGTTCCCGCCATTCTCCTGACTCAGCCTCCCGAGTAGTTGGGACTACAGGCGCCTGCCACTGCACCCGGCTGATTTTTTTTTATTTTTGGTAGAGACGGGGTTTCACTGTGTTAGTCAGGATGGTACCAATCTCCTGACCTTGTGATCCACCCACCTCGGCCTCCCAAAGTGCTGGGATTACATGTGTGAGCCACCACGCCTGGCCTACTTCATTCCTTTTAATGGCTGAATAATATTTCATTGTTTGGGTAGATCACATTTTTCTTATCCATTCATCTCCTGATGGCCATTTGGGTTGTTCCCCATTTATGGCTGTTACGAATTATGTAGCTATGAACATTCCTATACTAGTCTCTGTGTGAACGTTTGTCTTCAGTTCTCCCGTTTTGTGGTTGTCCTTCCATTTTGATAGTGTCCTTTGAAGCACAAAAGTTTTTAATGTCGGTAAAGTCCAATTTATCTGTTTTTTCTTTTGTTGCTTGTGCTTCTGATATCATGTCTAAGAATCCTTTGCCTACTTGAGGACACACAGATTTAGCCCTGTGTTTTCTTCTGAGAGTTTTATAGTTTCAACTCTTAAATTTAGTTATTTGATCCATTTTGACTTTTGTTTTGTTTTGTTTTGAGTTAGATTCTCACTCTGTCACCCAGGCTGGCGTGCAGTGGCGTGATCTCAGATCCCTGCAACCTCCGCCTCCTGGATTCAGGCTATTCTCCTGTCTCAGCCTCCCAAGTAGCTGGAATTAAAGACACCTGCCATTATGCCTGGCTAATTTTTGTAGAGATGGGGCTTCACCTTGTTGGCCAGGCTGGTCTTGAACTCCTGACCTCAGGTGATCTGGCCACCTCAGCCTCCCAAAGTGCTGGGATTACAGGTGTGAGCCACCACGCCTGGCTTTGACTTAATTTTTATATATGGTATGAGGTAAGGATCCAGCTTCATTTTATTGTGGATACCCAGTTGTCCCAGCACAGTTTGTTTAAAAAAAAAACTGTTCTTTCCTCACTGAATGATCTTGGCACTCTTGTCAAAAACAAGTTGACTATAGATGAATGGGTTTGTTTCTGGACTCTTGACTCTGTCCCTTGCATCTCTATGCCTGTCCTTCTGACAGTGTCACTCAGTCTTGATTACTCTGGCTTATTAGGACGTCTTGGAATCAGGAAGTGTCTATTCACTCTCCTAACCCTGTTTCTTCTTTTCTCTCTTCTTCCCTTCTCTCCTTTTATCTTTTGTGCAATCTTTAGGGCAAGAGATTACAAGTGTTTGTTGTAAAGGGCCAGATAGTAAATATTTTATGTCTTTGTAGGCCGTGCAGCCTCCATCTCAGATGCAACTCTGTTCTTACAGAGTCAAGGCAGCCATAGGCTATATGTAATGAATGGATGTGACTGTGTGTTTTTTTGTTTTTTTTTTTTTGATATAGGGTCTCAGGCTGTCACCCAGACCCAGGCTGGAGCGCAGTGGCACAATCATGGCTCAGTGTAGCTGCTACCACCTGGACTCAAGTGATCCTCCCACCTCAACCTCTCGAGTAGCTGGGACTATAGGCACTTGACACCACACCTGGCTAATTTTTTCTTTATTATTTGCAGAGACAAGGTCTCACTATGTTGCCCAGGCTGGTCTCCAACTCCTGGGCTCAAGCCGTCCTCCCATCTCAGCCTCACAAGTCCTGGGATTTTAGGTGTCAGCCACCATACCTGGCTGTGTTCAAAAAAAACTTTTTTTTCTGGTTTGACACTGAACTTTGAATTTCATATACTTTGCCCATGCTAAAGAATACTACTTTTCTTTTGATTTTTTTCCAGCTATTTAAAAATGTGAAAATCATTCTTAGTCTGTGGGCCGTATGAAAACAGCCAGCAGGCCAGGCGTCCAGCCTGGTTTGAGAGGAGTGCGTCTGGAGGGAACAGTGTGTCAGAGGAAGATGGAGCATCTGCCTAAATCCTGCCGGGCCTAGGGCCTGCGTGGGCTTTCTCTGTCATGCTCCTTCCTATGGAAGCTGCTCAGTAGATCCTGCTGGGGACATGGCATTGCGGCACTGAGACATCAGAGCAGGGTCACCTGTGTGCTACTAGAGGGGCCCACGCTGTTCCTCCCTGACTACTCTACCAACCCCTGGCCAAGGCAGCAGAGAGAGTCTTTGCGCAGATACTCTGATAAATCAAACTACAATGGATGCCAGCCACATGTTTTACCTTTTCTTCTGGAAAAACACACAATCCTCACTGCACCCCAAAACATCAGCTCTAAATCTTTCTAAGAGGAGCATGGCTTTTTTTTTGAGATAGGGTCTTGCTCTGTCGCCCAGGCAGGAGTGCAGTGGTGCTATCTTGGTTCACTACAATCTCTGCCTCCCCTTCAAGCGATTCTCCTGCCTCAGCCTCCCAATTAGCTGGAACTACAGACATGGACCGCCATGACTGGCTAACTTTTGTGTTTTCATTAGAGACAGGTTTTCACTATGTTGACCAGGCTGGTCTCAAACTCCCGACCTCAGATAATCTACCTGCCTTGGCCTCCCAAAGTGCTGGAATTCCAGGCATGAGCCACCGCACCCGGCCAAGCACGACTTTTAAAGCCAGTCCAAACTCTGCCGGATGGCTGTCATGTGTGACTTTGGTCTAGTAAGTTAGTCTGTCTGAGCCTCAGTTTCTTCACTTGCAAAAAGGGTATGGGATGAGTGAGTACCTTCTTCACTGGGGAATGTGAGCATTCGAAACTTGCATAGCACCTAGCATGTAATAAGCACTCAGTATAGCATCTAGCACGTAATAAGCACTCAGTATAGCACCTAGCATGTAGTAAACACTCAGTATAGCACCTAGCACGTAGTAAGCACTCAGTATAGCACCTAGCACGTAGTAAGCACTCAGTATAAGACCTAGCACATACTAAGCACTCAGTATAGCACCTAGCACGTAGTAAGCACTCAGTATAGCACCTAGCACGTAGTAAGCACTCAGTATAGCACCTAGCATGTAATAAGCACTCAATATAGCACCTAGGACATAGTAAGCACTCAGTATAGCCCCTAGCATGTGGTAAGCACTCAATATAGCACCGAGCACGTAGTAAGCACTCAGTATAGCACCTAGCATGTAGTAAGCACTCAGTATAGCACCTAGCATGTAGTAAGCACTCAGTCAAAGCTATTTGCTGCTGTGCTGCTGTTTCTTCCCACTGCATCCCTTATTGCACTGGATGCTGAGGGAGATGCAGGTGGCTGCTTCCAGCCCATGGTGGTTCCCTGAGCCTGCAGCCTCATCTGCAGCATAGGAATAGACACAGATACTCAAGTACTGGCCCCAGATCCTGGTACATAGTAGATGTTGACTTTTCTTCTTTGCCTGAGCTGGATTAGGTGGGTGTAGGGGGAATTCTTGTTCCATACCAGAGTAAGCATTTGTGGCCTGTTTCTGGCACAGGTACCTGAGTCATTTTCCTGGACTTTTTGAACAAGGGAGAGCGTTTTTCTCCATGGCCTCCAAGCCTCACTCCCCAGGCTACAGGTCCTTCCCTCTGTCTCTTCCTTGTAGGCCCCACCCCATTTACAGGTCATATTCATCACATCTCCAGAACCCCTTCCTCTAGATCAGGGGTGAGCAAACTGTGGCTTGTGGGCCACATTGTCCCCTCGACAGTGTTTTTTTTTGTTTTTTTTTTTTTTTGAGACAGAGTCTCACTCTGACAGAGTCTCAGTCATCCAGGCTGGAGTGCAGTGGCACGACCTCAGCTCACTGCAACCCCTGCCTCCTGAGTTCAAGGGGTTCTCCTGCGTCAGCCTCCCAAGTAGCTGGACTATAGACATCTGCCACCACGCCCAGCTAATTTTGGTATTTTTAGTAGAGATGGGGTTTCACCATGTTGGCCAGGCTGATCTTGAACTCCTGACCTGAAGTGATCTACCCACCTCGGCCTCTCAAAGTGCTGGGATTATAGAAGTGAGCCACTGTGCCTGGCTGACAGTTTTTTTTTGTTTTTGAATAAAGTTTTATTGTAGTGCAGCCATGTCCATTCATTAATTTAATGTCTGTGGCTGCTTTTATACAACAAAGACAAAGGTGAGTCTTTAGGACAGAGCCCGTATTATCCACAAAGCCTAAAACATTTATCATCTGGCTGGCTGCAGAAGACGTTTGCTGAGGCCTTATCGAGATGCCCCCGCTTCAGGGCTCCTGTATGCTGAGCCGTCCTCCATTCTACGCTGTTCATTCTGTACACTGAGCAACTCTCCTGTGTGCATCTCCCCAGGAGGCTGGGGCTCCCTGAGGGTAGGGCTCTCTCATCCTAGGTGCCCACCTTGCTCACAACACAGGCACATAGTAGGTGCTCAATACCTATGAAGTGATAGATGACTGGCTGGCTGAATGAATGAAAGAATGAAATAAACATGAAATAGTAAATCAAGATGGAGTTCTTCCCAGGTCCACCTAAGCTAAGCTTTTTCACTTACAAAAAAATAGCCTCAGTGTACAGTGGGTTCAGAACTTCTCTTTCTGCAGCCCATCAGCTTCCTCTCCAACCTCACAAGTAGGTGTCACCAGTAAAAATGGCTGACACTCAGCATGGCGTCTACTGTATGCCAGGCCCTGGATTGAGTGCTTTACAGATATTAACCAATTCAAGCCTCGGGACAACGCTAGGAAGAAACTCCTGCTGCTGCCCCCATTCTACAGATGAGGAAATCGAACACCTGAGAGGCTAAGCCACTTCCCCAAGGACACTAAGCTAGTAAATGTGTGTGAAAAGGGAGTGCATTCAAACCCAAGAGGTGGAGCTCCCGAGTCCACGCTTTCGCGCTGCACACCTGCTTCCATGCAGCTCCTGGACGTGCAGTTGAAACAGTAGCTTCTCATTCTTTTTTTTTTTTTTTTTTTTTTTTTTGAGACAGAGCCTTGCTGTGTTGCCCAGCCTGGAGTGCAGCGGTGCAATCTCGGCTCACTGCAGCCTCCACCTCTTGGGCTCAAGCAGTTGTTCAGCTTCTGCCTCCTGAGTAGCTGGGACTAGAGTCGTGCACCACCATGCCCGGCTAATTTTTGTATTTTTAGTAGAGACGGGGTTTCACCATGTTGGCCAGGCTGGTCTCGAACTCCTGACCTCAAGTGATCCACCCGCCTTGGCCTCCCAAAGTGCTGGGATTACAGGCGTGAGCCACTGTGCCTGGCCCCATTTGTTTTTGAGACAAGGAAACTCCTTTCAGAGTCTCTGCCTAGAATCTTAAAAGCTCAGCAGAGTCATTAATTGTTCTTTATCATCTGGTGGGATATTTAATGTAGTAACTGCCTCTAATTGAGTGGGTAATTCAGGATTGATCTAGCACTCCAAGAGGGACCCACTGTGTGCTCAATGAATAGAGAGGAGTCAGAGGAGCTTATCAAGAACATTGCTCAGAATAGGAGCCAGTATCGATGTTTTAGTTGGAAAGAGTTGGCCCTGTGGAGGGGATTCCTTGCAGAGTTTCATGGCAGTGGAGCTCCTGTTGACTTTCCTCTGTGCCTTGTTAGGTATACTCAACACTTAACATGGATGAGGATTAAATGATTTAACCTATAGGAAACACTTAGAATCGGCTCCAGTATGTACTAAGCTCTCAATATGAAATGGCCGTTATTCACCTGTTTTATTAACTGGATCCCAACGAGCTGCCTCATGTTCTTTATTTTCTAAGGGCAGGATTGACATATGTAAAATAGGAGCCAGGTGTGGTGACTCACATGGTAATCCCAGAACTTTGGGAGGTCAAGGTGGGCGGATCATTTGAGGTCAGGGGTTCAAGACCAGCCTGACCAACATGGTGAGACCCCGTCTCTACTATAATATAAAAAAAATTAGCAGGGTGTGGTGGCACGCATCTGTAGTCCCAGCTACTTGGGAGGCTGAGGCAGCAGAATCACTTGAAGTTGGGAGGTGGAGGTTGCAGTGAGCCGAGATGGTGCCACTGCACTCCAGCCTGGCGACAGAGGGAGACTCTGTCTCAAAAAAAAAAAAAAAAAAAAAAAAAAAAAAAAGTAAAATAAATGCTACAGACCAGCACCATTTCTTAAATACAAACTTTGATTCTGAAAGCATCCAGGCAATTGAAGAAGTCCCATCGGCTTAGCATGAGCTTTGGGCACCTTTCTGTCTTACCTTTTTCTGCAGATGGACAAAAGTATACATGATGGATTTTTGTTGTTAGCGGAATTCTAAAAATCAAAACTAAAAACTATCCTGGTGTCCAGCCTAATCCTGGATACCCCCAAAGATTCTCAATCAGTACTTTCTGGATCAATTTTCACCTTTCTAAACCTCATTTTTAATCTGTAATAACAAAAGTCCAGAGAAACCACCCGGACAGAGCCGAGATTTCATAAATGGGAAGAAGACAGTGTAAACCAGCAGCCTGTTCTCCTAGGTCTTACAGCAAAATCAATATTCCCTTGCTGTGAGACCCGAATGGTGGAAACCAGTTGGCTGAGGGGACTAATTGGAGCCTTTTGAAAATTCCCTGGCTGGAATTGAGATGCAGGTTAACAGATAAGATTGCCAGCTCGTGTGTTATTTTTCAAAGCTCTCTCCTGAGATTGTGTTTGTCACTTGGCGAGAGTGCTTCATGTGTCCCACAAAAGCGGGAACAGCCCCACCACTCAGAGAGCCCTCTCTTCCCTGTACCCTGCCCCTCTCAACACACATCTGAGTGTCTCCATTGCTGGCACGGTTGTCAGGAAGACACTAGGGAAGGGCTTTTATCCAATGGGATAAAAACCTCCCCCAAATCAGCTGATGGTAGCTGAGATCATTCACATCTAGCACCGGGAAGGCCTAGGATTGGGGCTTGGGAATGATGATGATGGTGGCGTTCCCGGGATTGTGCTGATTGTGGATGTATGAGGCCTGTGTCTCGCAGTGGCCCCACCAGGGCAACAGCAAAAATGACGTTATTATCTCCCCATTTATGGATGAGCATTGAAGTTCAGAGGGGTTAAGCAAGGTGACCAAGGACACATAGCTTGTAAGTGACAAAACCAAGGCTTGCGTCCGGGTCTGTCTCACTTCAAAGCCTGTGAGTTTCCAGCTGACCACCTTTCCATGTCCTCCTTGCAACCCCAGTGAACTTCCCTGAATCCCCTTCCTCAGATCCCTGTCTTTGGTCAAGGATGGTGGTGATGGTGACAGACACCAGCTGAGTATTGGACAGCGTTTTTACCTGATTCCCATGATACATTGCCATATCTTCAATTGCTGGTGAACATGTTTTTCATAAAGTGCAGATTATTAAATTGTTCAAGGCAATTGGGAACTCTTTTTTTTTTTTTAGGCCACCAAGTCAGTGATCCTGTTTGACTGCAGTTATTTTTCATGGTGACACCTCCTGCTTATGTACAGCCCAACATCTGGTGGCATACTAAAGGTTCTGAGAAGTTGATGAGAAAAGAGCAGATGACTTCTTTTTTTTCCAGAAAATCCTCTTGCCCTCATTGTTGGCTGGAAAAGCCTGACTTTATCGCATTCCACCCTGCTAATTATGGGAGTGGCTGCCCAGTGCTCAGAGACAGAACTGAGACTTTCCCTGAAGTGTCTGGCTCATAGTCATGTCTGTCAGTCTTTCTCCAAGACAACAAGCTGTCCTGATCAGGTGCATCAAACTGCCTTGCATCCAGCTCTACCCATTTTCTTCTAACTAAGCATCTTTCTTTGCCTTTTGGACGGTAGTGATTTGCTTTGGTTTTCGCATTCACTAGGCTCTACCCATAGGTACCAGGTTGACTCCCAGTGATTATCTCTCCAAGCTAGGGGAAGAGTTGCTGGCTGCAGGGCAGGTTTGCATTGAGGAAGAAGACTCAGTTTAGTTTCAACGTACATGTACTACGCAACCTAATTTCTGCTGGATATGGTGCCCAAAACTGGGGATAGAGAGATGAGACATAGCTCCTTACCCTCAGGTGGTGCTCAGTCTAGTTGGGGTGGTTAGGGAAGGCAGGCACAGCAGCAGGGGATAGGGAGGAGGAATAGTGATAGACCTTGGTCTAGGGCATTGGAGGAACACAGAAGTTGGGTAGAATTGAGGAGAGGAGAAGAGACCAGGGAAGGATGTTGCAGGGTGAAGATGCTGGAGGCAAGCCCTCCAAGATAAGTAGAACTTAGCCAGGCAAAGAAGGCACGGTGGGGACAAGCAGAGGGAACAGGCTTGAGAATAGGCACGGCAAGGACAGGGATCATGGCATATGTGTGAGCTTGGAGTGAGCTGGTTTAGGTGGATTATGCAGTGCAAAGCAGGTAATGATGTTTGTATTTGGCATCTTAACTCACAAGTGACAGAAAACCCAAACCAAACTGGCTTACAGAAAAAGGGAATTTGTTACTCTCTGTAAGTCAGTAGTCTTGGGGTAACCTGGCTGCAGGCACGGGTTGATCAGGGGCTCAAATGCAGCACCTCCCGTGCTCCAGCTGTGCATCTCCCTGCTCTGTTTTCTGCATTTAGAAGTCACAATCACTTCAGAAGCTATTTGTCTGAGGTTACGCAGGTTGCATCCAGGCCTGTCTCACTTCAGAGCCTGTGGGTTTCCTGCTGACCACTATCCCTTCTCTTCCTTGCAACTCCAGTGAACTTTCCTAAATCCCATTGCTGAAATCCCTGTCTTTGGTCACAGATGGTGGTGACAGGGGCAGACAACAGCTGTACATTTGACAATGTTTTTACATGATTTCTGATATGATTTGGCTGTGTCCCCACCCATATCTCATCTTGAGTTGTAGCTTCCATAATTCCCCACGTGTTGTGGGAGGGACCCGGTGGGAGACAACTGAATCATGGGGGGCGGTTCCCCCATACTGTTGTTATGATGGTGAGTAATTCTCAGGAGAGCTGATGGTTTTATAAGGGAAAACCCCTTTTGCTTATTCTTGTTCTCTCTTGCCTGCCACCATGTAAGAGGTGGCTTTGCTCTTCCTTTGTCTTCTGCCATGATTCTGAGGCCTCCCCAGCCATGTAGAACTGTGAGTCCATTAAACCTGTTTTTCTTTATAAATTACCCAGTCTCAGTATGTCCTTATTAGCAGTGAGAACAGACTAATACAATTCCCATGATATATGGAGACACTCAGTTGTGTGTTGAGAGGGGCAGGGTGCAGGGAAGAGAGGGCTCTTGAGTGGTGGGGCTGTTCTAGCTTTTGTTTGGGCACATTCTCAAACAGCCTTTCTTCTCATGGGCAGGAGTCAACTGTGGAAGCTGCAAATGGGATCAACTTGACTTCAAGTCAGTGAGAAAAGGGTACAGCTCTCTATCCCATTAATTGGAAAAGCTGCACCCAATCATAGGCAATGATGTGCCCATTCCTGAACCGCTTGCTGTGGCCAAGGGAATGAGGTGCTCTGATTGGCTGAGGCCCGAATCATAGGCTCTGTCCAGCACACACGGTGTGAGAGAAGGGAAGACGGAGGCTTCCCGGAGAGTGGTCAGGCCACGGTTACCAAAGAGGGTGCAATATGAACCAGGTGGCCCAAAGGATGAGCTAGTCAGATGGGCTTTGTCTGCTTGCTGAAGAGCTTGGGCATTGACCCAGAGAATTTAAGTGGAGGAGTGACATGGTATGATTGGAGCTTTAGGCCAATCATTGTGGTGGCACTGGGGAACCTAGGGTCGATCAGGGACCATTTGGAGGTCCTGGCAAGTACAGCTGATGAAGGACCAAGGGCAGGAGTGGAGAAAACCCAGAACACATGAGGAGGTAGAAGTGCCTGGACTTGATACAGCATCCCCCTGCTTGCCCAGTAAGCAAACCGAGATGAGCTCCACCAAGCAGTTGAGTCAGGGACCCAGTACTAGGGAATAACAAGGCTTCTGACCATGGCTCTGCACAGAATATGCACCTTCTACAAGCAAGGGAGAAAGTACGTCTCCTGCCCCCAAAGTAGCCACTTTTGTCCTTGAACAGAAGAGCCGCAGAGGTACTTACTGCTATTTTTATTGATTCAACAATCTGCTACTCGCTGGCCTCCAAACTCCTGAGAGTTATGAGCTCATTACTGCCAACCACATTCCTCTAAAGTACACATTAGGTTCATAAACACAATTTCAGGGCTCTGTGCGAAATGGAGATGCTCTGTAATAGAAAATTAGCTTCTTCCCCACCAGCTCCACCAAGTTTATGTTTCGTCTCCTTGGATGGCAGTATTCTTGGTAGGGGAGAGAAAGCAATCCATGGAGCTGGGAGTATTAGAGGCTGATTGCCGAGTAGGAGCCTCCTCTTGTCCCCAACCATTTAATGATCCGGTGGCTGCCCAATGTGTGGGATGACCTGTGACCTGCTCTGTTCTATTTACCAACCAAAGAGATTCCATGCAGCAGCCTTTTAGCATTAACAGAAATAGGAAAGGCTGCCATGCACTGGTTGCATTCAAGAAACGGATGGGGCCGGGTGCGGTGGCTCACGCCTGTAATCCCAGCACTTTGGGAGGCTGAGGCGGGTGGACCATGAGGTCAGGAGATCAAGACCATCCTGGCTAATGGGGTGAAATCCCCATCTCTACTAAAAATACAAAAAATTAGCCGGGCATGGTGATGCACACCTGTAGTCCCAGCTACTAGGGAGGCTGAGGCAGCAGAATCGCTTGAACCTGGAAGGCAGAAGTTGCAGTGAGCCCAGATCGCGCCACTGCATTCTAGCCTGGGTGACAGAGCAAGACTTCATCTAAAAATAAATAAACAAACAGATGGTTTCTAACCAAACTGGCCTTACCGGATACCTCCAGTTCTCTCTTTCTTAAAATAAGGGAGTGATGTCTTTGGCCTGGATAAGCAGCTTGAGCCATATGGTTCTTCTGGATTCAGCTCTAGAAAGGGCCCATGCTCAGCTGTTTAGCTTTGGACAGTTATTGAGCCCCACTGAAGCTCAGACCTGTCATCTGTGGGATAGGGTGCTGGACCCACCCTGAGGGATTATCATGAGGCTTAAATGAGGTAGAACAGCTGTAGGGAGCTCAGTGCAAGTTCTAGCTGAGTGGCCCTGGGCAACTCTGAGATAATGCCCTTCAGTGATTCTTGGCCAGGGGTGGTTTTGTTTTGTCCCTACGGGGACATTTGGCAATGCCTGAAAGCATTTTTTATTGTCACAACTGGGGTGGCTGCTACTGGCATCTCATGGGTGCAGGCTAGGGATGCAGTGGAATGTCTCACAATGCACAGGACAGCTCCCATACAAGACTGTGTTCTCAATAGCGGGTAGCCGTCAAATGGTAAGTGCTCTGTGCCAGGGACTGTGCTAAATGCAGAAAGTCAGAGATCAGAGGCAGATGCCCACCGCTGAGTACACCGCTCCGTAGAGACCAGAGGAGTTCAGAGGAGAGTTGCCTCATACAGCCTGGAGGCAGGATGGGGTGAGGGGGTGAAGGATGGCTTTGTGGATGGGGAGGGCATCTGAGCTGAGTCTGGAAGTTGCTCCAATCATTTTCTCTCCTTCTTCAGTGGATGTGAGGGAGGGTCACCAGCCCTGGGGACTGGTGTCGGGAAGAGGTAGCTTGCATCTGTGACTGCCAGACCCCTCCAAATGTGAGGTCACATGGGCCCATGGGTGTGAGGAGAGGAGCCGGGTGGTGAAGGTGTCGGCAGGCATGGTGCTGTGGGACAGGAACTGTCACCTCTGCTCCGACATGAGATCACAGGTCTATCTATCCTGTTCAAGTTGGGTTTTAAAATAAAATTGCTCCTTGTTCTGACTGCAGCTGTCATTTCTTTTGTTATTTCTGAGGCCGTTTGTTAGTAAGAGGAATAATTTAGAGCTTGGAGGTGGACTTCGTCTTGGCTAGTTGCTAGGCACCCACTTTCTCAAGGCACGGGGCCCTAGATGCAAAAAGGATCCCCAGCAGTAAGACCTGGGGCTGTCTCACTTGGTGGCAGCATGTGCCTCCCCTCCCACCCTTCATTCTCCCAGGCGTATAGACAGCAGAGTGCCAGTGTGGCATTTCCACAGACGAACCAACTGCTGTAAGCCTCTGAAACAGGAATGTTACATATATGGCTCTCATGCCACCTGGCCCTATTCACCTGTCCATGGCAGACGTGGCCAATCAATCACAGACTTTCTCATCGAACTCAGATGCATTCTCAGAATCATCCCCCACATGACCACCATCTTCCCCAGGCAACCACCACTGTACACTAGAGTAGGCAGGTAGCTCTAGACTTGGCAGGTTTGCCATCCTTGCTGGAAATCCTTACTGGCGGTGTGACCCTGGGCACATCATATAACCCCAATTTATTTCCTCTTAAACAAAATGCAGATGCCTAATGCCTACTTTGCAGGGTTGTTGTGAAAACGAAGAGAAGTAAAAACAAACAAAGTGGCTGTCATGGAGTCCAGCTGGAGTAAGGGCTCAGTAATTTTTTTTTTTTTTAAGAAATGGGGTCTCACTGTGTTGCCCAGGCTGGTCTTGAACTCCTGGTCTCAAGCAGTCCTTGTGCCTCAGCCTCCCAAATTGCTGGGATTAGAGGCATGAGCCACCTCGCTGGCCCTCAGTAATTGTTCCTTTTCTTGCTTTTTGCATAAAAGTTACCCTTCAAAGACTGCAGTGGGACTTGTGGTTCATTTAATTCTGCTTGATATTGTCATTTATCTTTTCAGCTGTATTTGTTTGAGTCCTCAATAAGACTGTAGGCATTTAGATGGCAGGGAAGGTATCTTTGGAATTTTTTTTGTCCCCTGGCCTTCCATCAAGATGTGGTAATTGGATGTATAGGAGTGTGGCAGACACTGCTAGTTGCTTGCTGAAAATAGCCATGGGTTTTTTTTGTTGTTGTTTTTTTCCTTATCTCTTAGTAACAGAGCCCTGGGCATTATGCCCACATAGAAAATAGTAAATTTCTCAGCTTCCCTTGCAGCTACATATGGCCATGTAACTAAGATCTGGCCAGTAAGATATAGGTAGATGTATTGGTTGTGGCTTCCCAGAAAGGCTGCTTATACCTCATCTGCGTGGTACATGCCTTGCCTTTCTGCTTCTTGTTGCCTAGAATTGAGATATGATAGGTGGAACTCCAGCAGCCGCCTTGGGCCATGTGGTAACCTGGGGGATGGCAACTCTGCAGCTAAGATCGCAGAGCAGAAAGATGGACGGCCTCAGTCCCTGATGACTAAGGAGAGCAGCCATCCCAATTCTGGACTGCCTCCCTGCAGACTGCTTGTCCATCAGAAAAGAAGCCCCAAGTGATTAGACCCCAGCTATTTTGGAACCAAATGCGATTCCTACCTGATGCAAAGAGCTCTTTGAGTAGAGGCTGAGAGAACTGCTGCCCAGAACTCTAGAGGTGACATAGCACATGGCGTTTAGGGACTTATAGTCAACAGCTAGTTATGAGTTTCCATGGGCCACAGGTGCTGCTGGCGAATGTGGCTTGCTGCTCAGTTGAAGAGCGAACATCGAAAATAACCCGAAGAGAGAGGTGAGGAAGAACAGATCAGGCAGGGCCCTGCAAGCCACGTCTGGGAATTTAGACTTGAGCTTGAGTGCAGTGGCGCATCATTGGAGGAATGAATTTATTTATTTATTTTTATTTTTTATTTTTATTTTTTGAGATGGAGTCTCACCCTGTCACCCAGGCTGGAGTGCAGTGGCGTGATCTCGGCTCACTGCAACCTCTGCCTCCCAGGTTCAGGCACTTCTGCCTCAGCCTCCCAGGTTCAGGCACTTCTGCCTCAGCCTCCCGAGTAACTGGGACTATAGGCATGCACCACCATGCCTGGCTAATTATTTCGTGTTTTTAGCAGAGATGGGGTTTCACCATTTTGGCCAAAGTGGTCTCGAACTCCTGACCTCAAGTGATCCACCCGCCTCGGCCTCCCAAAGTGCTGAGATTACAGGCATGAGCCATCACGCCTGGCCCGTTGGAGGACTTTAATTTACACTTGGGAACCATTGCTCTGGCTGTGGTGTGGAAAAGGAGTAGGAGGCAAGATAGCTGGTTTTGTCCCTCCTGACAAAGGTTTCCTCCTCCTTCTAGACGACCTGAGTCTGTTAGCCAGCTCCAAGACGCCCTTCTCCTTGGTAGAACCCCACCGAGTCTGATTTGGGTGGCAAGTTAGAGCTTGGTCTACGCCTGGGGTTTCTAAAGCCCCCACACCTCGTGGCCCTTTTGGCTGGGACTTCCAGACCCTGGGTCTACCCCATCAAGGACTTTTTTTTTGAGAACCTCCAGCATTCCTGGTCAGCCACACACCAGGCAAGCCCTGCATACCGGCTTGGCCAGCACCCGCCGTGGCTGTAACTGACCTCTAGGTGGCGGTGGCCACCTGCTGCCACTCTGGCTCCCAGAGCCCTGGCCAAGGAAGTCCTCTTTCTCCCCACATTAGCCAGTGTTCCTTGTCTCTTCCCTCCCTGAGTTGTGGATCCCGGGACCTACCTGTTTCTTCCTCTGTCTTAGGTGAGACTTTTCTGACTTCCCAGTTTTCGCTGCTATGAGTGTCGGTAACTTCATCCAGTAGGCTTTGCAAAGTCTTTATTTGTGCAGAAGGCTGGAGGAGGTGTCACAGTGCCACACACAGAGACTTGCATATGCAGACCTTGGTCTTGACTGTCAGAAGCGTCCATCCTTTGCTCACTGCCAGATGCTTATAAGCAAGGATAGATGAGATGTAGGTGGCCCGGTATGGAGGGTAAGCCCTCCCTCCTTCCTTCTTTCCTGCTTGCCTTCTTGTTTCCTTCTCTTCCTTCCATTTATCCATCCATCTACCTACCCACCCATCTAGCACCCGTTGGGCATCTCCAGGAACTGAGGGCTCCTAGGGGTTTCCATCTTGGTTCTTGCCCTCAAGGAATTCATTGCATAGTAAAGATGAAGACTTGTAAAGGTACAATTGCAAGTAAATGTTCAGGTGATGTTCATTTATTCATCTGTTCATTTGTTTGTTCATTCATTCATTCATAGTATTGAATATCCATTATTTCCAGGCACTGGTCTGGGTACTAGGGCATAGTGAATAAGACTCTGGTCATGTACTCCCAAGAATATGTATAATTAGTATTTGTCAATTAAAAGAATAAAATCTTAAAATGTGCAGAGCTTACGTTCAGTGGAGAGAGGACAGCAAGCCATCAATAAATAAAGTCTTGATATGTACCACAGATTGAGGTCAGCAGCTGCGATTGCCTGCCATTTCAAATGATTCATCTTGTAAACAGACAGTGTCAACCTATGGCATCAATAAATACAGCACGATACTGGAAAAAACTAGGCAAGATAATTGCTCATTATACCAAATGCTGTGAAGAAGCAGAGAGAGAATGATGGTAGAGGATAGTTTTGGGGTGGGGTAAGGGTGTATACTGGGTGGCATGTGTGCACGTGTGTGTGTGTGTGTGTGTGTGTATGTGCATCTGGCGAAAGTGATGTATACCTGGTGGGGCAGTGTGTGAGTACTTGGTAGTGTGTGCACCTGGTAGTGTGTGCATGGATGAGCATCTGATGGGGTGTGTGCATGTGTGCCTGAAGGGATACGTGTGTGAGTACTTGATAGTGTGTGCACCCGGTAGCATGTGTATGTATATGTATCTGGTGGAGTATGTGCATGTGTGCCTGGGGGGATGTGTGAAATTGCCTCCTTTCAGGGAGAGGATGCATTGGGATTGTGAGCTTTTCCAAAGGTGGAAAGGTTCTGAGCTGCTGGCCTTCACAGAGACGTACCTAGGTTGATGGGAGCTGCTCAGGAGCACCCTCTGAACTCCCAGAAGGCCCGGGGCATTAGCATCTTGTCTGCCGATGGCCTCCAGAGAGAACACTGTGCATCTCAGGACCAAAGCAGTGTTTGAGTTGCATTGACAGAGTTGATTGTGATACTCGAGGCTTCCTTTGCCATAATGCCACCCTCTTCTAGTGGGCAGTAAGCTGTGATGTCAGACCAGACCCCTTTACCCTTTTCTTCTCCTTACTAAGTAGCAATACATTCAGGGCAGGTCAAGTCACATTGTGTGTTCATGTAGCATTTAAGGAGAGTTCAACCCCTTTCCAGAATTGCTAATAACAGTACAATAAACACCGGTCATGCTTTATGCATGTGTTATGTCACAACCCTCTTAGGTGGGTGCTAATACTATCCCCGCTCTATAGATGCTAAAACTGATGCTCAGAAAGGTAAGGTAGGTTGGCCAGGGTTGTCCAGCTGGCAGGTGGTGGAGTCGGGGGTTAATTGAGGCAGCAGTTCCCACAGCCTGCACTTTAACCTCTGTTCTCTGGAGTGGGGCCTCCCCACTCTTAGTGATTGGGAGGCATCTGTCTGTGTTTTGCAGAGATACGGCAGGTCTCAAGAATGGCCCACACTATACCTCAATGCCTTGTCTAGAGCCTGAGCTCTTTCTCTACTGCTTCAGGACAGGGTGGTCTGGAGGAAGAACACAGATTAGGTGGGGGAAAAGACAAAGGTTCAAATCACGTCTCCACCACTCACTCTGGGTCTTTGGGCAAGGCCCTGTTCACACCTCATTTACCCATCATAAAAAGACTTGGACCAGGCAAAATGGCACACGTTAGCCTCTGCCGTGGTGCTTTGCAAGCCTGCAAGATGGAAAAATGTTCATCCCAGCCCCATCTTGTATGTGAGGAAATTTTAAAACAAAATTGAATGCTATCTTACGGGCATTGTTATGAGAGAGAAATGAGTACATTGGGTAAATTAACTGTATTACGATGTTTGTGGTCTGCATACGGGTGCAATTTGATTGCGTGGGGAGACAAAAGAGGGTTCCTCGTGATGACTAATACATCTCTTTAAACATACATTAGAGAGAGGTGCAGAGAGTGTGCCTATCACATCTGAAATGTTCTATTGTTCTGTTTGTTTTTCATTACTCTGAAATGATTACTGCAAAAATTCCTAAATTGGATGCTTTTCAAAGAGGAAGATTAAAGACCATAAGCACAGTCTTGCAGCTGTGCAAAAAAGACTGTGCATCTGTAGATGGATGGAGAGCCTTAACAGCTTCACCTTGGGCTCTGCACTGCACGTGGAGAAACCTCAGGCCCATTGGGAAGTGGCAGCCACGTTCCATCTGTGAGCCCAGAGGGACCTTAGTTGGCATTTTGTAGCATATCTGCCCCGAGCTGACCACCATCTGCTTGGCATTATTTAAAACCTCTTAAATGCATTTCGGCGGGGGACAGGTCTCCATAACACTGGGACAGGGAGGCAGAAGTCTTCTGGAGAAACCAGACGGAAACCTTGCCTGGTTGCAGAGGAGGAAGAAGCATCAAACGCGAGCCCTATGCAGACACTGAGTGGTCTTGCTTCTGTGGCTGCCTGAGAAGTTGCAGCTCTTTGATTAAAGATCAGTAGTTATTTGAGGGTTTTGTATTTATTATGTACATTTTGTTGTTAGACAGCTATCACTGGTCCTGTTTCTAGAGGGAGAAAGGAAGTATTTATACTCTTGGTGTTGGCTGCAAGGTTGTCCCAGCCAACAATTCCCAGTCACGGCGAAGGATACAGGAAGGAGCTTTGAATTGTGTAGATGAGTTAGAAGGCCAGTTAAACCCAGAAAGGGCAATGCTGTGAGCACCAAGGAGGAGGTAGCCTTTGGAGTGTGTCGCAATCCACTCCCCTTCTCTTCCTGCACACGCCGCACACATGCGCAGAGGCAGGCTCTGGCCACAGCTCATTGGCCCAGAGTGAGCACTCACACAGGAGAAAACTACCCAGATACTGGCCCAATCAGATTCTCTGTTGGTCTCAGGTCTTTTCACTACAAGTGGCAAAATCTTACCTTGAGCTGGCTAAAACAAAACAATTTTTTGCCTTATATAAGTAAAACATTCTGTTGTAGCTTGATCTAGGGTCTCAGCTATTCTCCTTCCTCCTCCCTTTCTCCCTTCCTCCTCCTCCGCCCCCTCCTGCTGTCTTCTTCCCCCACCTCCTCCTCCCCGGTCCACTCCCCCCTCCTCCCACCGTTTCACTCTCCCCTCCTCCTCCCATTTCACTCCCCCCTCCTCCCCCTCTCCACTTCCCCTCCTCCCCTATCCTCCTACCCGCCTTTTCCCCCTTAGGTTCTGCGTCTCTGTACTGTGTTCTCTAGTAGGTTCCTCTCCTGTGGGGCTCACCAGCAGCTCTGAGCTTAGATCCTCACAGGCCAAGAAATGTGGCTATGAAACCCCTCAGCTCTCTCCCTGTCATACAGGCTCCTGATGGGCCTGGATGGGGTGGAACACCCTCACGGTGGTGCATGCAGGACTTTGATTTTCCCAGCCTTGATCTCATGCCTACTCTAGGGTCAGAGCTGGAGCGGGACCCATAGGGAGCCCAGAGACAGGCTGGGTGGAGAGTGGGTCCCTAAAGGAGAACTGAAGAAGAGGAAGTGGATGGCAGGCAGAGAAAGACAACCACTGTTCGCACGGAGGCTTCCTCCTGGACCATGCGGGATTATGCCTCAGAGCCTGGGTCAGTCTGCATGCACGTGGGGCTGGGTGGAGGGAGTGTCATATCTAGACCCTGAGCTCGGGAGGTGGAGAAAGCAAACTTGCAGGGAGGAAGCAGGATCCCTTGGGTGTGCAGAGGAGCAGAGCAGCATGGCCTCGCAGCTAACCTTGGACTTGGGTGGCTTTCTGGTCACTGGTCCTGCCCCTCAGGAGGCCCAGCAGTCTTTCCAGCTCTTGCTTTTTTTGAGATACCCTTGTACCCGTCCAGTAATACCCCATTTCCCCAAAGCCATAGTGAACTGGCCTTTCTTCCTGGTAATCAAAGAGTCTGTGACTAAGAAGATAGAAGGACCAGCGACACCATCGGCCTAGCTCACAGAGTTCCTCTCCAGAAGAGAAGTGCCTGGCTCCCAGTGTGGTTGGAAATATACCGAACAGAAGCATGGCTCAGCTTCCATGCAGCCAGAGAAGCTCCTGATTCTGTAAAGCATAGTTAGCTGTGGCAGGAGGGAGAGGGCCATTCAGGATCACATCAGAAGGTGACATGCTAGTGGCCGTCCTGGCTGAATCACGACCTCCCCAGCCCATTCCTTCTCACAAGAGCTGTTTTGCCGAATGAGACTTCATCACCCAACCACGGCTCGCAGCCAGACGCAGCCGAACAGGCCTAGTGCGGCTGAAACTTTCCTTCAGAGGGGGAAACCCTAAAACTGTCTGCTGGGCATAGTGATTTCTTTAGTATTTTCAGAGTTGAGTGCCTTGCTTGTTCAAATGCCAAGATTATTTTTAAGTCCATTATATTCTCACTGATTTCCTATTGTCAAGAACATTTTATTTGGAAAGGTCTTAGTGTAACCAAAGTAGAAAACTCCTTCTATATTTTTAGCTTGGTCTTCCCTCTTGTTACCTCCTCCTCCCCCTGGCCAGCTCCTCTTCATCCTTCAAGGCTTTGCTCAGCCATCACCTCCTCCAGGAAACTGCATTCCATGTCACCTCTCCTTCTGGCCTCCTGTGCATCCCTATGCCATAACACTTATTCCACTGGACTATAACTTTTTGGCTGGCTGGCTGCCTCACAAATGTGTGAACTCTTTTTTTTTTTTTTTTTTGAGACAGAGTCTAGCTCTGTTGCCTAGGCTGGAGTGCAGTGGTGCGATCTCAGCTCAATGCAACCTCCGCCTCCCGGGTTCAAGCAATTCTCCAGCCTCAACCTCCTGAGTAGCTGGGACTACTCAGGGTGCATGCCACCATGCCCGGCTAATTTTTGTACTTTTAGTAGAGAGAATTTCGCCATGTTGGCCAGGCTGGTCTCGAACGCCTGACCTCAGCCTTCCAAAGTGCTGGTATTACAGGCGTGAGCCACCGTACCCAGCCAAATGTGTGAACTTCTTTAGAACAGGCACATTGCTTTTGCTAATAATAGCCGACTTTTGTTAAATATTTAAATGTTAAGCAAAGTAGTTGATTTTCAAACACAGTCCTAGAAGTTAGATGCGATAATTGCCCACATTTTACATTAAGAAATTGAAGCATGTGTGGAGAGCTTTAGCAAATTACTGAAGGTCATACAACTAATGAGAATATGAAATCAAGATTCTATCTCAGGCAGCCTTAGTCTTATTGTGTCCATAACCACTGCTCCAAACTATTGGCTCAGCTCAGTATCTCTCCTTGGAGCCACCACAAGTCTGGTGCCTAGTAGGTGCTCAATAAACATTGGGTGAACTTCAAGAGATTGGATACCTGTGAATGTGCAGCTGGGCTGACTTGGAAGGAATTTCCAGAGGTGGTTTTGCTGCTTCTATTACTGTGACGAGGGGTAGAGGCACGTTTGGCTTCCTGCCTGCATGGAATTTTGCAGTCAGAGCAAGTTCTAACCGCAGCCCTTCACTCCTTCTCTCCAAGACAAATGGAAACTTATTCTGTTCTTAAAACTCGTCTCCTCTATCAGAAGCTTTTTCAGAGGCTCTGGTGCTGAGGCTGCAGGGTGAAAAGTAACCTCCCATCCGTCACAGCAATTCTGCTTCGGGTTGGAAAACAATTTGAAGCATCGCGTCTTCCAAGAGGAGTTTTCCTTTAAATTTTTTATGATAGAAAATATTCAGGCTGGCCAGGTGCCATTGCTCACACCTGTAATCCCAGCACTTTGGGAGGCTAAGGCGAGCAGATCACTTGAGGTCGGAAGTTCAAGACCAGCTTGGCTAACATGGTGAAACCCTGTCTCTACTAAAAATACAAAATTAGCCGGGCATGGTGGCAGGTGCCTGTAATCCCAGCTACTGTGGAGGCTGAGGCAGGAGAATCACTTGAACATGGGAGGCGGAGGTTGCAGTGAGCTGAGATTGCGCCACTGCACTCCAACCTGGGTGACAGAGCGAGACTCTGTCTCAAAAAAAAAAAAAAAAAAAAAAAATATATATATATATATATATATATATATATATATGTATACACACACACACACACACACACACACACTCTTATATATGAGAAAATATCCAGACCAGTGTGGAGATCAATATCTCAAACACCCTGAACACCCTGGGCCTCAGCTGTGGCTTCGCTCTGGGTGCTGGGCTCGATCTCTTGCCATAGGTCTAGTCCCCAGCGAGCTCTCAGTCCTGGCCCTGCAGCCTGGGCTGGACCCTGCTTCCATGGTCAGCTTCACTTTCCGCCATTCACTCTTGGACATTGCCTCTTTTTTCCTGAAGGATAGAGACGTGCCTTTCATTTTGGGATGTGACTTGCCTTTTCAAGTACCTCTACAGTTTAGTCTTCATCCAATTGTATCTGGGGAGAAGAGGGAGGATTGGAGGTGTGTTGTCTTCACAGTGCCAACCAGGAGTCCCACTTAACTTGAAAAATAGCATTTAATTTTTCTGTTACCAAAGTCTGTTCAGTAGAAGAAAGAAATCTGGAAATCTTGAAAGAAGATAAACAAAATAAAAATCTATCACCATTCAGAAATAGCAGCCACTGTTAATGTTTTAATTTGTATCCCAGTCTTATTTCTGGGGATTTCATTATACACACACACACACACACGTGACTGGAGTCATACTTATCAATATATCATAAGCAGTGTCTTAATTCCATGATTTCAGAATAAACAAGGGTCCAGCTTCTATTCCTCACTGCCTCCCCCAAACCCAGGAAGACTTGGCAGGTGTTTGTATCTATGAAGAGAGAAGCAGAAGCCTGCTCTACCTTCACAGGGAAATAAAAAGCTCTATGCAGAATATCAGTGCCGCAAATGGAGCAGCCTGTTTAGCAATGCACATGGCTAAGGGGGGATCATGTGCATGACTCAAATATCCAGACTGCAACATGTGACTGCAGGATGAAGTCATACTTCCTTTTACATCCCCCTGCTATGATCGCTGGATCCCCCAGCAGCTTGATTGCCGGAAATTAGCTCCCATAGCAGTGACTCCAGCTATTTCTGAGTTTCCCAGGAGCTGCCTCACGTGGACTCAGGGACTCGCCCCTTGTGATTTTCTCTGTGGCCCCTGCTGCTGCTGCCCATGCTGAAGATGCCCCTTATTAGGACGCCAGGCTCCTGGGCACTGCTGCCCGTCAGCGGTCGTTGTCGCTCTGACTTGGGGTGGAGGCGGAGGCACTTTCTCTGCATTGCTACTCAAACCCAGATGTGACAGCTGGGCCTGTGCCGTATATCCACACAACACAACTGAGGTGAGGCTAGAAGTTTTTCATTGCCTAATCACCTCTGTATTAGTCGGTTTTCATGCTGCTGATAAAGACATACCCGAGACTGGGCAGTTTACAAAAGAAAGAGCTTTAATTGGACTCACAGTTCCACATGGCTAAGGAGGCCTCACAATCATGGTTGAAGGCAAGGAGGAGCAACTCACATCTTACATGGATGGCGGCAGGCAAAGAAAGCTTGTGCAGAGAAACTCTGCCTTATACAGACATCAGATCTCATGAGACTTATTCACTAACAAGGGAACAGCATGAGAAAGACCTGCCCCTGTGATTCAATTATCTCCCACCGGGCCCCTCCCACAACACGTGGGAATTATGGGAGCTACAATTCAAGATGAGATTTGGGTGGGGATACAGAACCAAACCATAGCAACCTCTATTATTAAAAATTGTTTTTAAATTTTTAAATATTGACAAATAAAAATTGTATATATTCAAGGCATACAACATGATGGTTTGATGTACATATACATCGTGTAATGACTGCCACAATCAGATTAACATATCCACCACCTCCCGAAGTGAGTGTGTGTGTGTGTGTGTGTGTGTGTGTGTGTGTGTGAGAGATGACACTTAAAGTTGGCTTTCTCATCACATTTTGAGTAAACAGTACCATGGTATTGTTAGCCAGAGTCCCCATGCTGTCATCAGATCCACAGAACTTATCTTCTAAGAGAAAGTTATAAGATGTACCCTTTGACCAACATCACCTATCTCCCCTATCCATCCCCCCAGCCCCTGGCAACCCCCGTCTGTTCTCTGCTTCTATGAGTTTATCCATAGAACTTCACTCACGTCCGCCTGTAAGTGAAGTCAGGCAATATTTGTCTTTCTGTGTCTGGCTTATTTGGTGTAATACGATCCCCTCCAGGTTTATCCATGTTGTCACAAATGACAGAATTCCCTTCTTTTTTATGGCTGAATATTATTCCATGGCGTGTGTGTGTGTGTGTACCACATATATTCCATATGTGGCATGTTTATGTGTGTGTATATAAATATATAGACACACCACATTTTCTTTATCCATTCATCTGTTGACAGACACCTAGTTTGTTTCCATATCTTGTGAATAATAATACTGCAGTGAATATGCGGGTCCACATAGCTCTTGAGGGTACTAATTTAATTTCCTTTTTTATTTTAAAGTTTCATTTTATTTTTCAGTTAGTTAATTTGAGACAGGGTCTCAGCTCTGACACCCAGGCTGGAGTGCAGTGATGCGATCACAGCTCACTGCAGCCTCCACCTCCTGGGCTCAAGCGATCCTCCCACCCTAGCCTCCTGAGTAGCTGGGACTTACAGGCATGTACCACCACACCTGGCTAATTTTTAAACTTTTTTTGTAGAGACAGTCTCACTGTGTTGCCCAGGTTGGTCTTGAACTCCTGGCCTCAAGGGATCCTCCCACCTCAGCCTCCGAAAGAGTTGGGATTATAGGCCTGAGCCATCACACCCTGTCTTATTTTCTTTAGATATATATCCAGAAGTAGGATTGCTGGATTCTGTATGGTAGTGCTATTTTTATTTGTTGGAGGTGCCTTCATACTATTTTCTATGATTTACTTTCCTGCCAATAGCGTACAAGAGTTTCCTTTTCTCGATACCCTCACCAACACTTGTCTCTTATCTTTTGGAGAAGGGCCATCCTAACAGGTGTGCAGTGGTATCTCATTGTGGTTCCGATTTACACTTCTCTGATGAGTGGTGATGTGAGCACCTTTTCATCTACTTGTAGGCTATGTGTGTCTTCTTTGGAAAAATGTCTGTTTACATCCTTTGCCCATTTTAAAATCAGATTATTTGGGATTTCTGTATATATTTTGGATATTAACCCCTTATCAGATATGGGGGTTGCAAATATCTTCTACTTTGTAGGTTCTTTTCATTTTGTTGTTTCCTTTGCTGCACAGAAGCTCTTTAGTTTGATGTAGTCCAACTTATTTTGTTTTTGCTTATATTGCCTGTGCTTTGGTAACATATTCAAAAAAATTACTGCCAAGACTAGTGTCTACAAGCTCATTCCCTATGTCTTCTTCTAGGAGTTTTACAGATCTTACACTTAAGTCTTTAATCTATTTCATGATAATTTTTATATGGTGTAAGACAAGGCTCTAATTTCATTATTTTGAAGGTAGATATTCCGTTTGCCCAGCACCATTTATTGAAAAGACAGTCTTTTCCCCATTGTGTTTTCTTGGTGGCTGTGTCACAGATTAGTTGACCATATATGTGTGGATTTACTTCTGGGCTTTGTTCTGTTCTCATGGTCTATGTGTCTGTTTTTAATGACAGCAGCAAACGATTACTGTCGTTTTGTAGTATAGTTTGAAATCAGGGACTGTGATACCTCCAGCTTTGTTCTTTCTCAATATTGCTTTGGCTATTCAAGGTCTTCTGTGTTTCCATATGAGTTTTAAGGTTGTTCTTGTATTTATGTGAAATGTCATTGGAATTTTGATAGAGATTACATTATGTAGTATGGACGTTTTAACAATATTATTTCTTCTAGTCCATAAACTTGGGATATCTTCCATTTGTTTGTGTTTTTTTTTTTCAGTTTATTTCATCAATGTCTGATACTTTTAAGCATATAGATATTTCACTTCCTTAGTTAAGTTTATTCCTAAGTATTTTATTTGACAAAATTCAACATCCTTTCATGATAACCCCCCAATGAATGAGGTATAGAAGGATGTACCTCAGCATAAGAAAACTGTATGTGACAAGCCTACAGCTAACATCATACTCAACAGTGAAAAGCTGAAAGCGTTTGCTCTAGGATGAAGAACAAAACAACGATGTGTACTCCTGCCGCTTTGGTTCAATATAGTACTGGAAGTCCCATTCAGAGCAATTAGACAAGAAAAAGAAATAAAAGGCATCCAAATTGGAAAAGCAGAAGTTAAATTCTCTCTATTTGCAGATGATATCATGTCATATAGAAAACCTTAAAGATGCCACCAAAACAAAACAAAACCCACAACTGCCAGAACTAATAAGTAAATTGAGTAAAGTTGTCAGATACAAAGTCAGCATACAGAATCTGGTGTGTTTATATACACTAACAATGAACCATCTGAAAACACAAATTTAGAAAAGTCCCATTTATAATAACATCAGGCTAGAACTTTTAATAAAACTTTATATACAGCAGCATAGTGATCATGGGAGAGAGATACAGCAGGGGGACAACTTTTAGTGGCTACTACCAGATGAACCTGCCGTCAGATGTGGCACCCCCCCTTCCAGAGTCGCGGCCTGTCTTCAGAGCGTCTTTGAAAGGGGCCTTCATGCCTTGCTTGTGTCCACCACTCCCTTGAAAAGGCCAGCTTCCTACCTCACCATGATCTACCTGGAGCCCCAGCCCAACAGCCATGAACCAAAGCATGGATAGTTTCATGCTTAAGTTGTGTCCTCCTTAGTTTTCTGGCAGGGGCTGGTGTTGGCAGCAGTTGGGACTGAAAGAGGCCATAGCAGTTGGCTGCCTGGGCTCTTGGGTCCTCGGTGGGCTCCGAGGGGATTGGAAAGTCCATTAACTTAGCAGGGTGACATAAAGTGGAGACTGTTCCATGAGTCCTCTAACAGAGGCCATTTGCATCTTCCTTTGGTGGAAATGGTCCAGTCCATGGCATATCTACTCATAGACTTTGTTTTAGAGCCAAAGGGTGGGCACCTGGACCAGAAATTCAGTGAGTTAGGGGAACAAGAGTGCCCACCTTTTCCCCTGGCTTTCCTAGGTGTGAAGGAAAAGGCAGTGGCCAGTGATGCGAAGATGTGGGCCATGAAGTCGGGCAGACCTGGGCTTCAGTCCTTGTTTCACTTCTAACTAGCTCTTTGCTAGACCAGTGGCTCAGACTCAGTAAGGGAGAGTTGCAAATTCTTCTCCATCAGGGCTTATGGCAAGTAAAAGTGAATGGGCCAACCATGGTCCATGGCCAGTAGTGCTAAAAATATTTCCTTTTCTCTTAGAGACATACATCTGTGTTCTCTCTCCAGTAATCTAAAAGTGAGTGAAAGAAAACCCATTTGTATATAAATGGCTATCGCTCACTAGGGCGAAGATCCATGCTCTCCTTTTCCTTTTCCAAATCCATAAGAGCTGTAGATGACAGTCCCATGCTCTGAGCAGCCCCCGGTTATTGTATTTGACATGTATCCATCAGGCACATGCACAGACACACGGGTGACTTCCTGCTTCTGTGGGATTGAGAGGGGCAGGACCTGTCAGTAAGACACTCCCTGGCAGTGCTCTCATGGACGGGCAAATACACTGCCTGCATCCACTCTGACCTGTTCGTTCATTCGTTTGTTCGTTTGTTCGTTCGTTAGTTCGTTCGTTCGTTCATTCATTCATTCATTCCATTCACTCATTCATTCATTCATTCTGTCCTTCTTAAAAGTTTAGTCCTGGGAATATATACTGAGTGTTTCTTTTGTACTTCCTGTGGATAAAATTGACCAGATCCATGTCCTCATGGAGCTGTTCCTCTGGTTGAAGGAGAAAGACAACAAACAGGTCTACCTAGCATGCCAGATGGTGGTCGTGCTGGGGTCAGCACTGACAGTTGAGCCAGAAACCTCACGGAGTGAGGGGATAGGCATCGAGGCTGTCCAGGGACAGGGCACTCCAGGCAGAGGGAACAGCCACAGCTCCAGCTCCGGCTCTGTGGCTCCACCCACTTCATCATCCTCTAACATCCCGGACCGGGCCCTGGTCACCTCCAGTATCGTCTTGGATCCCTCGTCCTCCCTGCCCCAGCTGCCCCAGCCTCCTTTCACTTGTCCCCTGTTACACGAGCCCCTGCCACATGTTCCCTCTGCCCTGCCCTTTGCCCTACAGCTGTTCCCCTTCCAGGACTGTCTACTCTGACTCCTTTTTTTTTTTTTTTTTTTTTTTTTTAGGGGGAGTTTTACTGTTTCCCAGGCTGGAGTGCAGTGGTGTGATCTCAGCTCACTGTAACCTCTGCCTCCCAGTTTCAGGCAGTTCTCATGTCTCAGCCTCCCGAGTACCTGGGATTATAGGCACCCGCCACCATGCCCCGCTAATTTTTGTATTATTAGTAGAGACGGGGTTTCACCATGTTGTCCAGGCTGGTCTCAAACTCCTGACCTCAAGTGATCTGCCTGCCTTAGCCTGGGATTACAGGTGTGAGCCACCACGCGCAACCTCCAACTCAATATTTTGGTTGCAGATCAAACATCAAAGCTCAGCTAATCCAACCCCACTCCCAGGCGTGGTGCCCCTGGCAGAACCAGGCCCCCTCCCGCAGCCCTCATCTCCCTTTGAAAGCCTGTGTTTCTATGGGTGATTATTGGCATCAGGTCAGCTGAGGTCCCCAAGGACTGAGCCCTGGGAGGCTGGGATCCTGCCTGGTTTTGTTCTCCATGATAGCCCCAGGGCCCAGCCCGGAGCTTGGTATACAACAGGCCACCTGGTGGTGACTGAGGAGGGAACACGCAGTTCTGCCTGGGGGACAGCGGGGTTTGGGAAAATTGAGGAGGGTCTTGAAGGAGGAGTACACACCCTCAACCTAGCATCCAGTTCTCATCATGTCTAAAAACTAATAAAACAGCACAGGCAGTGTCAGCGGGGTGGGAAGGCTGGTCTTTGGGCACTTCCGGCCATGCCAGTTTCAGAAGCATTGAGTCAAATGTCCAGAGACAGTAGAGCATGGGCTGAAATGGAGTGAACGTAATCTGTGCACCTCAGTTCTCTCCGAGACACAGGGGCTGCTCTTCAGCTACAGTTACGGTACCACGGTTCCAGGTAAAGCACAGACTGGCTGGGTCTCTGCCACATCCAGACCTTTATGCTACATCCTTCTTTCAAAGATCTGTGGAATGGTGCTGGCAATTCTTAGTAAATAATGCATTTCCTCTTGTACTAGGCTGCCTCATTTACATAACCCAGTGAACTGAAAAGTCGTTTTTCTTGGGCCAAGTTATTCATCTTATTCTTGGCATTTGGCTGCAATAATATCCGTCTATCGGCATGGCCATACAATAATTCAGGCATTTTGTTCTAGCAGTGAGGACACTTATAGTTAATAACACATGAAGCCATTTCATTAAAAGGAAAGTTTTGTTAGGATACATTAACACAGGCCTTGAACCAAAACACAAATCATTTCATTCCCTGGCTATTGAGGAAGCAAAATGAATTGGGAACCTGAAGCCATTTTTTGAAGAATCGTTGTTATCCTCATGTCATCTGATTCTCTCTGCATTCAACAGTCAGCATAAAGGGGATCAGGGTTTTAAGGAGTTGATAACACTTGTTTTTCTCTGAGGTGGAAAAGATGTGGTATAGGCTTTAGGGGCAGCATTCACTGAAGGCCCGGTGCTAGTTCCGCTGCTCACTCCTCGGGCAATAGAGAGCGCATTTCTTAGTTGCTCCAGGTTTGTTTTAAGGCATACAAAACTGCAGGGCTGGCTGGGCGCAGGGTGGCTCACGCCTGTAATCTCAGCACTTTTGGAGGCCAAGGCAGGTGGATCACCTGAGGTCAGGAGTTCAAGACCAGCCTGGCCAACATGGTGAAACCCCGTCTCTACTAACAATACAAAATTAACCAGGCATGGTGGCTTGTGCCTGTAATCCCACCTACTTAGGAGGCTGAGGCAGGCTGAGAATCACTTGAACCCGGGAGGCGGAGGTTGCAGTGAGCTGAGATCGCGCCATTGCACTCCAGCCTGGGCAACAAGGGCAAAACTCCGTCTCAAAAAAATAAAATAAATAAATAAATAAATCGCAGGGCTTTTGTGAACATTGTGCGTAACATGTCTGGCACCTGACAGGTGCTGTGAAATGGTACAGCTTTTTCTGTACGTCCAAGAAAGTTCCAGCTAATACTAGTTTTCACTCTTGAATATTACAACATGCAGAAAAAAGTATTTAGTTTTGAGATGCAGGACTTTGGATCATTAAGGAGTTAGTGAAGTTTGAAATGGAGAGGGAGGCATTTGGTCTATGCTGCAGGAAGCAGGGGCAGCCTGACATGTTGGTTCCACGTTCGCTGTGTGTCAGTGAATGTTTATTTCTGAGTTCTCACCGCCTTCATGTCAGCGGGTTTCTCTGTGGGGTCTGATCCTTGCAGGGGTTTGTAACATCCATCAAGTATCTCCTACGAGGTCCTCCTCCTAAAATAGCACTCTTGCCCGGGAACCTGGGGGCTTGCGTGGCAGGGACTGGATAAATGCCCAGGCCGGCCTGCAGCCAGCAGAGAGGTGCACCGAGCTTGTTCTGAGTCAGAAGCCCGGGGAACGCTTCCCGGGTTTTGTTTTAGCACTCAGAAACCCACTCGAGAAGGTCATTTCCTGAACTCTGCTGTTTCTGTTGAGTTTTCTGAAAGCGGAGGGGATGCTTAGCTGTCCAATCCACAGAGCACGCTTTATGTTTGTGTTTCCCCGCCTGCCTAGCATTTGACAATTAATTAGCCATGGTAATTACCTGCTTTAATTTCATGATTGCACATCCTATAATTAGCCCTAATTCTGTAATAGGGAAGTTCATATACACAAAGGCAGCCGATGATGAAGGTGATAAGGGTTACAATATTAACAGCTGCCATTGCTTATTGCCTGCCAGGCATGGGCGAGGCACGACACCTCACAACCACCCAGTGACATTGGCATTGGCCTGCCTTACAGATGAAGAAGCTGAGTCTCAATGTGGGGTGTCATCCCCAGGGTCACAGCAGCCGAAAAGGATAACTGTGGGGACGTGAACCCAGGCCTCCCTCCCTATGTAGCTGTGCGCCTTCACACTGCCGTTCTGCCTCTTGCAGGAGCACCCGAGATCTGACATGCTTTGGGCTAAAGACGCCCGTTCCTATGCTTGGCACACCCTTAAACCAGATTGAGGGCTTCAGCCACTTAAAGGAAGCTTTTACATCTTCATTCTTTCTGTCTGTCTGCCTGACTCCCTCCCCACATCTTCTTTTCCACCCGCTTATGGGAGTGCATGTTTGTGTGTGTGTCTGAGATAAATTTTACCCTGGAATGTTGACTGCTTGGTGGTTAGATGTTTTAGTACGTGTACAAAATGTTGTCCTGAATATAATTGCTTAATTCTCCTCCTCTTCCAAAGACTTAGCCTCTAGCACTATCTTCATTTATCCAAATAGAGACTCAGGGCTTGAAGAGGTGAATTAACTTACCTAGGATCACTTGGCTGGCAAGGGGTGCAGCTGGAATTCGAACCCATTTCTCACTGAGGCCAGAATCCAGTGTCTGGGCTCCCTCCCGATGCTGACGTATGACGATGTGTCAGGTCCACGTGGATGTGTACCCACAGAGCCTTGGCACTACCTCCTGCCCCATCTACGGCCTGGCTTAGACATCCCTGCCCCACAAGTTAGGGTGAAAGCTCACTCTCCCGAGGACAGCGAAGGCAGGGCTATGTTTTGTTTTTGCTTTTAAATTCAGGATTAACATAAAATACAATCAGGTGTATCAATCTTAAGTTTATGGTTCAATTAATTTTACTTCTGTATAGACCTTTATAACCACTGCCCAGATATAGATCCTGGATGTTTCCAGCACCCAGAAGACTCCTTTGTGCCCTGCACAAGAATCCTTTCTCCCGCCCAAGGTCATGAAGACATTCTACCATGTTTTCTCCTCCTCGCTTTATGATTTCACTTTTCACACTGAGGTCTATGACTGCAAAAGACACAAGTGCAAAAGCCACACACGCAAATGTTCATAGTTGCTTTATTCATGAAAGTCTCAACTTGAAACAACCTAAATGTCCACCCCAGCAGAACAGGTGGATACAAACAGGGAAATATTCATACAGTGGAATACTATTCATTAGTGCAAAGCAACATGAGGGCCATACACAGAAACACAGCTGCATCTCACGTCCACAGTACTGAGTGAAAGAAACTAGACCCAGAGGAGCACACACTGGTTCCGTTTAGGTCAAGTTCAAAAACAGGGGAAGGCTGGGGGTGGTGGCTCACGCCTGTAATCCCAGCACTTTGGGAGGCCGAGGTGGGTAGATCACCTGAGGCCAGGAGTTCAAGACCAGCCTGGCCAACATGGTGAAACCCCGTCTCTACAAAAATACAAAAATTAGCCAGGCGTGTGGCAGGCACCTGTAATCCCAGCTACTCAGGAAGCTGAGGCGGGAGAATCACTTGAACCTGGGAGGTGGAGGTTGCAGTGAGCTGAGATCATGCCACTGCACTTCAGCCTGGGTGACAGAGCGAGTCTAAATCTCAAAAAAAAACCAAAAAAAAAAAAAACAAAAAAAAAAAGAAAAAAACAGGGAGGAAATCTAGGGGATAGTGCTTAGCATTGCGGGAGAGCACTATTGATTAGAACAGGGCACAGTCAAGTCTCATAGGAACACTCTGGTAGACGCTCTTCATCTTCTAAAAGAAAGCGTCTCCTTGAGACCTTATCTCTACTAGAGCTTGTTTTGGATTCTGTTCATTGACGGACTGAGGTTTTTGCATTTTTTTCTCCCCTTAACCTTCCTTTACCTCCACTGTTATTACAGACATCATGAGGGTAATTCTTCTCAGTGGAAAAGAAATCTTCAGATTTGAACTTCCTCTTAAAATGAAGAAGAAAGGGTTTGCCCCGATGCCCGATTACAGATATTACCCTCCTATTTAATCTTCTTTTGCTGAGTCAAGGAGATCCGACATAAAGTGGCTTTTTATTGCTTGTTTTAAAAGGAAACTTGGTTGTGTCAGAAGAGGTCAACTCTTTTTATCCCTCCAAGGAATTATTATCTTTATGGCTCAAGCAGAAGGAATTGGAGCTGATCGAACTTAATTTGGAGGGGAGAGGCTTTTAAAATAACAAACAAAACAAAAAATTCTAACAATTTTGGGCCTAAGCCCTCTGAAATCCTTAGTGAAATAAGTCCATGATTTAGTTAAGTATATGTAATTCAAGGACAACTTAATTTGCAGAGAAAGTTTCCTAACTTTGGATGTTTGAAGCACTGTTGTTGTGGATCAGCCATTTGGGTAATTTTGAGTAATTTTGAGTAATTTTAATGGCATTAGACTAGCTTCGATTAGATCCAAAGGGAGAGGCACAAATGAGGTGAGACTGGAATGTCTGACAGCAAGGAGACCTTTCTGAGAACACAGGATCTGCAAAGAGGTGCCTGGGCTTCAGGGGAACGAGGCAAGGGCTTCTGGTCCCAGCTACCCACATTGCTGGCCTGGGGTTCCTGGTGCCTTCAGGATTCTGGGTCACTGCAGCAGAGCAGCCTGCTGTTGTCAGAGGTGTTTGAACCAGAGCAACTCCATCTTGAATAGGGGCTGGGTAAAGTGAGGCTGAGACCTACTGGGCTGCATTTTCGGACGGTTAGGCATTCTAAGTCATAGGATGAGATGCGAAGTTGGCACAAAATACAGGTCATAAAGACCTTGCTGATTAAACAGGTTGCAGTAAAGAAGACGGCTAAAACCCACCAAAACCAAGATGGCTACTAGAGTGACCTCTGGGTGTCCTCTCTGCTACACTTCCACCAGTACCGTGGCAGTTTGTAAATGCCATGGCAACATCAGGAAGTTACTCTATATGGTCTGAAAAAGGGAGGCATGAATAATCCATTTCTTGTTTAGCATATAGTCAGGAAATAACCATAAAAATGGGCAACCAGCAGCTCTCGGGGCTGCTCTGTCTATGGAGTAGCGATTCTTTATTCCTTTACTTTCCTAATCAACTTGCTTTCATTTTACTCTACAGACTCGCCGTAAATTCTTTCTTGCTTGAGATCCGAGAACCTTCTCTTGGGGTCTGGATTGGAGCCCCTGTCTGGTAACACTGTGATAGAAAGTGTTAGAGGGCAGAGGGCAGGTAGCCGTGGGTTCAAATTCCTTATCTCCCCACCTGCCCTGGGCAAGTGATCTGACCTCTCTGAGCCCATTACTTCAGCTGAAAAGGGAGTGTTCGTACCATCTGCCTTGCAGATTAACTTGCGGCTGGGCAGTGAGGTGCGTAGTGCCTGGGATAGGACTCAACACATAATAGGTGGGCGGATCCTGGGTGCAGATTTAGGCCTCATGAGTTTTAGGTACCTAGGGAATATCACGTCCTGGTCTGGAGTTTGTATCAGAGGTCCAGACTAGAGATACAGATTTTGGAGTCATTGGCCTAAACATGAAACATGCAGGCCTGGGATTGCGCATGTGTGTTCCGGGGAGAGGCAGGGCGTGGGCAGGAGAGGAGGTGCCCATGTGGAAGGTGGAGAGAGAGCAGTTGGAGAAGAGGGAGACTGAGGCCTCCAGGGAGCAAAAACAGTGGGCTCTTGCATATACATTATGAAAAATGTAGAGTCAGAATTTATCACTCACAGGAGAGAGACTTGTATTTATTATTACATTAACGAGGTTTTAAAGATGTGTATTGGTATTCACTGATTCAAATTACGATGGCAATTTATCATTGGAGGCTTTACCCTGTGGGCTGTTCTTAACTCGGGTAATTTTTTTAAAGTGCATTGATCTCTCTCCCACTTCCGTGGTTTCCCTTGTGATGTATTATAGTTGCTGTGTATCCTTGGAAGGTGCTAGGGCCTGTAAAAGGCTGGTGAAGCAGTGCTCATGTTTTCTCTACTTGGTTAAAATAAAGAAGGAGTACGCCCACGTGTGCTGGTACGCCCATCTGGATGTGACCTTTTGTTCAGTTGAGCTGGTAATTGCAAGTCCGGATCTTGACCTCAGCCTACTCATTCCTAACCCAAGTCCAGTTCCTCTCCATCTGTGGGGTGGTCCATGTGATCCTGGCATAGCTGCGCTATTCGTAGACCTGAATTCTCTCCATATCACTTTGGGTGGGAGATGCTGCTCTCAGCTCCATTTTGTAGATGAGGAAATGAATGGCCAGAAAGGTTGCACTGCTTGTCTGATGGGTGAGTTTGTGCATTACATCAGGGGTTCCTGAAATTGCCCACTCGTCAGAATCACTGGAGAAGCTTTGGTTGCATTCGGGATTCCTGGGCCTCAGATGGTTAATGCCACCCACCCAGTGGTTGGTAAGATTTGGAAAGGACTACCTTCTCCACACCAGATCTTGGATATGTTGGTGGAAAAATAACAATAATGACTTCTTGATTATTTAGATCAGGGGTTATCAAACTCTTTTTGTAAAGGCCAGAAAAAATACTTGTAGCTTTGCAGGCTGTATGGTCTATTTCAGCTTCTTAACTCTGCTGTACAGAAGCTCCTTGACTTATGATGGGGTTATGTCCCGGTAAGCCCATTGTGAGTTGAAAATATCGTAAGTTGAAAATGCATTTAATAGGCTTCATGTAGTGAACATCATAGCTCAGCCTAGTCTACCTTCAACCTGTTCAGAACACTTACATTCACCTATAGTTAGGCACAATCATCTAACACAAAGCCTATTCTATAATAAAGTGTTGAACAGCTCATGTAAAGTATCATACTGCACATCACTAGCCTGGAAAAAACATCAAAATTTGAAGTGTGGTTTCTACTGAATGCTTATTGCTTTTGTACCATTATAAACTTGAAAAATTGCAAGACAATTACCAGCCTAAGTGAGGGACTGTCTGTATTTCAAAAGCGGCCAAAACAAATGAATGTGGCTGAATTTGGCCCATGGGCCATAGTTTGCCCACCCCGATCTAGATAATTAGTATTATGTATGATGATCAGAGAAGTGATTGTACTTGCCACTCTCCAAGGGAAGTTTGGACTTTTATAAGAATATATCATAAGCAGGTATGGGCCAGTCAAGATATATAGGGTGACAGCCAGGCGTGGTGGGTCACGCCTATAATCCCAGTACTTTGTGAGGCCAAGGCAGGCAGATCATCTGAGGCCAGGAGTTCAAGACCAGCCTGACCAACATGGCAAAACCTTGTCTCTACTAAAAATACAAAAAATTAGCCAGGTGTGGTGGTGGGCATCTGTAATCCCAGCTACTCGGGAGGCTGAGGCAGGAGAATCGCTTGAACTTGGAGGTGGAGGTTGCTGAGATCGTGCCACTGCCCTCCAGCCTGGGCAACAGAGTGAGACTTCGTCTCAAAAAAAAAAGTGAGCAAAGGACACAGCGACATTTCTCAAAAAAAAAAAAAAAAAAAAAAAAAAAAAAAAATATATATATATATATATATATATATATACATATATATATATATATATATATATATATATGATGAGAATTGCATTCAGTTGCTCATAAAAGACCCCTAAAACATTAGCTTGAACAAATTAGAGATGGGTATTTCTCGTTTGTTGAAGAAGCCTTGAGTAACTGATCTGATTATAGGTTTGGTGATGTGACGTCAGCAATAATGGAATGACATTATTGCTCCTTAAGGTCATCAGAGACCCCGGGACTTCTGTAAACTTGATAGGCATTCTGTTTCTCCATCTCACTCCATCGGAAACATCTATCCATTCGCTAATTGAAATGTCGTGGTTTTAGTCTCTAGTCCTTCCTCCTGTTCACAGAATAATGTGAGACATTCTATGGTCGCCATACTAGAGTTTGAACACATAATGTCTGTGTTTGGGGTTGATGGGTGGCTTTCACGTAGGAACAGAATTTATCACTCACATTAGAGATGCCTGTTTTCATGGTCATAGAGGTTTTAAAGATGTGTATTGACACTCATGGAGTGTAAATTACAACAGCCCTTTATCCTTGGGGACTTTTCTCTCTGGGCTGTTCTTAACTCATGTAATTTTAAAAAGTGGATTGATGTCTCTCCTGCTTCTCTGTTTTTCCTTGTGATGAAGTTGCTACTTGCCCCTGGAAGGTGCTAAGGCCTGCAAAAAGCTGATGAAACAGCCCTTACATTCTGTATCCCCAGAGTATTCTCTAAGGAGTCATAACTTGATTAAAATAAAGAAATTCTATGTCCCAGTTATGCTTATCCCATCTGGACACGGCATTCGGTCTAGTGGGGCAGATCTCAGCTCTTGCCCCCTCCCTTCTTTCTGAAACTGAATTCCACCTCATCTGTGTGGTGGTCGGTGTGGTCCCAGGCACCACCACATTGCCCTCCAAACCACCTTTGGAGCGAGGTGCTCCTCTCAGCTCTGTTTTACAGATGAGGAAACAAGTGTCCAGAAAGGTTGACTAGCCTCTCACCAGCACGCTGTTAGTGCTGCAATACACACATGACAGCAACATGAAACATGCATCTCTGCTATTAATTGGGCTGTGGATCTCTGTTGATGTTGGGAAAATAGCATACAGTATGTTCTTCCCATAACTTGCCTGATTTAGTCATTCTTGCCTGTACCCATCTGTTCAGCTAGCACTAATAAATCCCTGCTCTATGCCAGGAACTGGGCATCCAGTGGTGTGTGACACAGATGTGACTCTTGCTGCAGTTGGTTTTCATGGGGAAAGCATAGCCGAAATCCTACTCCTTTATAATAAGGGTTTAAGAGGAATTCACATTTTCTCTTTCTTGACAGGTCTACATCCGGATAAAAGACGATGAATGGAATATTTATCGCCGGTATACAGAGTTCAGGAGTTTGCACCACAAGTTACAAAACAAGTACCCTCAAGTGAGGGCCTACAACTTCCCACCCAAAAAGGCCATTGGAAACAAGGTACCATCCCGTGCTGGGAAGCCCACTTGTCACTGCCTGCGTTAAAATGGATTATTTATTCTTCTTCTTTAGTCCGTTGCTTAAAAACACATGCTCCTTAAAGAAAAGTTGGTGGAGATAAGAAAAAAATAGAGAAAAGAAATAGCCATTCATAATTCCACCACCTAAAGATGGTCACCATTACGTCATGTGTGTGTGTATGTCCTCTTATTTCTCTAGGGCAAGAAGTTGGAAAACTTTTTCTTTAAAGGGCCAGAGAGTAAATATGTTTGGCTTTGGGGACTTTACCATTTCAGTGGCAAATACTCACCTCTGCTGGGGTCCTGTGTAAGCAACCGTAGACAGTACAGACACAAATGAGTATGGCTATGTGCCAATAGCATTTTATTTTTAAGAATAGACAGCAGCTGGATTTGGCCTATAGGTTAGTTTGCCAACCCCTGTTCTGGACCAAAAAATGCTTTTCTAGTTTTCATCCGTAGTTGTCATGATGTTCACTTCAACTTGTGACTGTGGAGTAGAACTTTCTCAGAGGAGTTTGTTGTTGTTGTTGTTATATGGTTATTCACCTCATGAAGGTTAATGATTTATGATGACCCAATTTGTCGCTGTTTATTCATCCCGGTTCCCTTGAGGAAGGAGGTGCTAGCCCTCTGCAAGCTCATTGGTTGATTAATATTATTCACTCAGCAGTCATTAATTGGGCTCCAATTGTGTGTCATTGTGCAAGGGGCTGGGTTCAGCCCTGGAGAAGACAGACCTGGGTCTAGACCGGGCTTGGAGCCCTGTCAAATGGTCAGCTTCAGCCAGGCGGCATCATGATGTCACTCCTCATGTTTGTTTAGGAAGCAGTTCTCTGTCATGGCCGTGCTTTGGATCCCCTGGGGAGCTTTGAAAACCACTGAGGACTGCCTGTGCCCTACCTCCATCCCCATTCTGATTGAATCGATCTGAAGGGAGGCCTGGGCATGGAGGGGATGAATAGTTCTCTAAGTGATTGCACTCTGCGACCAAACTGGAGAATCTTTGGCTTAGAGTCAAGAAGGAGACAGGGGCACTTCATCAATTTCGGTATGTGTTCAATAGCTTGGCAGGGACAGTCTGATTGGAAGGTAGAGCCATGACCTTTCTCAGGATGTGTAAGACATCGGGCATTGTATTGAGCATGATCTCTCTGCCATGGTTGTTCTCAAAGTGTGACCCCAGCTAGCAGCAGCAGGAGCCCTTGGGAGCTGGTTAGAAATGCACATTCTTGGGCTCACCGTAGACATGCTGATTCACACGCTCTGGGGCTGAGACCCAGCAGTCTGGGTTTAACAAGCCCTCTAGGTGATGCTGTTCATGAGGAAGTATGAGGACTGCCGTTCTATCTTTTGACAAAGCCATGTGGCAGATGCCATATGGGGCGAATCCCTAGTTTCTGTCTTCAGGAGGTACCGTGCTAGCATTTCCTTGACCTTTATCACAGAAACACAGAGCAAGAGTTTCCATAACCCACTCCTGGCACTTGGGAATTTCATAGGGAAATCTATTCCCAACCCTTACATTTACATGTGTGTAGATTTCTATGTATAAAACAGATTGAAACCTGATCACGCCAAGGTCTGCTCGATTTGAACATAAACAGTTACAAAGCAGGTTTATCCCAGGCCCAGAATACATTTGTCCTTCATTTTTCTGTTGAGGAAAAGTAGAGCTGAACCACTACACGTGGCAGACAGAAACTCTATACTTGTTCATAGCAAAGAGTACAAGAATTCTTTTGAAAAGAGGGGAAAATTATATATTGATTTAATCTAATGACCCATAGGCTCATACAAATCTTGGGAGTTATTCAGAATGTCCTAAAATGTCACAAAACAACATGCTGCTAACCAGCGTATTATCAAATTATAAGACATTCTTATGTGCAAGAAACACAATCCTGGAGTGGCCCTTCCGTGACAGCTTCTTCACGGAATCTGCCTGTGTCTTGTGCTAAGGGAAAGCCATTGTAGCACAAGGTGGAAATGAGGGGATTTGGAAGGGGAAAACTCTTAGGTTGTGGCTTAACATTGTCCTGACTTAACATTGTCTGGGGTGAGTCGTGACTTAACATTATCCAGGGGTGCCTGGGAACTGCAGCTTTAAGCAAAATGACATATTGTGTTATGAAATGAACTTTACCATGGACAAATGGATACAAACAAGAGTTCAGTTCCTAGGGCATACAGTACTGTATTTAGCTTAAAGTCTTAGTTAGAACCTGTCAACAACATTAAGTCAACACTTGCTGTGTTAGTTTCCTCTTACTGCTGTCACAAATCCCCACAAATGCAGGGACTAAAACAAATTCATTATCTTACAATTCGAGAGGTCAGAAGTCCAAAATGAGCGTCACAGAGCTAAAATCAAGACGTCACCCAGGCCTCTTCCTTCTGGAGCCCCAGGAGAGAGTTTGCTCCTTGCTTTTTCAGCTTCTCAAGGCCACCCTCATTTTTGCCTTATGGCCTTCTGTCTTCAGAGACATCACTCAGCCCTCTGCTTCCATCATCATAGTCACATTTTTCTCTGGTTCTGACCCTCTTCCTCTTAGAATTCCCCTTAGATTCCCTGTGATCACACTGGGCTCACCCAGATCATCCAAATTAATCCCCCGACCCCACCCTTTGTCTCAAGATCCCTAACTTAACCACATCTGCTGAGTCCCTTTGGTCATGTGAGGTTCTGGGGATTTGGGTGTGGACATCTGTGGGGGCCATTATTGCGCCCACCACATGTTAGACATTGCTCCATGCTTTCTCTGCAGCCTCAAACAACTCCCTTCCCACCTCCTGCCTCCTCAAGCCCCCCAGTTACACAAAACTTAAGACAAAATAAATCTCATCAGTCCTGAAAACACTGGATTTGAGTTTAGTGAGATGAGGCTGAGCTCTGAGGAGTGGGAGGGTTTTTCTGGTGTTGCATCCTGTAGAAAGAGGGCATGAAGCTGTCCTGGGTCTCTGCTGTGCAGGAGCTGGGAACTGTTTTGTTGTTGTTGTTTGTTTGGTTTTTTGGAGGCAAAGTCTTACTCTGTTCCCAGGCTGGAGTGCAGTGACGCTGTGTCAACTCACTACAACCTGTGCTTCTGGAGGAGAGAACTGAGTCTGCTTCATGCTCTCCACCCTCATCCCCAGGCTAGAGAGACAATCTGTCCCTGCTCATCCCGAGGCTGATTCCTCACAGCAGCAAACCTTTCTCCTATGAAGCCTGTGTCAGCCAAGCAATGTGCTTTTATCCCCCCAACATAACCCTATTTGCAAATAGACAAGCTTGAGAATAAAAGACACCATCTTAGTGGGCCTGGCCCAGTAATGATCAGCTGGTACAAGTGCACCAGCTGGTTCTTAACCAGATTTGTGGTCCTGCTCCCACTGGTGGGGGTGGATCTGACCACCCAGTTCGTGAGCAGTCTTGGGGCCACAGCTCCATTTCTCGCCTGTGCAGCTTTTAACTTTTAATTAACTTTTAATAAGCTGGTTGAACTGTGATTGTCTTTTATACATATATATATATATACACACACACACACACATATACATACACACATATACACATATATACACACACATATATACATATATATATACACATATATACACACATATATATACACATATGTACATATACATATAGACACACACACACACACACACACACACACACACACACACACACCCCAAATGTCACCCTGTCGCCCAGGGTGGAGTGCAGTGGCACAATTTCACCTCACAGCAACCTCCGTCTCCTGGGTTCAAGTGATTATCCTGCCTCAGCCTCCCGAGTAGCTGGGACTATAGGCACCCACCACCACACTCAGCTAATTTTTGTATTTTTAGTAAAGGCAGGGTTTTGCCATGTTGGCCAGGCTGTTCTCAAACTCCTGATCTCAAGTGATCCTCCCACCTCGGCCTCACAAAGTGCTGGGATTACAGGTGTGAGTAACAGGAGGGGCCATACCCGGCCCCATGATTGTCCTTTGATTCCTTCTTTCTTTTTCTGTGCATTTGGCTAAGACATACCCACTTCCCTGAAATCCACCTTGGCTGCTGCTGAGGACACATCTTAGTGATTCTTCCCATTTCCAAAGGAGGATTGAGTCAAGATTCAGAACCTTCAACACCCAACAGGGGCCACTGGTGAATTCATTTCAAGGCCAAGCTTATGCTGGCCTCACTGGGCCTAATAACTCAGGACACCTGCTTTAATATCCCAAGAGCAAAATTTTTGGAGTGTGTTGATTCTACATTGGCCCAGAAAAATCCGCCACGTCAGAATCTTTTCTTTGATTGGGTTACTTCAAGGATAACTCACTTGTCCGCCTGGACCATTGTGGCACACGTCTAGACAAGACGTGTTTGGGTTGATTTAATTAATTTCTTTCTCCTTTTCCTTTTTCTTTTTCCTTTTTCCTTTTCCTTTTCCTTTTCCCTTCCTTTCCTTTCACAGAGTCCTGCTGTGTCACCCAGACTAGAGTTCTGTGATGCAATTGTAGCTCACCGCAGCCTCAAACTCCTGGGTTCAAGTGACCCTCTTGCTTCAGCCTCCCAAGTAGCTGGGACCACAGGCATGCAGCACCATGCCTGTCTGATATTTCAGTTTTTTGCAGAGACAGGGTTTCACCATGTTCGCCAGGCTGGTCTCAAACTCCTGGGCTCAAGAACTACTCCCACCTCAGCCACCCAAAGTGCTGGGATTACAGGCATGAGCCACTGCTCCTGGCCAGGGTTGATTGAATTTTGCATGCCTTGTTACTCTTAAGCCTTGAACCCATTAAATGACTCACTGCAGAATCCATAGACCTAGACATTATTCAAGGAAATAGCAAGCGTAGTTTAGCCTTTCTCATTTGTCAGATGAGTATCCTTCTAGCCTGAATGTCTATATATTTCCCCTACAATGCCATCATTGGTGATTGTCTGACAGTTTTATAGTTGAAAGTGATCTTAATCCCAATTTGAATCTTTTTTAATTGACAAAATTAGCATGTTGTATAGTGTGTGGACCCAGCATTTGTCTTTACCAAAGAATCTGTTGCTTTAATATGCCATGCATGTGTGTAATTATATATTCACAGGATACCCAGAGCTCTCCCTGGAGGTGTCCATGCCTTCACATACTGTATCAAGTTCAAATCATGTTGAAATAGTTGGCCTGAATATCAGTTCACCATTCGATGAAGTTTATTCTTTCATAGCTGAGTCAAGCCACAATAGATACATATTGAAGTTATTAAGTTTTTTTTTTTTTTTTTTTTTTTTTTTTTGGAGACAGCACCTGCCATCATGCCTGGCTAATTTTTGTGTGTTTTTGTAGAGATGGCATTTCACCATGTTGGCCAGGCTGGTCTTGAACTCATGACCTCAGGTGATCCGCCCACCTTGGCCTCCCAAAGTGGTGAGATTACAGGTGTGAGCCACTGCACCTGGCCATTTACTTTTCTTTTTTTTTTTTTTTCCAGACGGAGTCTTGCTCTATCACCCAGGCTGGAGTGCAGTGGTGTGATCTCAGCTCACTGCAATCTCCGCCTCCCAGGTTCAAGTGATTCTGCTGCCTCAGCCTCCTGAGTAGCTGGGATTACAGGTGTGTGCCACCACGCCTGGTAATTTTTGTATTTTTTGTAGAGACGGGGTTTCACCATGTTGGTCAGGCTGGTCTCGAACTCCTGAGCTCGTGATCCACCCACCTCAGCCTCCCAAAGTGCTGGGATTACAGGCGTGAGCCACCACATCTGGCCCATTAACTTTTATATATCACAGGTGTGGGGTTTGTTTAGGCCAAGGTAACAATTCCAAGATCTTGGTGACTTAAGCCAACAAGGGTATATCTTTGGCTCATGTTCTCTGTCCATCGTGGGTTGGCTCTGGGCTCTGCTCATCACAGTGCTGGGTTCCAGGCTGCTGGAGGCTCCATCTGCATGCATGTGGCAACAAGAACAAGGAGTAGGGGCAAGTCAGGTGGTGGCTTCTAAAGCTGCTGCCTGGAAGTGATACATGGAAATTCCACTTGCATTTCATTGGCCAGAGCAAGTTCCTTGGCCATGCCTAATGCCCAGGGAGCAAAGGAGTCACTCCAGATGTTAGTGACCAGCTCTAATGACGCAAGCTGGGATGACGTTTCTGTTGAATGACATTGTTCAGCGGGACTGAGATAGTAAGAGCACAGCTTCACCCATCCAAAACTATACATGCCTGTCCCATGGACTCCACTTTCAAAGGAGTCGCAGTTCACCTGCTTCCTGCATCCCTGCTTAAGTCATTCTCTCTTTCTCCCTCTCTCTTTTTTGCTTGAGACAGGGTCTCTCTCTGTCACCCAGGCTGGAGTGTAGCGGTGCGATCATGGCTCACTGCAGCCTCGAACTCCCCGGCTCCAGCCATCCTTCCACCTCAGCCTCCCAAAGTGCTGGGATTACAGACATGAACCACTGCCCCTGGCTCCTGTTTAGATTATTCTAACTCCAAGCCACTGTCACCGCAGTGTGGACACCTGCAGTGGCTGGCCTTTTTCTCTTTTGCCTCCCTGTAGCCTATTTTCCACGCTGTAGCAAGAGTGAGATTTGTACAACATAAATCTGATTGTGTCAGCTGTAGATTAAGACCCTCCAGTGACACCCCTGGTACTTACAATGGGGACTCGTTACTGTGGCCTCAGAGGTGTCCCCTGGTAGCTCCCTCACCTCCCTCTCCTACCTTATCTCATGCCCTGCCCCCACCCTCTCCACTCAGCCACACTGGTGTCCTAAGACATCTACACTGATCTCACCTCGGGGCCTTTGCACCTGTCACACCCTGTACCTGGAATGGCCATTCCCAGATTCCTACATGGACGGCTCCTCCCATTCACCAGATGTCAGTTCAGATTTGCCCTCCTTAGGCAGAGGCCTTTCCTGACACCCCTCACTCTGCTGCCCTCAGTCACTCTCTGGCCCTTTCCTCTGCTTTAATTTTCTTCCCAGTGTATACCATTGATTGAAATGACTTATTTGTGCACTTCAATATGATCTGTCTCTCTGCACCAGCATGGAAGCTCATGAACCAGGACTGGAGTCTGTTTCTGTTCACTGCTCTGTCCCCAGCTCCTAGAATAGCACCTGACATACCAAGATACTCACGGTCTAAATTAATGAACAAACAAACAGAAATTCAGTGGAAGAGTTTCCCTTTTATTTTCTTCTTCGCTTTGCTGGGTGTTGGCACACATTCAAAAAATCTCAATTCCAAAAGTGAGTACATAAACTTTCAAGGTGACTCGGGAGGTTGTTCTCACCCGACTTTTGGCTGAATATTTTTTGCAGAGTGGGCATGAGGCCAAGCAGGCTTTTGGAGACCGGAAAGGTGGCTTTCTAATGGTCTGAGGGAGTTGACCGGTGAGCTGCCTGTCCAAATGGGCTTTAGCAGCATGAGGGCTTAGGTAAAGGACTCGTTTTTGATGATGTTACTAAAGTCTGCATTATGGCTCAGGGAGCGAATGAGAATAGAGAGACTGTCATTCCTTCTTAGGATAATAGATTCCGTCTCCAAAAGTTCATTTGGCATTAAGGCAAGGCAAATCACTTTCCCTGGAGCCACAGATAATTCAACTTGTTGGAGAAATTATGCATTAAAATCCTCATTAAAAACACATACACCCGTGTGTGGTAGAGGAACCGACTGGTACTCGCCGAGCCGTGGGAAGCCCCTTTGCAACTTCTTGGGAGGTGCCATTGGAAACACAGCCCTCGAGACGGCAGGGTCAGTGGAGAGGTGGGAGCGAGTGGACCTCATGCAGGAACCAGAGGCAAATGTGTACCGAGTGCAGGGCTGTTGTGCTGGGTGCAGGGGCATTGAAGGCGAATTAAGGTTCGGTCTCTGTCCTTAAGAAGCTGGCAGTCTTGTAGGGAGGATGACATGTAAATGAGTCCTCAGGAGCTATATGAGCTGCAGGGAACCTGGTGCAATCTGCAGATAGAGGAGAGAGAAGCAGAGAAGGCTTCCTGCAGGAGGCGAAATGCTTGAGGGGCCACAGGGCTCCCAGCCAGAAATCTAGGAGAGGGAGTAGGTGGGCCAGCAGAATCAATGCAAGGCATCCTTTCTGTACATCCCGGATCAGTTTCCTGTGGCTTACAACAACACACATTTATTCTAGTACAGTTCAGGAGGCCAGACATTCCATATGAGCCTCATTAGGTTAAAATGAAGGCGTCAGCGAGGCTGCATTTCTTTCTAGAGACTCCAGGGGATAATCCTTCTCCTTGCCTTTTCCAGCTTAGAGGCTGCTTGCATTTCTTGGCTCGTGGCCCCTTCCTCTGTCTTCCGTGTTGCCTCTCTCCCACCATTCTTCTGTTCTCAGATCTTCCCCCGATCACAGCAGGGAAGAGTTCTCCACTTTGCAGTAATGTGATTAGATTGGGCCCACCCAGATTATCCAGGGTAATGTCCCTGTGTCAGGGCCCTTAATTTCACCTCCTCTGCAGTGGCCCCTGTACAGTAGCATATTCACAGGTTCTGGGGATTGAGGCATAGACACTTTGGGAGAGGGTGGGCCTCATCCTGCCTACCGTACACCTCTTCTTCCTTCTTCCTTCTTCCTTGTCCTGGGTAGACAACTCTTACTGTTAGCCCACTTTACAAATGGGGCAGCAGAGGTACAGGGATGTGAAGTGACTTGCTTGGGCCATCTCGCTTGGCAGCGTCAAGGCTGATATCTGGGCCCAGGCAGGTGATCTGCCTTCAGCCTCTGTGAGCACAGCCTATCCCACAAGAAGGTCGGCTGTAGAGGATCCTGGAGGCTGGACGGGCAGAATCAGTCAGCCGTTGCCCATTTGATGGACATTCACATTAACTCCCTAAGTCAACTCCTCAACCTCAGTGCCGTGGAGAGCAGGGGGCGGGTGAGGAGGGGCTCTGATGGCCTGTCTCTCCGCCCACACCCACCGCTCCACCCTTGCTTAGGGGCCATTTTTAGAGTTGGGAGTGCTGCCCTCATAGTTCATCCACAGGCTTGTAAGAACTTCCCTGTTAATCCTAAACTTGTGGGGTGACAGTTACTCGTTCATTTATTTGTGCATTTATTCTTTCAATGTGACTTTACCAACTCTATAAGTAAGAGGCTGTAATAAGCACTGAGAGTCAAAGAAAAAGAAAAAGATCCTTAAGGCTGTACTATCTGTGTGGCCTCGGGCACGTTATTTGACCTCTCTGTGCCTGTTTCCCCTTTTATATACTAGGAATACTCATGCCACTTCTAGTATTGTGTTTATGAGGATTGAAGGTGGTTACATCTGTAAAGTGCTCAGAACAGTGTCTGGCACATGGTAAGATCTGTGTTCAGGTTTGTTAGGTAAGGGGCATTGGGCTGGTAGTGAAGTGGGGCGAGCAGACACACACGTGCGTTCTCATCCCCAGCGATGCCAGGACCCTGAACCTGTGCAGTGGGTGAGCCCGACATGGATGGTCCCGCCGAAAACCTCAAAGCCAGTGTTTCCATGTACACTAACACCAGCCACCATATGCCGGCTTGCCAGACACACCGGGAACTTTGCATTTATTTTCTCATCATGCAGTTCTTATCAGGCTCCATATAAAGTGTTTATAGATGAGGAAACTGGGGCTGAGGGGCAATAAGCATCTTGCCCAAGCTCCCGTAGCTTGTAAGTGCCGGAGCCAGGAATTGAGCCGAACTCTGCAAATGCCGCCGCACCACCCAGCCCTCCGTGGAGAAGCCAGCCGCACACGTCCATGCCCAAATCTAGGAGCTGGTGATGCAGAGAGTCACCTACTACAGGTTTCAGCCGTAAAGTTCGTCATGTGAAGACAATTCAGAAGATGGTGGGACTCCCCCCACCTGTTCGCAGCAGAGATGCAGGGAGTTCACACACCATCCCCCGCAACTGCTAGGGCTCCACAGAGAAATTTGGGAGCGAAAAGCAGCTCTGAGTGAATGAAGCCATAAACTCAAGCCTGTGTCTCATTTGACACTCTGCCAACCACCATGTAAATATTCCTAGTACTTAATGTATTAATCGAGAAGAAGAGAGAAACTGGGCTCATTATACATCCCACATTTGTGTTTCTCTTTAATACAGTAAAAGCCTCTTAAGATATTTTCCAGGAGAGCAACCACTAACGTCATCTTGCCAGAAAAAAAACATCTCAGGGGAGAGACCTTGGTGAGCTTCAGACTCAGAATATGTATGTGGAGGCCTATGCATAGGTATATATATGTTTAATTAGTGTGGTTTCTTGGGAGGACTTTTCTATAATATCAAATTAAAATCCAGTAAGAAAAAAAATTAAGGTCATTTATAGACAAAAGAATCCAGAGCCAGCCACTGAAAGCATATTTGCTGTTCTGTTCCCATCCTGCATATTTTCTAGGTATAGCACACAGAGAAGCTGAATTGAAGAGACTCCTCTTGGTGGTCTCAAGTTGTAGAACTTGCTGGTCCCACCCTCCATTGTGGCCTTCATACCTCCACCAGGAAGTCTTCCCTGACTTCAAAAACATGAGCCGCCCTTCCCTGGGTTCATTTCTCATACTCCATCGCATCACGGTTGCCTGATTGACAGTTCTTCCTTCCCGCAGTCCCCCCCGTCCCCGCACCCATGACACCATAGAATTAGAGGGCAGAGCCTGGTCTTACTTGAGTCTTTGCCTTCTTGGGATCTGTCACAGTGCCGGGTACAGAGTCGAACCTGTTTGTTGAATAACGAACTGAAGCTGTGTGGAAGTCATTGTGTAGCACCGGCTTTGCTGGGTGGTTAATTTCCTTTCTCCCTCGTCCTATGTCCCTTCACTTCCAGGACACTGTCATTCATGGTCGTTCATAGATGCTCAGTTCCCATGTGGCGCCATCTCACCTGCCCGCTGGACATTGACCAGCTGATACTTGCAGGAATTTCCATGAAGACTCTGCCTTAGTTGTTCCTGGTGACAAAGAAAATTTGTTTGACACTTCTGGGGTCTGGTGTTCTCAGTGAACCCACCAGAATTGGCCAGCTTGCCCCACTTCACTCATTTCAGGCTGAGTTCGAGGACCCTATTTCTAGGTAGAACGCATTGGTTTTGTGATTGAATGAATTATAAGACAACTTGACTCCGTTGGGCATTAAACGTTGGCCAAAGTATTTCTGGGGCTGTGAGTTTCCTTGTATATCCTTATTTAGTCTCTCCTTCCAGCTCTAAAAGCCTTCTGAAAAGACTTAACCCGTATTCTATCTGCTTTTGTTCCTCACATTTTCAGACAACTGATTAAAATCACAACTTAGAAGAGTATTTCTTGGCTCTTACCCTTTTGAGTAGTTGGAGAATAATTGCTACCTTTCCCTTCAGTATTCTCATTAATATTTGAGAACTTCAAACGGCAGAAAAACACAAAAAACAAATTGAGAACTGTGTATTGCAATCTTGGTTCATCTCTAACACGCTGGAAAAAAAAAAAAAATTCAGCCTCTCAAGTTGCCACCAGTTGGTTATTTCCTGAAGCCACCTTTTTGGAGTTCACAACCCCAGGCTGGAGGAATCCTCTCCCTTTCTCTCGTCCTTCTCTGCAGTGTCATGGGCCACTTGCATCTTTAGAAACCATGCAACACAGGGAAAGAGCTTGGGCTGTGGATTCAGATCCTGCCCCCTCCCACACTGGCTGTGTGACCCTGGACAAGTCCTCAGCCTTTGTGGCACTCAGCTGTCACATGGTGGTGAGCACACTGACAGCATGGGCTGTGGTGAAGAGTGAACAAGCTTATGCCAGTCAAGTATTTCCCATGGTGCGGTGTGTCCTTAGCCCTCAAACGCCAGCATAAAAACCAGGTCTACAGGGAGGAAGCACTCATTTGATTTCTTTTCTTTTGTGATTGGTGACAACTCCCACATAGGCATGCTTGCTTTTCCTTTCTTTCATTCTCTCTTCTTCCTCCCCCGTTCACTTCTCTACTTCTTGTTGTGGGTTTTGGCTTTTTCTTTTTTTTCGAGATTGCGTCTCACTCTGTCACCCAAGCTGGAATGCAGTGGTGTGATCTTGGCTCACCGCAACCTCTACCTCCTGGGTTCAAACAATTCTTGTGCCTCAGCCTCCTGAGTAGCTGGGACTATAGGCATGCACCACCATGCATGGCTAATTTCTGTATTTTTAGTAGAGATGGGGTTTCTCCATGTTGGCCAGGCTGGTCTCAAACTCCTGGCCTCAAGTGATCTGCCCACCTCAGCCTCCCAAAGTGCTGGGATTACAGGCGTGAGCCACAACGCCAGGGCTTTTTTGGCTGTTTTTTAAGTTGAGGTATAGCATACCTCCAATTTTAAGGTACAGTTTGATGGATTTTCACAAAATGAACACACCTAGGCAAACAGCAATAGACCAAGAAATAGACCATTATCAGATCTCCAGAGCCTTGTCTTGTTAAAGGGCCACTGTGCTGCTTTCTGATACCATAGTGTGCTTTTGCCTGTATGTACTCCTTTGTATCTGGCTTCTTTCTCTCAGCATCACATCTGTGAGCTTCCTCCATGTTGTTGCAAGTAGCAATTGTTGGTTCATTTTCATTGCTCTGTAATAGTCCATTGTGTGAATACACCACAGTTTATTTATCTTTTACTATTAATGAATAGTTCAATGTTTTCTGGTCTGGCTCAATTACAAATAGTGCTGTAATTAACAATTCTTACATACTTCTTCTGCTGGCTCTGAGCCCTGGTTTCTGTGGGATGAAATCCTTAGGAATGGACTTGCTGGTCACAGGGTATGTTTATACTCCACTGTAGTGCATACTGCCACACAGTGTCCCAAAGCAGCCATACGGTGATGATTTTTTAAAGAAAGAGAAAAAGAATACAAAGAATAGGATACCAGGCACCTGTGTTCCCACCACACCAAATTAACAGCTGTTCACATTTTATCATATTTGCTTCCAAGCACCTAAAAAATTATTAGGAAATGTTTCAGGTGTGCCCTGGAATACACAGGAAAATGTAATGAACACACACGTATAACCATCCAGATTAATCAATGTTAACATTTAGAAATTAAACACTGTAAATACAGCTAAACCCTCTTTGCACCTTTTCTCCCAGAAGGGAACCACTCTGCGGAATCATTCTGTGTCCTTATATTACATATGATTATGAGAGGGTTTTCTTTTTACAGCTTCACATCAATGATACTTATTCTTTATGTAGCCTTTCACAACTGCTGTTCTTCACCAATATCACATTTCTTGAGATGTATTCATTTAGATGCAGGGCATTCTAATGCATTAACTGCTACACTTGCCGATAGTCTATGGTGTGACTACTCAGTGTTGCATTTATGTACTCTCTCTTTGATGAACATTTAGGTCGTTTGCAATTTTTCCCTATTTGGTCATTGTGGCATTAGCATCCTTGTACACGTCTTGGTATACATGTTTGAGACTCGGTTTCTCTAGGTTGTGTGCCCATGAATGAGGTTCCTGGCTTATAAGGTATGCTTGTCATCAACTTGCCTAGCTCTTGCCAAATTGTACTCCAAGATGGCAGCACCAGTGGTTCACTCTCAATCATGGGTGAGAATTCCCATTGTTTCACATTCACAACAGCACTTGGCTTTGTTCAACTTAAATTTTATTTATATTTCACCAACACAATGGGTATAAAATGGTATCTCATTTTGTTGCTGCTGTTGTTTTTTTTTATGTGACTTATTTTTTTTTATTATTATACTTTAAGTTTTAGGGTACATGTGCACAACGTGCAGGTTTGTTACATATGTATACATGTGCCATGTTGGTGTGCTGCACCCATTAACTCCTCATTTAGCATTAGGTATATCTCCTAATGCTATCCCTCCCCCTTCCCCCAACCCCACAACAGTCCCCGGTGTGTGATGTTCCCCTTCCTGTGTCCATGTGTTCTCATTGTTCAATTCCCACCTATAAGTGAGAACATGCGGTGTTTGGTTTTCTGTCCTTGTGATAGTTTGCTGAGAATGGTGGTTTCCAGCTTCATCCATGTCTGTACAAAGGACACGAACTCATCATTTTTTATGGCTGCATAGTATTCCGTGGTGTATATGTGCCACATTTTCTTAATCCAGTCTATCGTTGTTGGACATTCGGGTTGGTTCCAAGTCTTTGCTATTGTGAATAGTGCCGCAATAAACATACGTGTGCGTGTGTCTTTATAGCAGCATGATTTATAATCCTTTGGGTATATACCCAGTAATGGGATGGCTGGGTCAGATGGTATTTCCAGTTCTAGATCCCTGAGGAATCGCCACACTGACTTCCACAATGGTTGAACTAGTTTACAGTCCCACCAACAGTGTAAAAGTGTTCCTGTTTCTCCACATCCTCGCCAGCACCTGTTGTTTCCTGACTTTTTAATGATCGCCATTCTAAATGGTGTGAGATGGTATCTCATTGTGGTTTTGATTTGCATTTCTCTCATGGCCAGTGATGATGAGCATTTTTTCATGTGTTTTTTGGCTGCATAAATGTCTTCTTTTGAGAAGTGTCTGTTCATATCCTTCGCCCACTTTTTGATGGGGTTGTTTGTTTTTTTCTTGTAAATTTGTTTGAGTTCATTGTAGATACTGGATATTAGCCCTTTGTCAGATGAGTAGGTTGCAAAAATTTTCTCCCATTTTGCAGGTTGCCTGTTCACTCTGATGGTAGTTTCTTTTGCTGTGCAGAAGCTCTTTAGTTTAATTAGATCCCATTTGTCAATTTTGGCTTTTGTTGCCATTGCTTTTGGTGTTTTAGACATGAAGTCCTTGCCCATGCCTATGTCCTGAATGGTAATGGCTAGGTTTTCTTCTAGGGTTTTTATGGTTTTAGGTCTAACATGTAAGTCTTTAATGCATCTTGAATTAATTTTTGTATAAGGTGTAAGGAAGGGATCCAGTTTCAGCTTTCTACATATGGCTAGCCAGTTTTCCCAGCACCATTTATTAAATAGGGAATCCTTTCCCCATTGCTTGTTTTTGTCAGGTTTGCCAAAGATCAGATGGTTGTAGATATGCAGCATTATTTCTGAGGGCTCTGTTGTGTTCCATTGATCTATATTTCTGTTTTGGTACCAGTAAAATGCTGTTTTGGTTACTGTAGCCTTGTAGTATAGTTTGAAGTCAGGTAGGGTGATGCCTCCAGCTTTGTTCTTTTTGGCTTAGGATTGACTTGGCAATGCGGGCTCTTTTTTGGTTCCATATGAACTTTAAAGTAGTTTTTTCCAATTCTGTGAAGAAAGTCATTGGTAGCTTGATGGGGATGGCATTGCATCTATAAATTACCTTGGGCAGTATGGCCGTTTTCATGATACTGATTCTTCCTACCCATGAGGATGGAATGTTCTTCCATTTGATGGAATGTTCCTCTTTTATTTCCTTGAGCAGTGGTTTGTAGTTCTCCTTGAAGAGGTCCTTCACATCCCTTGTAAGTTGGATTCCTAGGTATTTTATTCTCTTTGAAGCAATTGTGAATGGGAGTTCACTCATGATTTGGCTCTCTGTTTGTCTGTTATTGGTATATAAGAATGCTTGTGATTTTTGCACATTGATTTTGTATCCTGAGACTTTGCTGAAGTTGCTTATCAGCTTAAGGAGATTTTGGGCTGAGACGATGGGGTTTTCTAGATATACAATCATGTCATCTGCAAACAGGGACAATTTGACTTCTTCTTTTCCTAATTGAATACCCTTTATTTCCTTCTCCTGCCTGATTGCCCTGGCCAGAACTTCCAACACTATGTTGAATAGGAGTGGTGAGAGAGGGCGTTGTTGTTGTTTTGAGACAAGGTCTCACTCTTGCCCAGGCTGGACTGCAGTGGCACGATCTCGGCTCACTGCAACCTCCGCTTCCTGGGTTCAAATGATTGTCCTGCCTCAGCCTCCCAAGTAGCTGGGACTATAGGCGCATGCCACCACGCCCAACTAATTTTTGTATTTTTAGTAGAGACGGGGTTTCACCATGTTGGCCAGACTGGTTGCAAACTCCTGACCTCAGATGATCCACCCGCCTCGGCCTCCCAAAATGCTGGGGTTACAGGCGTGAGCCACCGCACCCAGCCCTCATTTTGTTTTTGATTCACATTTTCCCAGTTACCGATAAGACTGATGATCTGCTCGTGATTTTTAGCCATTTGGATTTCTTCTTCCCTTTCTTGCCTTTGTGTGTCCTTTGGCTATTTTTCTTCTGGGGTATTTTTCTTATTTGTTTCTAGGATCATTTTATGTTTTCTGGATGCCATCCTTTGTCTACAAAGATAGAGCTCCCAGTGCTATGCGAGGCTCAGGTGGGAAGATCCCTTGATGCCCGGAGTTCAAGACCAGCCTGGGCAAGACAGTGAGTTCCTGTCTCAACAACAACAGCGAACTCTTGCTGTCCCCTCATTGGAGTAGCAACTCTGGCTCCATTCACACTAGACCCCACCATCTCTGCGTCCTCCCTGTGCCTCCTGCGTGCCTGGCCCCCGTTCCCTTTGCAGCCCCCAAAGCATTGGTGCACACGCTTGTTTAATTGTCTCCTTCCTCGCTGGACTTGTTTTCTGGGGGAGCAGTTCCGCATCAGACTCCGCGCACTGAGAGACGGGCATGGCCTCTTGCGTCAGTGGAGGCTGGATTTGTGGGTATTGGCATGAAGGAACGTTGGGCCGCAGATTGCATTCTTTCACTTGCATCCAGAGTAAACCCACTCCAAAGCTCCTCTCTCCAAAACGGGGTCCAGCAAGCTTTAAGTGTCCTGGCAGTACAGGGCCCAATCTCACTTGCTGAGGAGCCCATCTTCTCTACCAGCTCACAGCCACGTTCAGCTTAACCACCCCCTTGGAACTTTCTCATCATTTAATTTTTCAGCTCTTCTGCCTTCTGAGGGAAAGTGAAGTTCTTTTTTGTAATGAGTTTTGAAGCTTTTTTGAGTTAACTGCCTGATCCTCATAAGCTGGTGAAAATGGGAAGTGTTTTGTGTCACAGAGGAGCCTTTGATGCTGGCTCTTAGCTCTCCGCTGTGAGCTGGGCCGCCTTTTTCCTATCCGCAGAAAATAAACTAGCCCTGCTTCACATCAGTGGCACCATCTTAATAAGAATGGTGGCTATTTATTGAGTGCTAACTGCATGCCAGGCAGGGTGCCAAGGACTGCCTGCGCATTCTCATTTAATCTCGTCAGTATCCCTGGGGCCGAGGAGTTAGCATCCCTGCCTCACCTCATGTGACCCCTGAAGCCTTCAAGCTCTTTCTTGCCTCAGGACCTTTGCACATGCAGTTCCTTTAGGATACTCCATCCCTCACCCTTCCTGGTTTTCTCCTCTGGCAGGTCTCAATGGCAATTCTTTCGTTTTCTTTTTTCTTTTTTTTGAGTCTTGCTCTGTTGCTCAGGCCTGGAGCACAGTGGCATGGTCTCGGCTCACTGCACCCTCTACCTCCCAGGTTCAAGCAATCCTCCTGCCTCATCCTCCCAAGTAGTTGGGATTACAGACGTGCACCACCACGTCCAGCTAGTTTATGTATTTTTAGTAGAGACAGGGTTTCACCATGTTGTCCAGGTCTCGAACTCCTGACCTCAAGTGATCCACCCGCCTCAACTTCCCCAAGTGCTGGGATTACAGGTGTGAGCCACCATGCCTGGCGTCATCTGGAATTCTGTCTCCTGGAAGAACTGTTTCTCAGCTACCCAGAATAAGTTAGTTCCCTCCATTACATGCTTTCTTTCTTTGCCCCTTATTTTTTTGTTTTATAGCATTAGCACATTTTATGAACATAGTTATTTGCTTAAACATGGTAAGTGTGTTTGTGTGCTGGCCGGCGGAGCCATTGAAGGATTTTAAACAGGGTAGTGACAAAATCCAGTTTGTATTTTGGAGATATCACTGCCCTGTAGAGGACAGCTGGATGGGGTCAGTGTGGCTGGGAGTCTCCTGTGAGGGGAATGTGAGAGACAGAATGTCTGCAGCTGGTTGGGCGTGGTGGCTCACGCCTGTAATCCCAGCACTTTGGGAGACCAAGGCAGGTGGATCACTTGAGGTCAGGTGTTTGAACTGGCCTGGCAAACATGGTAAAACCCCATGTCTACTAAAAATACAAAAATTAGACAGATACGGTGTCAGGTGCCTGTAATCCCAGCTGGAGGCTGAGGCAGTAGAATCTCATGAACTCAGGAGGTGAAGGTTTTAGTGAGCCGAGATCATGCCACTGCACTCCAGCCTGGGCGACAGGATGAGACTCTGTCAAAAAAAAAATGTCTGCAGGTTTCAGTGAGCGCAGAGGTACTGAGAACTGAGAGGGGAATCAGCAGACATGGAGACGTGGAGCCTGACTTGGCAGAGATGGGGACTTGCAGAAAGGTCACACTCATTTGTAGGTGACTATACTATGCAGTGTGAGCGCCCTAAAATTGTGCCTTGCACAAAGTTGTGACACAGGGGTAGTCAGCTGGCAACTCACAGGTCACATTCCACCCAAGTCAGGGGTTGTGTTTCCGTGGTGGTGGTGATGATAAGTACGATAAACCCATGCCTGCAGCTCAGGGTACACGGCCTCCCCAGCAAGCGAGGCTGGTCTTCCTCTTTATCTCACGCTTCCTCGTTGCAACCATTGTGAGGCACTCAATGGAGGCTGGGCCCTTCGCTGGAGCACATGGTCCCAAGTCACCAGCCTGCCCTGCTTCTCACACCTCCTTGGCTCTCATGGCTTTTTTTTTTTTTTTTTTTTTTAAACCTAGTCTTGCTCTGTTTCCCAGGCTAGAGTGCAGTGGTGCAATCTGAGTTCACTGCAACCTCTGCCTCCTGGGTTCAAACAGTTCTCCTGCGTCAGCCTCCAGAGTTGCTAGGATTACAGGCACCTGCCACCATGCCTGGCTAATTTTTGTATTTTTAGTAGAGACAGGGTTTCACCATGTTGGCCAGGCCGATCTCGAACTCCTAACCTCAAGTGATCCGCCCGCCTCGGCCTTCTGATGGCTTTTGAATTTGGTTCCCTGCAGGGTTCGGGGAAGACATTTTGGAGCAGGTGATTTTTTTTCCTCTGAGCTTTGAATAATTAAGTAGACAAGGGAAGAGCGTTTCAGGGAGGGGAAAGCATGAGCAAAGCTGCAGAAGCATGGGTAATGGACAGGTTCAGGCATGCACTCGATTCTTGATGTCCAGGTGCTCCTGCCCCTCACCACTGTTGGGAAGGGGTCCGGAGATGAGTGTGGCCTTGGGTGAAGCCCAAGTGAACAGGTAGCATGGTAATGGTAGGATCCGGGGCCCTGGACTTTCTCAGCAGTCGGGACCTGCCCTCCCTGTTATCTCCAGGACCAATGACTTCAGAGGACTGAACAACAAGGGCTCTGGGGAGGACAGCCACCTGGCTGCAACCAAGATCCTAAGGCATCTTAAGAGTTCTTGGCAGAAAGGCCCTGAAGTAAAAAAGTAAACGAAAAGCTTCATTAATTTCTAGATAAACATTCCTTCATTTTTTATTTCACAAACCTGTATTGAATATCTATCATACACCAAGTCTCGTGGCCTTGGAGACGAATAAGATACATTTCCTGCCCTCAGAGAGTTCACAGTCTCATAGGGCCTCCGAGTCAGTGCTATGGAGGAGGTTAAATTAGGGTGTGGGAGCACACGGGAGAGTGTATCATCGTGGATGCTTTCTACGGCAAGTGGCAACACCAAAGTCAAACTATTTTTAATCTAACAAGATCATGTATTGGCTTGTGTAACGAGAGGCTTAGGAATGACTTCAGGAGTGGCTGGAGTCGGGAGCTCAGTATCATCAGACATCTCTATCTTGACCAGTCTCCTTCTCTTGTATTTGCTGACATGAGAAATCAGCTGAGTCTTGCCTGTTGTATCTGTTCCTGTTTTTTTCTCTGCCTGCTTTTTCTCAATTGGCTTCCTTCTTAGGCAGCCACCTCTCTCAAGGCAAAGATGATCAGCTGCCTCAAGGCTTCCATTGTATCCACTAGGCGCCTCAGGCAGAAAGAGCATATTGTTTTCCCAGTAGTTTCAGTCTCAGCACTGATGCTCTGTGGCCTAGCTTGAGTCTCCTGCCTGTCCCAGGACCAATCACAGCGACTGTGATTGGCCAGGTCATTGGTTCATCCCTGGATGGAGGGGTGGATAATTTCTGTCCACTCTCAGACAAGGTTGATTCCCCAAGGAAAGGCTGTAGCACTGTCACCAGGAGAAAAGGACATGGGTAGCAAGCAGGCAAAATATCAAGGGGAGACAGCCTGTGGGGAGAAGGGAAAGAGAGACTGGGGAAGGGTCAGAACTGAGGTGCCACCAGAATTGAGTCTTGAGGGATAAGCAGCATTCAGCTATTGAAGCAGATAGACGAATTCCAGGCAGAGGAAACAGCACTTCTGAGAGCTGAGTTTATGGAACAACGCAACTTCCTCTGGCCCATGAGGCCCACTGAGAAGTCAGCATGTCCCACTAGCAGCAGGTACACGTGGCAGAGCATGTGCACGTTAGCAGGTGAGGCAAAACAGCAAGGCAGGGCCAGTTACCTTGTATGCTTAGCTAAGGAGTTTGGAATTTTATCCTGAAAGCAAAAAAAGTGGCATGGTTTTTAAAACTGGTTTGGCATTTAAAAAAAAAATGCTTGCTTGGGAAGCAGTGTAGGGGATGACCAGTAGCAGGAGACGCTGGGCTAGTAAATAAGTAAATACAGAGAGGGCTGCGTGCATATCAAGGAGAACACCATTTATTCATCCATTCTGCACATCTTTCATGAGCACCTACTATGTGCCAGCCACTGAAAATACAGTGGGAAATTAAACAGTTAAGGGCTCTGTTTGCATAGGCTTACAATTTTTGAGTGGGAAGGAGAACAGATAATGCACACATAAGCAAACATGTAGGTAGTCTCTAGTAATCTCTGAATAGCATAAAAGAGATTCAACTCTACATCTGTCTCTAAGTCAGGTCATAGGAGGCATTAACTTATAAACCAAACAGCATAGAATTTTTTCAATTTGCAAATTAAAACAATTTTTGGCCACTGTTGCCAACAAAAGTAAAATTGCTCAGTTCTGCTTGAAAGATGAGGATGTAAGTAGAGAGATGGTAGGTTTTTCAGAAGCTAGCAGTGAACTATCATCTAGGATTGATCTGCTACTTGATAGCAGAAGGGGCTTTGTATGCTGGGTAATGGAGCCATAGCTCCTTTTGGACAGCTGCATAAATCTTTTTAGGGAGCTGGAAAAATGAGCCACCCAGGCAGACCTGGCATTCTGCTTAATTCTCATTTCCACCTTTCATTCCTTCCCCTTATGCCCTCCGCTCATTCCCTCCTCCTGCAGTGGGAAATCGCAGTAGAAGGCACAAGTTAGGGTTCTATATGGGCATTCTTCAAACTGGAACAACCAATAAAAAATGTGTTTGCTCTCTGGGGCATTTCCCTCAGCAGTACTGTTGGTGGCAGGCAGGTCATGCATTTCACATTGTTTTGGAGACTTTTGCAGATGCCCCCAATGCACTGATTTTGGAAATAATTGAACATCACTGTTTTTTGTTTGTGGTGGATTAGGCTTCACTGCTAAGTTCCAGGTGACTGACGGGGGTGCCAGTAATGCCAGCACCCGAGCAGGGCAAGACATAGCTGCATCTTTTCCAGATTCTCAAGGCAAGTGGTAAAATGAAGGCGTCTTGGGGATCCTCCCTTAGTCTGTGCTTAGGCCACATAGCTCTGCACTGGTCAGCACCAAAGACAGGTCCACCGCAGCTGTCATTTGCCTGATGGTTTCCCACTCTGGGTGTGATCTGAATCACTGGGGGTTAAGCATATTCACAGGATCAGACCACACCCCAGACCCGGTGAATTAGAATCTCTACAGTGAAACCCCACAATCTGCATTCATTTACTTCTTTATTTATTTAGAGATGGGATCTCACTCTGTCGCCCAGGCTGGAGTTCGGTGGCACAATCACGGCTCACTTGCAGCCTTGACCTCCCTGTGCTCAGGTGATTCTCCCAACTCAACCTCCTGAGTACCTGGGGCCACAGTTACGCACAACCATGCCTGGCTAATTTTTGTATTTTTTTGTAGAGACAGGGCTTTGCTATGTTGCCCAGGCTGGTCTCAAACTCCTGGGCTCAAGGGATCCACCTGCCTCAGTCTCACAAAGTGCTAGGATTACAGGTATGAGCCATGGTGCCCAGCCTGCATTTATTTTATTTTAATTTTAAATTTTTTACAGATAGGATCTTGCACTGTCACCCAGGTAGGAGTACAGTGGCGTGATCATAGCACACTGCAGCCTCAAACTCCTGGGCTTAAGGGATCCTCCTACCTCAGCCTCCTGAGCAGCTGGGGCTACAGGCACATGCCACCACACCTAGCTAATTTTTTTTCTGTTAATTTATGCAGCGACAAGGTCTGGCTGTGTTGCACAGGCTGGTCTTGAACTTCTGGACTCAAGCAAACCTCGTGCCTCAGTCTCCCAAAGTGCTAGGATTATAGGCATGAGCCACTTCTCCTGGCCCTGCATTTGTGAAAGGTCCTTAGATAATGCTGATGGAGCTTGCCTGCAGACCAATAACTGAGGACCACCCAGAAGGCGGAAATAACTGGCCCCAGGTACACAGTGAGGTACATAGGTACTCAGAAAGCCAGGGCTGGGACTTCTGACAGGAGTCCGCCTCTCTGTAACCTCCACGGGCTCCTTTTGCTGTCAACCCCATGCCGTTATGTGGATGAGCAAAGAACACAGTGGTGAATATTTTCATGCATTGGTGCCAGGCTTTCCAGCCAAAATGTGGCTTGAGATGAACAGTATCAAATAAGACCTCAAAGAATGATTCTACAATTTTATCATCTGTCTATTCTTTCTCAATATCTTACCACTTAAAATGTGGTCTGTGTACCAGTGACATCAGCCTCATCTGAGAGCTTGTCGGATGTGCAGATTTCAGGCCCCATCCCAGACCTGCTGCATGAGAATCTGCATGTTCACAGGCCCCCAGGTGGGTTGCATACACAAGCAAGTTTGAGAAGCACTGTTGTGTGTCATTTTTGCAGTTGCTATCAGATTGGACCCTTCCAATGAGACCCTTTCCTGTCTCCTTCCTCCCCGCCTCACCTTGGTCCCCTCAGTGGAGGGCACCTGTTGCTCACTTGTCAGATTGTCAGGCTCTGAGCCACGCCTGTCATGGGCAGAGTGACTGTGTGTTATGTTGTCATATTGGGGTGTGGCTGTGTGCTGTGTTGCCCTCTCAGGATGAAACAGGAAGCTCCCAGCTGCAGGCAAGGCTCCAGGCTCTCACCGCTTCTGCCTCTTCCTATGGGCTCTTCATTCAGATTTATTCAAGAATTGTGTTCAACTATAACCCCAGCACTTTGGGAGATCAAGACAAGAGGATTGGTAGAGGCTAAGATTTCAAAACCAGCCTGGGCAACATAGTGAGACCCCATCCCTACAAAAACATTAAAAATACAAAAATTAGCTGGGTGTGGTGGTGTGCCCCTGTACCTTCAGCTACTTAGAAGGCTGAGGCAGAAGGATTGCTTGAGATTAGGAGTTCAAGGCTTCAGTGAGCTAGGGTTGCACCACTACACTCCAGCCTGGGTGACAGAGTGAAACGCTATCTCTTTAAAAACAAACAAATTATGTTTAAGACAGTGGTAGGCCAGACGCGGTGGCTCACACCTGTAATCCCAGCACTTTGGGAGGCTGAGGTGAGTGGATCACCTGAGGTCAGGAGTTCAAGACCAGCCTGGCCAACGTGAGGAAACGTCATCTCTACTAAAAATACAAAAATTAGCTGAGCATGGTGATGCATGCCTGTAGTCCCAGCTACTTGGGAGGCTGAGGCAGGAGAATCACTTGAACCCGAGAGGCAGAGGTTCCAGTGGGCTAAGATCACACCACTGTACTACTCCAGCCTGGGTGGCAGAGCAAGACACTGTCTCAAAAAAAAAAAAAAAAAAAAAAAAAAAGGCAGTGGTAAAAGATCTACATGGTTCCTGCCCTCATGGAATTTTCAGCCTAGCAGAGAATTTTATGGTTTTATTTGTTTACTTATTAAACAAATAACCTGATTTAGTCCCAGGGTCAGTTAGGGCCCTTTACATTGAGATGTGGAGGCTGTGATCCAGTTAAGCTAAGAAGCAACAGGCAGAGTGGATACCAGGGGACATGCAGGCCTGCACCAGGCCAACACTAGTTATAGGGTCAGGGACCTTCTCTCTCTGACTCATGCAGGTTTTACTGCCACTGCAATGGAAAGGTTCTAGTTCTTGGTGAGAACATGGGACCTGCTTAGTGTCCAGGCTCAGGACTGCCTCCGAGCTGGGCAGGCAACATGCTCCGTCCAGATGTGCGAGACTTGGAAGTGAAGCTGCAACTCAAACTAGGGTCTGATGAGGCCTCCTCTGGGCATTTACCTCCTTTGGGACAGTGGCAGTGAGGGGCGGTGGAGGAGGGCATGGGTTCTGGGGTCAGAGTACTTGGGTTTGAATCTTGAGCTAGTGTAGACCAGCATGTCACCTCGCTGTGCCTCAGTGTCTTCAAGTTTCAAGACGGTGGCATCTCCCTTACGAGGGCGCTGTGAGGATTGAGTGATTCGGGGAATGGCTTCAGAATGTGGCCGGGCCCACAGGGAATGCTTCACAGCCGCCGGTGGTGGTGGTTGCTAGGCTGAGGTAACATTTGAGATTTCCTGACCAAAATGCCCTTTGAATGCCACCCCCCAACTCTGACTCTCATCAGCTTCCCCACGGTGGCCGGGGCCTCATTCCCAGCCCTGTTTTACAGATAGGGAAACTGAGGTTCAGAGTGGCCTGCTCTAGGGCTCAGCCTGATCTTCTAGCCAAGGAATTCTTATCCTGGGGTCTGAGGATGAAATTCAAGTGATTAATGGAAAAGATTTACACTTTTGTTCTCAGTACCCTCTACGTGAAACATGAACTTTAAATGTGAACTTAGATGACAAATTATAATAGGAGTAATGGTACCTCCTCCTTTGTCCCCAGTGGAAAGCAATCACAGGTATTTTCGTATCACATTGCGGTTGCTGCGATGTTTCCAGCCATCATTAAAGCTCATGGTTAAAGGTCACTACTTTAGAATTACAGGAGCGATTAGAGCTGCCAGTAGATCTTGTTATTGAATGTGCCTGCAAAGAAGCACTCACGTTGCTGCATGGCAGTTCTGATACCTGTGTTTAAGACTATGTGCCTTTCTGCCTTTTTTCCCTAATCCCATGTATCTTGTTTTGTGAACTTAAAAACATCATTCTGACAAGGGGCCAGTAGGCTTCATTACAGCCACAGGGAGGACCCTCCCATCCACCACCCCCACCCCCAGGGTCGCCTCAACTGCACACCCCCCTGCCCATACCCTGCTGGGTGCTGCCACCCACCACTGCTGCTCTGAGCTGCCTCACTCCTTCCAGTTCGTCCTCCTTTTCCTTCCCTGCGACGTTCCTTTTTGTGAAGCAGGTGCTGGATAAATAATTAATAGGGTGGGAAGAATGTGGAGAGAATAACATAGCTCGTGTTTATTTTTAAGCAGCTGCTCCAGGTGCAGTCTAGGTGGGGAAAGTGGTTGAGGGGAGGCTGCTGCCGAGTGGTGGGAAGAGGCTTTGCAGATAAGCCCGTGCACTGAGAAGTCAGGGTGTTGGGGGGCAGAATGGGGCTCCAGGATGGGCAGCCCAGGGAAGGAGGGTCTGTGACCAGAACAATAAGTGGGGGATGCCCAGGGAGTATCAACATTTCAGTGAGAAGCTGAGGAAAACTCCTAGACTAGCAAAGTCGTGAGAGGAATTTGATTTCTGTGATTGAAAAGAGCAGAAATGGTGCAGCTTAAAGCTGGCTCCAGGGCTGGAGCGATCCCAGCAGAACGGGGTCTCCTCTTCCTTCTTTCCCTCCTTCCCTCTCTCCGTCACTTTTTTTCTGTGTAGGATTCACTGTCAGAGAGGCTTTCTTCAAGGCAGAGCCTCTGGCAGGCCCAGACTTATTATGGCAATACCCGCTGCAGAAAGAGAGCTTCTCCTTTCTAATAGTCCCAGAAACGTCCTAAGATTAGATTCCATTGTTCTGTTTGAGCCATGTGTCCATTCTTTTTTTAAAAAAAGTTTTATTAAGATAAAATTCACACACCATACGATTTAACCATTTAAAATGCACAAGTCAGTGGCTCTTAGTATATTCAGAGTTGTGCAGCCATCACCCCAAGTTTTAGAAAATTTCATCACCACCAGAAGAAACCCTCTACCACTTGGTAGTCACCCCATCCTCTCCTGCCAAACCCCAGACCTCAGCCCCTAGCAACCACTCATCTGTTTTCTGCATCTAAGGATCTCCCTGTTCTGAACATTTCCTATCGATGGAATAGTATAATATGTAGTCTTTTGTGAGTGGCTTCTTAGCATAATATTTTCAAGGGTCTGTCCTGTTATAGCACATAACGGAACTTCATTCCTTTTTTAAAAGATATAATTCATGTACCAGGTGATTCACCCCTTTAAAGTCTCAAATTCAGTGGTTTTTAGTATATTTCCAGAATTGTGCAGTTATCACTAGGAGCAATTTTAGAATGTTTTCATCACCCGGAAAGAAACTCTATATCCATACGCAGCCTCTCCCCATTTCTCCCCAACCCCCAGCCCTAGGCAACCACTCATCTGCTTTCCGTGTCTGTAGGATTGCTTGTTCTGGAAATGTTGTATACATGGAATCATGCACTGTGAACTCTTGTGTGTCACAGAAGGATCATGTTTCCATGGTGCGTCTGTGTCATAGCATGTATCAGTGCAGTAACCCCCCTTATCCAAGGTTTTACTTTCTGCAGTTTCAGTTACCCACAGTACAGTACAGTAAGATATTTTGAGAGAGAGACCACACTCACATTACTTTTATTGTAATATATCGTTATAATTGTTCTATTTGATTATTGTTGTTAATCTCTTACTGTGCCTTATTTAGAAGTTAGACTTTGTCATAAGTATGTATGTATAGGAGAAAAGATAGTATATATAAGGTTTGGTGCTATCCACAGTTTCGGACATCCCCTGGGGGTCTTGGAATGTATCCTGTGGATAAGCGGGACCACTGTACTTCATTCCTTTTTATTGTCAAATAATATTTCATTGTGTGGCTATGCCATATTTTGCCTATTCATTCGTCAGTTGGTAGACATTTGAGGTGTTTCCATTTTTTGGCTTTTGTGAAGAATCCTAGGCCGGGCACAGTGGCTCATACTCCTGGGACCTTGGGAGGCCAAGACGGGACGATCACTTGAGCTCAGGAATTTAAGACCAGCCTGGGCAACATAGTGAGACTCTGTCTCTACAAAAAATATAGAGGAAAAAACAAAAAGAGACTCCTACTGTGAATGTTTTTGGGTGGACAAACGTTTATCTTCTTTATTTCATTCCATCTAGGAGTGGAACTGCCAGGTCATGTGGTGTCTTAGTCTGTTCAGGCTGCTGTGAGAGAATATCACAAACTGGGTGGTTTACAAATAACAGAAACTTTTCATTCTTCTGGAGACTGGGAATTCCAAGATAAAGGTGCTAGCATATTCGGTGTCTGGTGAGGGCCTATTTGAAAAAAAACCATTGTTTCCACATTGAATTTTCTTGGCATCCTTGTGGAAAATCAATTGACTATAAATGTGAGAGTTTATTTCTAGAATTTCAGTTCTTTTTCATTGATCTAAACATCCTTATGCCAGTTCCTTTTTTAAAAAAACAAATCTTATTTTGTATATTCGAGGTTTGCAACATGATGCTGTGGGATATGTAGAGATAGGAAAATGGTCACTATAGTGAAGCAGATTCGCATAGTTAGCTCACGTGCTTCCTTGATTACTGTGGCTTTGTACAGGTAGTAGCTGTTGGAATTGAAAAGTATGAGTCCTCCAGCTTTGTTCTTTTTCAACATTAGTTTGGCTTCTCTGGGTTCCTTAGTTTTTATATGAATTTTTGGATCACCTTGTCAATTCTGCAAAAAAAAAAAAAAAAAAAAGGCAACTGGGATTTTGAGAAGGAATGACGTTGAATCTGCCAGTCAATTTGAGGAGTATCAGCATCTTCATGATATTAAGTCTTCCCAGCCATGACCATGGAATTTTTTCTATTTAGGCCTTCTTTATTTCTTTTGATCATATTTTGTAGTTTTTCTATAGAGTACAGGTTTCAGATTTCATTTGTTTGTTTGTTTGAGACAGAGTCTCGCTCTGTCACCCAGGCTGGAGTACAGAGGTGTGATCTCGCCTCACTGCAACCTCCGCCTCCCAGGCTCAAGTGATTCTCATGCCTCAGCCTTCTGAGTAGCTGAGACTACAGGTATGTGCCAGCACACCTGGCTAGTTTTTGTATTTTTAGTAGAGACGGAGTTTCACCATGTTGACCAGGCTGGTCTTGAACTCCTGACCTCAGGTGATGCGCCTGCCTCGGCCTCCCAAAGTGCTGGGATTACAGGCGTGAGCCACCAGCGCCTGGCTAGTGTGTCCATTCTCAAACCAATCACTGTATCCAGGGGGACAACACCCTAAAAAAAAAGCTGGGCTTGAATCCTGCGCCTGTCCCTGTAACTGGAGGGCGGAGTACTCTGTCCCCAACTACTTGGTCTGGAAATGGGAAGTGGGAGATGTTTGAAAGGATTATTCTAGTGCTCCTGACAAGGCCATGAAGGGGATGTATGCTGGACAGGCAAGAGTTAGAAGAAGAAAAGTTATCTATTATAAATTGTGAGCACCAAAGCTTCATTAAAGGCACCTCACGTGATACGGAGGGAATAGCATCAGACTTGAAAAGGCTTTTGGCTATTTGATTGCCCAAAAAGAAAGAAAAGAAAGATGAAAGAAATCACTGAGCTTTCTAGCATTTTATCTAGAGGTGATTTCTTAGAATCGTGTTCAGCAAAGGCAGCATATCAAGGGCTTAAGACAAGTCAGGCTTGAGAACATCAACTATGGTCAGGGAATGGTGGTAAAGAAGACAGCTGAGGAGGTGGAATCTGTCTGCCTGGCCTGGAAAGGTTATACTAACCACACTTCCCTCCCAACCCACCCACCAAATCCAGCTGAAACCTTCTCATCTTTCAAATCTCTTTCCTCAGGCTTGTCCTTAACGCAGTGTGTATCTGTTTTCCGATCACCACTCATTTTTGCATTCGTTTGTCTGACAAAGCTCTGAACTGCAGAGCAAAGACCATGTCTTGTATGCTTATCTTGTGGTGGGGAAAATTATTGTACTGAACCTGTAGATTATTGTGAGAATTAAATGACCTGACAAAGATGATGATGATAGCTAAGGTGAGCTAAGTGCTCACTTTGTGTTGGGCACTGCAACTATTGTTATCATCCCTCTTTCAGAGGTGATGAGACCGAAATGCTTTCTGAGGCTGTAGACCTGGTAAGTGGTGCAGCCAGGATTGAAGCACAGAGGGTCTGACTCCTGGCCTGGGTCCTTTCCCATCACATCAAAGCACTTAGCACGGTGCCTGGCATTGAGCAGGCCCTCAGTAGATGCGAGCTGCTGTTTATAGTCAGAGAAGGAGAAGCTTGACTCCTGTCTGGCGTTGCTGGTATTTGTGTGCTAGCCCTGTGGTCCCAGGTCTGGACAGTCAATGGCTAATGCAGAATCGAACCCTCCCCAATTCCGTTTTCCATACATGTTGGAATTGAGCTAGCTGCTGTAACAGATTTCAATGCCAGACTCTGTTTCTTGTTGATGTTACTGTTTGGATGCTTGTGGTTGATGAGTGGCTTGTGTGTAGATCCCAGATCTTTCCATAGTGAGCCTTCACCATCCCCTGGGGCAAGAGTTAACAAACTTTTTCTGCAAAGGGCCAGATAGTAAGCTAAGAGCCTGAGTTGGGACATGTCTGGACTGAAGCTGGAATGATTCCTTTTTCGGCCCTGATTTTTTACTTTCCTTCTTATGAGAAAACTCCAGAACCTTTGTCTAGAGTATATAGTGCTCTGAAGTAGAACGTTAAAATAACCCCTTTACCTTCCCTCCCTCCCCTTATCCATGTGGTTTGCATTAAACTCAAAGGTCTTGACAGGTGGCGCTTCTGTGCTCTGCTGTCTCCTTTCTCCAGTTCCCAGCATGGCACCAGGCACACGGTCAAGGCCAAGTCAAGGGCTTTTAATTGAATGGAGCTTTTGCAGACCTCTCCTGTGTAAACAAAGGTGCAAATGGGACAGCAGAGTAGCTGGGCCTGGAAGCCGTGTGGACCTGGGTTCAAATCCCAGCTCTGACGCTAGTTAACGTGGCCAAGGGCAAGCTAATTGATCTCTGTGAGTTTCAGTGTTCTTACCTGTAAAAGGGAGGTACCGCTACCTTCTTGGGAAGAGTGTTTTTGAAGATACAGTAGCTGCCGTATTTTGAGTGGTGCCTGGTGGGCTGTGGCGGGTGGCTATTCTGTCTGTAGCCGTTGTATTCACAGGGAGGAGTCCAGAGAATCGGCAAGGTCACGCATCCCCGGCCCTGCTCCGGAGGGCGAGCTGGGCCCCATGCTTCCCAGCGTGTCTGGATTGTTTCTGTAGATAGGTGCTTGGCCTTCAGAAGCATGGACCGGTGTCACCTCTCAGTAGCACAGCTCGATGAACTGTAGCAGCGGGGCCGCAACAAGCTTGCAGACTGTTTTTGATGGCCCATTGATTTCTTTTTTCTGTTGCTTCTGGATGGCCTGTAGATATATTTTGTTTGATCTGCACTGTGATATTCAGGCATTTGAATTAGCTGCTAGCTGATTTGAGAATGGAGAGATCTTGCCTAATGATCTGGATTTGCAGCTTCCCTTAAAAAGCAGACAGAGCTGGCCCTGCGAGCTCCTGCTCTCAAAGGGCTGTGGTCCGCCAGAGCGTCCCTCCCGCTTTACCAACGTTCCTGGTGCCCTCTGTTAAGCCTGTGGCCATTGCAGTATGGAATTGTCTTTGGGGTGTTTGATTCACTCCAGGTTTCTTTTATCTCCACCAGCTCCAGGGCGGGGTATAAATGCCACGCCACCTTCTCTCTCCTGGCTGGCTCTGAAGGGTACCTGTTCCTCCCCAGCCATGTCCTACCCTGAGGGAGCTTTCTTGGGGACACACAATGGCCAAGCAGAGTGGAAAGAACATGGCCCTGGAGTCCCTACACTGTGGGGTCCTGGCCATAATACTTATCTCCTTTGAGCCTCATCTGTGAAATGTCGTTCAGGTTGGAGATAGTGTCCATAAGTCCCTCCGCTCAGTTCCCGGCATCCAGCACACGTTGGCTGGTGCTAACATTTTGTCTCCATTATGGTCTCTCTGCCCACTGAGACATTTCAGCCTGTGGCCTCTGCAGTGAAGAATTTATGCTGGTTGTAGAGGCTACAATTAAGGCAGTTAGAGGTAGTCCCACCTAATGCCACCACTGCTGCCATTAAAGCCTCTGAGAATCTCTAATCCAGACCCTGGGTGACCGTCACAGTTGGAATCGAGTGTGAAGGGATTCAGGGCATGGGGAGGGCATTCACTCGGTGATCACAAGGGAAGGGCACCAGGCATGCCATCTGTCAGCCCAGCGAGCCCCTCAGCTGGTCCAGGGCCCACACCACCCAAGCAGTTGCTTAGAGGGCTGGGGAGGCACGGGGAGCGGATCCCAGGGAAGACTGAAATGTAGAGTGTCTGAGAGCACTGGGAATTCCTGGTTGGAATTCCACAGCTCAGTCTTGGCTTCTGAAATTATTGGCCTTGGGAGCTCTTTCAGGGCAGAACATGTCGGAACCCCGTATCCTGTCTTTGGGTCCCATGGAGGGGTGTCCTGGCAGTAAACAGGTGTGGGCAAGAAAATATCTTTCCTTTTTGTTTTTTCTCTTTGGACCTCAGATACAAAAATGTGAGTGAAACCAAGGGTAGTGGCTTACACCTGTAATCGCAGCACTTTGGGAGGCCAAGGTGGGAGGATGGCTTCAGCCCAGGAGTTTGAGACCAACCTGAGCAACATAGTGAGAGCTTGCCTCTCAAAATCCATGAACCAATGAATGAATAGATCCACCCCTCCATTCCGCCACATGAGTGAATGCCGTTCCCAGCTCCTGGCATGCTGTCCTCACTGGTCACTCTAAAGCCCTGTATTTATTCCCTCATGTCCCTGTTCTCCCTGCCACAGGCAGCTGCTCCAATAGCCTCAGCATGTATCTGTAAATTTGTTTCCTTCCAGAATATGTTGGGTGATTGCATGTATTTTTCATTTACTTCATGGCATTGTGCCGTAGTCCTCATTCTTTGGCTTGGTTCGCCCAGTGCCATGTTGCAGCTCCAGCCATGTGACAGTGCATCCCTGCACTCTGCCTCCGGGACTGTTGATTCTGTTTTTGGAGTGTGCATTGGTGACATCTCCTTTGATGTAGCCCATACCGCCCAGGACGAGAATTCCTCTGGGAGAGATCCTCTAGGTGGAATTACAGGGTCATGTATTCTACTGTGTTTAATTTGACCAAATATTGATAGATTGCTCCAAAATATGGTAGTTTTACTGAGGGGTGTGTGCCTTGTGCTGAAGATGGATACAGGGATGAGGTGGACCGTGGAGGCCCTGGCAGCAGATGAGAGAGAGTCAGGGACATCTCAACAGATGAGGCCAAACTGCATAAGGAAGAGGCTGGGTGTGGTGGCTTAGGCCTATACAACCAGCACTTTGGGAGGCTGAGGCGGGTGGATCACTTGAGGTCAGAGTTCGAGACCAGCCTGACCAACATGGCGAAACCCTGTCTCTACTAAAAAGACAAAAATTAGCTGGGCGTTATGGCACCGGCCTGTAGTCCCAGCTACTTGGGAGGTTGAGGCAGGAGAATCGCTGGAACCCCGGAGGCAGAGGTTGCAGTGAGCCGAGATGGCCCCACTGCACTCCAGCCTGGGCGACAGAGTGAGACTCTGTCTCAAAAAAAAGAAAACAAAACAAAACAAGCATGAACTAGCCTTTTTCCTCCTCTCCTCCCCCACCCCCCAGCTGTCCAGCCTGCAGTTTGCGTTGGCTGCAAAGTCAAAAGCAAAGAAAAAATAGGCTTTAGCTACAATAGAGCCCACAGCTTTCCTGCCATGGGAATCATTTGTTGTGTCCTGCTGAGGGCCCATCCAGCCTGTGCCAAGCACCGTGGAGGGTAGAAGGAGTCATCGCAGGTGGGGTCCTTCCTGTGGGGAGACAGGCTGCCATATCCAGCCCTTCTTGAGCAAAAGCACTCCCCCACAGAGTCTCACTCTGTCGCCCAGGCTGGAATGCAGTGGTGCCATTTCGGCTCACTGCAACCTCTGCGTCCCGGGTTCAAGGCTGGGGTTCTGTTGAGACATAAAGATGAGATTTCATCCAACCACAGATTTCTCACTGTGCCAGGAGGAAAGTTTTTGGAACTCTGGTATTTTGGTTCACCCTATGTGAACTGCGGGACTAGTTCATTTTTTTATTTCTGTTTTTAGCAAAGCCGCAGGTCTCCTGTGGTCATGAATGCATGGGTCTTAAGAGGCAGGACAGCCTCATACTCCTGAGCTCAGGTGTGGAACTCAAGCAGACGTGGCTCTAAGCTCAGCTGGGTCACCTTAGAGAAGCCACTGAATCTCTTGGAGCCTCAGTTTATGCTTTGCCAAATGGGGATATTACTGTCTATTTCCCAAAGCTGTTGCAGGGGTATGCTGAGATAATGGAAGCAAACACTCCACATCGTGCTTGGCATGTAGGAATCTGGTGATAAAGGTCCTATTATTGTTACGAGAAACACGTGTGAGGAGAGTGTAACTGGGCCTTCAGCTCCGTGTGGAGCCCTTGTTCCTTTCCTGAAATAGAGACATGCTTTCCTCCCTGTGTTTGCAGTGAAGTTTTGATTTAGGCACATCGTCATTGTAGATGCGCGATCAGGTTTTATTTTCTGTTCTAACATTTAGCAGTTTAATGATACCGCGTGAATGCTGTGGTGTAGTCTCCGAGCTCTTTCATGGGTATTCCTCTCTTGAGCTGCCCAGGGATTGGGGCTATGATCTGTCATCCCCCCTCCCCCGCAACTTTAGAGTAAGATCTCGAAAGCAATGGGGCTGAGCTCAAAACCTCGGGCTGTCCCACAGCCTCCTATGGGACTTGAGAACTTCAGAGTTCATTCTAGGTGGACCAGGAAACCACTGGACGGCGTTGGGCAGGGCAGAGGAAGTGGTCGGGCCGCATAGAAGCGACTCGGTTCACAGTAGCTGTGACCGTTCACTGAGGGGTGTGTGCTTTGTGCTGGGCACTGAAGATGGATACAGCCGTGAGGAGGACCCTGGAGGGCCTTGCAGCGGATGGGATGGGGGAGAGTCAGGGATGTCTCAACAGATGAGGCCAAACTGCAGCTGGTTCTGGCTTCGTGGTACAGGCAGCAACCAGCTGTCCCCCAGGGGATGTAGGGAGGCATTTGCATTGGCCCCTAAGATTAAGTTTGGGGTGTGAGCATCTCCTTGGTGGTGTGAAAGTGCCCAGGGAGTGGAGCCGTGCCAGGTGAGAGGGTGCGGCTGGAGAGGCAGGTGGGAGCTGGATGGTGAGGGCCCTTGAGTGCTCTGCAGGGAGCTTGAATCTCCCCATCACTGTTTACGTCCATCATGGAAGGCCCAGGGAAAATATATATATATATATATATATATATATATATATATATATATATATATAGTTTTCGGTTTTTGAGACAGGGTCTCCCTCTGTTGCCCAGGCTGGAGTGCAGTGGTGCGATCTCAGCTCACTGCAGCCTTGACCTCCCATGCTCAAGTGATCTTTCCACCTCCCATGGGGTTGTTTTGGAGTTTGCCATTGCTTCTTCACTTGACTGGCCCCTTCTCTTCCGTGGGACTCATGAGCAGTACTCGAGGGAGACGAGCATCCCATGGATACGCAGGCGGTTGATGGATTCTCTCTACCATGGGTGCCTGATGGAGGCTGGAGTACGTGCATGAACCATAGACCGTCCGTGCTTTCAGGGACAACTAGGTGCTGTTCACTTCTCCTCACAGGGCCTGGCACAGAAGTGAAGTCAAAGAGATGTCTGCTTAGATGGAGAACTGAATCCGATCCCATGGACTCAATCAATGCCTGGGGAGTGAGGGCGAGATGGCCTCTGCAGGGCGAGGCCTGTTTCCTCCCCTCCTCCCTCCTTCCCAGTCCGTCACCAAAGCACTTGTTTGGGAAGTGGTGGCAGAGCGGAGTTGCTGGGGTGAAAGAGTCGATGGGGCCTTGCTTCCCTTGTCCCCCCAGAGGGCAGTGGCCCTGGCCTCCAAGGCAGTGTGTCCGCAGAGGCTTATGGGAGGGGAGTCCCACCAAGGGTGTCTTTGACATGCATCCTGCCCTGCGTACCCCTTCCTCAGTTCTCTCTTCTCCTCTCTGACCCTGCCCTCCCTCATCCTCCCTTCCTCTGAACTCCTCTCCCCTCCCTCCCATACCTTTCCTCCCTCTCCCTTGCCCTGCCCTACTGTGCCTGCCTTTCTCCTGCCCTGCTTGTTTTCTGTCCTCCTCTCCCCTCCCCTTCCTAGTGCTCCCTCCCCAGCCCTCCTGCCTTGCCCTCCTCTCCCCTTCTCTCCCTTCCCCTGCCTGCCCTGCCCTGCCCTGCTCTCTTCTCCTCAGCCTTCCTCTGCCCTGCCCTGCTCTCCCTTCCCCTCCCCTCTACTCAGTTCTCTTTCCTCCTACCCTCTCCTCTTCCCTGCGCTGCCTTCCTCTGCTCTCTCCTTCCCTTCCGTACCCTTGCAAAACACCTTCAGCTAAAGACTTCATCTCTCCCCTCTTCTGTCCATGCCTGGTGCGTTCCAGGTGGTGATCACCTAGAAAAAGGCCTGATGAACAAGCTGCAGGACCTGTTCCAGCCTCTCAGCCACGCCGTTGCCCCGCTGATTGGCCCAGATGGGAGCCTCAGGACCTTCCTCATGAATATTTGGGGCCAAGTCCCAGTATAAAGATTAGAACAGTTTTCTTTTCTAAATTTGCAATTGTATTATTTTCCCCAAATTAATCAGGGGAGGCCACTTCGTGAAGCTTTGCTAACAGCGCCCAGTCAGCAGCTGATAAAAGGAGCTCTGTGACATTTGGGAAGCCACCGCTATGAGGGCCACCATGCCCGACTATTTGTTGCTCTCAGATGTCTCTGTGGAGAGTTTTTAAGTGGCAATAACAGGAATTGCTCTCGTCAGCTTCCCAATTAGCAACCGCACAGTGGGCTCCCCAGAAACAACTGCTCAGGCCTGGGTGCTGGGAGCCCAGGCGTCCCCCGTTATAAAGCAGAGTTCACAGGTTGGCATGGATTTGCCGTGGATTGCGGCTTGCTCCCTGCATCCCAGGGTGGCAGGATTGGGCCTGTGGTTTTGATGAGTTCCACACCTCCCAGCTGGCTAATGCTTGAAAGAAGAAAGGCAGATTTTCAATGCTCCAGGGATAAAACAGAGGGGCTTTTTAAAATTGAAGACTCAGAGCTGTTTTCAGTCTCATAGAAGGAATAGCTGATTCTCACTCTCTGGCTTAAAATGCCTGTCACTCCTTGGGGAAAGTCCAGATTCTCTCATGTGGCTTCCTAGGGCTGCCCTAGCTCCCCCTACCTCAGGCGCCTCTGCTCCTGAATCTTGTGGTCCCCCTAAGCTACTGTCTTTGGCATCTTCAGGCTCCTCCCTGCCCTGGAGCTGCCTTTCTCTCCCACTGTCGTAGAGCAGAGTGGATATAAGGGCACTGGCTCAGGAATCAGGCCTCTTGGGGCCAATTCTTGTTTCTACCCCCCAACTAAGGAGTTGTGGACCTGGGCGCCTCTGAGTATCAGCTTCATTCTTCTGAAATGGGAACATGAAAAAGCCCCTCTCTTGGCCAGACATGGTGGCTCATGCCTGTGATCCCAGCACTTTGGGAGGCCAAGACGGGCAAATCACTTGAGGCCAGGAGTTCGAGACCAGCCTGGCCAACATGGTGAAACCCCGTCTCTAGTAAAAATAGAAAGATTAGCTGGGCGTGGTGGCATGTACCTGTAATCCCTCCTACTCGGGAGGCTGAGGCAGGAGAATCACTTGAACCGGGGAGGTGGAGGTTGCAGTGAGCCGAGATTGTGCCACTGCACTCTAGCCTGGACAACAGAGCAAAATTAGGTCTCTAAAAAACAAAGAAAGAAAGAAAGAGAGAGAGAGAGGGAGAGAGAAAGAAAGAGAGAAAGAAAGAAAGAAAGAAAGAGAGAAAGAAAGAAAAAAGCCCCTCTCTCGATGGGCTGCTGAGAATAAATGAAATGATGCTTAAGCATAGGTGTGCCTAGCCCAGTGCCTGGCAGAGAAAGCACTCCAAAAATGTTGCTAGTGACGGCTCCTCCTGCTGCTGCTACTAATAATGATGATGGTCATTATTATGTCACATAGTCCTGTGGGAGGGCTCCCTAACCCCCATTCAGATCAGGCACCCTGTCCTCATTCTCCCCTATGGAAGACCTTGTGTAGCCCTTCATCAGGCGTGTGTTGTGGCTTTGTCACACTGTTTTGTAATGATCGCTTTGCATGTCTTTTCCAGCTGACTGTAAGTTCCACGAAGGCGGGATCCACAGGTCTCATTTATCTTTTAACTGGAAGTGCCTGGCTCACAGTAGGCCCCCAAAGAATGCATGCTGAATGAATCAACAAACGAATATATGTGACTGGAGAGCTGAATGAGAGGATGAATGATTGCACCCCATCCGCAAGTCACCCCTGAAATAGATCAGTCAGCTCTGAAATAGAACTGAAACCCATTCGCTTCTCCTTGCCTCCCCAGCCGCCACCATCTCCTGCCTGGATGACTGCAGCAGCATCCTTGCTGGCCTCTCTGCTTCCTGCATTGCCTCCTCTGAATCTTCAGGTGACCTCCGAAGTCACCTCCTCCCAGGTGCCTTCCTGTCCTAGCCACCCAAGCCAAGTCCATCTCTGTGCCAGCACTCTTTATGATGTATTCACGTATCTGCTTGTTGGCTCTACTGGATCTAAGCTCCGGAGGGCAGGGGTCACATCTGTTTGCCAATACGTTCCTTCAAGGCACGGTGCCTTGGACATATGCAGGCATGCGGCAGATAGTCACTGAGTGAACCATGCAGGAGCCAGCACAATTAACGCGAGTGCCAGTAACCAGCCTGGGCGTAAATCTGTAACTCGATGGTGCACCACGAGTTAACTTCTCATTCATGTCACAGTCCACTGCAGATCAGGCAGCCCCTCCTTTCTCCACGTGTGGGCTACATGCTCCCAGAGAAAGGGGAAGGGGAAGCAGGGGAGGGGAGGATGGCAGGGAATTTCCTTTTCTCGGCTAGGCCTAGACGTGGCCTGCCCCAACTCCCATTACCTTACATTAACCATAAGTCAGCCGATGGCTCTCGTCTAATTGCAAGGCATGCTGGGAAGCCTGGTCTGTCTTTGTGCCCAGAAAGAAGAAACGGGGTTGGTGAGCCAGTCTCATCAGAATGGGTACGAGACCAGGCGTGGTGGCTCACACCTGTGATCTCAGCACTCTAGGAGGCTGAGGAGGGAGGCTCGCTTAAGCCCAGGAGTTCAAGACCTGCCTGGGCAACATAGTGAGACCCCGTCTCTACAAAAACTTTAAAAATTAGCCAGACGTGGTGGTGTGCACCTGTAGTCCCAGCTACACTGGAGGCTGAGGCAGGAGGATTGCTTGAGCCTGGGAGGTCAGGGCTGCAGTGAGCCATGATTGTACCACTGCACTTCAGTCTTGGCAACAGAGAGATATCCCGTCTCAGAAAAAAAAAAAAAAAAAAAGGTGCAGGATGGAATCTCATAGCCAGGAGGCCTTGTTGCTGGAGTCCTTAGTAGTCTAGTCAACATTCTAGAATTCTCTAGCCAGTGACAAGTTCCTATATCAGCTGACTCCAAAGCAGATATCTCTTAAGGGGGCTGAGCTGCCTGCTACTCCCGATAGACAAGACCTTTTTATTTTACAAAATACCTTGATGTTCCTTGATGAAAAGAAAAAGAACTTTGGAAATGCAAAATCACCTCTGTCTGTCACGTAGCTGACACGAGGTGCGGCTCCTGGGGAGGGGCCCACTGGGGAGCGGGACATGCGTTGCAAAGACACACTTGTCAGAAACAAACCAGGAAACAAAATTCAGGGAAATACAGGGGGCGGGGCCTGAGCATTGCTTCCAGGAGCCTCGTTGTCTTGTTCACAGCATTCCATCGTTTTAAAAATAGCTATTCTTCATTTGATGATAACTTTATCTTCTTGAAGCTCAAAATAAAATTAACCTTTTCTGGAGGGAAGAAAAATATTCCTATTAAAATTGTCTCGAGTGTTCTTTTTGAAAGCGAGGCCCAACTCCCAGTGCCGTCTATGAATAGCTCTCAGGCATCATTGACGATGGCGTTATGGTAGGAATACCACACAGAGTGACAGCAGAGCCACGGGTGGGTGGCAAGGACTCATTAGGCAGCCCCTAGAGAAGTCTGGCAGGTTCCATACGCTGGGTTTGCCTCCAGTCCTGTGGCTTCTCATCTGAATTTTGGCTGCCACCCTAGGAGCCCAACCAGAAAACTCACAGATCCCTCATGGCCCTTTAAGAGCTGGACATTCCTCAGGGGGTCAGGGCCCTTCCTGGATGCCCTGTCTCCTCCTGGGAGCCCCATGTGACAGATGGGGCCTCTGAAGGCCTAGTTCCCTGTCTTCACTCACTTGCTCCCTGGTGTTCGGCTCTCTTTGGAATCAGGGAGCTGGCTTCCAGGCCAGTCTGTCCACTCCACCACCAGGGATCTTTGTTCTCTCTCTCTGGACTTTCGCAACATCCTCCAGGCCATTCTTCCTATGGTCTGCCTGGCCTTCCCTAATTTTATCCCAACAGGTATTTGTTCTCTCAACAAATGTGTATGGAGCCTCTTGGGATCTCCAGGCGCTGTGATAGGCTCCGGCGATAAAGGGATGAACCAGACAGATAAGGTGCCTGCCTTGGTGGAATTACCATCTAGCAAGGGAGGTGGGGGAGTTAGCAAGAGTCCTGCAGTGAAGGAATGAGACTATCCCAGGAAGCAACGAGTGCTTTGAAGAAAGGAGAATGAGGACTGGATCAGAGAGGGCCTGGGCGACCTCCACTGGCATGTCCCGAGAGGTCTCTCGGAGGTATTGGCACAGGAGCGAAGACCAAAATGGCAAGGCCTTCTGGGACATCCCAGATGAAGACAGGAGACATCAGGAGACTGTGTGCTGGACATGAGAAGAAACTTGGGGCTGCTAACATATTACAATGTTGGTGAGGGTCGGGGTGGGAGGTACTGGGGAGAAGGTGACGTGAAGAGAGGTTAGCAAGGCGTGCTGCGGCCACGCGGCAAGGTTCCCATGAGCCACGCTAGTTTAGTCGTGTGTGCTGGGAGGTGGACAGAGTTCATGGGAGCCATTGAAGAATTCCAACTGCAGAGGGTCGTGATGGAGTTTTGAGAGCTCTCTCTGCCTAAGCTTCCTACACCCTACTGTCCCCCAGCATTGCTTCTCAGTGTTGATCAGATCAGCTACCTGATGCCTCCCACCTCCCGTTGGCTTTGTTCACTGGTCTACGTGGCTCTGCACGGTTTTACTGCTGCTCACACTGCAGTCTTACACCTCTGGAGCCGCTAAACCCAGCCACACCGGCTGCCTCCTGTTCCAGCAAGCCAAGCTCCTTCTGCCTGGGGGTTTCTTCTTGCATTTGCTGTTCTTTCCACTTGGCATGCCCTTCCCCCACCCTCAGGGCACCACCTTGACCACCTGATGGCCACACGCCTTTCCTCCAGGAGCCAGCTAAAGCACCAGCTTCAGGGGCTGCTTCCTTGCAGTGACACGCTCTCTCCAGCCCTCCTGCAAACGTAGATATTCCTCCCTGCGAGGTTCCCTGAGCACCTGTGGGTTCCATCGCAGCACTTGCCCCAGCCTGTCCCTACCCCCTCCTGCACATTTAAACTCCTCGAGGAAAAGGATCCCAGCTAAACATCTGTGGATCATCAGCACCTGTCACAGGCCTGGTGGGCCATGTCAGCTACCAGGTGCTGAGCCTGGGTTATCACCAATGGGGTAGGAGCTACCCCATCGCTGTCTTGCAGATGAGAAACAGAGATTGCAGGGGATTTCGCTGCATTCCCACAGAGCCGGTAAATGGTACTGCAGGTCTCTGACAGCCTCAGGGAATGTCACCTTGTGATGTGAAGTAGATGCAGTGTAGCCTCTGGGATGCATTTCTGGGGCCTCGGCTGGTCATACTGCCTGTGCAAGGGGTATAAATCAGGGCTTGCAAATGCACTGGCCCACGGAGGCTGCCAGGACGGGGAGCAGGCTGTCCTGGGGAGTGACGGTGCTATGTGGTCCGCTAATCAGGCACTCCCGGCTTAGCCCCTACCCACTGGCAGGGCTGCTCATTATTTAAAGGGAAGCCAGAAATCTGGGTTTTATGCAGAAATCTCCCGGTTTTAATGTTTCAGAACATTGCTCAGGCCATACAAAACATACCTGTGGGTCACAGTTAGTCTGTGGACCTCCGTGAACAGCTTGTGGTGAAAATGGTGGCACCATGTCCCCCAAAAGGTCAGAACCCAGGTGATCGCAGGGGGAGTCCAGTCTGAACAGTATTGCATTCAACCTATTAAAGAATGGATAAAGAGGTGCACTGTAACTCGTCTTTTAAAATTCCAGAAGCAGCAGGCACATTTGAAAACTCAAACGTTTAAACACAGGCTAGGTCTTAGATAACACCAATGACTCATCATTAATTTTGTTACAGGTGATTATGCCATTGTGGTCAAATGGGAAAATGTTGTTAATTTTTCAGAAATACACACTGAAGTATTTAGGAGTAAAATGTCATGACTATAATTTACCTTAAAACACCTTAGCGAAAAGGTAAAAATGATGACACAAATATGGAAAAGAGTTAAGACTTTTTAGACAAAGTATTGTGGAGATTCATTAAAATTTGTGCTGCTTTTTGTCTTATTTAAAATTTTTCAGCAATCCGTGATGTCTCACACCTGTAATTCCAGCACTTTGGGAGGCCGAGGCAGGTGGATCACCTGAGGGCAGGAGTATCACCTGAGGGCAGGAGTTCGAGACCAGCCTGGCCAACATGGCGAAACCCTGTCTCTGTTAAAAATACAAAAATTAGCTAGGCATGGTGGTGTGCCCCTGTAGTCCCAGCTACTTGGGAGGCTGAGGCAGGAGAATCTCTTGAACCAGGGATTGCACCACTGCACTCCAGCCTGGGCGACAGAGCGAGACTCTGTCCCGCCTGCAAAAAATAAAAATAAAAATAATAATAATAATAATAAAAAAGTAAGAAAACAAAACACAGTCACAGGCAGGAATATAGCCTTCCATGAATTATTCTGGGATCTTCCACACCTCTCAGGTCACATTCTACCGAGTCCTGTGCCGCGATTCAGGCCAGGGTGTCTGCACCTCTAGGGTCAGAGTGAGACCTGAGGGAAAAGTGCCTGGGGCAGAGGATGAGTCATGCAGCCCCACCTGCCCCTGCACCCAGGTGTCAGGCTTCCTCCTCTTCACAAGGCAGATGGCTTCTCCTAAAGCCAACCTGGAAGTAGAATCTCAAAGAACTGAACCCCGCTTTGGGGAAGCCTGGTGTAGAGGAACCCATGGGCTTTTATTTGGAAGGCTGAAAGTTGTCTTCTGTACTGGGGAGGCTGTCCCTGCTGCCTGATGGAAGGCCCTGCTCAGCCACCTCCTAGTCTTGACCCTTTGTGCAAGTTCCTCACCTTTCTGAAATTCAGTGACCAGCCTTGGCTGTGCTGTAGGGACACAGGGCAGGGAAATCTCTGAGAAACGAGCATGAGTGAAGATGTCACAGACATCAATGGATAAAGAAAATATGGTTTATATACACCATGGAATACTATCAGCCATAAAAAAGGAACGAAATCATGTCTTTTGCGGCAACTTGGATGAAGCAAAAGGCCATTATTCTAAGTGAAGTAACTCAGGAATGGAAAACCGAATCCCGTGTGTTCTCACTTATAAGCGGGAGCGAAGCTATGGGCATGCAAATACATACAGAGTGATAATAATGGACTTTGGGGACTCAGGCGTGGGGGAGGTTGGGAGGGAGGTGAGGGATAAATGACCGCATATTTGAGTACAGTGCACACTGCTCAGGTGAAGGGGGCACTAGAGTTTCAGAATTCACCACTAAAGAACTCGTTCAAGGCCGGGTGCAGTAGCTCATGCCTGTAATCCCAGTACTTTGGGACACTGAGGTGGGCGGATCACTTGAAGTCAGGAGTTCGAGAACAGTCGTCACTAGTAAAAATACAAAAATTAGCCAGACATGGCTGTGTGTGTGCCTGTAATCCCAGCTACTTGGGAGGCTGAGGTAGGAGGACTGCTTGAACCTGGGAGGCGGAGGTTGCAGTGAGCTGAGATCGTGTCACTGCACTGCACCCTGGGCGACAGAGTGAGACACTGTCTCAAAAAAACAAAAAACAAAAACAAATAAAACACTCGTTCATGTAACCAGAAATCACCTGTACCCGCAAAAATTATTGAAAGAAATCAGATTTTTTTTTTAATTCCAATTGCTGCCATATTGGACATTCCTAGAGCAGAACCTGGCTTAGGTTTCCAGGAAGCAGCTATTGTGAGGAGTGAGCACTTGGGAGGGACTTGGGATTTCTCCAGGGGCCTCTGGGACCTGGGTGAGAGAGGCAGATTAGACTCATGGATGGAATTCTCTAACCTTCATTTTGGGGGTGGGGGGTTCACTTTCCTTGGGCTCTGTAGCACCACCCCACATATAGTAGGAAGGACCATCTCTGATCTCTCCTTATTGCTTTAGAGTGTTTTGAGCATTTCCCTTCCAAAAAAAGAAAAATCTTCACAAGTTTTTGCAGGGCTGATGAGCTCCTTTCTTGTCTTCCTGTAGCAGAGTCTATCAAGCTGCCTTGAGGGTTTCTTGTGCAGATTAAAAACTAGGCTTCATGAGCTCCGTTGGGCACTAGCCAGGCATCTTAACCACCTTCCCAAGGAAAAGCATCTCATTGTTTAATGGCGGGTTGAAACTTGGCAACCAAGGAGCAGAACCAGCATTCAGACTGGGTGAGCAGAGGCTCCAGCTTGGGTTGGAGGACCCTGGGACAACCTTGTCTAAATATCTTCTCTCATTCGCACATAGCCCGCCTCCTGCCAGGGTGTGAGATGTTAGCCACCAGCTGGACTGATGGTGACATTGGAGTGGCTCTCAGCAGTGTTTGAGAGCTGCCACCCCTCTGGAGGAAGGTCCCCCACCGAGGCCGCTCATCGGAGGTGGCTTTGGAGAAGAAGACTTTGTTGTGACTTTGGAGTGGCCCCGAGGGGCCCCTGCTGGCACAGATGCTCCACGCTTCCATCTCCCACCTGGTGCTTGCAAGAGGCTTGCTAGAGAAAATATAAGGATGCCCAGTGAAATTGGAAGTTCAGATAAACCAATAATTTTGTAGTCTAAGTGTATCGCAAATACTGCATGGAAAGGTTTCGTTGTATAGAACATACTTTTTGCTGAAAAATTGTTCATTGTTTATTTGAAGTTCAAATTTCACTGGGTGCCGTGTATTCTCATTCGCTCAGTCTGCCAGCCCTGGCTCAAAGGTGCCTCTCAAGAAAGACTCTTCTTGCCATGCTCGGGGCCTTGGCAAGGCTTTGTGGGAACTCTTCTCTTCTTTTTATTCTGATTTTGATTTTTGATTTGTTTTTATTTTTTAGAGGCAGTGATGTGGTTTGGATCTGTGTTCCTACCCAAATCTCCTGTCGAATTGTAATCCGCAGTGTTAGAGGTGGGGCCTGGTGGGAGGTGACTGGATCATGGGGGTGGATTTCCTCCTTGCTGTTCTCATGACAGTGAGTTCTCATGAGATCTGGTTGTTTAAAAGTATGTGGCACCTCCCGCTTCACTGTCTTCCTCCTGCTCCGGCCACGTAAGATGTGCCTGAGTCCCCTTTGCCTTCCACCATGATTGTAAGTTACTGAGGCATCCCCCACCATGTTTCCTGTACAGCCTGCGAAACCATGAGCCAGTTAAACCTCTTTTCTGTATAAATTACCCAGTCTCAGGTAGTTCCTTATAGCAGTGTGAGAATGGACTAATATAGTCAGGGTCTAACTGTCTCCCAGGGTGGAATGCGGTGGTGTGATCATAGTGCACCGTGCACTCTACCTCTCGGGCTTAAGCAGTCCTCCTGCTGCAGCCACCCATGTAGCTGGGACTACAGGTGCACACCACCGTGCCCGGCTACTTTTTTCAATTTTTTATAGAGATTGGGCCTTGTTATGTTACCCAGGCTGGTCTCAAACTCCTGGGCTCAAGCGATGCTCCTGCCTCAGCTTCCTAAGGTGCTGGGATTAAAGGTGTGTGAGCCACCACACCTGGCCTGTGGGAGCTCTTCACCGGGGACCAGGGCACGTGATGCTAGGTGGTTTTTCTCGTTGCTGACAGATTGTGACTGAGCCCCTGCCTTGGGCCAGCTCTGTGCCTGCACAGGGAGAGCAGAGACGAGTGCCCCACCTGATGTATGGGGCCTCCTGGGCGAGGTACCGAGGCCCACTGCAGACAGCAGTTTCCTCATCTGTTACGCGCCGTCGTCATAGAACATTCCTCCTCGTGTTCTGTGAGGTTGGAATGACCCCGTTCCTCCACTGCCTTCTCTCAGCTCTTTGTTTCTTCACCTTGCTTGGTCTTCGGTCCAGAAGGAGCATGACGGTCTCAGAGAAAGCCTTGTCCCGGCCCCGATGCTCACTGCCCAGGGTGTCTTTGTTACAAGCCAGGGGCTACTAGCACAGATACACGGAGCAGGATTGGCTATGGAATGTGTGGGGCCCAGGCCAACGTGACAGTGTGGAGCCCCTGGTTCCAAATTAATGAGAATGGTGGGCAGTAGCTCACCACGCAGTCCCAGTGTGGACCCTCTGTGACAGCTTGGGTTGCACACCAAGCAAGCTGGCCCTGCCCACAAACACCAACCAGACACAGGGGTGGGGTGGGGTCTGTAGGATGAGTGAGGGGGTTCTGGATCACAGAGCCCCTGATCACTGAGTGGTGGAAACTGCTCAGACCTGGGGACCTGTGCCTGCCTTCTGGGGCCACGCTGCACAGCCCAGCCTGGTATGGCCCTATGGGTGGGGCCATGCTACCATGCATCCTAGGTTTTTTTTGTGTGTGTGTGAGATGGAGTTTCGCTCTTGTTGCCCGGGCTGGAGTGCAATGGTGCCATCTTGGCTCACCACAGCCTCTGCCTCCCGGGTTCAAGTGATTGTCCTGCCTCAGCCAAGTAGCTGGGATTACAGGAACGTGCCACTACGCCTGGCTAATTTTGTATTTTTAGTAGAGAAACGTGGGGTTTCTCCAGGTTGGTTAGGCTGGTCTCAAACTCCCAGCCTCAGGTGATCCGCCCGCGTCTGCATCGTGGCCCACGCGTCCTAGTTTTTCAAGAGAATACGGAAATTGTTTATTAATAAAACCTCTTTCTTAATCAGTGGCAGTTGTTTTGTATTTCGAGAAACTCCCCTGAAGGCAAAATTAAGCCGGTGCTCTGGAGTGGCATTTGGTGTGATTGATAATTACCCGCTGACCTGTGTGGTCACTGGATTGATTTGTGTCTCCCTCGCTGGCCTGTGAACTCCACGAAGGCCACAGCAGTGTGTTCATTGTTCTACCCTGACCCCCAGCACCACATTCGGCACATTTTGGTGCCCCATAAATAACTGTCCCATTTGAATAGGAACACACCAGATAGAGGTCTTGGACCTGCTTTTCCTCCACTTAATAATAATATCGTGAGCATCTTTCTTGTTATTACATGTGATACTACATGTAAGGGCTTAGGGACCATTCATACGAGATAGTTGCTCAATCAGTGTTGGTTGCCTGGATGGCGCTGATGGGTGATCGCCTGTTCTATAGGGTCATTTCTGACCAGGTGAGGAAGACGTACCAAAGCGAAGATGTTTTGTGTTTCCTCAGGATGCCAAGTTTGTGGAGGAACGGAGAAAGCAGCTCCAGAATTACCTGCGCAGCGTCATGAACAAAGTCATCCAGATGGTCCCCGAGTTCGCTGCCAGCCCCAAGAAGGAGACCCTCATCCAGCTGATGCCCTTCTTCGTGTAAGTACTGCTCCCACGGACATGGGCCGCCAGCCCTGCCAGCATTTTTTTCTCGGTCGTTTTGGAAGGTCAGGGAGCACAGCGGCTCTCCGTGATGCCCTGATCGCCATGGGACCCAGGCGAACTCCAGGGGCTGTTCCAGGTGCCAAAGTGGAGGTTGGGTCTCAGCGCTTTGGAGCTTCTAAAGGGATGGGAAGAGAGCAGGCCTGCAAATGAGCATTGTTGACTTGAGGCTCACAAAGAAACTTGGGGCTCTGTGATTTTGTACTTTCACACATTTCGATCAAGGGAAGATTAATTTTCTGTACAGCCCACGGGTGCTCCAAAACTGAAACAAATTGTGTCAGTGTTTCTCAAGCTTGGGTAATGAACCCAAGGAAAGTTCTCCCAGACTCCTACCAGTATTGACTTAAATTATTTTTATATGAGTTTTACTTAAAAATGAACATTAATATTATTTAAATGCCTTCTTCTCTCTTGAAAAAAGTAAAAAAAAAAAAAAATTAAAAGAGTTTACATATTATGCACTTAGAAAATCATTACACTTCAGGCTGGGCACGGTGGCTCACGCCTGTAATCCCAGCACTCTGGGAGGCTGAGGCGGGTGGATCACCTGAGGTCGGGAGTTCGAGACCAGCATGGCCAACATGTTGAAATCCTGTCTCTACTAAAAATACAAAAATTAGCCAGCCGTGCAAAAATTAGCTGGGCATGGTGGCAGGCGCCTGTAGTCCCAGCTACTTGGGAGGCTGAGGCAGGAGAATCACTTGAACCCAGGAGGCAGAGGTTGCAGTGAGCTGAGATTGTGCCGCTGCACTCCAGCCTGGGTGACAGAGCAAGACTCCACGCCCCCCCCACCCCCCCCCCCAAAAAAAAGAAAAAATCATTACACTTCAAAATTGTCAATTAACCCAACGGATGCTGCTGTTTTCAAGAAAGCTAATCTTGGCTCGAAATGTCATGCAGTGACTTCTTTTCGCCTGCCACATGCCAGGCGTGCTGACTTCATCCACCCCTTTGCTCTGGTCCCATTGCTGGGAAACGTCAGGCTGTCCTTTTGACGTCCCTGCCTTGCCACTGATTAGTCCACTCTGTTGTCATAACCTGGGAATGCTGACATTTACATCCTTGGAATTAGGGGAACCAAAACCATCAAGCCCGACTTGGTTTTTATGGTCTTCAGATGCTACAGAATGTAATTGTATTATTTCTAAAATCTTACCGTGATAGAAACACAAAACGTAAAAATCCATAGAGAAGACCTGTGGGATTGGGACTTATTCGAGAAGCACTGTTCTGGGTCGGTGTGATTTGTATGAAATGCTGGGGTAATATAAGAGTTTCCTGTCACTGTAGCTGTTTAACGGTTGTTCTAATGGTGTTGCTGGGTTCAAAACAGAGGGTGCATTTCTGCTCCCCTCTGTGGGGTGCACCTTTGGGAGCCGGCTTCTGTGGGGTGTGCTCCTGTCTGTGGGGTGTGCCCAGCGGTACCATCCAGATCGACATGAGCAGCTGCCTGTCTTCCCTGCCTAGGCCCTTTGAAATTGTCTCCAAGATGGTTGCTTAGATTTTCTAATTGTTCCGGGGTTTTTGTGAGAAGACATTATAGTATCCTGCTGCCTGTGATAAGAGGTGCCTTTTTGTCCTGAATAGAAAACAGTTTCTAGAACGCTTTATTTTTCTTTTCTTCTTTTATTTGTAATGCCAGGGACTGGATCTCACTGTTTGGAAATGGCCGCGATAGTTCACGTGAGGAGTTCTCATCCTCTTAGCGGCATCCCCATGGCCCAGGGTGCACGGGGGAATTAGCCTCTCGCGGAGTCATCACGCATCGACTGAATTCCCTGGTGAAAACTGAGTTAGCCAGTTGTTCCTAAGATACTCCTGATGCTGAGAGTGTGAGCAGGAGGCGCTGCCCCATCCGCAAGTCAGTGTCCCCCACCCCCTGCGGGGTCCACAGCCCAGGCATCTCCGGTCCAGTGTTTCCCAAACATTCGCGTGCCGAATTGTAAAAAGTGCACGTTAATGCGAGCCTGTCGGTGTGACATGAATCTCAGCCATGCTGGTTGCCATCAGTCAGCACGGAGAGAGAAACCTTTTGTGCCTAATTAGCACGCAGAACAGAACACAGGGTTCGATTTATGGACTTTTCAAAACGAGAATTTCAGTGGGAGACTGTGGCAAATGACACAGTGTTGACACTGGAATTTTGACTACATGTTGGTCTAGACCCCAGTTGAAATTAAACAGCTCTTTTAATAAAAGCTCTTTGGCTTTCCTCACTGTTCCAAATCCCACAGCCCCCTTCTCCTTCTTCCTTTTTGAGCAGGATGGGATTACAGGTCGGAATGTACGGATTGTTTCATTTTGGGGTAATGATGGATCAGCCACAGCCAAGCCTTACCCGTGCTGACGAATCTCCATGTGATCGTGTCCTTTCTCCATGTGCTGCCCACAGAAAGCAGCGAGACTGCTGTCTCAGCTGGAAAGCTGAGCCTGAGAGATTTCTGGTTAAAAAAAAATAAAAAATAAAAATCTCCTGCCTAAGGAAATAAACCCCCAAAGCATAATTATTCTTATAAATTTTGACAGATTTTCTCCTTGGTTCTTTCAAATGTTGATTTAGGATCCAAAAAGTCCATTTGAGTTACTGAACGTAACCGGATTGTTCACTAAAGAGAGGGCCCCCCATTTTCCTGTGGATGTCAGCTTTGTGTTTCACAGCACCCATCTCATCTCGTCTTCTGGAGAGCCAATGAAATCTATTTCATAGTGTTGAGGAAAGTGAGGCTCAAAGGGGCGAACTGGCTGGTCCCGGGGTCCCCACCCAGCACGTGGGGATCCTAGGGTGTTTGGCACCATAGCCCGTGTTTTTGGGATGGAGGTGGGAAGCCTGCACCCTGTGGACTGAGCCTGATTCTCCAACTTATTTTATTTAGCCAGTATAGTGGGGTTTTGTTTTGTTATTTATTTTTCTTCTTCTTCTTTTTTTTTTTTTTTTGAGATGAAGTCTCGCTCTGTCGGCCAAACTGGAGTCCAGTGGCATGATCTCGGCTCACTGTAAGCTCTGCCTCCCAGGTTCACGCCATTCTCCTGCTTCAGCCTCCCGAGTAGCTGGGACTACATGTGCCCACCACCATGCCTGGCTATTTTTTTTTTATTTTTAGTAGAGATGGGGTTTCACCGTGTTAGCCAGGATGGTCTCGATCTCCTGACCCCGTTATTCCCCCACCTTGGCCTCCCAAAGTGCTGGGATTACAGGTGTGAGCCACCGCACCTGGCCTGTTATTTATTTTTCTTAATTCAAGTACTTGCCAACATCAAAAAATTAGAAGGTGTCAGATAAAAAAATCCAGACGTCAAGCTTCTTTATTTTGAGACAAGTTCTCACTCTGTTGCACAGGCTGGAGTGCAGTGGCACAATCTTGGCTCACTGCAACCTCTACCTCCGGTTCAAGTGATTTTCCCGCCTCAGCCTCTGAGTAGCTGGGATTACAGGCATGTGTCACCACGCTCAGCTAATTTTTGTATTTTTTATAGTAGAGATGGGGTTTTGCCATGTTGGCCAGGCTGGTCTCAGACTCCTGACCTCAGGTGATCCGCGTACCTCGACCTCCGAAAGTGCTGCAATTACAGGTGTGAGCCACCACCCCCAGCCTAGCTTCTCTTGAAAAATCAGAAGAATTGGTCACAGCACCATTCCCCCACTCTCCCACACTTGGATGCCCCGTGTCCACTGAACCCCCATCTCCTGTTGTCTCCTGGGCACTGAGCCAGCATCCCCTCCATGCTGTTTGCCTGGTTATGTCATACATTTGGGTGGATCACCTGCCTGCATGACTACCTGGCTCTGGAGTTTGCAGTCCTGGCTCTTCTCCACTGCTCCCACGGCCCCTCCATTTGAATCTGTGGACATCCACGTTACTCATGATGCATTCGGTTTGCACACTGTGCCACTGTGTGTTCTGTGAACAGGGCCACTGATCAGCTTCAGGAATGGTGGTCCCATTCTGGTTTGGGAACTGAGAAGGTGGGCAGGAAAGATAAAAACCAGTGGGTAGAAATTGCTTGTGTTTTTCCTCACAAATATTACTTAAAACTTTCAGTCCAGTATTAGATGGAACCTGCTTTCACACACACTCTTCCATTTTTAAATTCCATTTGACGTGTCCATATTTCACTGTGTTCTGTAAGAGGCATCATGACTTCTAAGTAATCTGCCATCTGCACAAATCTGAGTTGAAGAATCGGGAGGTTGAGTTTTTCCTCCCAGTCTCTGTGCCTCCCGTTGCCTCCCTTGCTAATGCCAGCTCTGAATTGGAAAGTAGGCCGGTGGGAAGTGGGGCATTTCTTTTCTATTTTGAACTCTGTATATCAGTGTGGCCCAGGGGGGACCAGAGTCTACTCCCCAAGACAAGGAACAGATGAGTGCCAGCCTCCCAACACCCACATCTTTGGGAAGCCCCGTGCTGTGTTCGTCGTCTGACATTTGGGGAAGGGGTGGTTACTAAGAGACGTGACACTTTGCAGATGGCAGAGATCCCCGGGGAGATGTGAGGTACCGTTCGTGGAGGGAGGCTCGGACTCCAAGAATTCGCTCAGTGAGACTGGACCGCAAATCGGTGACAGCTTCAGTGATTTGCCGTGCTGTCATTTAGCGCATTATTAAAATGGTTTTCTGCAGAGTAATTTAACTTTGGGAAATACATTATGTTCTCCTGCTCCTTGAGGAGAGAGAAAGTTAGGGGGCTGGAAGGTGGCAGAGTAATGTAGGTCACAGCACAAATTCCCAACTGGATTTTCAGCAGAAAACCCAGTCTGGGTTTCCCCCGCCGCCGCCCCCATTTGCTGCTGCATTCTCTCTTAGGGTTGTGAAATATATCCATTTTTTGCTGAAATATGAGCTGCCTTGTTCTCCCAGTGAGCAGGTTACGTTTAGCTCAGCGATGCCACACCCTGACCTGTGCACTGCCAGGGGTCACTTGAACCTAAGCTGCTTTGCAAGTCACTGCTAACAGGAAGTAGCAACTTTTGACTTCCCTTGTTTTGTGGACTGGCCAGAACCTTCCAGACTCCAAAGTCCTCAGCGTTACCCAGTTGCCAGTAAGGAGTGGTGATGCCATGCAAGAGATCTCAAAGCTGCAGGCATATTGGTTAGGTGTGTGTTCAGTAAAGTGTCCATGCATGTGACTTTCCATGGGCAAGTGTGTCCCAGTTCGGCACCGTTCCAACTACTCCCTCTTGCTTTTCCCCTTGGCCTGCTCTGCTGACTTACATCAACCACTTGGCCCTCTAAGGCAGGTGAGTTTGAGACCCCTGGTAGCCACATAGAAAGTGCGGTGTTGATTTTGGAGTTGCTGATAGTCTTTGGCTCTTCCACTGAGGAGGAAAGTGGTCTTTTAGGAGCTTTTAGAACAGCGCATCACACATAGTAAGCACTGTATGTGTGTCACTGTTTGTACCAACAGACAGGGAGCCTCGGGGAAGGAGATTGTGGGGAGCAGATATTTTAGGGAAAGTGATGAAGTTCTAGTGTGGAAAAACCCTAAAACACTACAGAAAGAAGATGAGGAAGTAAACAGCACCCACCCCATGCACACCTACCCTTGCACTCACTGTCAAGTCTTTTGTGTAACTGCAGAAATCATCAATATTTATGTAAGTCAAATAGAAACTCCACTGTTCTGAAATTTGCCTTCGTTTTTTTTTTTTGTTTTTTGTTTTTTTTGGTGGGGAACAGTTGCGCTCTTGTCGCCCAGGCTAGAGTGCAGTGGCGCAATCTCAGCTCACTGCAATTTCCCTCTTCTGGGTTCAAGCGATTCTCCTGCCTCAGCTTTCTGAGTAGCTGGAATTACAAGTGGCCGCTACCATGCCCAGCTAATTTTTGTATTTTTAGTAGAGACGGGGTTTCTTCATGTTGGCCAGGAGTGTCTCAAACTCCTGACCTCCAGTGATCCACCCGCCTTGGCCTCCCAAAGTGCTGGGATTACAGGCGTGAGCCACCGTGCCTGGCCACCTTTCTTAATTTAATAAAACTGGCTCAGTCCTTCTGAAAGGTAATAGTATCCACCGTAATGGCTGTTTCATAATTTATTTCACCCTTGCTCTACTTGAACAGTTAAGAGGTTTCCAGATTTTTCTCCCCCAGACTGTAGTCTGGAACATCTCGATGGATACACATTTTGGCAGGTAGAGCTACAGGCTTGATGTGTAGAAGCCATTCTGGCTTAGAGGGTATGTGCATTTTAAATTTTTCCTGACATCACTAAAGCCCACCCTCTCATACCAATTTGATATGCAGGGTTTGATCTGGATCGAAGGGGAAGCCACTCTTCCCAGGTGTGCAGAACAGCTGCAAGAAGCAGGGAGCCCCAAGTCATCCCCTGTGCCTGGAGAACAGGGCACTTGGCCCTATGGTCAGGGCGCACTGGGACCTGGGGTGGAAGTCTTGGTCTCTGGGGGCTGGAGCCCTGGCAGGTGTGTGAACTCAGGGCTGTGCTTTCCGAAGAGCACGCCAGGACTGGGTATAGTGGATGGATTGGGCGATGGGCTAGGGTGCCCTCAAAATGTTGCAGACAGAAGGCAGGGAGGGCCTGACCCAGATGGCCAAGAGGAAAGGGGGACATGGGTTTGGAAGGCCCTACCAAGAGGGGACGTGGGGCCCCACTGTCTCAGGTGTGCAGCACCATCTGCCCCGTGGTCCTCATGGCAAGGGGGCAGCAGCGGCATTGCCATTCTCTGGGATGAGGACGGTGAGAGTTGAGTAGGTGACTAGGCTGCCTGCTGGGGCAATGGAAGGGGAGCAGCAGAAGATGCCGAGTTTTGAGGCTGAATATCTGGGTGCAGAGAGGTCAAGGGGACAAGGAGGGGAAGCCCGCTTGGGAGCAGATGAGATGAAAAGGAAGCATTGGGGTCAGAAACTGGTCTACGTGCATCCTGAAGGCAGGCCCAGAGCCAGGCGAGGGCAGAGTGAACGTCTTCTAGGATGGCCGCCTGTGAGCTGCCTTCAGGTAGCAGTTTCTCCCAGGCATGCCTCAGGAAATGTATGTCTTCTCCCCTCTCACGTCACAAGAAAAACCAGTCAAGAGGTCGGAGAGTGTGTTATAACCGTCCTGCTGAAAATTAAGATGTAGCAATCACAGTTTGGAGGAATCCACAGCGACAGAGGAGAGGCAGGAGCAGGAGGTGTCACCACATGGAGCTGCAGGTCTGGGTCGCCGTTTACAGGAACCAGGACAGGAACATGTGGGAGAGACGTGGTCACGATCTCATTAGTCAGGATTGCCTTGCACTGATGCCATGCTGTAACTGTGTGTTCCTGGCTCTGTCTACTGCAAACAATGAATCATTCTTGCAAATAAATACTAATATGTTTATGTAAATTGTGTACTTTCTGTGAGTGGCATTCCAAGAAGTAAAAAGTTTTGGAAGCACAATAAGTCCTTAAATTGGCATTCTGGACACCAGACTCTGTAGCGTCATGAGCCTTGCTAGCAGGTGCCTGTGTTGTGTGGTTCTTTCAGCAGCTCCCAGCAGCGTTCACTTGTGTTTCCCAGCGTTTGTATATTCATTCTAGGCTGTCGTGTTTTGTAAATCCTACTAAGCTCAATATTATTAAGCAAACAGTTTTAGATGTCTATGATAATGGATAAGTAGTGGGAAGGATGTTAGTAATAGTTTAAGAATAACTTATGATTTGGAGAATTCCTAAGAACTTGCAGGAATTCTGACTTCACCATCTGAAATCCCAGTCTGTCTGAGGTATTTGGAAACACTCTTTGGGATGCGATTTCCTGATATAAAACGTGGAATTGGCTGACATATGGGGGATCACAGAGGTTACGAAGTCAGGGTCAGGTGCCCAGGGAAAGAGAGGGCAGGAAGAGGTGTTGGCCTTGGATGGAAGCTGGGGACAGGGCAGGAGCCTGGAGTCCATGGGGCAGAGGCAGGAGGAGGTGCGAAAGCTGAAGACAGCCTGGTCAGCCTAGCGAGGGGAGCCAGTGTCTCCCAGAGAAGCCTTCCCCTGCGTGAGAGAGCTGCAGAATCAACACCTAGCCCCAGAGCGTTAAGAACAGCAGGCCGTCCTCCTCTGCTGCCAAGTTGGCTGCGGACCCAGGGAGCGGGTGGCGCAGCACGGCTGTGGTGGCATCCCTGAGCCCCTCGTCTGTGGGGAGAGTGCCACCAACAAGTCATCAAGGGCAGGAAGGGGAAACGATGGTGCCTTTGCAAGCCACAGCCCACATCACACCTCCGGGGAGGGACAGGTTCAACTCGACAGCTCTGCTTAGAAACACGGCCGCCTTTGCCAGGCAGGGCCTCTCTCTGAACAAACTGGATTCTGGAACCAGCAGCCATCTGAGGCCACAGAGGACACTTTGCTGCTGTTTTGCCCAAAGGGCAGCTGATTCTCCTGTGGAGTGCTTTGCAGAATCCGTAGCAGCTTCCTGGAAAGTCAGCCCTAGTCACTGTTCGTGGGCTGGTACCTGTGGCCCTGTGGGTCCTGGGATAGCTTAGATGCTAAGAGGCTGTTTGAGGTCATGGAGTCTTTCGCCCCTTTTGTGATGTGTTGATGCATATTTCCACCCCACAGGAGGTGAGACACTAATGTTGCACCTCCCCACCCCCATCCCCAGCAGTGGGGTTCCTGGACAGACTTGTCACATCAGAGAGCAGCCCGTCAGCCACTGCAGCCTTTTGTCCTCATTTCTTACTTTCTTAGCCTCGTCATTATCAACCAGGTATATTATTTGGAGGGAGGAGACACCCCGCTACCTGGACTGACACCCCAAATTGGGGCCTTGGTTCTGTGATCTTCCAGCATCAATAGGCACCCCAAATTTACCTCTGTCGACTGGATGCCTTGGCAAACTCAGGTGCCTGTAGGTCTGGGTGGGTCATATAAGTGAATTAAGCCATTGAGTTGTCAGCAGGGAGTGGTGTGGAGTGCAGCTCATAGGCCCCATCAAAAGGGATCAGCCACTCCTCACCAGGCTGATTCCTGTTATATAGGACTGCAGCTAGCTGGATAGAAGTCCTTGACCTTTTCAAGACGTGGCAGAAATGCACATCTTCATATAAAATCTGATGTTTAAGTTGGTTGGAAACTCCTTTGTTTGCTTAAAACATCTGTGGGCCACATGGGGTCCACTGTACCTTAAAAGCCTTCCAGGGCAAAAGGGGACTTTGGTGCATAAGTCTGTTTAACATGTGAAGCAGTGCAGAGTGAGGGCAGCAGGGGATCCCACTTGACCCCAGGGGATCGCGATGACAAGGTGCTAACCAGGACAGCTCCAACACCAGGCCTCAGGGCAGCGCGGCCTCTGCGGTTCTGACTGAGGTCTTCATAAGAGTGTGGGCTCCATGAGAAAGGGTCCATTGGAGTAATCGTCGGGCTAGAGATGTCTGCTCAGTGCCCAAGCACCGCCGGCACACCTGCCGTCTTTCTCCGTGTGGGAGACGTGCTCCTAATGAGGGCCTCTGTGCCCAGCCAAATGTCCTGGTCTTTGGAGAGGTTTCCTGCACCTCTCACACCTTCTCTGTGGCAGCTTCTTTTGCTTCTTGTCCTCTGTGTAGCCAGCGGCTGCACTCGGTTGCCTGTAGAAAGAACGCAGATTAGGGAGGCTTTGGTTTTTGTTTTCGGGGTTTGTTTTGCTTTTAGCAGCTCAGCAAGAAAAGTGGGTCTTTGGAGGGCAGTTGTGTCAGTTCAGGGAAATTGGTCACAGGTTATTAGGGTTGAAAAAGAAGTCTGGTATTGTCACCTGTTAAATTCAAAAAGCAAATTCCATTCATGGGTAAAATTCACCTGAAGGAGTTCCCTGCAGACGGGCTGTCGGAGGATCTTTGATTCTGCTTTTCTTGGCGTTGCCACTCCCCTGTCACTCACTGCCCCTTGCCCTACTAAACCCAAGTGGCTTTCTTTCTGCGTCTACCCCTCTGGTTTTTAACTAAGGGCAATTTTGCCTTACTCCCCAGTTCCAGGCACAGCTGGGAGTGAATGCAGACATTTTTGATTGTCCCAACCATGGGGGACAGTGCCACGAGAATCTAGTGGGTAGAGGCAAGGGATGTACTGAGCATCCTACACCTCACAGGATGGCCTCCTCCCTGCACAGCAGAGTTATCTGACCTGAACGTCATTAGTGTGAAGGTTGAGAAGCCCAGACCTGGCCTGAGAAGCTGGCTCGTTGGGTCTTATAAAACCAGCTACAAAGCACTGGGACTCCACAGTCAAGAAAAAGAGAGAGGGAGGAGAAACCAACATGTATTTAGCACCCGCCAGGGTCCAGGTATTAGGCCAGGAGCTTTTCATTTCTTTGAGACAGAGTCTCACTCTGTCACCAAGGCTGGAGTGCAGTGGTGTGATTTCAGCTCACTGCAACCTCTGCCTCCTGGGCTCAAGCGACTTTTGTGCTTCAGCCTCCCAAGTAGCTGGGATTACAGGCATGTGCCACCATGCCCAGCTAATTTTTGTATTTTTAGTAGAGATGAGGTTTCGTGTTGGCCAGGCTGGTCTCGAACTCCTGGCCTCAAGTGATTCACCCATCTCGGCCTCCCAAAGTGCTGGGATTACATGAGCCACTGCGCCTGGCCAGCTTTTCATTTATTAACACATCCTTTCTTTGAGGTTAGTGTTACTGTCCCTTTTTTCCAGATGAGGAAACTGAGTCTCACAGAGTGAAGTGGCCAAGCCATAGTCTCACAGCTGGGACGTGGCAGCATGGGGAGTGTGAGCTGGGTATGCACGATTGGCAAGCCTCTACCCTTTGTCACTGTCAGTCACACCAACATGAAGCACTTACAGAGCAGTCTTGAATATCTTCAGGGCTGGGGCTTTCCAGGTCCTGCATTGTAACTGTGGGTCCTCTGTGCCCCTTGTAAACAAAGCCAGGCTTGGTCACGCTCGTCTTCCACCACTGTGTGTCTCCTCTGGAGGTCCTCAGAGTATAGAGGCCGCAGCCACTGTGTAAGCCTTGCCGCCACTTTGGCCTCTCAGTGCTTAGATCGGCCATGGGAGCCCTATTGGTGCTGTCCAAGGTCCTACCCATCTCCCCTTCTTTGAGGTTAATTGAAGAAAGGGCTAGAAAATGGGGCTGGGGAGGGTTAAGGAACTTCTGAGAGCTTTGACCCCGGCTGAGAAAAGGGGTCTTTGATACCTGTTCGACACGCACTCGGAGCTATCCCGTTCCTAATTTGATTGCCCATGAGCTGAGCCCTTTGTCTTCATTCATCTAACACACCCAGGATGTTTTGCCTGGACCAGAGAGAAGGGTGAACACAGCCCAGCTTTGGTGCTGGCACTCGCCTGTGAGCGCAGAATCTCCTGGCTTAGCACACATCACTCAGAAGATAAAGGAGGTTACGGCTTGCTGAGTAAGAACAGGATTTCATGTTTTTTTCTTTTTTATGCATGAGAACTTGCTGTGACAGAGTTGAGGATGTTTTTCTCACTAGCTCGTTCTGGGAAGACAGGTTGAGAAATTACTAATGCAGCAGGAAACAAGCCGTACTGTCAGGGTTGGGGGTAAAGCTTGTTTATGACTTTCACATTAAAGGTACAAGCAGAATGGCCTCATCAGTAAGGAGGGCGGCAGTTGTGCAGGCTTGGGTTTGACTCAAGGCTATGCCGTTTACTTTATCAGTGATCCTGGATTAGAACCTTTAGGGACTTCATGCCTCTATTTTCCCCTCTGTAAAATGGGACTAATTATAGCCCCTACCTCAGAAAGTTGCAGAGTTCACACCTAGCACAGAGAACGCACTAACTAGTTTGGCTGTGGCTGCAGCAGGGGTGTATACAGCTAATTTCTGGGTTCCTTAGATCCAGGGAAGAGCTGGTATTAAGAGGTGTTCAGGGGGCTGGACGTGGTGGCTCACGCCTGTAATCTCAACACTTTGGGAGGTCAAGGCAGGCGGATCAGGAGGCCAGGAGTTTCAGACCAGCCTGGCCAACATGGTAAAACCCCATCTCTATTAAAACTGCAAAAATTAGCCAGGCATGGTGGTGCACACCTGTAATTGTAGCTACTTGGGAGGCTGAGGCAAGATAATCGCTTGAGCCCGGGAGGTGGAGGTTGCAGTGAGCCGAGATCACAGCACTGCACTCCAGCCTAGGCGACAGAGTGAGAGAGAACCCGTCTTAAAAAAATAAAATAAAAAGAGTTGTTCAGGGCATGGGGGCCGGGGGAGCACACAGCAAGCACATTCACTGAGCATATTTAGGAGACGATGTAGATTTATCCATGTATCTCCACCCACGGTCAGTCCCTTTCCTCCCAGCTGTTGGTGAAATGGATCTCAGAGGCTGGGACTCTGGGATCTTGTTAGCATAAAGATGCCATCCCCCTGGCCAGCCCCTAAATTGCTGAGCTTAGAGACCAGACTGCAAGGTGCCAGGCACACCCAAAATAATGTACCTTCTTTTCACCTCAGGAAACTGGTTAGTGTGGTACATGTTTGGATTTTAGTATAGTGGCTAAGCCAAAGCTCTGTTAGTAAATTCCTACAGGAGCTCATTGGCAACTTGGTGCATGACAGAAAGAGCAAGACTTTGAGCCAAACAGACCTGGGCTCAAATTCCAGCTCAACTACATAGCAGCCTTGTGAACTTCACCTCTGCCTCAGCATCCTCATCTATAAAATTGGTGATAGTGGCAGAGATTTCACAGGCTTGTTGGGAGGATTAAAGGAAATATTACCTACTATGGAGCTTCTCGAAGGGAAGCAATTTTGACTTTGTTTTTACTTCTTTGTTCAAACTCTCACTTCAGTCCCAAAATGATTGAGTTGGCAGCTTAGATATTATTACAGTTGTTTGCCCTACTTCATGTCTTTTTTAAACATTGGAGCATCTGAAACTTCACTTTGGAAAAAGGGAAGCAGAGTAGGTATTTTTGGCACAATGACCTCTATCCTATGTGGGGTTTGTTTAAACAAAAAAAAGTAATAAAATATCTCCTATATCAGAGAGGTGTGTCCACAGCATATAAGAAGTTGTCTGGCTGGGCATGGTGGCTCACGCTTATAGTCCCAGCTTTTTGGGACGCTAAGGCAGGAGAGTCACTGGAACCCAGGAGGCAGAGGTTGCAGTGAGCTGAGATCGTGCCACTGCACTCCAGCCTGGGCAATAGAGCAAAACTCCGTTTCAAAAAAAAAAAAAAAAAAATTGTCTGCCATTTATAGACCAAAATCGTCCTGTCCTGCTAAAGTATAATCGATCTTGGTGACAGCTTTCTTCTCAGTGGGCTAAGCAAATTCACAGCTTTCTGCATTTCCCCTTGCATTTTTTTATTTTTGAGACGGAGTCTCACTCTGTCACCCAGAATAGAGTGCAGTGGTGTGATCTAGGCTCACCGCAAGCTCTGTGTTCTGGGTTCATGCCATTCTTGTGCCTCAGTCTCCCTAGTAGCTGGGATTACAGGGATCTGCCACCACACCTGGCTAATTTTGTATTTTTGTTTTTTAGTAGAGAGGGGGTTTCACCATGTTAGCCAGGATGGTCTCGGTCTTCCAAAGTGCTGACATTACAGGCGTGAGCCACCGCGCCCGGCCTCCCCTTGCACTTTTAAAATGATGTCTGGGAGTAATAACTGAGAATGGTTACTTGGTTTGGTTATCACGTATCTCCTATGTTGATGCTGTGTAACATACATCTATGATACTTTGTTGGTATGTGATAACATATTGCTTATGCGTGAGGTGATGGGCTAGGAGGCTTAACTGGTCTTAGCTGAGCTGGCTTCTGTGTCTGGGAATCAGTAGGTGGATGCAGGAGGGCCTTGACTAGGAAGAATGGAAAAACTGGGCTGTGAAACAGAAAGATCCACAGATCTTTCATCCTCCTCCCAGGACCAGTGGGCGAGCCTGGGCATGTACATCAGGGAGCACAGACAGGAGAAGCACACCCATATGGGTATCATCCAAGCTGTGAGCATGTCACATCGCCAAGGGGGATTACAAGGCAGAAACCAGAGTCAGTGGGAGGGCACTGCAAAGTCACGTGGCAAAGAGGGGCACAGAGAACGGTAGATGGGGCCATTTGTACACTTGCACAGATTAATGACCTGTTCTAAGTGGGAGAAAGGGTGGCTGTGGGCATGTAGCAGTGCTGTGAAATGCTAAGGCAAGTGATATAAATAGGGAGAAGATAGAACAGACCAGTAATTCGAGCCAAAACCATCCATGAATCCAGAATGGGGCCCAGAAAGACATCACTGTGTATTCTGGGATAGGGCCAAGTTTAATAGATTGCCCAGAGTCCTACTTGCCTTTACTTTCACAAAAAATTTTTAATTTACACAGTGCAATTGACTTTTGCTCTTGTTCATGTCTGTGAATTTAAACACATGCATAGATTTGAGTAACCACCATCACCGTCAAGATATAGACCAGTTCCTTCACCCTAAAAAGCTGTTTTCCCCTCATTTCCTTTCTAGCTGCACCCTCCCCCACCTCTAAGCCCTTGTCCCTCCCCCTCTAGTTTTGTCTTTTCAAGAATGTCACATAAATGGAATCATACTGTAAGCAACCTCTTGAGGCTGGCGTCTTTCAGCATGTGTGAGAACCGTCAAGTCGTTGGGTGAGTCAGCAGTGTTTTTATTACTGAGCAGAGTTTGGTTAAATGGATATACCACGGTTTATCTAGTCATAAAGGAATAAAGTTGCGTTGGTTCCAGTTGTTGGCAATTTTGAATAGAGCTAGTGGAAACATTCAAGTGCAGCTTTTTGTGTGAACAAAAGTTTTCATTTCTGTGCGGCAAATACCTAAGAGTTGAGGACTGGATCCTATGCTAAATGTAAGAAACTGCATTCCCACAGCGTATGAGGGGCCCAGTTGCTCTGCACCCTGGGCAGCATGTCATACTGTCATGATTCTTTACTGTGGCTGTTCACAAGGATGCAGAATATTTCATCATGGTCTTAATTTGCATTTTCCTAATGAGTAATGATGTTGAGCATATTTTCATGTGGATGTTTTCCTTTAACACATCCTCTTTGGGGAAGTAAGTAAGTGTCCAAGTATTTTGCCTGTTCTTAGAAACTAGGCTGTTTGTGGTTTTACAAAGATTTGAGTTTTGGGAGTTCTTTGTATATGTTAGATGCAAGACCTTTGTCGAACATGTGAGTTGCACATATTTTCTTCTAGTCTTCAGCTTCTTTTCAGTGTCTTTTGCATGACACCTTTTTAATTTTGATGAAATTTACTTTTTGTGTCCCAGATCATGCTTTTGGTGTCATGTCTACCAATTGTTAGCCTAAACCCAGGTCATAAAGATTTTCTCCTAGGTTTTCCTCAAAGTTTTATAGCTTTACATTTTAGATCTGCGATTCATTTTGAGTGGACTTTTGTGTCAGGTCCAAGGATTGGGTCAAGGTTAACCTACTTCCTGTGGCTGACCCGCTCCCCCCACCCCCAGCGTAAGGTCAAGTGGAGGGAGGACAGGACTAGAGGCATTACGGGGTGGCCCCACCCTCTTGGGACCACAGCTCTTATGATTAAAGAGGAACGTTATCCCCTGTATTAATTTCTTATTGTTGCCCTACCAAATTGGCACAAAGTTAGTGGCTAAAAACTACAGATTTATTCTCCAGCTGCTGTGGAGGCCAGAAGTCCGAGATCCGTCTTACTAGGCTACAGTCAAGGTGTCGGCAGGGCTGGCGCCTTCTCGAGGTTGTGGGGCAGAATTTGTTTCGCGGCTTCCTGGCAGCCACCCTATGCCATGGCCCCTTCTTTGCTTCCCAGCAATTACTCTGGGACCCTGAGATTCCATGGGGTGGACCTAAAGAGTCCAGGATCATCTCCCCATCTCAAAAGCCTGAATGTAACCACAGCTGCTGGTCCCTCTTGTTGTAGAAGCTCACATATGAAGACGCTCCAGGGATGAAGAGCTGGGCATCCTTGGGGCACCATTGATCTTACCGCCACCTCCCCTAGAGTGTCAGGTGCTTGAGGACTGCTCAAGGCTGAGGCATGAGAGAAGGGGCAAAAAGAAACAAGATCGCCTCCACCCTTTCTGAGCAGGAGTGCCCTTTTCCACTTCTGGACCCAGAGCTGGAGGGCTTCTCTGACAGCCCTGTCTGTTCACCCCCTGCCCACTTTTGGGGTCAGGCTGCCTGTAGTTCAGGCTGGAGGATGCTACAGGGGAAAAATGGTGAGCTCACTGCGGGTTTCCTGGGACAGCAACAACTGGTCATCTCTGTAGTCTGGCTGCTATTTAGTTTCCTGAGTTATTGACTAGCTGCCTCATGCATCCACTCCAGGTTTGAAAGCTGACTTGGAGGGGAGACACAGGGGGAGGTGACCTTACTACATCATACCCAGACCTGGAACCTCTTCCTCAGTATTGTCTATCCTGAAGTATTATGGAATATTGGTGCATGGAGAGAAGGACTATGGAACCATGTATCATATCTTATCAGGGAGAGAATGACAGGAGCAGGGGAATACCACTAACAGTGGGGATGGTCAGCCCTGATGGAGGACTTCTGAGTGCCAGAATTACCTTCTTCATTCTTCACAGAATTCCCTATGAGGGCAGTTACCATGTGCAGGCTCATTGTACAGATAAAGAAACTGAGGCTCATGGAAGGTCATCAATGTCTCAAAGGACCCACGCTTAGTGCTTGATGGAGCCAGGATCTCAGACCCAGACCTCTGTGATCTGAGTCCCAAGTCATAACCATTTCAGCATGTAGTTGTTCATCAGCCTCCCTTTTCAAGCTGCCAAATTGCTCTCCATGCCAGACCTCAACCCTGAGGTCACACTCTGGGCCACATCTCTGTCGGGGTCCATCGCATCTTCGTTCAGCCAGCTCCTAATGCAGCCGTGCTGACACCCGTTTACCACTACCCTGGGGCGGGAGTGGGTTCCTGATTCCTGTCACCTCCTGTCTTTTCCGTACTGTGCCAGCCAGTGCCTGATACTGACCTGCGTTTCCAACCCCCTGGAATGGAAAGGTTCAGAGGGCAGGAACCAAGCTCGCCTCTTCCCCTCTTCTCCCAGCTTTGTAGCACATGCCTGGAAACCAGTCAATGCTTGATGAATGTTTATGATGATGCAACAGATGTTTTCCACTGATTGCCCACGGTACATCCTGGGCCCACACAAGAGGACGCTGGATCCACTTCAGAGACTTGGCTTGTCTTATGAGTCCAGAAGGGCTCACGTTTGCAGCACCGCTCTGTTTTTTCTTTTTTTAATTAGTTTGGCAAAGATATTCCTAGTCACCAGTTAGTCCAAATCCTGCAATATTGTCTCTTCCCAACGGATCCCTAAATTGAGCCAGCATTTCCAATTCAGCCCACGCTACCTGGGCTCCTGCTGGGTGTCAGGCCCTGTGCTAAGCCTTTTCCACACAGGGTGTCAAGGAATCTGCAACTCAGAGGGATAGGACCTAGTGTTATTCCCTTTATAGATGAGGAAATTGAGGCATGGAGAAATGGAGGAACTTGCCCAAGATCACAGCTAGTAAGTTTTAGAGCTGCTGTTAGAGCAAGAGATTGTCTCAAAAGAAAAAGTTAGACCCAAGTTCTATCACCCAGGGTGGAGTACAGTGGCACAGTCTCCCCTCACTACAGCCTTCGCCTCCCAAGTTCAATTTTGTTTCCTCAGCTTCCCAAGTAGCTGGGATTACAGGGACCCACTACCACACCTGGCTCATTTTTGTATTTTTAGGAGAGGCAGGGTTTCACCACGTTGGCCAGGCTGATCTTGAACTCCTGACCTCAAGTGATCCACCCGCCTCAGCCTCCCAAAGTGCTGGGATTACAGGCGTGAGCCACGGCACCCAGTGTGGGTCTAACACTTAAACTTGTGTTTGAAGGCAGCGTGTTGGGAACATGGACTTTGGGGCCAGGCTGGTGTTGGTCCCAGTCTTTTACTCTTAAATCTTGTGCATATAAGCACTAGACTATCACTGCCTTTTTTTTTTTTTTAAACAAAGTATTAGTTAAATCAGCAAGTAAGTGAAGTTAAAGCATCCTGTAAGGTGTGTGGACCCATGAGCAGTACTCAGAAATGCTAAATGTCTGAGTCTCTAGAGGTCCCAGAAACATGATTTGAGTAGGGAATCTTTGCTTAGCAAAACTATAGAGCCCTACTTCAAATTAGCTTGAAGCAGAAAAGAAGTACTTACTACTCCTGTAACTATGAAGTCCAGGGACTTGGCTAGCTTCAGGAATGGCTGGATCCAGAGGCTCAAAAAGTGTCACCAGGACCCTGTTGGTTTCACCCTCAAGCATGTTCTGTCTGGTGGAAAGATGGATCCTGGCAGCTGCGTATCTTATAGATGGTTTAGATCCAGGCCCTGAAGCATAAGTGTTCTCATCAGCTCCTGTAGAAGTCCTAGGAAAAATCATATTCATCACGTTGCTCCTGATAGCTGTAGCGGAAATTCTAGAGATTCTGAATGATGCAGCTCTGGGTCATCAGCGCATGCATCTGGGTCCGTGCCTGTGGCCCGGGGAATGGAGCACCTTGATTAGCCAAATCTGGGGCAGAGGAGCAGGGTGTTCAGCCCACCTAAGCTCATGGACTGAACATGATTATCCAGAAGGAGGGGGCCCGATTCACTGAAAGGAGAGAAAGTGGGTGGGCAAACATATGTTCATGCTGCGGGGTCTGGTGAACAGCTGTCAGTAAAGCCACAGCCACCTGTGCTGGCGAGTCATTGTGTAAGAAGCTTGTGACACCTTTGGCCCAGACTTCCACGCCCACTGAGCCACGAGATCACGCTTCCGTGGTGCGTCCCAGTTCATCCTCCCCGATGGAGTGGGCAGTGCCCCAGTGCTCCGCAGCTGGTGCCGTCTGTCTCCAGACGCTCTTCCAGCCTGCATTCAACAAGCCAGTCGTATCAGAAAATATTAACCACGGGAATTAATGAATTTTGGCATTGCAGTGGAGTTGACTGGGGGAGATTTTCCAAGTTTATTTTCCAAGATGTATCTGGTGCTCTAGAGATTTCTCCCAGCCCATGAGACAGGGACACCTTCGTATTTGGAAGAGAGAAGCCAGTGGTGGAACATCCTCTTACCACACTACAAGAGCTTGCGTATTCCTTCATCCTGGATTGCCGAAGGTGGAATCCGGCACCCTCTCGTTCTAAGCGAGGAGCCTATCTGCTGGGAGAAATGGTCTCAGCCAAGGTCACACCATGGGTTAAATGCAAAAGCCCTGGACTCTAGACCCCGTTGACTCATCACATTGCAAAGCCACAGGAATCACATTGGTAGGGGTAGAGGTCTTTCTGCAGACTTGGTTGTGGAAGGCTGTTAAGGAAAACAAGTCCATAACCCTATATTCACCGGCATCATTCCTAAGAACACGGGATGGGAATCGGTGGTGTGCACATCAGCCAAGGCTTCAGAACCGTGACAGCCGGTTCCTCACCACACCAAGATTGAAACTAACTTACCCAGATTGCAACTCAGGACTTTACACTCTCAGTACGGCATCCAGGCCACAGGGGAAGGTGGACCCCAAAGTCATGAGGCAGGAAAAGTCAGTACTGTTGGAAAGGAGAAGTGATGCTGGGGAGTGGAAGGCGTTGTGAGGTGGTTCTGCTAAAACATTATGTCAGCTGGTGGGATTTGGACGTTTCTCTTTCTCTACCCTATCTCATTCTGAAGAGGCCGATTTTATGATTGGGGTCGGCTGGGGTCTAGATGGCATTTTTCTGTGGGGAATTGTGTGGCCTAGGAACATTCTCTGGAATGTTACAGTGATGGATTCATTGTTCTGCAGGCATTTCTTAATGAGTTGTCACTCCTGACTCTGCGTCATGCCTTGGGATCGGCAGGTTCATGTCAGACTGTTTACTTCTCATGAAGCCTTTGAGAGCGCTGTCACTCGAATTCTCTTCCTCCACCATCCCTTTAATAGGAGGGGAAACCTCGGCCCAGAGAGGTGAAGGGACGTGCTCTGGGTCGCACAGCTGGTAAACTGCAGAGCCAGGATTCTAGAGACCAAACTCTTGACCACTGCTTCAGCAAGAACTCCTTGGGGAAATGCCCACATGCAGCCAGTGTCAACACAGCCCCTGGCCTGTGGTCAGTGGGCCAGTAATCAATAGTCATTAGATGTTATCATCATCCCTTGTTCACTGTATTTCCAGATGAGGAAACAGGCTCAGAGAGATTGAGTAACTTGTCCTAGGTGGCACAGCTAGGAAGCAGCAGATGTCGGCTTCAGTAGCCAGGTCTGTGATGCCCTGCTCCTGTAGCATAGCCACGAAATGCACTGTGCCAGCCATCAGACCCAGGCTGCAGTAGCCAGCTCTGTGAGGCCCCACTTACCTAGCACAGCTATGAAGTACAGACACTCTGCCAGCCGTCAGAGAAACAAATATGGTCAATACAAAAAAGGAAGGGGTGGGGCAGGCAATGACAGGGAAAGGGCCTCTGTTCTCAAGTGGCTCCAAAGAGTACTGTTGAGAAATTGGTTTGCCACTTCGCCCTCTTTACATCTGGAAGACTCGCATCCACCAGAGAAAGGGTGTCACATAGTTCCAAGTACATACAGAGTGACAACCCATTGTCACACAATAGGTGTATTGTCCGCTTCCTAACCGGGTCCTGCCTGGCCCCACCCCTAGGATTGTTCCTTCCAGGGCTTGTGGACGGATAGGATGCCAGTGACTCTCCTCCTGCAACTGTGGCAAGACCGTGTGTCCTGTCAGAGTGGGTGACCAGGGCCTTTGCCAGCAGACGACTTATGGAGAAACGTTTGAGTAGATGGAGGAACCCATTTCCTCTGGAATCCAGAGGTACAGAAAGCAAGGGTCTGGCTCTTTTCTTCTGTTCTGAGTCTACACTATGGCCCTTCCCAGCTTCTAGGCTCCAGGTTAAGGGGAGTGGCTGGTGCAAGGTGGGTGGCCAGAGACGAGGTCACCATGAAGCCTTCAGATTTTAACCTGAGATGGAGAGGCAGCTTTTAAACAGTACCTTTCACCACTAGGCATACAGGGGCCTCCCTACTGACTCTCCAGACCTGTGGGGGAGGGGAGCAGATCACCTCTCCTTGAGAGGGTGAGCCTAAGCCGTGGGCATTGGGGTGGGGTACCTGGAGCATTCTAGGTGTTCGGGGCTATTAATATTTATGTATTATCCTGACAACTAAGGGCAGGATGTGTGCTTCAGTGGGCACTGTAGTTTGAACACCTGGATGCCAAAAACAGAAAACAAAAAAACCCACACCCTTGAGTACACATGATGGGAGTGAAGCAGTCCTGGGTTTGAGTCCCCAGTCTCTCACTTCACTGTGTGACTTTGGACAATGTATTCTCCCCATCCACAAAACAGAGCTAATAACCTCCACCTGGTAACATAGGGATGGGCACTGGTGCAGGGAATGTAAAGTAACGAGGGACGTAGGAGGTACTCATTGCTGTAGAGGTAAACTTGACCTCTTTTCGACCCTTCGTACAACTGTATTAGTCCGTTTTCACAGTGCTGATAAAGACATACCTGAGACTGTGCAATTTACAGAAAGAAGGTTTAATGGACTCACAGTTCCATGTGGCTGGGGAGGCCTCACAATCACCGTGGAAGGCAAGGAGCAAGTCACTTCTTAAGCTCTTTGCATGGCACCATCGATGTGAGCTAGGAAACTCTTCCTTATGAAACCATCACATTCACTGTCAGAAGAACAGCACAGGAAAGACTCGCCCCTGTGATTCAATTATCTCCCAATGGGTCCCTCCCATGATACATGGGAATTCAAGATGACACATGGTTTGGCTGTGTCCCCACCCAAGGATAATACAGGTGGAACATAAATGCCAGATTGATCTATTGATAATTATAAACAATTACCAAGAAGAGTGGATAAATCTTCCTTTTTGAATCCATCTAGACCCACTGTGATTAAAGCTATTATTTTGACTAGAAAACTAAGAAGATAGGAGAAAATTAGACATTTAAACAGCTACCTTCCATGCAACAAAGGAAATTTTAAATACAGACAATTAGGATTGCTTTCAAAATATATGAAAATAAAGGGATTAAGATTATACAGTCACCAGTAAGATCAGGCTGGTTTGGTTTTTCCAGGGCTAGGAGTGCAGCTGGAAGCCCTAGGAGGATGAGAGCAGGGATGAAGAGAAAATAAATTCCCCACCCCTCCATCCACCCATTCCTCCAATTAGTACTTACAGTGCACCATTTCAGATCCTGATAGTTCAACAGCAGATAAAGCATCTGTTTTCATGGGGGACACAGACATTGAATAGTGAGGCAGACATGCCTATGTGAGGTGGCGATTTCCAGTGAAAAGACAGGAAATGACATCACAGTCATCACAGAGGGAAAGAAGCCTGCTGGGGATGTGCTGTTTATGGTCTAGGAAGATGACAGGGATAGTTTGACCCGAAGTGGAGACCTGAGGCAGGGAGCCAGGCAGTGGACACAGCAGGTGCAAAGGTCCTGCAGCCTTGAAGAGTTGGCCCCTGGGAGAAACAGCAAGGAAGCCAGGGTAGCCCAGGAACAGAGAGGCCTTGCAGCCAAGGGAACTCTAGCTGCCATGTGGAGTCAGCAAAGGGTAGAGCTTTGTTATGGGTGATAGAACAGGTAGTTAGGGGACCATGTGGGCACCCCGGGGAGAGGGGATGGTGCCTCAGGCAGCCTGGGAAGGGGTATTCTCAAAGTAGAACTACCAGAACTTGCTGGTTTCAATGTGGGTGTGAGAGAAAGAGGAACTGGAAGAACAGAGTCCTGAGCTGTGGTTAACATCCCCCTCCCTCACGAGGATTAAATACACCCCCACGAAGTCAGCCTCAGCACCACTAAGCTGTCCCATGGGATGGAGATATGATTCCCACCCCAAGCACCATCTCCTGTAATAAAACCTGGCCCCCGCGTTCCTGTCTGGGATCTGCATAGCATGGCACCCATCACTGCCCCTCTAAGCCTCCTCCTGTGAAGCTGCAGCTGCTCACACTTGCCTGGCTACCGAACAGAATGGGCTCAAGAATGCTCTGCAGGGACAGCCTTACTGAGCCCCAGATTCCAAACTGGAGTTTAGCAAAATGAGCCACTTCCTTCAGCAGCAGTTCTAGGGCTGTATAGGAGCTGCTCTTAGGGGTTCAGGGATACCTCAATTCCCAGTCTGCCCTCAAGGTGCTCAGTCTTTTGGGAGACAGCATGGCACAGGGGTCTCGAGTGAACGTGGCATCCTGGACTTTTGCACTGCTCATATTGGTAAGGCAAGCACCACCCCTGGCACACACACGGTCAGGCATGACATAAAAAGATGTTGCTAAGGGACATTGAGGTCTATTTCTTGGGACAAGTAGGAATTTTCTATCCCTGTTCATTCTTCATCTTGGCCACACACATTTGCTCTCTTGCTCATCCCACAGCGCCTCCCACAAGGCCACGCTGGATCCTGCCACAGTGTTAGGTTACATTTCCTTCCTTCTGGCTCACCAGATGTGGACCTGACTGGGAAGGCTGGAAGCTACTGTCCCTGGAGCCCTACTCTCCTGGCTTGGTGCCTCCATGGGGAATGACAGTGGGCACTCTGCACCCACATGGAAGGGAGTCCCACACCTTCTAAGGTCTCCTTTGTAACCTACCTCTGGCTCCCCACTGTGCCACATCCCTGTACCATGGCATCTGTGTCTTTTGGACAGCACCGGGCTTTCAGGATGACTAGTCAGGGTTGTCTTGTCTGGACCAGATGCTTTGAGGGTGCAGCCTTCTGGGAATTCCCTCTAGGGATTTTCTATGATGCTGGCTTCCCTGTAAGTCCCACTCCAGGCCCGGGTACTCTGTCCAAGCCCCACAGCAGAAGAGGCTCTTCAGGGGCCTCATTTGGTGTCAACTCAGCAAGAAGTGAAGTTTAAAGCCCAGAGCACTGCAGGGCATTGTACTGGTGTAGGAGGGGTACATCCAGGGCTCCAAGGTGTTTTCTGTGCTGAGCTCATCTCTCATCCCCCAGCCACCACAGTGCTGGGTCATAGCTGGGCTGTTGTTTTCCTATGGCAGGCCCAGCCCTGTCTAGCTCTCAGTTCCTCTGCTCTGCAGCCAGGGCCCTTGGCCTGAACCCTACACATAGCAGCACTCACTCGGGCTGTAGGTATTCTTCAGTACCTGCTATGGCCTGGCATTTAGGGAACTCTCAAGCAACAGCACAAGTGAGGCCCCTGCTCTCCCGTGCTTTGGGTCCGTTGTAACAGCATAAAAAGCTTGTGGAGTATCTTAGGTGAGTCCACTCTTGCAGCTGGGCAGGCATCATAGTGTTCGGCTCCCTGTTACAGTGTCATTTCTTGGGGACATAGCAGATGGAAAATTCTGGGGTAGTTTTGATTTAGCAGTTATCACATTTGCTGTTCATGGAGTGTCTGCAGGGGCTAGGCACCCCTCACGATGCTTGTGTCTGCCAGCCATGGTGGCTCATCCCTGTAATCCCAGCACTTTGGGAGGCTGAGGTGGTAGATCACTCAGGGTCAGAAGTTGGAAACCAGCCTGGTCAATATGACAAAACCCCATGTCTACCAAAAATACAAAAATTAGCCATGGGTGGTGGTGTGCACCTGTAGTCCCAGCTACTCAGAAGGCTGAGGCAGGAGAATCTCTTGAACCTGGGAGGTGGAGGTTGCAGTGACCTAAGATTGCACCATTGAACTCCAGCGTGGGCAACAGGAAGATCCTCACACATACAAAGATGTTCATGCCATTTTTCATCCTCTATCTCAAATAGCCAGTAAGGCATGGAGTGGGCTTCCACCCTGGGACCCCAGCCCTAAGACCTGCACCTTTTTCTACTCCAGAGTCCTTGCCCTCCACACGCTCTGTAAAGAGCATAGCTGCCGAAACCAGCTTGAGGCAGTCCCAAGGCCCGGCATCTTGATGTCGCAGATGCTGCTTGGGGCCAGGAGAGTCACCCTACAAAGTGTGTTCCAGCATTTACTTTGAGACCTGTTGGTGATTAGCAGGTGATTTCTACTTGCAGACAAGGCCCATCATGGCTTCTGTGCCCTGTGTGGCCAGGCCTTGCCTCCTTGGCCGCATGACTGTGGTGAAACAGCCAAAGATGGTTCAGACTAGAACAGAGATCAGAAAATGATGGCCCACAGGCCAAATCTTACCCTCCACCTGTTTTTTATAAGTAAAGTTTTATTGGAACATGCCCAGTCATTCACACTTCATGTATAGCTTCTTATTATAAGGGCAAAGTTGAGTTGTAACTGAGATGGAATGCCTCCCTGGAGCCTAGTATGTTTAGTCTCACCCTTTATAGGAAGTTTGCCAACCTATGGGCTAGAATACTGAGGCTGATGTACACTCACATGTAAAGGGAATACCTTCCATACCGCATGTAGTGATATGGAAAAAATCTCCATGACATTATTACTAAGAGGATAAAGCATGGAAGAGTACCACACAATACCTTTCTAATTTTAGAAATAGCAAATATGGGCCAGACACAGAGGCTTATACCTGTAATCCCAGTACTGTGGGAGGCCAAGGTGGTTGGGTCACCTGAGGTCGAGTGTGAGACCAGCCTAGCCAACAAGAGGAAAACCCATCTCTACTAAAAATCCAAAAATTAGCCAGGCATGGTGGTGCACGCCTGTACTCCCACCTACTTGGGAGGCTGAGGCAGGAGAATCACTTAAACCCGGGAGGTGGAGGTTGGAGTGAGCTGACATTGTGTCATTACATTCCAGTCTGGGAGACACAGTCTCAATCTACAAAAAAAAAAAAAAAACCAAACACCAAATATGAGGATATATACTTCCACCGGTGCATACATACGTGCTTCTATGTGTAATGTATACCTGTAGAAAGACACATTAAAAAGTAACCGTCACTTAGTGGAGGACCAAGGTGGGAAGACTCACTTTTTCATGTATTCACCCCCCTCATGCTCTTATTCTACACTCCTGTGTTGCCTATTTAAAAAAGGTGATAAAATAGTTGAAAAAGTGTAGAGGCTGAATAGCTGAGATAAGGAAGAGGGAGCCAAGAATATGTGTTAATTTACCTTTTTACAGATGATTTTTGAGCAGTATTTTCATGATAGACTTTCTGGGAGGAAACCTGTGACGGGAGGGGAAGCTCAGAATTGCTGGTTTTATTTAAGTGGAAATAAATTTTTAGTTGAATCATAAAGGTAGAATGGGCTTAGGGCACAACAAAAAGCTGTTTCTCAATCTAAATATTTCTTCTCTGGCCGAGTGATGGGCTTCTAAACAAGGTGTCATCCAGATGAAGGAAGTGGGGTGTTTTCATCTCCATGTGATCCTCTCTTTGCTTGGATGAAATCTGGTGTGAAATAATGGAACAGTGGTCCACAGCTGCCAGGAGAATCTCAGAAAACCCTCAGTACCATCGTGCAGACTTCCCCACAGAGAGCCTTTAGGAACACACTGCACTCAGATTTGCCATCTTCTGAGGACAGTCTAAAAATCACTGCTCCGGAGGTTCAGACACCGTCAAATGTTTAACCAGTTTGTCAGCCCACCAAAAAGCCACTTGTAACCTCAGAGATATGTGGAATCATTCTTTTGGGGGCTAGTCTTTCCATTTGCAGAACTTCCCCAACAGTAGGATTGCTTTCAAGTTGGGGTCTCAGCCACAGCTTGCACATTCGATCACCCAGCATGCTTTTAAAAATACAGAGGCCAGGCCCTGCCTGGTTAATGCAACATTAATCTTTGGGCCTCAGCATCAGGATCTTTTTAAAGTTCCCCAGGTAATTCTAAGGTGCATGCAAAGTTGAGAAGCCCTGCTTTCAAAAGGCTGGAACAAATTCTGGTGTTACAATTAGATCTGAGTCTGAGGCATCAACCCAGCAAGTATTTTCTGAGCTTTGGTTTCCGTTCCTGTGCAGTAGGATAAAAGTACCACCCTCCTTTCAGGTGGTGAGCCAACTTGTGAATGGGGACAGCTGACAAGAAATACTTCCTGGCTGCCTTGTACACATACCAGGGGCCCGCTTCAGAAGCACATGGGCATCAAACTTCTGTATCCCCGCCTCAGTTTTGTCACTTAGCTGCTGCTGGGGACACAGGAGCAGGCAGGTGATATTTCTAGCCTGTCTGCTCATCTGTAAGGTAGGGATCTCTATACCCTACCACACAGAGCCACTGTGAGGATCCAGTGAGATTCCCCAGCCAGGCTGTGCCCAACACAGTGCCATGTCAAAGTAGCTCCTGCTGGTCCCTGTCTCTAAAAAACGTGGCAAGTCCAGGCTCAGATGGGAAGGATTTTTGGGGCACTGAATCTCTGTCTCAATCACTCAACTGTGCTATCCTCAGTGAGTGTAACCATGGCTGATACGGAAATGCCTGAGAGGCCACATTCCAGTACAGCTTAATCTACTAATCCTGCAGAAAGGGAAACAACGGCAGATAAGGCAGGGGAGGGCCGTGGAGTCAGACATCCAGCACCATGCCCCAGCTTTGCCTCCTAGGGGCTCGTAAGCCCTGGCCAGTTAACTTCTGTGCCTCAGTTTCCTCTTCTAGAAGAGGTGATAATGGAACTCCTCTCCTGGCTTCTGTGAGGGTTTAATAAGCCAATACACGTGTAAGACAGCAAGCATGGTACCTGGCGCAGAGCAGTGGTGAGGACGTGGTCAGTTCTTTTGGCTCGAGAGCTGGAGTGAAATACCTCGGGTCCATCTCATCACCCAACGATTGGGCCTCAGGAATCTTGCTCAAAAATAGCCTGCCAAATGGGCCTTCATTTCTCAGTGATGTCCCCAGCACTGGCACACAGGCCAGCCAAGTTGCTGCCCTCATGGAGTTTATATTCTCATGGGGATGACTAAAAAAGCAAAAACCAAACACCAAACAAATGGAAGGATTGCAATGGGAGACCCAGGCCATGCAGGGCGTTTACAAGGGTCGGGGGAAGATTTAGATTGGGGGACTGATAGAAGAGACATGGTATCTCCAGTGAAATCACTTCTGATTTAAGGTATGAATTCATCTCAGCTCTGGGCTTTCAGTCATCCTGGAGGAGAGAACAGCCAACAGTGTGACACCTGACCTGCCAGAGAGGAGAGGGTGTGGCAGATGGCAGGGCCTGGGGAGACATGGACATGGAGGCAGGAGATAGGCAAGGGCAGCAGAGCTGATTGCTCCTGGCCTTATATGCCACGTCATCAGGAACATGGATTGTATTGAGTGCAGCAGGCACTGTCTGAGGGGCTGAAATCAGGAGAGTGGGATTAGATCAGCTTTAAGAGGCTGGGGACACTAATTGGAGATGGTAACTGCAAAGCAACACTCACCTGCATATAGTTCAGGCTTGGCCTGGGGCTTTCAGGCTGGGAGGGCCTTGGGCTTCTGGCTCACAGCTCTGGGGTCCTTCCTGGGATTTTTGGATCTTTAAGTCAGTATACAGCTGCAGTTATTTCCAGTAGCCATGCTCGCAGATGGGGACTTGAGAATACAGAGAGAGATTGTACAAGACCACTGCCGCCTAGGGGCACAGAGTAAGAGGAAAATGAGTGGGCACCTGGCCCTGGGAAACGCCCTAACAAGGCAGGCAGAGAAACCAGCTCGTCTTCTCAGAGCTTGCCAGACATGCTCTCAAGTTGAACATATAAGTAGTTCTGGTGGTTGAAAACCAGGTCTGACACACTCCAACCTGCTGAGCATGGTGTAGACCAGCTCAGACCAGCCCCAGCTGCTTAGACCAGGCAGGGCAGGTGCACACTTGCCATCACAGTGCTGGAGGAGGGACCCCACAGAGCACTGCAGGGAGCTAAGCAGGAGCTGTGGGCTCTGAGGATGCTTTGTTCCCCACCCCCCACCCCTGCAAGATGGAATTTTGTGCTTGTTGCCCAGGCTGGAGTGCAATGACGTGATCTTGGCTCACTGCAACCTCCGCCTCCTGGGTTCAAACAATTCTGCCTCAGCCTACCACGCAGCTGGGATTATATGCACATGCCACCACCCCCAGCCTAGTTTTTTTCCTTAAGTACAGACAGGGTTTCACCATGTTGGTCAGGCTAGTCTCGAACTCCTGACCTTGTGATCCACCCACCTAGGTCTACCGAAAGTGCTGGGATTTCAGATGGAGTCTCACTCTTTTGCCTAGGCTGGAGTGCAGTGGCATGATCTCCGCCTCCTGGGTTCAAGCAATTCTCCTGCCTCAGCCACCCAAGTAGCTGGGACTACAGGCATCCACCACATTTGGCTAATTTTTGTATTTTTAGTAGAGACAGCGTTTTAACCATGTTGCCCAGGCTGGTCTGTAAATCCTGACCTCAAATGATCCTCTCACCTTGGCCTCCCAAAAGCACTTGGGATTACAGGTCTAAGCCACCATGCCCAGCCTGGATGCTTTGCTCTTTACTGTGTTTAAGTAAATGAGCAATGTGTGAATAAGTTCTGGCTTAAACCATTTGAACGATGAGCATATATAGAGCAAAACGTGAACATCTCCCTCGGCTGCATCGTCTCTGCCTTTTGGTGCATCTGTGTATACATGGGTGCTTGCTTCATATGAGGTTTCAGTTTTAACTAAAATGGGACCAGATGTCTTTTGTTCTGTAGCTTTTCCCTTACCTGTGTCTTGAAGGTGTTTCTGTGCCCCGTGCATGGGTGTGCATCGTCTTCTGTAATGTCAGCGTGTCCTGCTGTTTCCGCACACCTGCCATGCCAGGTCCATGGGTCCTGCACATAGGCATGGAGTGGTTTCCAAGCTTCCTCCGCAGCAGGATGCTGCATTGAACATTCTCGCCCACGTTTTTGTGAACTTGTTCAACAATTTCTTAAAGCTGACACCAAGACTTGGAGCTCCCAAGCCAGAGGAGCTCACTCACACATACCTGCCTCAGTTTCCCCAGGTTTCACCAGTTTGTGCATTTGCTAACCACAGGGATGCCAATTCTCAGCATCCCTGCCCATGCCTGGTGACAGCTGTCTTTCAGTCTTTCAGTTTGCATTTTCCTTAAGTGTATTAGAACGTGCTCTCTCCCCCGCCATAGAATGCAATTGTTTATTCTAGAAATTTGTATTGAGCACCTGCTCTGTGCCATTCTTTCCGTAGGTGCCAGGGTGCTCAGGAAAGAGGACAAAGATATGTCAGCATGCCATACAGGACAGGCAGTGCAGGGGAGAGGGGCTGAGGAGGGCAGCAAGCACGGCCTCTGGAGAAAACAATGGAGGTGGTGAGGGGGGTCAGTCAGCCGGAGCACCTTTCTTTCTTGCAGAGGCAGGCAGGAGTGTGCCTGCCTGGTGCCACCGAGCAGCCTCAAGAGGCTGGTTGGAGTTGTGGGGAGGTGGAGGAAAAGTGAAAGGGCCAATCAGGGACAATCTCAGAGTATCAAAAGGCTTATTCTCAGACTTGGTCCAGGAGTGACAGGGTCTGGCATCAGTGGGGTTACTCAGGTGTGGCATGCAGACTGGACTATGGGCAGCTGCTGGGTACAGGGAGAAATGGAGGTGAGAGATGAGGGTGCTCAAACCCAGGGTATGACCTCCCAGAGAGCAGGGGTGCTGTCCAGTCAATCCCTCTCATAGCCCCAGTGTTTCTTGGCACCTGAGAAACATGTTGGTTAACTTTTCTCCCATGAGGCGCTCCCTGTCTTTCCCTGCGTGTCTGCTGGGCTGCTGGCCCCTCAGGTTGCTTTGTAGGAGACACTCATGTACGCAGGGTGTTTCCCTAGTTGACATGTCTGAGGACGTCTTTCGTTGTGGGGAGTCACGCAGGGATTGACTGGACAGCGCCCCTGCTCTCTGGGAGGTCATACCGTGGGTTTGAGCACCCTCATCTCTCACCTCCATTTCTCCCTGTACCCAGCAGCTGCCCTTAGTCCAGTGTGCATGCCACACCTGAGTAACCCCACTGATGCCAGACCCTGTCACTCCTGCACGAAGTCTGAGAATAAGCCTTCCGATACTCTACGAGATTCTCCCTGATTGGCCCTTTCACTTTTCCTTCCACCTCCCCACAACTCCAACTAGCCTTCAGGCTGCTCAGTGGCACCAGGCAGGCACACTCCTGCCTGCCTCTGCAAGAAAGGTGCTCCAGCTGACTGACCAACCCCCCTCACCACCTCCATCATTTTCTCCAGAGGCCGTGCTTTCTGCCCTCCTGTTCTTGGTCTCAAACCTTATTTTTGCGTATGGTGTCAGGTCTGTTTACATCACACCAACTTGTAACACCATCTGCGTGGCTTTCAATTTTCAAGTGTTTTTTTTGTTCACTTGTCCTGTGGACTCATGCCATGCCACCGTAGTGCTGAGTGACGCTTAAAGGGTGCTTTTCTTATTAATCTTATAGAATTAATTTCTGCTTTCATTGAGAAGTATGGGTTATTACTCTTATGTTCTCAAAGTGATGGTTGGAGTGGTTAAATCGCTTTGTCGCCATGACACATCCCAGATGTTGCTGAGTCTGAAATGCAACCTAGGGTCTTCCAATTGTGAGGTTGGTTTCATGGCGTCACACCCCACCTCACTAAAGCTGGCAAGAAATCCGAGGTCCTGTGGGGCCAGCGGGCATTGGTCTGCTATAGACGAGCTAGACCAGGACAGACCACTTGGACTTCACTCACCTGGTTGAGTATACCAGTCGTAATTGTAGGCACTGGCAATATAGTACAGAAGATGACACTTCAGATGGCTACAGATGCTGTGAAGAAACTCCAAGGAACTCTTAGGCGAAGGCCAAAAGCACAAGGAGGAGTTAGGGCATGGCAGGCAGTCCCCGTGTTGCCAGAGGAAGTGACGATGGGATTACAGCTGTGGGAAACATTTGCATTTGATTCTGAACACAGTGGGAAGCTATGGAAGGGTTTGGGGTCTGAGGAAGGGTCAAGGCAAGAAGGGACGGTGTCTGGGTTTAGGAGACACAGCAGAGACAGAAGTGGAAGCAGTAGTCATGTGTCTGGAGGCAGAAGCCAAAGGCCAGTGGGTCTTGGATTTTGTTTGGAATGTGAATAAAGAAAAATTAAGGCACCCCCAGAGTTCTGGTTTGAGCATTGGAGTCAACAGTTGCCCCCTTTACTAAAGTACAGAAGCCCAGAGGAGGAACAGAAGTTTGATGGTGGAAAAAATTGAATTTTTTTTTTTTGAGATAGGGTCTCCGTCTGTCTCCTCACCTTGAGTGTAGTGGCATGATCTCGGCTCACTACAGCCTCTGCCGCTCAGGCTCAGTCTTCCCACTTCTGCCTCATGAGTAGCTGGACAACAGGTACACACCACATCTGGCTAATTTACCCCCCCCCCGCCCCAAGATGAGGTCTTGCTATGTGGCCCAGGCTGGCCTCAGAGTCTGCCAGGCTCAAGCCATCTAGCTGCCTCAACCTCCGAAAGTGCTGAGATTAGACACAGGAGTCACTGCCCCTGGTCACAATTTCCATTTTGGCTATGTTCAAGGTAGATATACTGACTCCAGGGCTCCAGAGGGAAAGGCTGACATACGAATTTGGGAAGCTTTACCATTTGGATCTATGGAAAGATAAGTGGGGAGTGCAGGCAGAAGAGACCTGGGACCCTGTACAATTTAGTGGCAAAGTCACCTTCAGAGAGATGGGAAGAACCTCAGAAGAGGGTGGAGATGCTGAATGGTTGAGGGCTTGCGAATAGAAACAAGCCACCTTTGGCTTTTGAGACTGAGTTTGGCATGATGTTGGCTCACTGCAACCTCCTCCTCCTGGGTTCAAGCAATTCTCCTGCTTCAGCCTCTTAAGTAGCTGGGATTACAGGAACACACCACCTCTCCCAACTAATTTTTGCATTTTCAGTAGAGACAGCATTTCACTATGTTGGCTAGGCTGATCTTGAACTCCTGACCTCAAATGACCCATTCTCCTTGGCATCCCAGAATGCTGGGATTGCAGGTGTGAGCCACTACACCCAGCCCAAAAAATCTTTTTGATGAGTGGCAGTGCAGTAGGCTCGTTTGATACCAGCATCACCTCAGATGCAGGAGTAGTGCACTGCATTGTGATGTCACTAAGCAACAGATATTTTTCAGCTCCATCACGATCTTACAGGATCACTATCATATCTGCAGTCTGTTGTTCACCAAAACATCATCAATGTGACATGACCATAGCCATTCCAGCGAGTGGAGGAGGGCCTCTGCAGGCAACTGGAGGATTCTCAAGTCGTCAGGGCAGGCAGGCTGCTATTTTCATTCACCGCTTGCCCTGTCTTCCTGTGGGTCTTCTGCTTAAGATTTTAGCCACGGTTGGTTGGGCTGGGTGCTGCAGTGGGGAGAGCACTGTGAGGTAATTGGCCGGGATTACAACAGAGACATGATTGTGCTCTGAACATCCCATGCAAAGTGGGGACGGGGCAACTGAGAATTAGAAGACCAGCAGCATTCAGGGATAATCCTTTCCATCCTTAGCAAGTTAGGCGTAATGCATCTCAGTTTTTAATAATTACGGTTTACTCCAGCAGAACCATCACAGAGCCTCTCTTCAGCCCCCCCAGTAGATGGTATCTGAGGTCTTCTGAAATGTCAGGCTGAGCCAGCTCTGAAACGCGAGATGGCCCCTGGTCACCTCAAGTGGCTATCAACAAAGAGACAAAGAGGCCCCCTCAGCATCACAGCCATTGGTAACCATCGGAATTTTACATAGAGTGATATGTTAGCCTTGAAGTGGTGAAAGCTGACATCTAGAAAGCATTGGTAGACTTCTGTATGAACTTAATGCCATCCTTTAAAGTTAAGCACAGTGCATCTTTAGTTTTTAATGAGCACTGTTTACCCCAGGGATGCACACACCCCACAGTGCCATGCCTCTCAGTACCCCGTCCATGGTGGATCCATACACCTGTCACTCTCTGCCACAGCTGCTCACACAGTGCAGGCCCCGAGCTTAAAAGAAACCTATTCTCCATCCCACCCAATCCTGCTGGTCCTTGTGGCTGGGATTTGAATCCACCCCCATCCCGTTTCTACGGGGGGCTGCACAAGCCTCACCACTAGGCTGTCCCAGGCCCATTGGGTGATCATCCCGCATTGTACAACCTGAAGCAGTTTATCTGCCTGATAAGGGCTCCCTAGGGGCAGGGCCACAGTCACCAAGAGCCACAAGAGGGCCACAGGCAGCCCATTTGCAGAAAATGTGCCTGAGTTTGCTTCAGGGCCTGAAAGCATTGTCTTGTTTAATCTCATAGGTGGGTTGATATCGGCCCCATGTTTCAGGTAACAGAGGGATTCAGAGACTTTAAAGAAATTTACACAGTTATGGGGGAGAGAGACAAAAGACTCCTTTTAAGTAAATTCACACATCGTAACTGCAATGTAGAGGTCTACCGCTGTGTCCCCGTGCTCCTTAGTCTAGGATGAGTAGTAGTCAAATCAGGCTTGGATCCCTCTTCTGGTCCCCAACCCCTGGCCCAGTACCAGTCCATAGCCTGTTAGGTACTGGGCTACACAGTGGGTGAGCAGCGCTTCGTCTGTATTTACAGCCACTCCCCATCACTCGCATCACCGCCTGAGCTCTGCCTGTCAGATCAGCAGCAGCACTGCATTCTGAAAGGCATGCAAACCCTATTGTGAACTGCCCATGTGAGGGATCTAGGCTGCATGCTACTTACGAGAATCTCATGCCTGATGATCTCTCACCCTCTCCCATCGCCCCCTGAAGGGACCATCTAGTTGCAGGAAAACAAGCTCAGGGCTCCCAATGATTCTACATTATGGTGAGTTGTGTAATTTTTTCCATGTAGTAATAATAGAATGTACAAATGTAACACACTTTGTATCTCAAAAGCATCCCCACCCCCTACATCTGTGGAAAATTTTTCTTATACATAACTCATCCCTGGTGCCAAAAAGGTTGGGGACTGCTGCCACGTGACCTTGCACATGGCCCTGTATCCAAATGTAAGCCACATTCTGCTTCTCTACCATGGGCCTGGGGCAGTAACTTCTCGAGCTTCCCATCTCCCATGGTGAGAACACCAAGAAATAGATGAAATAGTGATGCCCAGCCTGACAGCAGTCACTCTGAAAGCATTACACAGCACCTTCGTCCTTACTATCTTCCAGGCCATTTCCATCATCATCTCTGGCATTCTAATGCCAGACTGCTTTGATTTAAAATACCAGATTTCAGAGGCTGAGGCAGGAGAATGGCATGAATGCAGGAGGTGGAGCTTGCAGTGAGTCGAGATTACATCACTGCACTCCAGCCTGGGCAACAGAGCAAGACTCCACCACGAAAAAAAGATTTTGCAAGCAACTTCACTTACATTTTGGAAGACTTAGTATGACAAATACACAAAGAAAAATGACTAGAAAACTATGTAACTACTGTCCTAACAGTGGTTATCCACAAAGGATGAGTTGACAAGCTATTCTAGTTCTGTGTTCCCCTCCCCCCCCCAACAAACAGTAAAGCCTTTCTCACTTTTTTTTAATTCACCATTTAACTTGTGCTTGTAGAAGAGCAACTACACAGCCAGAGCTTGCAGAAGAAAAGCCTGAAGCTTAAAAATATCAGGAACACAGCAGCAATGTCACAGTGTTATTGAAAGCACACTCAAAATGTCATGAAAAAATAATGCTGGGTTTACCGAAGGGGGATTTACATTCATCTGGTGACAGGTTGTGCGCTCAGTATTTTGAGTTCTTTAATCCCCAAAAGCCACAGTGTCTGTCCTGTAGGCATCCATGTCCCCAGCCCCGAGTCTTTTGGGTTCTTGCCTGGGAGTCACACTTACCTCCTGCTTTTCTGGGCACGCCTGTCCTGCCCTCCACCTTCCAAGACCATTTCTATTTCTGGTTGAAACGTTGCTCAGTGTGATTCCTTGGGGTCTGTCCATCTGTACCTCTCATAAAGCAGCAAGCAACAGCTGCCTTGTCACATCCCCACCTTGTGCCACCACCTAACTAGCATCTTGGGGGCTGGGCTTGGATGCATTTATATCTAGTCATCGACTCTGGGCTCAGAGTGCACACATTCAACATCAAAACCAACCTCTGCTCCTGATTAGCCATAGGATTTACCCTCTGTGCTTTATTTTCCATGCCCTTAAGATTAGGATGGTAATTACAGCACCCATTTCACATGGCCGGCTTAAGGATGTTATGAGAATTGGTGTTAGTCCTTTAGTTCAAGATTTGACAAGCAGTGGCTTTTTTAATCCTTTTAAAATAAAGTACCTCGTGGTGTTGGGATCCGGAGAACCAGACCCAGACCTGCCTTCAAGGAACCCTTGGGTACTGCCAGAGCCATTTCTGGATCAGTTGTGGATGGTGGAAGTCTTGGAGACCCATTTCAAACCAAGAGGTAGGAGGTAAAGGCCTTGATGGATGTCAGCATAGTTCACAGTGGAATTAGATTTCACGGGGCACCCATCACGCAGTCCTGAGGCCCAGGTGTTGCCTAGGAATGAATTCAAAGGCTATTCAGCCTGGCATGCTCTGATACTGCCCATCAGGACCCCCGCAGCCATGCAGTACAGAAGGCAGAGCAAGGCCACTCCCTCCCACTCCACAGATCCAAGGGGCTAAGACACAGGGAGAACATTCTCCATGATCTTCACATCCTGGAGGCAGAACTGGGTTTTCAAAGTGGTGAGACTCACAGACTTATGAGGGAGCTAGGTCGTGGAAGATGCTGGCCACATCCCCGCCACACACACAGATCAGTCCTAGCTGGGTTGCAGGGATCCAGCCCTCTAAGCTTCAAAGGCAGCTCCTAGTAAGTGGAGTATTGACCGGCTCGCCAGACCCAGATCACAGGTGAAACAAAGTGAAAAGTTAGTCTCTCCTCGCAGCCATTTTCACTGATGAGCAGTTGAGGCTGTCCGATTAATGTCAGCCGCATGCTGGTGACAGGACACAACGCAGTGTACCCCAAGAGGCTTATTAAAAAGAACAGCCACTCCTGGGGCCCTCTGAGGGTGCCCTCACACACAGACCCCCTTTTCCCCAACTCCCCAGTGCTGTGTTAAGTTGCTAGCAGCAGGGAGGATGGAGATGGAGTTTCTGAAATGAACACCAAAGCACATGTCAGGACCACGCGTGGCCTGGCAGGGGGCTCATTACCGCAGCTTACATCCTTCTCCCTGCAGGGGAGGGGAGGCAGTGCCCTGGGGACTTATGGGCTGTCTCCTAGGTGACCGTGGCATCCCAGGAGTTCCTTCTCCAGTTGCCTTCCAGGTGAGCTTAGAGCCAGGTGCATCCCTGGGGGCATGATGTCCCCAGAGTGTCTACCAGCTTGGTGACAATGGACCCTGCAACCCAGGAGGCCTGGCCCCTCATGGATTTAGGGATGGAATCATCTGTGCCGTTTTCCTTCCCGTGTTTTCTGCCCAGTAGTTTGAACCGCATTTCTAAGGCCGTTCACTCTCCTGTGTGACCCCAAAATGGCTCTGGCAATACCAGGTCTGTGGAGTAAGATTGAGGTCTGACCTGAGCATAGGGTTCACAGAGGAGTGAACCCTGCTGGAGGTGGCCAAGTTCAGAAGTGAAGGGCGAGGGCATTCACTAAGCAGCATCCCCATGGGCCACGCTCTATCCCAGCATCAAACGTTATCGTTGGCTTTGTCCCAAGAACCTGCAGGGCAGATTCTGTGATTTCCCCCTTTATTTTTGCTTGCACCATTTTTTAAAACAGCTCAAGAGACAGATCACATACCATACAATTTACCCACTTAAAGTGCACACAGCTTGCTAGTTTGACTTTGATCCCCCTTCATAGGCTAGGAACTCGAGTCCTAGAAAGGAGCATCGTGAGCAGCCCAAGTACACCTGCTGGTGAATGACACAGCCAGGAGTCATCTAAGACACTGTCCCCGTGGTCCCTAGTTTTTACCCAGAGACGGGGACAAAGGTCGCTGGCTCTTGAGAGCTACAGGCTATCAGGGTCTTCCCTGAGGGGCTGTTTTATGTCGGGAAAGTCTAGATTTACAGGCACTGCCTTCTTTGGAGTCGAGATTGAAGCCTACCGTGGTACTGTTTCTCGCTTTTATGGCATAGTTCCTTGAGTTTTCACAAAGGCTTGGAGTCCTTTAGCCATCACCATCAAGATGTGGAACAACTCCTTTCCCCCCAAATTTCCTAGCATTCCCCTATAGGCAACCCGACAGCTCCCGGTCTGTGCTTTGTCATTTCTAGTTTTGGGAATTTGACGATGTGCTTGAGATTCGTCCATGTTGCCAAAAACCTGCATAGTAAGAAGCAAACATTCACCCAACACAAGGGGTGAGGGCTGATGCGTAAGAAAAACTGCTTCAATGCGCCTTTCAAACCGTGTTTACATCATTGCAAGGGCCAAGGTCACCTCGAAATGTAGGTACTGGAAGAGAAATCCAGAATGTTACATAGAAGACGCACGCTAACAACAGAGCCTAGGAAAGGTCGCCACACGTCCTCATCCCAGCTCCAGGGGGGGCAACTCTGGGCTCAGGGATGTCACTTCCCACAGTCAACATGCTGGGATTGAGGCTCATACCCTGAAAGTGGCCTCCCCATCATCACTGACCCCGCCCAGGTAGCAGAGGAACGTCGGGTTCTGGATCCACAGCTCGGAAAGTCTGCTTTGTGACTGGAGAGAGTCACCGTCGAGGAGTGGCCATTATCCTGAGCCTGTCTTTTATCGCCACGTTGATATTTTACCCGTAACCATGAAAATAGATGGCGACTGGATTTTGTTCCTTGCGGTATGTCCTTTGCAGGTAAATTTAGGAAACCTAATAGGGTAAAAGGCTCAAGGAATAGGGCTATTAAAACGGGGAGACTCCTCCCCGCATGTGAAAAATTGAGTTGTCTCCCACCACTACCTGAGGGGTCTACCCCACCCCTTTGGGTGGTGGCTTAGGCCTCCATGTCTGTATCACCACATCTCACAGACGAGACTGTCCTGGCCCCAGAAGGTAGGAACTGAGTCTTTTCAATTCCCCGAGAGCCCATGATGGGGTCTGGCCTCATGTAAGAGGAACATGAGGAAAGCCAGAGATGGCACTGTCATTCTTTACCCAACAGCCACAACTTCTCCACCCTTGTCTGCCGACCTGTCTGAAGACTGCAACACCCACCCATTTGCTGCTTTTTATTTATTCAGGCTGCCTGTAAATATCCCTGCTGAATAGCCATCTCTCCCCATCTCTAGCCCCTTGGGCCTCTGCCGTCTCTGGAGCAGGCAGCCGAAGACCTACAATACCTAGACGCTGATCTTGTTCAAGAAAGACGAGGAAGGGCTTTTCAGATAAGGTTCCCTCTGCCCCTGCAGCACCCTCTTCCCCCAGGGTAGGGAGTTGAGGAGTTGCACCGGTAAAAGGTTGTGGTTTGGCAACGATGCTGTATTTTGGGAGTTTGTAATATCTTTGTAAAATCCTCCTTGATTGGGTGTGGTGGATCGTGCCTATAATCCCAGCACTTGGGAGGCCTGAGGTAGAGGATTGCTTGAGTTCAGGAGTTTGAGACCGTCCTGGGCACCATAGGGAGACCCCCACATCTCTAAGAGAAAAAAATCTCTACTCAGTTCCTTTGGTATATTAGATGCCTCTACCAGTAAAAGTTCCTATGAAGTTGCTGGCTAGACTTCACTAGTGTCTCTTACCTTATTTCAGTCATTTCAGGATGTCAAAGGAGCCAAATCTATTTCTAATCACCACCAACTGCATAAATATGCATCAATGATGTATGATTGGCACTATTATCCTCATTTCACAGATCAGAAAGCTGTGTTTTGGGGAGGTTATGGATCTTTCTCCAAGGTCTAGAGTGTCTTAACAGAAGGAACTCAAGTTTTCTGACTCTGAATATGGAGTTAAGGCCTTTGGCAACCCATTCTTATGGATTGCCATCCAGACGCCCCTTTTTCTTGTTTGTGAAACTGTAACAGACCTAGTCCCAGCATTAACAGAGTCCCTGCTGGGGAGCAGGAATGGAACATATCTTGTCCACACATTCCTCTGTTGCTTAGGCCCCAGAGCTGCAAGCCCACTTTGTTATAAAAATGCAGTTGTGCCTAACAACTGTCTGCTTCTTGGTGATTGGCTTTATGATTGCAGCCAGCTAAGAAATGGTGTTGTCATTCCAGAAGTCTCGGTGGTACACAACGCTGAAGTCGGCAGCTAACAAGGGCTATGAGAGATGAGAATTTCACTCTGAGGATCCTGTGGGGAGGAGGCATCTGCAGCAGGGACTGGAGGGAACCTTGGTGTTAAAAAAAAAAAAAAAAAGGCTGTCATTGTAAATGTGAGGCGTTTCAGCTTCCGACTACAGCCCATGTCTCTACTGTTGGACGCCAGTCCTGGGATGAGCCTGGCACTGGCTTCATTCCCCTGTAGCAAAGGGGCCCAGTGGGGACACATGGGGTCGTCTTCTCTTCTGAGTACTGGCCCTAGTCTCTTATCCACATTAGCCCCCACTTCCTTTGCCAGTTTACATACTCCCAGTCCTACCCAACCCCCCACCTTCAGATTCTGCTATTCAGCCAGACAGCATTACCAGTATTAGGCTGTTCTCAATCTATAAAGATGGCAGTTGCAAGAGGTTCAGCCTCACATACGCCAGCAGCCACCAGCACTCTCCATTCAAGTCCACTGTGCTCAGCAGTCTGGGTTTTCCATCTGTCACGCACTCACTGAAGCCCCTGGTCTAGCCAGATTTCCGCAGGTGTCATCCACTCAACTTGTCCCAAATGAAGCCCATCCTCCCGTGGCCTCACCTGCCCCCTCCTCATCCTGGGTTCTCTCAAACCATCACAGCACCCCTGCCTCCAAGCCTGTGTCCCGAGACATGGCTCTGCTCCACATGGCCTCGAGGATTGAACCATCCCTGTGTCACAGAAGCCTACTGTCACACCCTCAACCACAGCAGCCTACACTCACTGGGACTTCCCAGGTGCCAGGCACAGACATGTGACACATATAGCCTCGTGACAGCTCAGTGCACGTCCCGAGCTAACCCTGCCTTCCAGGAAGGGGAAGCAGCTGGGCCGGGTCTGCCCGGCTACAAGTCCACCCCCTCCCCATGGGCCTGCCACCTTCACCTTTTTTCATTTTCACATCTAGAGGGCCCTTTACACAGCAACCCTCAGCTCACTTCTGGTCACCCTCCACACCTCTGCCTCCTCCGGGAAGCCCTCTGTGCCCTGCTCAGAACAACCTGAGTTCCCTCTCATTGGGGCATCCACCGTGATCCACCACAGCCATCTGTCCAGTGTCTGCCCTCCCCATCCTCAATGACACTGTGGCTTTCCAAACCTGAGACCACTTCTGCACCCCTTCATGCCCAGCCCAGCATGGTGGTGACACAGGTCATGTGTTTGAATGTTCACTGTTGCCCATTGTCTCTCTAGGCACTTGATCCCCATGATGCTTAAAACCACCCCACCTTTATTCTGTCCAAGGCTCAGAGGGCAGGCATTTGCCTACAGAAACACAGCTAGTTGGTGGCTTTAGGTAGCCCTTGAATCCTTACCACCACAGTACTAGGATATGCTTATGGTTGTCATCCCCAAATGACAGACAAGGAAACCAAGGGTCAGACAGCACTGCCCACAGCAGGACTGGACAGAGACACGTGCCTCCAAGCTATGTCCTCTCCCTACCCCTTCATAACAGTCACCCCACCGACTGCTACCTCTCCTCTCCCAACCAACAAGGCACTGGCCTCTCCCAGGCACTCTCAGAGCCTGTTACCTCCAGGGCCTCTCCCCCCAAGCTCTGGTCATTGCAGGGCAGGGCTCATCCTGGCTGTGCTGAATGATGATGGTGGTTGCAGGCTAAGTGGCTGCTCAGACCCCGCATCTGAAGAGCATGACAGGAGGGGGTTGTGAGGGCATGGCTTTAAACTGACTTTTACATCCAAGCCTTCCTGTATCTAAGAATCAGTTCCCCTACACTGCAAGCAAAGACCTCCTTCCAGCATCTTTGAACCATCCTCTAAGGAGCATTCAGGGATAAAGAGGCTCTTCGTAAGTGGGGTCCCCCATCCTTTGAAGAGAGGATCATGTTTGCTTTGGGCCTGCAGCCAGACACCCACCTAAAGGAGGAAAGCACAGCACACGCCAGGCTGGTTGGGCTCAGAGATGATTCAGAGCAGCTCCGGCTTTGTTCAAGGTCAAATGTTTCTTTTTCATCCATGCACAGAAGGCAAAGCAACAACTTGACTTACAGGAAAAGACAATCATTAAAAGGGGTCTTCATTTTGTTAGCTTATCAGGGTGTCAAACTTGAAACGAGGGATCTCACTCGCACAGTGGCCATGTCCCTGGAAAGGTGCAACGCAAAGTAGATCATTGTGAAGAGATTCACTCCTGAGATACATGAAGATGCTAGGCTGTTTCAGGGAACCCTGCAGGGATCCTCGAGGGGAATGATTTCTTTATGAATGCAAGTCTCTTAACTCACATGATTTGTGAAACTGGGCTTGGATACAGCTGGGGGTGGATGTTCCTGATCTGACATTCTCACTTGGCATCTTTGGTCCTTTCTAAACCACAGATAAGGCAGAGCTAGCTGTGGACACAGTCCTGTCTTCCCTTGTAGGGTCCAGTGGATCCAGGACTTACATCCAGCAAGCCACAGCAGCACAGAGGTGCTGCGGACGCAGGAGTGGACATGGATCCTGTTAGGTTTTTGCCTTGTTTTAAAACATTTTATCCCAGTGAGGTATTTACTTCCTATTCAAATAGCGTATAGTAGGCAGAGTAAGAACATTCCTAGCCCCAGAATTTATGTGTCCCCTTATCTAGCAAAAGGGACTTTACAGATGTGATTAAGGATTGGCCAGGCACAGTGGCTCACACCTGTAATCCCAGCACTTTAGGAGGCTGAGCAAGAGGATCACTTGAGACCAGCCTGGACAAGAGCAAGACCCCATCTCTACAAAAAATTACACTCAGGTATGGTGGCTAGTACCTATAGTCCCAGCTGCTCAGGAGGCTGAGGTGAGAGGATCACTTGAGCCCAGGAGATCGAGGCTGCAGCAAGTTATCATTACACGATTGCACTGTAAAACCTGGGCAAGAGTCGAGACTGTCTCCAGAAAATACAATTTTGAAAAAATGCAACCACATCACAGGACTTCCTGCTGAGCACCCTCTGCTCTCACGGTGAAGCCTCCCAGCCTCTACCCTATCCCCTAAAAAATGTGCCGAGGGCCTCCCACACAACCCAGACCCATGCCCTGGGACCCACACACGCTGTGTGTTCGCGTTGCTTCAGAACCAGGATCAGTGTCCCCCTCTTGGTGTTATCTTCCACTGTTCCTGGCTCTTAAACACAATACCATGCCAAACAACCTTTTAACTAGCCCCTAGCCTAGGGCCTGATTATTTTCTTAGGATTAATTCCACAGGAAGTCCGTCTCCTGTGTTTTGCTACGCATCTTGTGTGGCTTTATGTAGTGTTCTCCAAAGTTGCCTTGGACTTAGAAGCGTACCTTTGCTGGAAAATCAAGGAAAATGTGGGGAAGAAAGCTGTGCCTAGAACATTCTTTCATAGCCTTAAAATGTAGACCGGAACGGTGGTACCATGAGCTAGCTCAGACTCACAGCCAAGCTTGGTTGGAGCCTCGGAGTGCTGTTAAAAAAAAAAAAATGGAAAGGTTTACGTGACAATAGGGGTTTCTCATTTCTTCAGGTGGCACCAGTTAGAGGCAGATCCAATGAGCCAGTCACAGTTGCCAATCAGATCCCTCCTGCCCTCACACCTGGCTCCCCTTCCTGGCCTGTGGTCATTTGCTTTTCATCCCCAGACTTAACCCGATTCTCTCCCTGCTCTTTCAGCGACATCACCCCGCCCGGAGAGCCTGTGAACAGCCGGCCCAAAGCAGCTTCCCGCTTCCCCAAACTGTCCCGGGGTCAGCCCCGGGAGACCCGCAACGTGGAGCCCCAGAGCGGTGACCTCTGACCTCGACAAAACCGCAGCCACGGGCCCTGTGCGTGGCACCAGCTGCGTCCACCCCAGCCACTGCCGCTGGCCCCTCACCTCAGCGTGACAACCACGTCCACCTGGTGATCCTGAGAGCACACGATTCCCAACAGTTACACAACACCCCGATTAAACTAATCAGTCTTCGAGCCGCATGATACCGTGACCCGAGAGACCAAGGCAGCACCTCGCTGGAGAGACTGGGACACACAGTCCTTCTGCTTCTGGGGTCTACCCTGGGCTGCAAGGGCTGTTCCTCCACCTTTCTGTAGTTCAGGGCTGGCAGGAGGGTGGGCACCAGGTCAGGCTGGGTGCGCCATGGTTGAGAGGCAAAGGTGATCCCCTATATAGGAAGGTTCATGCAGAGCCAGCCTCTCCACTCTTTCCCACGTGGGGACTAGAATGACTATTAGCCTCTCCTTTTGCTTTTTAAGGTTATTACCTGGCCTAACCTAGGGATGGCTGGCTTTGCGGGGGGGGGGGGGGGGGGGGGCATGGTTCCTTTCACTGCATTTTCCACCAACAGTCATTAGACACCTGGCACTGTCACAGCTCACTTTTCCAGAGGGATATTCCTGTGGCTTTGGCAAGGAGCCATTAGTGATGTGCAACTTGAGTTCAGAGAACTTCCCCTACCTCCCCCATGGCTGGCTTCAGGAAGGACCAGTGCCCTCCATAGCCTGAGGCCACCTAGGCCCTCGCCAGGCTTGGAGTGGGGGGACTCAGACATCTGGCCCAGCCATCAGCAGCAACCTAGTAACCCGGCGTCATCCAGCGTGTCCAAAGTAGCATTGGCCCTACAGTCATGAGAGACTTGGGTCAGGGAACCACTGCAGAAGGTTCCAGGGTTTTCAAACCAGGCTCCATGACTATGAAGTTGGACCCAGTGTGGACACTTAACAGATCATGTGTCTCTCCACTAAAAACATTTTCCATCCCGTCTGCCCCCGACATTGTCCTTGATAACAGAACTCTGCATCCCCTAAGACAGAGTCCTCTGTTCCTCCCATGTCAGGTGGCTCTCAGAGTACAGGGACCTTGGCAGGTGGAGAGGAGGATGGGGACCAGCAGCTGGGCAGCCCCCAGGGCTCCTCCTCCAGTGAGCTCACATCAGAGCACCTCACAGAGCAATAGCCGTCCTCAGATGCTCAGCAAAGTTGTGGCAGTTTGCATTTCTAGGGTAAACTAACTAGGAAGGATGTCGTGAAATGGACTATGCAAGAGTAAGTTTGTGTGTTTCGCCTTAATCTGAGGCAGAGACACAGCAGAACCTGAGGAGAAAAGCAGGTGGAAGGTGACGGTTAGATGGTAAGCCATGGGCTTGTCCTGGAACTGCTTCAACTCAGTGGCTTAAAATGAGAACTGCCCAGGTGAGCATGGAGCATCTCCTAGGCTCGAGGACATCTCTGGAGAATCATCTGGAAGGTTTATACTGTGCCTTCCCCTCGTAGCAAAAAGGAAGATTGTTCATGGCCTTTAAGGAAGGCTGAGATCACTCACACACAGCGCCCCCCCACCCCAGAGAAACCGAGTCAGCCTACATGACTTCCAAGGGGACCTGGGGCCAGATAAGCCCTGCCCCGGTGAGACCAAATGAGCTGGAGCATGTATGGAGGTGCGGACCCTGCAGTCAGTTTGCGAGTGTGGAGGACCCGAGACATCCTGTAAAGGCAACTTGGTCTCCCTCCCACTCACCTGCCAACATTGCTGCAATACACATGGTTTATCTGAAATTCCAAGGCCAGAGTGCACATCAGCTCACATGACTGGCAACTCTAAATAGAGAGCCCTAATGGACTGAGGCAGGAAACGTCTAAAAGCTCAATCTGCTGTATGTCATGACCCCTTAGGTTGGGTTTATGCCACATCGGTCATTTTGAAGTAGGTGTTTGATGCCAGCTCAGAGACTGTCTCAGGAGTGCCTCCCTGGCCTGGGTAGCTACCCTGGAGGTCATCTCCCTGTTCTCTGTTGGATAAAGGAACCTCCCCCATCTGTGACATTCCCTTGGGCCCAGGCTTATGACCTGCACCTTTTCTGACACCTGCCCCCAAAGCACAGGATGTGAATTGGTCTCTCTCCAGATACCCCACGAGGAAGCACCTTGGACATTCTGCACATGATAATAATGCAACAGTCCCCCATTGCTGAGAGATACTAACCCGTGAGAAACAAGTATGCTCTCAGCTGGTATTGAACTGGTGGGAGAAACTGCCTCCTACTTTTATAATACTGAATTATTCACAAAAAACCTGGTCTGCTCTCCAAAATGAGAGCATGTTCCTGGGAGCCACATGGGGACCATCCCCAGCTGCCTGCTCCTGGTACCTCCCCCATGATCATGCACAGACCGTAGAGTCGAGTCATCTCGCAGATCCAGACCATCTCCTCTCATTCTCACTCTAAAAATGCTGGTGGCCCGCACATGACAGCAACTCCCCGAAGCCTTCCCTTTGGAATCCCATAGAATGTTCTGCAATGATTGGGTCCATCTTGCTGCTCAGAAGAATCCCGTCCTGCTCTCTAGTGTGGTGGGATGAACTTCAGGCAACAAACAACTGGCAGGGTTCCCAGTTCCTGGAGTTATGGAGCAGAAACACCCAGGCCTAGCAGAATTGTGGCTGAAACCTGGTGCCCAAATTCCACACCCTGGAAATGTGTCAACTGCCTGTCAGCCTGGATTCAATTCTGAGGGCTAAGCCACGACCTTATCCATGAGTGGCGAAGACACCCCTGAGGAAAGGATTGCTTGCACCTCACATCTGTCTTCTTCTAAGATTACTCGGAGATTTTCAAACAACATCTGAGAACAGAAGCCCCCTCCCCTACTCAGAGAGGAACGAGGGTGGCCCACCTCTCAAGGGCCTTGGATTCCTGGGACCACCCTTTGCTGGGAGGAAGAATCCACACCGAATCCTTCTGTCTTCATGGCCTGCTGTGCTGAAACAGAACAGCAGGTTCCATCTTTCACATCTTTTTTTCTCCCCCAGATGAAAGACGACTCAGGAACGGTAGGGCTGGGCAGAGGTGTCTCTCCTTGAGAGACAACAAAAGCTTCTAAGGGAGGGAGCTTAAAGGCTGCTAGAAACCTAGCCCAACCATCCACTCCTGATCTGAGACAGAACCTTCTCCGCCACTCTTCCTGCAATCAGTGTGAAATTCCAGCTTCTTTGATTCCCACTTAGCAGTATGCTCCAATCACGTTGCTGGCAAGGCATTTTAGAGTTTGGAGCTGAGGTTCAAAGCCCCCTGCATTTCTCTACTGGCAGGCCCTGGTGAAGGAAGACACTTTCAGGGAAGAGGCTCTTACAGTCTATGGTGGTAGCCATCTTCACATCCAGTCACCAGTTGCATCTAGGGAGCTGCTGGCTATAAAAGGGATCATCCAGTGGAGTTGTAAACAAGGGAACCATCTTGCAAGATCTAGGAAGAGGAAGGGGAGGGATGTGGACTGGGTCTGATCACAGCCCTTGGCCCTGCTTCATACTTTGGAGCTTATTAAGATCAATTTTGATAACCATGTAATTTCTTAGAACCATGGCAGGTAGTATTGTGCTTTAAAAACCAGAGGCTCCTGAAAGTCGTTTACACCAGGTGGATTGATACCATGGCTGTAGCTGATGCAACTAACAAGTACTGGGGCCAGTGATCACAATCCAGGTTGGAAACAGGAGTGAAGCCCACCAGCCTGCCTGGTTGATGGACAGCAGGCTCTGCCTTCTGGAGGCGGCTTATATCCCAACAGCCTGAGGCAGGGCTCTGTGGCCCAGGCCGGCAGTGGCTGCCTCTCTTGGTTCTGCATGGTACATTTTGCCAACCCTGAGGACCAGTTCTTGGGGTTCCAGGCCTCGGCCTTCCTGCTCCACGTGCTCAAGCCCCCACAGGGGGCTGCGACACCATCTGGCTCCTCACAGGGAGGTCCAGCCATGTTCTCTGGGCTCCCAGTGAGCCCCCTCCCCTCCGGCTACCCCCAGAATCCATCCTTCATTCCTCCACCAAGCTCCTGTGTGAGCTGCAGCACCCACACGGGGGAAGCCCTGCACTCCAGCAGCATCTTCCAGCCTTGGCACAGAACTGATGGCAAAGGAAGGGCTGGGTTTTCAGCTTCTGGGACCCGAGGAAGACCCCACCTCACTCCTCCTTCCCCAGTACATCAGACTGGTTAGGAGGCATCCCAGAAGGGGCAGCCTCATGCCCAGGTTTCAGCCCTAAAGGTAATGATTGTCTTGACTCTGCCTTGGCATTTCGCTCGGAATCACGGCAGACTTGGAGTGTTTCTTCAAGGCAGGCATCTGCTTATGAGCAAGGTCAAAGATTTTTCAAAATATTGTGCATTAATTCATTAAAGCTACTGTTAAATATTTGCTGTTTTTAGATTGGCGTCCGTGCTAATTCTGCAGTTGTAGCACTGTATATTTTATCTCATTTCTGTGCCAAGAAAGTTCATCTTTATGTTTTTCTAATACACAATCTTGATCTTGTTTCCAAAATAAAGCTTCAGCTCCTTGGTCAATAGAAGTAAGGGTGTAGCCATCCAGGGTCTCCCGGCTCTAGGCAGACCGGATCCCGCAGTTCATCCCATGGTTGTTGAAATGTACCTCGATCAGTCATCTCTGGTATTCCTCACTCTAGCCATGAGCCATTGCCATCTTATGGGCCCGATTTGGGTACTCTGAATTATGTCATGGAGTAGACAGTTACTTCTAAATCCCAGCAACCAAGTTGCGTATCCTTCCTTATAGCTAGTTTCTATAGAGAAGTGAAAAAGAAATCTGGCTTCCTTAATAAGATAGTTGAGCCTATGACATTAAGGAGCAGCGCTGCTGGCGGAAGATTCTAGATTCACTGGTGGTTTAAGAGGCCCAGGGATTTAGTTCTTACTGGTGCGTAAGTGTTTTCCCATCCTAACCGGAAAACCACTCACCCAGGCTTCCCCCACTTCCCCTCAAATTTTCTCAGCTCTGCCGCTGGTCTCCATGAACGGCAAGGGGAACCACCACTCATTCACTGTCAGTGTAGGTAAGACAGAGGATGCCCTTGCAAAAATTGGGACTGAGGACAGTAGCACACGGAATGGTGGATCGTACATTTGCACCCAGAGCTACTAAACGCTCAGTGACCCCAGAGACCATTAATTTCCCGGAGTGAAGGGGATGGGGGTAGAGCTAATTGGAATTTTTATTATCCAGGACTCATCCTAAGAAGAATGTTGGCCTCTCTTCATCCCTGGCTTAGCCGTCAGGTAGAACGCTTACTCACCTGACACCGACTTCTTAGAGAAGCGAGTCTTTTTTGAATGGAGGAGCGATGGTAACCCCACTAGGGGGCGCCCATGATCGGCTCCCAGTGCACCCCCTTAAGGGTAAGCAGGCCACATATCTAGAGTCTGATAGTCTGTGTGTACATAAGGTCTAGAAGTCTGTGGAAACGCCCTGAAACCTGTAGTATTATCTTAACTACCCTCTTATGTTAAGGTTTACATAATAGGATTTTTAAACAAATGTGTTTAATTTTTTAAGATCTCTTGTATTAAAATTTTCTTTTGGAATAAGCTGTGGAAATTTTGTTACAACCTGGTTGAGATCAACCTCTTTACAATGACACAAATTGTGACATTTTATAAATTAGATACTTCAGTGGATGGTCTCTGTCTCAGTTCTTTTTCAACAACTGGAGATTGAGGTGAACTTAATACACGTGGATCAACTGAATTGAAATGGAGCAGAATCTCATTTTGAGTTAATTAGGCAGATTTGGATAAACTGGCAATGCAGCATTAAAATTTCATACAGAAAACACTCCTCATTACAGGTACCTATGTATTCACTTCTAGAAGAAACAATTATTAGGCGGCTACTGTATACCAGGTGCTTGGCATACAGCAGTAAGACAGGTAAGGTGTACTGTTGGAGTCGCACTGGACATGAAGCAGACAGATTTTTAAGAAGTCAACCATCCGGATAATTTCAGACCACAGTAAATATTGCAAGAGTGACAGGAATTAGAAATTCTTGGTCCCAACCAAGAATCTACGTTCAACAGCCTAGGCACTGCTGTCATTGGGGACTGGATGATTCTGTTGTGGGGGGCCGTCCCGTACATTGTAGGATGCCTCCACCTGTTAGAGGCCAGGGGCACCCCTTTAGTTGTAACAGACAGATGTCCAGACATGGCCAGAGGTCCCCTGGGGGGAGGGGGGCCAGTGGAGAGCCATGGGGCTAAGGCCAAGGGGTCCTCTTGGCTAAAGTGGCTTTTTTTTTTGGAGACAGTTTTTTACTCTTGTTGCCCAGGCTGGAGTGCAAAGGTGCCATCTCCGCTCACCACAACCTCCGCCTCCCGGGTTCAAGCAATTCTCCTGCCTCAAGCCTCCTGCGTAGCTGGGATTACATGCATGGGCCAGCACTCCTGGCTAAAGTTTTATGTTTTAGTAGAGACAGGGTTTTTCCATGTTGGTCAGGCTTGTCTCGAACTCAGACCTCAAGTGATCCACCCACCTCAGCTTCCAAAAGTGCTGGGATTACATGTGTGAGCCACCACACCTGGCTGGCTAAAGTGACTTTTAAGCTGAGACCTAAAGGATGAAAAGAAACTCTGCACTGCCCCCACACCTCCCAAATAATTTACACTGGCTTAAGTACTCAGACCCTGCAACAAAATAGGCAACATTTTTAACCCAGTTATGGTAACAGAGAAAAGAAAGGCTCCTGGGATGAGAATCCAGGCATAAAGTCAGTTCCCACCAGGGCCGCATGAAGGGCATTGTTGCAGGTGGCTCTTAAAGCCCGGCTGCGCAAAGGCTGCTGTGGGCTGTCACAGATGGAGGCGATGCGTAACCATTTCTGTCTGGGGGTGGGGGTGATGTGGGCACTATGCCAGGCACCCCACAGCTGCGTTGCCATGGGCATTAAGTCAGGAGGCCGCACTTAGGGGAATGCAGAGGGACGTCAAGGCAGTCTTCAGGCTGCTGCTCCTGTCCTGCACCATCCTAAGTGACCCTCCCAATGCCACCTCCATCAGCGCTGTCCAGCAGAAATACCATGTGAGCCATGTATGCCATTTAAAATTTTCAGCCAGGTGCAATGGCTCAGGCCTGTAATCCCAGCACTTTGGGAGGCCGAAACAGGAGGACAGCTTGAGGCCAGGTATTCAAGACCAGCCTGGGCAGCATAGCAAAACCCTGTCTCTAACAAGGTTTTTTTGTTTTTTTTGTTTTTGTTTTTATTTTTTTTATTTTTTTTTTTTTTTTTGAGACGGAGTCTTGCTCTGTCGCCCAGGCTGGAGTACAGTGGCACCAATCTCAGCTCACTGCAACCTCTGCCTTCTGGGTTCACGCCATTCTCCTGCCTCAGCCTCCCAGGTAGCTGGGACCTACAGGCAAATGCCTCCATGCCTGGCTAATTTTTTTTTTTTTTTTTAAAGTAGAGATGGGGTTTCACCATGTTAGCCAGGATGGTCTGGATTTCCTAAACCTCGTGATCCACCCATCTCGGCCTCGCAAAGTGCTGGGATTACAGCAGTGAGCCACCGTGCCCGGCCCAGTTTTTTTTTTTTTTTTTTTTTTTTTTTTAATTAGCCACATATGGTAGCATGCTCCTGTCTTCCCAGCTACTCAGGAGGCCAGGACAGGTAGATCGCTTGAGCCCAGGAGTTCAAGTCTGCAGTGAGCAGTGATCATAGCACTACATTCCAGCCTGGGCAACAGAGTGAGATCCTGTTTCACAAAAACAAATTCTAGTAGCCCCATTAAAAATATTTTTAAAACGCAGGTGATAATTGTAATAGTTTATTTCATTTAACCCAATACATCCAAGACATTGCCATTTCAACACGCAATCCTTTTGAATCTTACTGATTTATTTTCCATTTTTGGGTACTAAGTCTGCCAAACTGGTGTGTTATTTTATGCACTGCACAGCTCTGCTCAGACGAACTGCATCTCAAGGACTCAGTGTCCTGTATGACTGGTGTCTTCCCGTATTGGGCAACAGAGCTCTGTGGACCCAACTCCCAAACCTATGTCAGCCTCATCTCTGACTGCCTAACCAACACTCCATTTGCATCACTTCATGAGCATCTCAAACCAAACTAAAAGGCATCTTTTGTTTTCTGCCCCAAAAGTGCTCCTACCCGTGACTCCCCAGCTCAGGAAGTAGAGGTTCCATCTCAGCAGCTGTGGAGGCCACCAGTCCTTGCCTCTTCCTGTCCCCTACCTCGTAATTGACCAGGTTCCTATTTATTCACTTCCTTAAGAAACAAGCACCTACTGTATACCAGTTGCCGGGCACACGGCAGTGAGCAAGACAGGTAAGGTGCACTACTGCCCTTGGTTCCACCCCTGAAATAGATCTAGATCCGACTGCTTCCAGCACCCTCCACGCCTCACCACCACCATGGTCAAAGCTGCCATTGCCTCTCATGATGTGGGTGCCACACTGTCCTCCCCAGTCACCCCCCGTGCCATCACACTGCCATTCAGGCTCCTCTCCACGCAGCAACCACTGCGACCTTTAACATTGGTTTGGATCAGTCACTCGACCACAATCCTCCGTAGGACTCCTGCCCTGCTCTGCTCCTGGTGACCTCTGCCGTGGCAGACAGTGCTTTAAAAAGTATTGGCTGGGTGCAGTGGCTCACACCTGCAATCCCAACACTTTTAGAGGCCAAGATGGGTTGGATCAGTTGAGCCCAGGAATTTTGACCAGCCTAGTCAACACAGTAACAATTCCATCTCTACAAAAAAACACAACCACATGTACACACACACACACACACACACACACACACACACACGCCAGGTGTGGTTGCATATGCCTGTGTCTCAGCTCCTCAGGAGACAGATGGGAGGATCGCTTGAGCCTAGGAGGCAGAGGCTGCCATGAGCTGTGATCACACCACTGTATTCTAGCCTGAGCAACAAAGCAAGCCCGTCTCAAAACAAAACCGAACCCTAAAATCTGCTATGAAGGGGCAGGGATGTGGGGGGCTGTCATAGAAACTTGCCCTGAGAGTGGCCTCAAAGCCTGCGCTAATGCCCCACCATCTATAGCTGAGGATTCTGAGGATTCTTTCCGACATGCATGTAAGTGATGGGTAATTGAGGCATCATTGTGTGTGAAGCGGGACCTCTGAGAACCTTGATGACTGACTGACAGGCCGAGGCAGCCTGGATTCTCCACACGGAGTGTTCCTCCTAGAGTCTGCATACATCTGTGACATGCCATCTGTGACAGACCCAACAATGGCCCCAAAGACACCCACACCCAAATCCCCGAAACCTGTGAATGTATGACCTTACAAGGGGCAGGGGGTTGAACAGTGTCCCCCAAAACTCATGCCTGCCTAGAACCTGAGTGTGGCCTTACTTGGACACAGAGGGTCTTTGCAAATGTCATCAAGATGAGGTCACACTGTATTTGAGTGAGTGCCAATCCAGTGACTGGTGTCCCTGCCAGGAGGGGGAAATCTGGACAGAGGGAAAACAGCTTGTGAAGACAGGCAGGGACTGGCGTGTGGCAGCTACAACCCAAGGTGCGTCCAGGAGTGCCGGCAACCATGACAGGCCAGGAGAGGGGCACGGGGCACCCGCCCTCAGAGGCCCCAGGAGGAGCCAGCACTGCCAACACCTGGAATTCAGACCCCTGGCCTTCAGAAGTAGAAATACATTTGTTTGTTTTGAGCCACCATCTTATGGTCACTCATGACAGCACCTCCAGGAAGCAATACACATGGTGCAAGGGCCTTTGCAGATGGGAATAACTGGAGGATCTGCAGATGGGGAGATGCCGCCGATCATCTAAGCAGCCCAGTGGCATCAGAAGAGTCCTTGGAAGAGTCAGGAGAGGAGACGTGATGGTGGAAGGAGAGAGACAAGGGACAGTATGAGACTTGAAGATGCCACCCTGCTAGCTTAGAAGATGGTGGAAGGGCCTTCACAGCTAGGGAATGCAGGCAGCCTCGGGAAACCAGAAAAGGCAGGGAACTAATGCTCCTCCTAGATGTCACCCTTTAAGTGCCAACCCCAGGGCTAACACAGGCATCCAGTGACTCCTCAAAAGCAGCCACCAGTGGTCGGCTGAGGGAGGCAGTGTGGCCAGCATCATAGCAGCAGGTGTTCCACGCCCCCTACCACCCCTGCTCCATGCCAGCCCTACACTGAGCCCTGGGATCCAGAAACAATGAGATAGGCCTGGGGAGGGGCAATTAGGAAAGGTGTTTCAAATACCTACAACAAAGTGCACTATTGGGAGACGTGTGTCATCTGTGATGCTGCTGAGGGCACCTAAAGAATTTATAACAGCAAAGACAAGGAATCAAGCTAGGTTCCCATCAATGGATTGGATAAAAACTATATGGCACGTAGAAAATGTGGTACCACGGAATACTATGCAGCCATAAAAAAACAATCACTTCGTGTGCAGCAACATGAACACAACTAGAGGCTGTTATTCCTAAGAGAATTAATGCAGGAACAGAAAACCAAATACATGTTCTCACAAGTGGAAGCTAAACATCAAGTACACATGGACACAAGCGAACAACAGACAGTGGGGCCTCCTTGTAGGTTGTAAAACCACCTAACGGAGTAGGCTTCTTACCTGGGTGACAAAATAATCCCTACACCAAACCCCCGACACCCAATTTACCCACGTAACAAACCTGCACCTCTCAACCTACAAGTTGAAGGAAAAAAAAGAATTCACAGTTTGAGGTTATCCTAAAGGATTTAGATTACATTTTCTACAGCAAAAACAGGACATAGCATCTCGTCCTAAAAATCATCCTCCTGATGAATGGGTCAACAACACCGGCTCTTTCCACACAAGGGAGGAGTGCTCAGCCTTAAAAATTAAGGCAATGCTGACACATGGATAAGGCTTGAGGACTGGTATGGTTTGGCTCTGTGTGCCTACCCAAATCTCAGGTTAAATTGTAATGCCCAGTGTTGGGGGAGGGAGGTGATTGGATCATGGGAGCAGATTTCCCCCTTGCTATTCTTTCAATAGCAAGAGTTCTCACGAGATCTGGTCATTTAAAAGTGTGTAGCACCTCCCGCTTTGCTGTTTCTCCCAACTCCACCATGATGAGATGTGCCTGCTTCCCCTTCGACTTCTGCCATGATTTTAAGTTTCCTGAGGCCTTCCAGCCACGCTTCCTGTACAGCCTGCAGAACTGTGGTCAATTACATCTCTTTTCTCTATGAATTACCCAGTCTCAGGTAGTTGGGGTTTTCAGACTGAGTCTCACTGTTGCCGAGGCTGGAGTGCAGTGGCACAATCTCAGCTCTCTGCAACCTCTATCTGCTGGGTTCAAACGATTCTACTGCCTCAGCCTCCCGAGTAGCAGAGATTACAGGTGCATGCCACCATGTCCAGCTAATTTTTTGTATTTAGTACACACAGGGTTTCACCATGTTGGTCAAACTGCTGTGCAACTCCTGACCTCAGGTGATCCACCCACCATGGCCTCCCAAATTGCTGAGATTACAGGTGTGGAGCCACCGTGCCCGGCCTCAGGCAGTTCTTTATAGCAATGAGAGAACGGACTAATGCGAGGACATTATGCTGACGGAAATAAACCAGTCACAAAGAATGAGCGATTCTGTATGATTACACATATGGCATTTCCTAGAAGAGCCAAATTCAAAGGGAGAGAAGGTAGAGTGCCAGTGGCCAGGGGTTGGAGGAAAGGTAGATAAGAAGTTCGTGTTTAATGTGTGTAGAGTTTGTTTGGGAAGATGGAGTAGTTCTGGAGATGGACGACAGTGTCAGCTGCATAATGACTTCAATGTACCGAATACCACACAACAGCACCCTCACCAGATAGGTAACATGAGACAGTTTATGTTACGTGTATTTTACCACAGTGAAATCCCTAGTCATCACCCCGATTTCTCAGATGAGATTGAAGCCCAGAGGGGCAAGAAGCTTGCCCACGTGCCCACAGCTTTGACGCAGCATTACTGCCGATTCAAACCCAAGCTTTTCCATCCCAAAATCTTAGCCCTGACCACTGAGTGAAAGGGCAGCTAGGAGGATGGTGAAAGAAACGTGGGATTGTTTTCCTATCCTGTGCTGTTAACTGGGTCTGACACCAGTTGGGACGGCCAACCAAGTTTGCTGGAGATTTTAAGTCAAACAAGGTTAACATTTATCACAGGCCTGTTCAGCAGCTTATGGCAAGAGGTCAACTTTTTGATCACACAGAATAGATGGGAGTTACCACCCAAGACAGGGCTGGACCACGTGACTTCTGATGTGCTGCCAGCCATGAGGAGGTCGATTAAGTACCCTGGGGAGGTGGCAGGACTCCTCCGTAAAACCAGCCCACTGCAAAGGGGGTTTCCCTCTGATGACACAGCCAGCGCTTCACAGTTCCCCATGGCCACCCTCTCAAACATTATGTTCAGACCAGAAAAATCAGATTAAAGAATGGAACCCCTTGCAAGCCCACGCATGAGAAGGCTCATGACTAGCTGGACGTGATGGCTCACACCTGTAACCACAGCACCTTTGGAAGGCAGAGGTAGGCAGATCACCTGAGGTCAGGAGTTGGAAACCAGCCTGGCCAACATGGTGAAACCCTTTGTTCTACTCAAAATAAAAAAGTTAGCCAGGCACGGCGTTGCACATTTGTAATCCTAGCTACTTAGGAGGCTGAGGCAGGAGAATTGCTTGAACCCAGGAGGCAGAGGTTGCAGTGAGCCAAGAGCATGCCATTGTACTCCAGCCTGGGCAACAGAGTGAGACTGTCTCAAAAAACAAACAGGCACTGACTGTGGCAAGGGAGTCAAGGGCTTGAGGTGGGGGTCTCCTACCAAGGCCTGGCTCTGCCCCACCTGGCTATGGGAGCTGAGCCTTGTCTATCAACCTCTCCAGGCCTCAATGTCTTCAATCTGGAAAATGACCTTCCTGCTGGTCATTGTATTAAATGAGTAAGATGTAGAGAGTGCTCAGAACACCGTTTGTCTCTAAGCAAGCGTTTCTGAAGGGTCTTCTCACATCTGTGAACACAGCTGTTGTTCAATGCCTCACACTCTTCCCCTAGCTCATTCTTCCACTTTCTCTGCTCTGACCCCAATCCTGGTCCATGGCAAGATGCCTGGGGCACAACCCGGGAGCCAGAAACATCTCAGACAGTGAACGCACCAGTGAGCCGCTGGCCACCTTTTCTTATTTAAAACCCTCAGTCCCACGAGGCAGGAATTCTCGACCCCCATTTTCCCCAACGGGGGAACTGAGCCTTGGAGAAGGTAAATTACATAGAAACCAAAAAACCCTAAAAGCAGCTGAAAGACTCAAGAACGACATGGAGAATGGCTCGAGCAGGGACGCTATCCTTCGAGGCCTGTTTGTCAGATGGGACCAACAGCATTACTCACCTCATGCGGTTGTCGGGAGGAACAAATGAGGCAATGGAGCATCAAGCATACAGTAAGTGCTCAATGGATGGTCAGTCCGATCCTCTTTGGTGTGGAGACTGGATAGTCCCATTAAGTCGTTCCACCGCAGCAGACAAAGGCCCATAGACTTATTTCAGGACACCCTGTATTGCTAATGATTATTTTTATTTATTGAGCACTTACTGTGTGTCAGATCCTGGGCTACTAAGCCCTTGATGTTTACCCTTCAAAGCCGTTACAAGACTTACAGCAATGCTGGAAGGAATCTGAGGCCTAGAGAGGTGGTGAAACGTGCTCAAAACCACACAGCACTGAATGGTGGACTTAAGTGCAAGGACAGCGTGTTGTGGGGTTGGGGTTGGGGTTGGGGTTGGGGTTGGGGTTGGGGGGAATCGAGACTGCTGTATCCCAGCCTCACCACTGCCCCCCAGGACACCTGACTCACTCCCCAAGGTATTATGGGCACAGAGAGATGAGCAGCTCAACGAAGACATGCCTTTTCTAGGAAAAAAACTAGTTTCTTCTAATATTCATTTTATGTCGCGGACGTCCTTACTTCTCCATGAGACGCCCAACTGCCAGGTCTGCCTGTTCCGTTTCCCGCCCTTTCTCCTAAAAGGAGCAGTATTACTCCGTGTTCTTGCTCTTTACAGAACCAGGAGTTCTGGGAAACAGTAAGGTGAGTCCTGTGTGCACAGGCTTTGGAATTTGTCAGTCCCCCTGCAGTGACCTGCCAAGCTGTCACCCCGGGACACAAGTGCAGCCTGCAGCTCAGGGAGGCCACCTTCTGCCTCGCAAACATCAGCATCATCACCATGGGTGACAGAGGCACTGAGTATGGTAAAACCCAGTCACCAGAGGTTGACAACCCTGCGTCCCTCCGCCACCCTCCTCCAACTCTGGTGAGGCTGTCTGGGTGGCAGCAGCTCTCCATGCCTTCAGCCCGGCCAGCTTTGCTTCCTCAGCTCCTAGTCTCCCAGAGTGACACTAAAAACCCACCCAGCTCAGTTCCTTGGTGGGCTGTACACTTGACCACACCCCAGCATCACCCAAAGGACTGGAGAGGGAGGGGACCGTGTTGGTTTTATTCACCATTGTCGGAACATAATAGACACTCAGTTAAGTGAATGAATAATTCAGTGAATGAATGAACTAAGTAACGATTACTTGCTGTTAGGCTCCTCTCCCTCTCTCCTGGTGAAAAAGCATAATTATCCCACCGCCATCCACGAGATTTCCGACAGGCTGGCTGTGAAAACACCAACTAGACCCTATGCCCTCAGCTGTTACAGCTCAGAGCCAAGACCCTGACCCACTGTGTCTCAGTGATGGCTGCATGTGCCTCATGTCTGGTCGGGAGCAGCTGCTCTGTGGAAGGGGGTGACATGTTGGTCTTCCAAGCCTCTGCCATGTGTAGACAACCCAGCTCAGGTGGCTACAAACCCTGAACCAGGACTGGAACCAGGGGATGGGGGTTTATCTGGATCTCAAAAGCCTCCTTGGGGTAGGGTGCAGTGGCTCACATCTGTAAATCCCAGCACTTTAGGAGGCCAAGGCAGGATTGCTTGAGCCCAGAAGTTCAAGACCAACCTGGACAACATAGTGAGACTCCATCTCTACAAAATAATAAGTAAACAGCTGGGTGTGGTGGTACATGCCTGTAGTCCCAGGTACTTGTGAGGCTGAGTTAGGATTACCTGGGCCCTGGGAGGTTGAGGCTGCAGTGAACCATAATCACACCACGGCAGTCCAACTTGTGTGACAAAGCAAGACTTAAAAAAAAAAAAAAAAAGCAAGAAAGCCTCCTTGGATCATGGGATCTCAGCTTGCCCTCATCCCTGAAAAGCATCCCAGAGACTGCCTCCAAGGACACAGACGGCCTCCAAGGACAAGGGTTCATAGTAGCAGAAATCTAGGACACCCCTGTATCCTGTGCCAGGGGAATCCTGTGTTCTCTGAAGAGGGGCTTTCCCTAAGTGTCCCTCCTGTGGTTACTTAACCCTGAGGAGGAAGAGCAAGAGCAACATCCCAATCCACCCAAGGCTCAAAATGTTCTGAGACTGAATATCGTAATTTTTTTTTTTTTTTTTTTTTTGAGACGGAATCTCACTGTCACCCAGGCTGGAGTGCAGTGTAGCAGTCTCGGCTCACGGCTACCTCTGTCTCCCGGGTTCAAGCAATTTTCCTGCTTCAGCCCCTCAGTAGCCATAACAGCTTTTTCATTCTTTGAAAACCAGAAGTGTTTCCCTATTCTGCATGAAATGAGTTAGTTGAATTCGAGTAGGCTGCTTCATCAAGATACATGAACCCATGGAAAGTGATTTTGATTTCTCTGCAGTGCAACTGCAATGTCTTAAAAAAAAAAAAAAAAAGAAAAGAAAAGTTAGGACTGAATCTCACTGTCACCCAGGCTGGAGTGCAGTAGGCGCCATCTCAGCTCACTGCAACCTCCACCTCCCGGTTCGAGCAATTCTTGTGCTTCAGCCTCCCAATTACAGGCACATGCCATCACGCCTGGCTAATTTTTGTTTTTTCGTAGAGACTGGGCTTTGCCACGTTTACCAGTCTGGTCTTGAACTTCTGACCTCCGGTCATCCAACCACCTCAGCCACCCAAAATGCTGGGATCACAGGCCTGAGTCACCACGGCAGGCCTTATCTGCCTTTTTTCTTTGACTATTGTTACTGTAGCTTGCATTTGTTTCTGTTTGAAGGATCACAAACGCTGCTGTACTTCCGTGTCTCCCTCTATTTGGCAACCTCTCAAGGGTAAGGACTGAAGGCTGGGTGTTTGGCCCCTTTGTCTACATCCTTTCCCAGTTTTATCTGCTGCTTTCAACACTGCCCATACACTTGAGACTCTCCCATGTAGATATCTCCTAGGCATCTCAGATGTAACATGGCTCAAGTAGAAACCCTGAGGCCTCCCCCACCCTGCTCCTTCAGTCTCTCATGATGGTACAGGCACCTCCACCCAGCATTTCAAGCTCACACCTGAGTCATACCTGACTCTTCTGCCTTCACCGACTTCCCACAATACCCAACACATCAGCAAGTCCCATCTGCTCTACATGCAATACCTGTCATGTGTTGATGAATATCCCCATAAGATCCAGGGGTCCTCCCGGAACCTCAGAATTTTACCTTATTTGGAAATAGATAAATAGGTCTTTGTAGATATAGTTACATTAAAGTCAAGTCATACTAAATTCGAGTGGGTCCTCCATCTAATGCTCAGAGCCCTTCTAAGAAGGCAGAACATGGAAATAGAGATGACCAAGGCTCCGTAAAAAGACAGACCCTGCGGAAATAGAGATGACCAAGTCTTGGTAAAGAGACAGATAGAACCTGGAGCCACACATCCTTGCACTGAGAAATGCCTAGGACTGGCAGAAACCACAGGAAGCCAAAGAAGGGGTCTTCACAGAAAGGAGGGCCCCGCCCACAACGCAATTCCAGCCTTCTCACCTCCAGAATTGCTGGGGAACAAACTTCCACTAAGCCACCAAGTCCATGGCCATGCGTTACAACAGCCCTAAAAAGAAACTAACTTGGCCAGGCATGGTGGCTCACACCTGTAATCCCAGCACTTTAGGAGGCTGAGGCAGGTGGATTAGCTGAGGTCAGGTGTTAAGAGACCAGGCTCTCCAATGTGGTGAAACCTCATCTCTATTAAAAACACAAAAATTAGCCAGGCATGGTGGTGGACGCCTGTAGTCTCAGGCACTTGGGAGGCAGAGGTGACACAATTGGTTAAACCCGGGAGGTGGAGGTTGCAGTGAGCTGAAATTGCGCCACTGCACTCCAGCCTGAGTGACAGTCAGACTCTATTCCAAGGAAAAAAAAAACCCCAACACACTTCTCCACCCACACCCATCTACATCACTCCATCTCTGCTGCCATGCTCTCTTCTAGGTCACCGTGAGCATCTGCTGAGACACGCTAAAAGCCTTCTGCTGATCTCTGCCCTATCCCCGTACCTTTATTTCCCCATCAGACACCACATATTTTATATGCACACATATACCTCCATACGATGTAAATTTAACATGCAAACACATAAGCACTATACACACATGTATATACATGTGTGTATATGTATGTGTGTATTAGGACAGTCTTACTCCTGTAACTCAGCCTGGAGTGCAATGGTGCTATCAACTTCCAGGCTCAAGCAATCCTCCCATCTTGGCCTCCTGAGTAGCTGGGATTACAAGCACACACCACCACGCTGGACTAATTTTTTGTATTTTTAGTGGACTTGGGGTTTTGCCATGTTGCCCAAGCTGGTCTCGAGCTCCTGGGCTCACACGATCCTCCCCGCCTCTGCCTCTCAAAGTACTCGGATTACAGGCCTAAGCCAATGGGCCCACCCCATAAGCTGTAGGTTAAATAGGTATAGGTATGTATATGTCATCTGTACATACATATGCTTGCGACTTCCTCCAAATACAGCATCCTCCACCGTAGAATGTTCCCTGCCGCCCCTTTCCAGCTAATTCCCACTCTGAACTCAGCAAGGCAGCTGCTTCCTGATTTCTGTCACCATGGAGGAGTTGGCCTATTCCCGGATGTCATGTAAATCACATCGCATAGTGTGCAAACAGTCCCGTCTGGCCTCTCTTACTCAACATAATCTTTGAGATTCGTCCACAGTGTTGTATGTATCAATAATTCATTCTCTTATCACACTTATATTCCACTGTAGCCAGTGATGTTTGTAAAACAATCAGAGGCTGGGGGCAGTGGCTCACACCTGTAATCGCAGCACACTTTGGGAGGCCGAGGCACGTGGATCACCTGAGGTCAGGAGTTCGAGAACAGCCTAGCCAACATGGCAAAACCCTGTCTCTACTAAAAAATAGAAAAACTAGCCGGGTGTGGTGGCGCACGCCTGTAAGTCCCAGCTATTCGGGAGGCTGGGGCACGAGAATCACTTGAACCTGGGACATGGAGATTGCAGTGAGGCAAGATGGTGCACTGCACTCCAGCATGAGTAACCGAGCAAGACTGCATCTCAAAAAAAAAAAAAAAAAAAAAAAAGTATCAGAGATCATTCCCTGTGCTGAAAACTCAAAGCTGCCTGCAGGGTTGGACTGAAACATTAGCCCACCACTGCAGCCCACTGGTGTTAGGTGGTCCCGGTTCCTGCCCACCACGACCATCTCTCCTCCTCCCCAGACCCAGCATGTCCCAGGCTCAAGGTGACGCTTACCTAAACACTTGTGCCTATGGAATCCTCCTCACCCTGTTCAACTCATCACAGGGAGGTTTTCCCTCATCATTCTGTCTGAAACCACCACACGCACTGCTGTATTCCCAAATAGCTAAGTGGGAGTTAGAGTGATGACTTCACCTTACTCTGTGCTGCCCTCTCAGCTCCTAGAATAACTTCCTGGCAGAGCAGTTCACCCTCAAATATTTCAGTGAATGATCTGCAGAAAGCTTCAAGCATAGGTTATGCCTTTTGTATCATTCACGAGTGCCATTTGTTGATACCTCCGGTTTTCTTCTAAGCACCCTGTGAGGTTAGAAGTAGTCAGGCATCCTGGTTTGGCCAATAACATTTGAAAGGAAGTCATCTATGTCCATTCCAGGTGTGAGCTCAGAAGGCTGGTGTGGGATCTACCTTCCCTTCCCTCTGCTGTGGGTGATGATCACCAAGCTCATGTGGAGACCCTCCACCAGCCTCCTCCCAGGGGAGCCACAGTGCCCAAAGCCCCCCAAGCTGGCCTGTACTGAATGGATACCTCAAGCAAGGAACAAATTTATTATGTGAAAACAATGCCCTTTGGGGGTGTTTGTTATTGCAACATAACCTACAGTATCCTCAGTTTTTTCCATATACACCCTCCACATTCCCCTCCTGCCTTTTTTCTGGGGGGTGATAGTCTGTCACCCAGACTGCAGTGCAGTGATGCAATCTCAGCTCCCTGCAACCTTCACCTCCTGAGTTGAAGAGATTCTCATACCTCAGCCTCTGGAGTAGATGGGGCTGCAGGTGAAGGCCACCACGCCGAGACAGTATTGTATGGGTGTGTATTTTAGTAGAGACAAGGTTTCACCACGTTGGCCAGGCTGGTCTCTAACTCCTGACCTCAGGCAATCCACCAATCCACCTGCCTCGGCCTGCCAAAGCACTAGGATTACAGGTGTGAGCCACTGCGCCTGACTTCAGCCTCCTGCTTTTAACTTAAGGCCACAACCTATTGATCCCCAAATTCACACGGGTTATCCCTGTTGTTCTTCACACAACTACTGACCTGTATTTTCATTGCTCACTTGACACTGCTGCCTGGCATCTCAACCTCTCAAAGTTCGTATTTCCAAAGGGAGCTCCTAGTCCTGCTCTCAAACCTGTTCCACCTCCAATCTTCCCCTCCCAGAGTCCCTGAGTAACTGCAGTGAGTAGGCCAGAAACTGGAGTTGGCTTTCAGTCCTTCCTTTCACACCTCACACACCTGATTTGTCAGCAATTCCTATCAAAATACATCCAGATCCAGCCAGGCATGGTGGCTCATGCCTGTAATTCCAGAGTTTGAGAGTCCAAGACGGGAGGACCACTTGAGACCTAGAGTTTGAGACCAGCCTGGACAATATAGCAAGACCTCATTTCTGCAAAAAGGTTTTAAAAATTATGTTAGCCAGGCATGGAGACCTGTGCTCCTAGCTACCCGGAAGGCTGAAGCAAGAGGACTGCTTGAGCTCAGGAGGTCAAGGCTGCAATGAGCTATGATCATGCCACTGTACTCCAGGCGTGTGTCACAGAGTGCGACCCTGTGTTCAACAAAACAAGGCAGGGTGCAGTGGCTCATGCCTGTAATCCTAGCACTTTCAGAGGCTGAGGCAGGCAGATCATCTGAGATCACGAGTTCAAGACTAGCCTGGCCAACATATAGTGAAACCCCATCTCTATGAAAAATTAAATGAAAAGATAAAATACCAACATTAGCTGGGCATGGTGGCACACGCCTATAGTCCCAGCTACTTGGGAAGCTGAGGCAGGAGAATCACTTGAACCTGGGAGGTAGAGGTTGTAGTGAGCCAAGATAGCACAATTTCACTTCGAGTCTTTGTGACATAGCAAGACTCCATCTCTCAAAATAAATCTTGGAACCCCAAACTCATTCAGCCAAAGGGAAAAGTCAAGCTGGAAACTGGGTCACGCAAACCTGTCTCCCCTTTTCCTTCTTAAACAAGATGGTGACAAGATTAAGAGCTACAAGCCTCTTCCGTATTTTACCCATGAAGAAATTATGAGCTCCAAGATCCTTAACCCTAAGGTCTTTCTGTTAAAATGTCCCCACGGCAATGTAAATTGATAGCTCATCTTCAGAGGTGCAGTCACCCAGGGCCCACCAGGAACAAATGCGTATCTGATTGTTCCCTGCCCCATTTTGTCTGTTATCTTATGTAAACATGTAGATTCCCTGTATTTTTCCTCTGCCCCAATTATCTGCCATCTTATGTAAAAAACGCAGATTGACTGAGCCAAAGGCACAAATGACTTTTTCCCTTCCCAGCTCTTACATGACAACTGTGTGCTTCTTAATATCCTCTAAATTTGGAGCCTTCAAAATCATCTTCAGAGAAAGGCATAGACTTGTCTCCTAGGCACACATCCTTATCTTTGGCAAATAAACCTCCTAAAATGATTGAGACCTGTCTCATCATTTTTCTTGACTGACAGCCCAATGGATGCTCTAGAGTGAGCTGAACCTGATGGGATTCCTGTGATTATGTTACCTTATGTGGAAGCAAAAGGGATTTCACTGATGTAATTAAGGTTACTAATCAGTTGACTTTGAGCTAATCCAGAAGGAGATTATCTGGGGGACCTGGCGTACTTGCCTGAGCCAAGGGCTCACAGATTGAAGTGGCCAAAATCTCAAAGTGTGGGAAGGATTTGAAGTCCCATTGCTGGTTTAGCAGATGGAGGGTGCTGTATGTAAAGGAACATGGGTAACATTAAGGTGCTAATTGCCACCCCAACTGATGACCAGCAAGGCAACAGGGACCATGGTTGTTGGCTCCAAGGAACAGAACCCTGCAAGTGGCAAGAAAGAGCTTGGCTATAATCCCAGCACTTGGGGAGGCTGAGGAAAGTGGGTCACTTAAGGTCAGGAGTTTGATACCAGCCTAAGACAGTGAAACCCCATCTCTACTAAAAATACAAAGATTAGCCAGGCATGGTAGTGCACACCTGTAATCCCAGCCACTCAGGAGGCTGAGGCAGGAGAATCACTTCAACCCGGGAGGTGGAGGTTGCAATGAGTCAAGATTGTGCCACTGTACTCCAGCCTGGGCAGCAAAGGGATATTCCTTCTCCCACAAAAAAAAAAAAAAGCTTAGAAGTTTGCTCCTTATATCCTCCGGGTGAGGATTCAGTTCAGCTTTATAATACCTTGAGCAGAGAACCTAGGCACACTCTGATAAACTGAGTCTACACAGCTATACATGTAGGCTGTTTCTATCTGCTATGTTTGTGGTAATTCTTAATGCAGCAACAGAAAGCAAATACAAATAACGACCTTCAATCCCAAGGGCAGGGAAATATGTTCGCAATATCCTATTGCATAAACAACTTAGGTCCAGGAAATAAAGAACTCCTGCAAAGCAATGAGGACAACAACCACCTGATAGAAAAATGAGCAAAAGACCTGAAGACACACTTCATTAAAAAATAGCTAATAGGCCAGGCACAGTGGCTCATGCCTGTAATCCCAACACTTTGGGAGGCCGAGACAGGTAGATCATTTGAAGTCAGGAGTTGAAGAACAGGCTGGCTAACACGGTAAGACCCCTTCTCTCCTGAAAACACAAAAATCAGCCAAGTGTGGTAGCAGGCATCTATAGTCCCAGTTACTCAGGAGACTGAGGCAGGAGAATCACTTGAGCCTGGGAGTCAGAGGTTGCAGTGAGCCAAGATTATGCCACTGCATACCATCGTGGCAAACAGTGAGACTGTCACCAAAAAAAAAAAAAAAAAAAAAAAAAAAAAGGGCTAATAAACATGTGAAAAAGCATTGAGTCATTAGTCATCAGGAAAATGCAAATTAAAACAGCACTTCATACTCATCAAAATCTGAAAATGAAGAAAGGCAGGAAATAGTAAGTTTTGGTCTGGATATGATGAAACTGCAATTCTCATACACCCCTGGCAGGAGATCTTAGGAAGACTGATCTGTCTCCTGAGGTTGAATAGATGCCTATCCTATGATCCAGTGATCCACCTGTCAGGTATATAGCCAATAAAATTTAGCTCACATGTCCAAGACAAGACATCCACAGGAATATTTAAATGTGCATAATGCCCATCAATGATATACTGGATAAAGAAAATGTGGTATATGAACACAATACTAAGCAGCCATAAAAAGGAACAAGATCATGTGCTTTGCAAAGATGGATGGAACTGGAGCCCATTATCCTCAGCAAACTAACACAGAACAGAAAACCAAATACCACATATCCTCACTTATAAGTGAAAGCTCCACAATGGTAACATATAAACACATTGGAGGAACAACTCACACTTTGGGGCCTGTGGTGGGGGTGGGGGAGGGAGAGCATAAGAATAGCTAATGCAGGCTGGGCACAGTGGCTCACACCTGTAATCGCAGCACTTCAGGAGGGCGAAGCAGACCTATCACCTCAGTTTGGGAGTTTGAGACCAGCCTGGGAAACATGGTAAAACCCTGTCTCTATTAAAAATACAAAGAGGACAACCAAGATGGCCCAACAGGAACAGCTCTGATCTACAGCTCCCAGCATGAGTGACACAGAAGACACAATTTCTCCATTTCCATCTGAAGTACTGGGTTCATCTCACTAGGGAGTGCCAGATAGTGGGCACAGGACAGTGGGTGAAGTGCACCCTGCGCAAGCCAAAGCAGGGCAAGGCATTGCCTCACTCAGGCAGCACAAGGGGTCAGGGAGCTCCCTTTCCTAGTCAAAGAAAGGGTTGACAAACGGCACCTGGAAAATCAGGTCACTCCCACCTGAATACTGCGCTTTTCCAAAGCAGCGCACCAGGAGATTACATCCCACACATGGCTCGGAGGGTCCTATGCCCACTTGAGTGTCGCTGATTGCTAGCACAGCAGTCTGACATCAAACTGCAAGGCGGCAGTGAGGCTGGGGGAGGGGCACCCGCCATTGCCCAGGCTCACTTAGGTAAACAAAGCAGCCGGGAAGCTCGAACTGGGTGGAGCCCACCACAGCTCAAGGAGACCTGCCTGCTTCTGTAGGCTCCACCTGTGGGGGCAGGGCACAAACAAGAAGACAGCAGTAACCTCCGCAGACTTAAATGTCCCTGTCTGACAGCTTTGAAGAGAGCAGTGGTTCTCCCAGCACGCAGCTAAATATCTGAGAACGGGCAGACTGCCTCCTCAAGTGGGTCCCTGACCCCCAAGCAGCCTAACTGGAAAGCACCCCCCCGTAGGGGCAGACTGACACCTCACAAGGCCGGGTACTCCTGAGACAAAACTTCCAGAGGAACGGATCAGACAGCAACATTCGCAGATCATGAAAATCCGGGGTTCTGCAGCCACCACTTCTGGTACCCAGGCAAACAGGGTCTGGAGTGGACCTCTAGCAAAATCCAACAGACCAGCAGCTGAGGGTCCTGTCTGTTAGAAGGAAAACAAAGGACATCGACACCAAAAACCCATCTGTACATCACCATCAAAGACCAAAAGTAGATAAAACCACAAAGATGGGGAAAAAAACAGCAGAAAAACTGGAAACTCTAAAAAGCAGAGCACTTGTCCTCCAAAGGAATGCAGTTCCTCACCAGCAATGGAACAAAGCTGGACAGAGAATGACTGACGAGTTCAGAGAAGTCGGCTTCAGATGATCAAACTACTCCGAGCTACAGGAGGAAATTCAAACCCAAGGCAAAGAAGTTAAAACCTGAAAAAAGATTTAGATGAATATATAACTAGAATAACCAATACAGAGAAGTGCTTAAAGGAGCTGATAGGGCTGAAAGCCAAGCCTCAAGAACGATGTAAAGAATGCAGAAGCCTCAGGAGCCGATTCACTCAACTGGAAGAAAGGGTATCAGTGATGGAAGATCATATGAAATCAAGCAAGAAGGGAAGTTGAGAGAAAAAAAAGAAAAAAAGAACAAAAAAGGAGAAAAGCCTCCAAGAAATATGAGACTGTGAAAAGACCCAATCTACGCCTGATTGCTGTACCTTAAAGTGACGGGGAGAATAGAACCAAGTTGGAAAACACTCTGCAGGATATTATCCAGGAGAACTTCCCCAATCTAGTAATGCAGGCCAACATTCAGATTCAGGAAACACAGAGAATGCCGCTAAGATACTCCTGGAGAAGAGCAACTCCCAGACACGTAATTGTCAGATTCACCAAAGTTGAAATGATGGAAAAAACGTTAAGGGCAGCCAGAGAGAAACGTCAGGTTACCCACAAAGGGAAGCCCATCAGACTAACAGCTGATCTCTCAGCAGAAACTCTACAAGCCAGAAGAGTAGGGGCCAGTATTCAACATTCTTAAATAATTTTCAACCCAGAATTTCATATCCAGCCAAACTAAGCTTCATAAGTGAAGGAGAAATAAAATACTTTACAGACAAGCAAATGCTGAGAGATTTTGTCACCACCAGGCCTGCCCTGAAAGAGCTCCTGAAGGAGGCAGTAAACATGGAAAGGCGCAACAGGTACCAGCCACTGCAAAACCATGCCGAAATGTAAAGACCATCAAGACTACAAAGAAACTGCATCAACTAACGAGCAAAATAACCAGCTATCATAATGACAGGATCAAATTCACCCATAACAATATTAACTTCAAATGTAAATGGACTAAATGCCCCAATTAAAAGACACAGACTGGCAAATTGGATAAAGAGTGAAGACCCGACAGTATGCTGTATTCAGGAAACCCATCTCATGTGCAGAGACACAGATAGGCTCAAAATAAAAGGATGGAGGAAGATCCACCAAGCAAATGGAAAACAAAAAAAGGCAGGGGTTGCAATCCTAGTCTCTGATAAAAGACTTTAAACCAACCAAGATCAAAAGAGAGAAAAAAGGCCATTACATAATGGTGAAGGGATCAATTCAACAAGAGCTAGCTATCCTAAATATATATGCACCCAATACAGGAGCACCCAGATTCATAAAGCAAGTCCTGAGTGACGTATAGACAGTCTACCATTATTATTGTGTGGGAGTCTAACACCCCACTGTCAACATTCCACAGATCAACGAGACAGAAAGTTAAGATACCCAGGAATTTAACCCAGCTCTGAACCAAGCAGACCTAATAGACATCTACAGAACTCTCCACCCCAAATCAACAGAATATTTTTTTTTCAGCACCACACCACACCTATTGCAAAATTGACCACATAGTTGGAAGTAAAGCACTCCTCAGCAAATGTAACAAACTCTCTCAGACCACAGTGCAATCCAACTAGAACTCAGGATTAAGAAACTCACTCAAAACCACTCAACTACATGGAAACTGAACGACCTGCTCCTGAATGACTACTGGGTACATAACGAAATGAAGGCAGAAATAAAGATTATCTTTGAAACCAACGAGCACAATGACAAGATACCAGAACCTCTGGGACACATTCAAAGCAGTGTGTAGAGGGAAATTTACAGCACTAAATGCCCACAAGAGAAAGCAGGAAAGATCCAAAATTGACACCCTCACATCACAATTAAAAGAACTAGAAAAAAAGCAAGAGCAAACACATTCAAAAGCTAGAAGGCAAGAAATAACTAAAATCAGAGCAGAACTGAAGGAAATAGACACAAAAAACCCTTCAAAAAAAATGAATCCAGGAGCTGGTTTTTTGAAAGGATCAACAAAATTGATAGACCAATAGCAAGACTAAAAGAAAAAAAGAATCAAATAGATGCAATAAAAAATGATAAAGGGGATATCACCACTGATCCAACAGAAATACAAACTACCATCAGAATACAACAAACACCTCTACACAAACTACGCAAATAAGCTAAAAAATCTAGAAGAAATGGATAAATTCCTTGACACATACACCCTCACAAGACTAAACCAGGAAGAAGGTGAATCTCTGAATAGATCAATAACAGGCTCTGAAATGGTGGCAATCATCAATAGCTTACCAACCAAAAAGAGTCCAGGACCAGATGGATTCACAGCCAAATTCTACCAGAGGTACAAGGAGGAGCTGGTACCATTCCTTCTGAAACTATTCCAATCAATAGAAAAAGAGGGAATCCTCCCTAACTCATTTTATGAGACCAGCATCATCCTGATACCAAAGCCAGGCAGAGACAACCAAAGAAAATTTTAAGTCCAATATCCTTGATGAACATTGATACAAAAATCCTCAATAAAATACTGGCAAACCTAATCCAGCAGCACATCAAAAAGCTTATCCACCATGATCAAGTGGGCTTCATCCCTGGGATGCAAGGCTGGTTCAATATACAGAAATCAATACATGTAATCCAGCATATGAACAGAAGCAAAGACAAAAACCACATTATCTCAATAGATGCAGAAAAGGCCTTTGACAAAATTCAACAACCTTTATGGTAAAACTCTCAATGAATTAGGTATTGATGGGACGTATCTCACAATAATAAGAGCTATCTATGACAAACCCACAGCCAGTATCATACTGAATGGGCAAAAACTGGAAGCATTCCCTTTGAAAACTGGCACAAGACAGGGATGCCCTCTCTCACCACTCCTATTCAACACAGTGTTGGAAGTTTTAGCCAGGGCAATTAGACAGGAGAAGGAAATAAAGGGTATTCAATTAGGAAAAGAGGAAGTCAAATTGTCCCTGTTTGCAGACGACATGATTGTGTATCTAGAAAACCCAATTGTCTCAGCCCAAAATCTCAAGCTGATCTGAGACTTTGCTGAAGTTGCTTGATACAAAATCAGTGTACAAAAATCACAAGCATTCTTGTACACCAATAATAGACAGAGCCAAATCATGAGTGAACTCCCATTCACAATTGCTTCAGAGAATAAAATACCTAGGAATCCAACTTACAAGGGATGTGAAGGACCTCTTCAACGAGAACTACACAAACCACTGTTCAATGAAATAAAAAGATACAAATAAATGGAAAACTATTGCATGCTCATGGGTAGGAAGAATATTGTGAAAATGGCCATACTGCCCAAGGTAATTTATAGATTCAATGCCATCCCCATCAAGCTACCAATGACTTTTTTCACACAATTAGCAAAAACTACTTTAAAGTTCATATGGAACCAAAAAAGAGCCCGCTTAGCCAAGTCAATCCTAAGCCAAAACAACAAAGTTGGAGTCATCACACTACCTGACTTGAAACTATCCTCCAAGCCTACAGTAACCAAAACACCATGGTACTGGTACCAAAACAGATACATAGACCAATGGATCAGAACAGAGCCCTCAGAAATAAAGCCGGATATCTACAACTATCTGATCCTTGACAAACCTGAGAAAAACAAGCAATGGGGAAAGGATTCCCTATTTAATAAATGGTGCTGGGAAAACTGGCTAGCCAGATGTAGAAAGCTGAAACTGGATCCCTTCCTTACACCTTAAACGAAAATTAATTCAAGATGGATTAAAGACTTAAACTTTAGACCTAAAAACCATAAAAACCCTAGAAGAAAACCTAGGCATTACCATTCAGTACATAGGCATGGGCAAGGACTTCATGTCGAAAACACCAAAAGCAATGGTAACCAAAGCCAAAATTGACCAATGGGATCTAATTAAACTAAAGAGCTTCTGCACAGCAAAAGAAACTACCATCAGAGTGAACAGGCAACCTACAGAATGGGAGGAAATTTTCACAACCTACTCATCTGACAAAGGGCTAATATCCAGAATCTACAGTGAACTCAAATTTACAAGAAAAAAACAACCCCATCAAAAAGTGGGCAAAGGATATGAACACACACTTCTCAAAAGACATTTAAGAAGCCCAAAGACACATGAAAAAATGCTCACCATCACTGGCCAGAGAAATGCAAATCAAAACCACAATGAGATACCATCTCACACCAGTTAGAATAGCAATCATTACAAAGTCAGGACACAGGTGCTGGAGAGGATGTGGAGAAATAGCAACACTTTTACACTGTTGGTGGGACTGTAAACTAATTCAACCATCGTGGAAGTCAGTGTGGCAATTCCTCAGGGATTTAGAATTAGAAATACCATTTGACCCAGCCATCCCATTACTGGGTATATAGCCAAAGGACTATAAATCATGCTGCTATAAAGAGACATGCACACATATGTTTATTGCGGCACTATTCACAATAAGCAGACTTGGAACCAACCCAAATGTCTAACAATGATAGACTGGATTAAGAAAATGTGGCACATTTACATCAGGGAATACTATGCAGCCATAAAAAATGATGAGTTCATGTCCTTTGTACAGACATGGATGAAGCTGGAAACCACCATTCTCAGCCACCACACCTGGCTTTTTTTTTTTTTTTTTTGAGGGGGTAGAGAGGAGATCTTACTAGGTTGTCCAGGCTGGTCTCAAACTCCTGGGCTCAAGCCATCCTGCCGCCTTGGCCTCCAAAAGTGCTCGGATTATAGGCTGAACCACCACCCCCAGCCGTGATTCCAACGCATGAGTTTTAGGGAAGGGGGCTGGTCCAAATGGACAGGAAGTTCGCAGCTCCAGAAGGGGCCTCGATTTGAAGGGGACTGCTGTGATGGAACCTCTCTGGGTGCAGTGCTTTCAATTGTCGTCACATGCCTTTGTCAGCAAACATTGAGCATGAACAGGTTTTTTCAGCTCAGAAATTAACTGTATTCTAATATGCTGTATTACAACAGATACCCCAAAGGAAAATTTTGAAGTAAGATTTTCTAAAGTTGACTCTTAGGTTTATACATCTACCCAACGACTTGTTTTATGCGTCCCCTAGGGCACACAGACCCCATCGCAGCAACCTCGGCATTAGATGGAGTTTGTACGATTCTTCTCAACCAGCTCCCGAAGTACAATGGTAACAAATGAATTCAAGTCCAGCAGCCAAACCTTCTGTCCCAGGACAGTCATTATCTTCACAGCAGTCACCAGCCACGTTCCTCTTAAGGAACAGCCTTGGGACTCAGGCTGAGAGAATGGGACAAAAGGCACCTGGGGCCATTTCCATCGTTTCAGCTTCCTGTCCTTTTCTTCTACCTCTTTCTAGAGGTTTCCATCAAAGAGTACCGAATTGGGCTGCGCTGTGTGAAGTATGTAACTGTCTACATGCATATCACGAGAACTTCCCCAGTAGCCGGAGTATTTCTGGAAGCCACTGTGGTGGACAGCCCTTAAGACCCCAATATCTATTCCTCCTCCTTTATAGAAGGACAGAACATCCAGTTTTCAATGGGACACATGGCCACCCAGAATAAAAGCTGTTTCCCAGCCTCTTGGAAGTTACGAATGGCCATGGGACTTTGTCTCAAAAAAGAAAAGTCTTGCTCTGTCAGCCAGGCTGGAGCACAGTGACATGATCTTGGGCTCATTGTACCCTCTACCTCCTGGTTTCAAGTGTATCTCCTGCCTCAGCCTCCCAAGTAGCTGGGGTTACACGTTTGCACCCCAACCACGCCTGGCTGAGTTTTGTGTTTTTAGTAGAGATGGGGTTTTCACCATGTTGGCCAGGCTGGTCTCAAACTCCTGACCTCAGATGATCCACCTCCCTCGGCCTCCCAAAGTGCTGGGATTACAGGCATGAGTCACCAGGCCTGGCCCATGCCACTAATTTCTGGCCGTGTCCCATTCATAAGACGTCTTCCTTGCTGATGCGCTATATCCCTCACCATCCTCCCACAATCAGCCCACAAAAGATAAACCTTTTTAGACTGTCATGGAAGGAACACAGAAGAACCCTTAAGTCCCATGATAAACATGTAACCTTTGTTTGTTAGGTAACATGAATGAGAAAATGGAGACCTTCATTCTGAAGCTGTCCATCAGCGTCTGTCCATCACCACATAGGGCCCAAAAGTAAGACCCACGGTGCGTTACAAGCTGTTGTGTAGACATGACCCAAGCTTGATTTCTAGGTTTCTGGTGGCAATCCGGAACAATCCACCTCTCACTGTCCCCAATCCATAAAGAGTCCTTCAGTTGAATATCACCAGGAACAAAGTTGCTGTTAATTCTTAAGTTGCCTCTGCACAAATCACCAAAGTATTTATTCTCCTAGACAGATGCAGTCCTACACTTAGCTTCACAGGCTTGGCGAGTGGGGCACCGGTCAGGCTTCAACTCCTACAGGCTCCATCAGAGGACATCCTGGAATTGTGTGCAACCTGTTCAACTGCACATGGCAGCCTTAAAGAGGTCCAGGATTTCCATCTGAGGTATTAAGAAAAGCAATCATAACTCTTCCTTCCACTCCCCGAAAGCATCACAAGGTCTTACCCACAGAGCTCAGCTTTAGTGAGCAAACTTCTTATACCTCAAATAAGAATCCTGTTTGGACAATGAAGAATCTGCCTTTGGCTAAGTGTTGGCTGCTGTGTAGATAATGTGCATATTGCCTAAACAGTCAGGCTCTGAAAATTGGGGAACTTCATCCCATTGCAATGGAAATAGTCAAGGTAAGGGAAGGCCTGGAGATGCAGGTTGGCCTTTGTTTTCTGGGGTTCTCAGACTCAGTACCTTCACAGTTCAGGAAGCCTCTGTCCTCCTCCTCACATAGCAGATACCACCTTGATCCTGCTCATCTTCCCTGGTTTCAGTAGAAGTCATTTTTTTGAGCATCTGTTACTCACAAGGACAGGTGGCTAACACATTTTAGAGCTACCATGTTAGGTGGGAATTGACACCCAGAGCAAGGCCACACAACTAGAGTGAGCCACACTCACACTCAGGGTAGCCAACTCCCAAAGCTAGCGATCCTTGGTGAAAGTCCAAATACCAACATCAATAACACTTAAGAGCGTGTTAATGCTTATCAGTTTCTAAGCCCCAAAGTCACTACTGTTCCTTATACAAAAAACATGCCTCCAATGAATGCAAATTAAGACCACAGTGATTTGTCATTTTAGAAATACCAGGCTGGCAAAAATGTCAAAACCTAATACGTTATAGTAGGCAGAGAAATGGCCCCGTGCAAGCATCCATCTCCTCCTGTCATGGGACACATCGTGGGTCATGGCAATGGCAAGGGCAGCCCATGTGGAGCAGCTACTGCAGGATGCCAGTTGCAGAGGCGGCAGCATGGCCAGGGCTGCGCAATTCAGAGCCAGCAAGACCTGGGAACATGCATGAGCCCCACCCTCCTGGGCACAACTGCAGCCACCCGGCTGTGGTTCTGGACCCGGGCATCCCTGTGCTCTCAGGGGGCTGGGAAGCCTCCCCTCCTACCGCAGGCTCCGAAGTGCCTGTTCCCACTTCCCTGGCCTGTCCCTGGATCCGGTGCCCACTTCAATTTCAAAGCAAAGTTGTGGCCAAGCCTAGACACTTTAGTAACCCACCTGGGGGGTACATGTGCTTCGGGCAGGATTCAAACACCAGCATATACACCACCACCCCCAACCACTACCTTGGCCCCCTCTGGACTTTGGGTGGCACTAAGTGTGGGAGGGAGGTCGGGGTGGCTGAGGGCAGCTCAGCATGGGCCTGCAAGAATCCCTAGGCCCAAACAGCCTGGGTGCTGTGGACAGCATGTTGATGGCGGGAGGCAGACACGTTTCTGGACAGAAAGGGGTAGGTCCCTGGTGAAACCTCACCTTCAAAGCCAGGGATGGCCTGAAGCCCGGGCTGTCTGTTCCAGGTGGAGTGAGAACTTATACTGCTTTCACTGGGCCCACTCATGGACCAATCAGCATGTACTTCCTTTCTTCTGAGCCTCTAACAACCCCAGACTCAGCCAGACTAACACAAGTCGGGACTACCAGCTACAGGAAGGAGTTACCCACTTCGGGTCTCCTCTCTGGTGAAAGCTGGACAGTCATCAGGACAACCTGCCTTTGGGAAGAAGCTACCCTCCGCAAGCCTCCTGAGAGCTGTTCCGTCACTCAGTGAAGCTCTTCTCTACCTTGCTCACCCTCCAGTTGTCCGTGTACCTCATTCTTCTAGGAAGGAGGACAAGTACTTGGGACCCGCCAAATGGTGGGACTGAAAGAGCTGTAACAAACAGGGCTGAAACACACCCACACACACTAACTTGCCACATTGCATGTATTGAGAAGGAAAGAGTTGCAGTCCTCCAGGGAACCCAGATCTAGGGGGCTCCCCAAGCCAGGACTGTAACACCCTCTTTGGGGATCAGGAGTTCCTGGCATCTCCAAGCTTCCAGCTGCCAGCACATACCCCTTGTTCAGACAAGGGTACCCACAGAAACAGCCACATGTGGTACGTCTGGTCCAGTCAGCCTTGCAGAGTCAGCACCTGTGCCAGTACCCAGAGCTGCCTGCCCTGTTGTAGCACCCAGCACACCTGGCCATACACAGCAGCCAGGCCCCACGCTTGTCACCCACACACCCGTCGTCACTTCGTGCCTGGCTCACCCTTGGAAGGTATGGGGTTCTGGGCCAGTGGCATGAGCCAAGTGCAGCCTGCTTAGCCAGGTGAGCACAATGAGCCCAGCAGGTGTGAGCAATGCTCAGGCAGAAGGTCCCACTGACCACAGGGGTTTCCAGTTGCAAAGCAACACCCTAAGGATCTTGTGATGATGGCAAGGGGGCATGAAGGATACAGATGGGATCAAGGTTGCTAACCAGCTGAGTGTGATGGCAAGATTATCCTGGATTAGCTGGGTGTGCCCAGTGTCATTCACAGGGGTCCTTAGAAGTGGAAGCGGAGAGCAGAGAAGGTCACTGCCAAGAGATGCTCTTCGAGGATGGAAGGGGCCACAGGCCAAAGGAACACAGGTGGCCTCTAAAAGCTGGAAAAAGGAAACAGTCACCTCTAGGAGCTTCCTGAAGGGATGCAATGGACACCTTCATTTTATCCCAGAGACTCATCTCACTTTTGACGGAGATCGATGTGATCCTGTCTAGAGAAATGAACATGTGTACGCCCTGTTGCCCTATTCCCTGAAGACTCCACCCCTAGGTTAAACACTATTAGGGGCCTATTGCTCCTGTAACAGGTGACCAGAGTTAGTAGCTTAAGACATTCCTTGGGGTGTGGCCTTTTTCCTTCATCTCCAAAGCCAGATGAAGTTAGCCCCTCTCACTTCAGATCTCTCATCTTCCACTTAGTTTCACTTCTCAAGTCCTTGTAGCATCTCTCTCAACACAGCCAGGATAGGCTCTCTGCTTTTAAGAGCTTATGGAAATAAGGCCAAGGCAGCCACATCACCTGAGGTCAGGAGCTCAAGACCAGCCTGGTCAACATGGCAAAACCCCATCTCTACTAAAAATACAAAAACTAGCCTGGCATGGTGGTGCACACCTGTAATCCCAACTACTCAGGAGGCTGAGGGAGGAGTATCAGTTGAACCTTGGAGGCAGAGGTTGCAGTAAGCCGAAATCGTGCCAATGCACTCCAGCCTTGATGACAGAGCAAGCCTCAGAAAGAACTTATATTGGATGCACCTGGGTAATTCAGCATAATCTCCCCCATCTCTGTTGCTTTAATCACAGCTGCTAAGTCCCTTCTGTCCTACAAGGTAATACCCGTAGGTTCCAAGGATTATGAGGTAGACGCCTTTAAAGGACTTTGGCAGTGCCCAAGGTGTAGGGAGAGCTGATCAGCCATGGCTGCCTTCCACGTAGAGGGAGGTGCATGGTAAACAGTGTCAGGGACTAGGAGCTACTGGACACAGTGGGGCTTGGCCTCAAGGCCGCCTTCCATAAAAGCCCACTACTCTGTTGCTGTGGGGTTGAGTGAAGCACAAACAGCAACGCAAGCAGCCCCGACGGGAGGCTCCTGCAACATCCATGCAGGCGGTTCCAGAAGCCCAGCCCAGGGCTCCCATGTAGGAAGAGACCCCCCAGTGGACTGATTCAAGGGGTGCCCACAGTGGCCTGCCGTCTCAGACTCGGGGTAGGGGACAGGATGAAGGAGGTATGTCGGTAGCACATCCCTTCCACCACCTCCTCCCATAAACAGACTGCAAAAACTGCTGACACTCCCTGAAGTTCCTCCTCTGTCCCCGGAGGAACATTTGACGTGAAACACGGTCGTCATTTGCCATGTGCTGAGAGAGGCCCTGGCGGAAGAAGACGCATGTTAATGAGGAGGGAGTTGAAGGGGAATGGAAGAAAATGACCACCATCTGCTCCAGGGCTTTGGGGAAAGGGAGAGACTAGGACAGATGTAGAGTCAGTGACCCCAATTTAGTCTCAACTGCAGCTGTCTCAAGGTCTGGGCTGTAAGGGCCCAGGTGTCCTTGGTGATGCCCTTAGCAGGCAGAGGCCATTTCCATGGTTCCCACCTAGAAAGGGCCCTTCATCTTCTCAATGACAACATGGTCACCCATTGTAGTCGGTCAGCACTGGGGGTCTGTGGGAGGGGTTCTCCAGGCAGAGGCACAGCCAGAGGACAATAAGTTAGCCAGAGCAAGAGGTTTGGGTAGGGAGAAGGCACTGAGGCAGGAAGGCTGGCACCAGGACAGATGGATCTGAAGTGGGGTCAGTCATGTCTTTCTATGGGTGATCACATTTTCTAGGCAAAGTTGGGAGTGCAGGTGAAGAGGTCATATATCCCCCAAATGCTGTTCAAATCAAGAACTTCTAAAACAAAAATATTTCAGTTTTTGCAGTGACGGCATCAGGTGTAGAAGGGTAGGTCCTATTATTGCCATCTGGGGGGAGGAGCCAAGATGGCCGAATAGGAATAGCTCCAGTCTACAGCTCCCAGAGTGAGCAATGCAGAAGAGACAGCTGATTTCTCCATTTCCAACTGAGGTACCGGGTTCATCTCACTGAGGGGCGCAGGTCAGTGGGCACAGTGCACCAAGCCTGAGCCAAAGGAGGGCAAGGCATTGCCTCACCTGTGAAGTGCAAGGGGTCAGGGAATTCCCTTTCCTAGCCAAGCAAAGCTGTGACAGAAGGCACCTGCAAAATTGGGTCACTCCCACGCTAATACTGTGCTTTTCCAATGGTCTTAGCAAATGACACACCAGGAGAGTATATCCCACGCCTGGCTCAGAGGGTCTTATGCCCATGGAGCCTCACTCATTTCTGGCACAGCAGTCTGAGATCAAACTGCAAGGCAGCAGTGAGGCTGGGGGACAGCCACCCGCCATTGCTGAGGGTTGAGTAGGTAAACAAAGCAGCCGGGCAGCTTGAGCTCAGTGGAGCCCACTGCAGCTCAAGGAGGCCCACCTGCCTCTGTAGGCTCCACCTCTAGGGGCAGGGCATAGCCAAAGGAAAGGCAGCAGAAACCTCTGCAGACTTTTAAACGTCCCTGTCTGACAGCTTTGAAGAGAGCAGTGGTTCTCCCAGCACTCAGCTTGGGATCTGAGAATCGACAGTCTCAAGTGGGTCCCTCACCGCCGAGTAGCCTAACTGGGAGGCACCCCCCAGTACAGGCAGACTTACACCTCACATGGCCAGGTAGTTCTGAGACAAAACTTCCAAAGGATCAGGCAGCAACATTTGCTGTTCACCAGTATCCACTGTTCTGCAGCTTCTGCTGCTAATACCCAGGCAAACAGGGTCTGGAGTAGACCTCCAGCAAACTCCAACAGACCTGAAGCTGAGGGTCCTGTCTGTCAGAAGGAAAACTAAAGAGAAAGGACATCCACACCAAAACCCCATCTGCACATCAAAGACCAAAGGTAGATAAAAACCACAAAGATGGGAAAAAAGCAGAGCAGAAAAACAAAAAATCTAAAAATCAGAGTGCCTCTCCCCCCCTCCAAAGGAATGCAGCTCCTCACCAGCAATGGAACAAAGCTGGACAGAGAATGACTGACGAGTTTAGAGAAGGTTTCAGACAAACTACTGTGAGGTAAAGGAGGAAGTTCGAACCTATGGCAAAGAATTTTAAAACCTTGAAAAAAAATTAGATGAATGACTAGGATAACCAAAGCAGAGAAGTCCTTAAAGGACCTGTAGGAGATGAAAACCAAGGCACAAGAACTACGTGACGAATGCACAAGCCTCAGAAGCCGACTCAAATCAACTGGAAGAAACGGTATCAGTGATGGAAGATCAAATGAAATGAAGTTTAGAGAAAAAAAAAATTAAAAGAAATGAACAAAGCCTCCAAGAAATATGGCACTATGTGAGAAGACCAAATCTACGTCTGATTGGTGTACCTGCAAGTGACAGGGAGAATGGAACCAAGTTGGAAAACACTCTGCAGGGTATTATCCAGGAGAACCTCCCCCATCTAGCAAGGCAGGCCAATATTCAAATTTAGGAAATACAGAGAACACCACAAAGATACTCCTGGAGAAGAGCAACTCCAATACACATAATTGTCAGATTCACCAAAGTTGAAATGAAGGAAAAAATGTTAAGGGCAGCCAGAGAAAGGTCGGGTTACCCACAAAGAGAAGCCCATCAGACTAACAGCTGATCTCTCAGCAGAAACTAAAAGCCAAAAGACAGTGGGGGCCAATATTCAACATTCTTAAAGAATATTCAACCCAGAATTTCATATCCAGCCAAACTAAGCTTCATTAATGAAGGAGAAATAAAATACAGACAAGCAAATGCTGAGAGATTTTGTCACTACCAGGCCTGCCCTAAAAGAGCTCCTGAAGGAGACACTAAACATTGAAAGTAACAACCAGTACCGGCCACTGCAACAACATGCCAAATTTTAAACACCATCGAGGCTAGGAAGAAACTGCATCAACTAACAAGCAAAATAACCAGCTAACATCTATAATGACAGGACCAAATTCACACATAATATTAACTAAATGTGAATGGACTAAATGCTCCAATTAAAGACACAAACTGGCAAATTGGATAAAGAGTCAAGACCCATCAGTGTGCTGTATTCAGGAAACCCATCTCACATGCAGAGATACAACATAGGCTCAAGATAAAGGGATGGAGGAAGATCTACCAAGCAAATGGCAAACAAAAAAAGCCAGGGGTTGGAATCCTAGTCTCTGATAAAACAGACTTTAAACCAACAAAGATCCGAACAGACAAAGGCAGCCATTACATAATGGTAAAGGTATCAATTCAACCAGAAGAGCTAACTATCCTAAATATATGTGCACCCAATACAGGAGCACCGAGATTCATAAAGCAAGTCCTGAGTGACCTACAAAGAGACTTAGACTCCCACACAATAATAATGGGAGACTTTAACACCCCACTGTCAACATTAGATCGAGACAAAGTTAATAAGGATATCCAGTAACTGAACTCAGCTCTGCAGCAAGCAGACCTAATAGACATCTACAGAACTCCCCACCCCAAATCAACAGAATATACATTCTTCAGCACACCACACATATTCCAAAATTGACCACATAGTTGGAAGTAAAGCACTCCTCAGCAAATGTAAAAATATAAATTATAACAAACTGTCTCTCAGACCACAGTACAAACTAGAACTCAGGATTAAACTCACTCAAAACCACTCAACTACATGGAAAGTGAACAACCTGCTCCTGAATGACCACTGAGTACGTAACAAAATGAAGGCAGAAAATAAAATGTTCTTTGAAACCAACGAGAACAAAGACAACATACAAGAATCTCTGGGACACATTCAAAGCTGTGTGTAGAGGAAAATTTATACCACTAAATACCCATAAGAGAAAGCAGGGAAGATCTAAAATTGACACCCTAACATCACGAAAGAACTAGAAAAGCAAGAGCAAACACATTCAGAAGCTAGCAGAAGGCAAGTAGTAAGGTCAGAGCAGAACTGAAGGAAAGAGACCCAAAAAAAAAAAAAAAAAAAAAAAAAAAAAAAAAAAAAAAAGAATCCAGGAGCTGTTTTTTTTTTTTAAAAGATCAAAACTGATCGGCCACTAGCAAGACTAAGAGAAGAATCAAATACATGCAATAAAAAAATCATAAAGGGGTTGTCACCACTGATCCCACAGAAATACAGACTACCATCAGAGAATACTATGAACACCTCCATACAAATAAACTAGAAAATCCAGGAGAAATGGATAAATTCCTCAACACATACACACTACCAAAACTAAACCAGGAAGTTGAATCTCTGAATAGACCAATAACAGGCTCTGAAATTGAGGCAGTAATAGCTTACCAACCAAAAAAAGTCCAGGACCAGATAGATTCACAGCCGAATTCTACCAGAGATACAAGGAGGAGCTGGTACCATTCCTTCTGAAACTATTCCAATCAATAGAAAAAGAGGGAATCCTCCCTAACTCATTTTATGAGGCCAGCATCATCCTGATACCAAAGCCCGGCAGAGACAACAAAAAAAGAATTTTAGACCAATATCCCTGATGAACATGAATGCAAAAATCCTCAATAAAATACTGGCAAACCGAATGCAGCAGCACATCAAAAACTTATCCACCATGATCAAGTGGGCTTCATCCCTGGGATGCAAGGCTGATTCAACATACACAAATCAAACATAATCCAGCACATAAACAGAACAGCAAAAACCACATGATTATCTCAATAGATGCAGAAAAGGCCTTTGACAAAATTTGGACAACCTTCATGCTAAAAACTCTCAAATTAGGTATCGATGGGACTTGTCTCAAAATAACAAGAGCTATCTATGACAAACTCAGAGCCAATATGATACTGAATGGGCAAAAACTGGAAGCATTCCCTTTGAAAACTGGCACAAGACAGGGATGACCTCTCTCACCACTGCTACTCAACAGTGTTGGAAGTTCTGGCCGGGGCCATCAGGCAGGAGAAAGAAATAAAGGGTATTCAATTAGGAAAAGAGGAAGTCAAATTGTCCCTATTTGCAGATGACATGATTGTGTATCTAGAAAACCCCACTGTCCCAGCCCAAAATCTCCTTAAGCTGATAGGCAACTTCAGCAAAGTCTCAGGATACAAAAGTCAATGTGCAAAAATCACAAGCATTCCTATACACCAGTAACAGACAGCCAAATTATGAGTGAACTCCCATTCACAACTGCTTCAAAGAGAATAATACACCTAGAAATCCAACTTACAAGGGATGTGAAAGACCTCTTCAAGGAGAACTATAAACCACTGCTCAATGAAATAGAAGGATACAAACAAATGGAAGAACATTCCATGCTCATGGGTAGGAAGAATCAGTATCATGAAAATGGCCATACCGCCCAGGGTAATTTACAGATTCAATGCCATCCCCATCAAGCTACCAATGACTTTCTTCACTAAATTGGAAAAAACCTTAAAGTTCATATGGAACCAAAGAAGAGCCCACATTGCCAAATCAATCCTAAGGCAAAAAACAAAGCTGTAGGCATCACACTACCTGACTTGAAACTATACTACAAGGCTACAGTAACCAAAACAGCATGGTACTGGTACCAAAACAGATATAGATAAATGGAACAGAACAGAGCCCTCAGTTGTAGATATGTGGCTTTATTTCTATCTGATCTTGGACAAACCTGAGAAAAACAATGGGGAAAGGATTCCCCATTTAATAAATGGTGCTGGGAAAACTGGCTAGCCATATGTAGAAAGCTGAAACTGGATCCCTTCCTTACACCTCATACAAAAATTCAAGATGGATTAAAGACTTCAACTTTAGACCTAAAACCATAAAAACCCTAGAAGAAAACCTAGGCATTACCATTCAGGACATAGACATGGGCAAGGACTTCATGTCTTAAACACCAAAAGCAATGGCAACCAAACCAAAATTGACAAATGGGATCTAATTAAAGTAAAGAGCTTCTGCACAGCAAAACAAACTACCATCAGAGTGAACAGGCAACCTACAGAATGGGAGAAAATTTTTGCCAGCTACCCATCTGACAAAGGGCTAATATCCAGAATCTACAGAGAACTCAAAATTTACAAGAAAAAAAAGTCCCCATCAAAAAGTGGGCAAAGGATATGAACAGACACTTCTCAGGAGACATTTATGCAGCCAACAGACATGAAAAAATGCTCATCACTGGCCATCAAATGCAAATCAAAACCACAATGAGATACCATCTCACCAGTTAGAATGGCAATCATTAAAAAGTCAGGAAACAACAGGTGCTGGGGAGGATATGGAGAAATAGGAACACTTACACTGTTGGTGGGACTGTAAAGTAGTTCAACCATTGTGGAAGTCAGTGTGGCGATTCCTCAGGGATCTAGAACTAAAGATACCATTTGACCCAGCTATCCCAATTACTGGGTATATACCCAAAGAACTATAAAACATGCTGCCATAAAGACACATGCACAGATATTTATCGCAGCACTATTCACAATAGCAAAGACTTGGAACTAACCCAAACGTCCAACAATGATAGACTGGATTAAGAAAACGTGGCACATATACACCATGGAATACTATGCAGCCATAAAAAATGATGAGTTCATGTCCTTTGTAGGGATGTGGATGAAGCTGGAAACAATCATTCTCAGCAAACTATGGCAAGGACAAAAAACCAAACACAGCATATTCTCACTTATAGGTGGGAGTTGAACAATGAGAACACATGGACACAGGAAGGGGAACATCACACACTGGGGCCTGTTGTGGGGTGGAGGGAGGGGGAGGCATAACATTAGGAGATACACCTAATGTTAAGCAAGTTAATGGGTACAGCACAGCAACATGGCACATGTGTATTTATGTAACAAACCTGCATGTTATGCACATGTACCGTAAAACTTAAAATTATTGCCATTTAATGGATGGGGGAACTGAGGCCCAGATAGATTAAAAGGTTGAAGCTAATCCGTATACAAGTTTGGGTTAAAGTTCTGGCCTGTGGCTCACATGGCTTTTTTATATTTTGTTTGTATTTTTGAGACAGGTTCTTGCTCTGTTACACAGGCTGCAGTGCAACGGCACAATCATAGTACACTCCAGCCCCTACCTCCTGGGCTCAAGCCATCCTCCCTCAGCCTCCCAAGTAGTTGGGATTACAGGCACATATTGCCACACCCCATTAATTTTTGTGTTTTTAGTGGAGACAGGGTTTTGCCTTGTTTCCCAGGATGGTATCAAACTCCTGAGCTGAAGCCATCCTCTTGCCTCGGCCTCCCAAAGTGCAGGTGTTGTGTGAGCTACTGTGCCCAGCTATGCGTGCCTTGTTTATCCACAGAAGTGGTCAGAAAGCTTCCTGGGAGCAGGGCTGTGGGTTAAGGCTCTGACCAACCCACGCACATTCCCCATCTCCAAACACAATGAGCCCGTAGCAATGAACCCTTGTTAGCCGATTTCATCAACTGAATGCACTTTCCTCAGATCTGATTAGACAAACAGGCTAGCCTGAATCCCAGCTGGGGTGGGAAAGAGACACAGGGAAACAAAACACAACCGGCTATAAGCCAGGGGATGGCCAAGTATTTCTGTAAAGGGCCAAATATTTTTAGGTGCAGATCATGAGATTCCCATTGCCAACTATTCAACTGATGCGTGGACAAGGCTGTGTTCCAACTCACCTTTATTTACTAAACAGGTGGGCCAAAGTTTGCTGACCTCTGCACACTATGATCAATCTATTGAAAGCCAGTCATGGGGATGGGGGTACCTGTTAGATCTGAAAAAATGAGATCTGTCTCTGTTCTTTATAAAGTGGGGGAGGAAGGGCGGTATGGTAAGAAAATGAACAAATTCTGTGCTGAAGACTGAATAATGGTATTTACCTTTGATTTCTTGTTTACTGCATGTCAGGTGCCGTACATTATTCGCTGTAAGCCTCAAAAACTCAGGAAGATTTAGCCCCATTCTCCAGATAAATGAAGTGGCTCAGAGATGTTAAGTTGCTGGAGATCACATAGGCAGGATTCTAACACGAAAGCTTATTCTCATTTCGCTATGTTCCACTGGGCCTGATCCAGTCTCAGCCTCAATTCTCCTGTTTGGGTGGTGCTATGTTATCCAGCAAGATGACCCTGCAAAGTCAATGCTGTGTATTCAAGGCACAATAGACAGTCTTCTAGAGGCAGTAGCCTCCACCTAGCACAATATGGTGACAAGGTAGCCCAAGCTGTCTGACCACTTCAGCCCAAATAATTTCACACAAGCATGAAAATTAGAGAAGATGTCATAATGGTGTCAGAGGGATTTGAACCAGAGCAACTCCATCTTGGGTAGGAGCTGGATAAAATGAGGCTGAAACTATTGGGCTGCATTCCCAGACGCTTAAGACACTTAGTCACAGGATGAGATAGCTGTATCTTGTGCCGACCTGTTTGCTGATAAAACAGGTTGCAGTAAAGAAGCCGGCCAAAACCCACCAAAACCAAGATGGTGCTTAAAGTGGCCTCTGACCGTCCTCACTGCTACACTCCCACCACTGCCATGACAGCTTACAAATGCCATGGCAACATCTGGAAGTTACCCTATATGGTCTAAAGAGGGGAGGTATGAATAATCCACCCCTTGTTTAGCATGTCAAGAAATAGCCATAAAAAAAGGCAACCAGCAGCCCTCAGGGCTGCTCTGTCTATTGAGTAGCCATTCTTTATTCCTTGATTTTCTTAATCACCTTGCTTTCACTTTACAGACTTGTGCTTTCTTTCTTTCTTGCAGGAGATCCAAGAACCATCTCTCTCGGGACTGCATCAGGAACCCTTTCATGTAACAATAATGGTAGAAGCACCTGGGATTTGGGAAAATCTTGGAGAGTACTTTGAATTTCTAAAAACCCATGAAAAGGGAGATTTTAAAAATTCACCAAGTGTTACCTAGATCTTTAGGGGTCCAGAGATGCCAACTAGTTTTGGGGCTCCACACCACAATGCAATAAAAAAAATGAGGCTGCTTTGGTCGAAAAGGGAGGTAACAATGTTACAGGCAAGGGGTCCTGATCCAGACCCCCAAGAGAGGCTTCTTGGATCTCGTGCACAAAAGAATTCAGGGGCAAGTCCACAGTGCAAAGCAAAAGTATGTTTATTAAGGAAGTAGCCTAAGTACTGTTAGCCATAGAGTAGGGCATTCCCAAAAGAAAGGGGAATGCATCCACTCTAGGTACAATGCTTGTTTATAGAGAATAAAAAAGATCATGAGGGGCCGGGCATGGTGATTCACGCCTGTAATCCCAGCACTTTGTGAGGCTGAGGTGGGGGGGATCACTTGAGGTCATGCGTTTGAGACTAGCCTACACAACATGGTCAAACAGTCTGTACTAAAAAATACAAAAATTAGCCAGGGGTGGTGGCACGTGCCTGTGCGCCCAGCTACTTGGGAGGCTAAGGCAGGAGAATTGCTTGAACCCGGGAGGTAGAGGTTGCAATGAGCTGAGACTGCACCATTGTACTCCAATCTGGACAACAGAGCAAGACTGCATCAAAAAACAAAACATCTTGATGAGAGACATGCTCTGCTACAAGGATTTGTAATAATTCTTAATTACTACATTTTACAAGAATCAGTATTATCTTCGAAGCGAAATTACGAATCCTTCTGTTCAAGGTATCAGGATAACATGACACTCCCACATCTGGGTCTCTTTAGTAAGCATTGAAGGATGTAATACCTCTTCCAAGATTTTAGCCTGTCAATTGTTAAGTACAATGAGTTCTGACATCCCATCCAAAGAGCCAATCTATCAGTACACGTTCGGCTCCCGTTTTGTCCATTTTAAAGTTTAACTTCCTCGTTCTCATCTCCTTGCCCCTAGTTTCAGTAAACAAGCTTTTCCACCAGTTCTAATCAGTAGGTCACATGTGTTGCCCTGGTCACCTACTCCATCCTGAGTCAACGCTGGTTACCTGCTCTGACTTCAATCATCGTGAGTCACCGGTTCTGTAGCAGTCATTCCTGCTTCTCAGACTTGTACCCACTGCTCTTTAAAATAGCCATTCGGAATTAGCTTACACTGTGGTCCAACCCTAGCCAATAGGGGAATGACAGCAGTAGAGGCTACCTGTCTCAGAAATAAGAACCCCTTCCTCTCCCTTGGTTCAGCTGTGCTCTCGCCATTGCTCCATCTGTAAGTCACCCTTCTATAGAAGTAAAATTGCCTTGAGGAAATTTTCAAGTGCTATTTCTTTTGTGGCATCAATAATTTTTAAGTGTTATTAATCTGTTCCCTTAACCAGAAACATCTAGAGGCCAAGAATAGCTACCAGTCCAGAATGCCGCCTCCCAAGTTCCAGCCTCATTTTCCTAGCCCTCATTCAGGACGGAGTTGCTCTGGTTCGAATGCCTCTGATAACAGACCCAAGAAGTTTCTTACTCATTCCCCCGTCTCCCCAAAGCCCACCCCCGCTGCTTAAAAAAAAAAAAAATTCACTGGGCTACTACATGGTGCTTGAGGTTGAAGTCTTTGAGCCTTGAGATTGTCATTTCAATGCAAATGTTTGTAAATTAGATGAAAGTCACAGATCAAGCCAGATAGAGGGGGAAGAATAGGGGATGTAGACCTTGGCCATGCTCCCAAGGAGAACGGCGGCAGACCAGCAGATGTTAATCATTAATCCGACAAACATTTCGATGCCTCTGCCCTTTGAACTCAAGGGCTGAAGGACAGGGACCAAGACAGGATGCTTGTTCCTTTTCTTTCCACGCCTTCCACCACCTCTTTGTTAAATATAGTGAACTCCAAGTTTCTCTTCAAAGAATCATTATGTCAGTATGTTCAGCTCTCTCATTCTTTGTTCTCCATTTTAACGTTTTTTGTGGTTTTCCTTCACCCCCTTGCCTCTAGATTCAGTGAGCAACTTTCCCACCAGTTCTAATCAGTAGTTCACATCTGTTCCACTGGTCACCTGCTTTGACCTGAGTCACCCTGGTCACCTGCTGTGTCCTGACTCATCCTTAGTCACCTGTTCTGTAACCGTCTTTCCTGCCAAGCTACTCACCCCCACCACTCCGACTCATACCCCTGGCTTTCTTTAAAATAGGCAATCGGAATTAGCTTAGACTGTGTGGTCCGACCTTAGCCAATAGGGGAATGACACAGCAGTAGGGGCTACCTACATCAGGAATAAAAACCCCTTCCCATCCCTTGTTCAGGTATGCCCTCAGTATTGCTCCACTCACGAGTTGCACCCTTCTATAGAAGTAAAAGCTGCAGAAAGTTAAATTTACATTTCAGTGCTATTTCTTTTATGGCACCGATTATTTATAACATCTTGGTCCATGAGAAGCCTTGTGACAGCCACTGTGTTTGGAATCCACTCTCCAAAAAGAAAAGCATCGTGCTCAGGGCCAAAGCTGCAATCATGCACGTGTGCTCTCCTTGGGCACATCGTCTCTTTTCAGACAAGGTTATGCATTATCAGTTTATAACTTGAAATCACAGAAAGAGAACGTTGATTCTGCAGTAACAGTAAGTGTTTAACCGTGTATACTAAAATCTTCATGTGAGAGTCGCAGTTCTCTCATGAATATACCTTGCATTTCACAGTCAGCCAAGTTGGCTCAAGACTCAGGGTAATAAACTCTAAATTACGGTAAGTCTTTAAGTTACATTGAAAAAACCACCAAAAAAAAGAACTTAAAGTCAGAAGAATGGAACCATTTGTCTCTTATCTACCTAGGACCTGGAAGCCCACCCCGCCCCTCCCCCACCGCGCCGTCGAGTCCTCCCAGCTTTGCTTCAAGTTGTCTTGCCTTTCTAGACCTGCCCCGTCTTTCCAGACCGAACCAATGTTCATCCAGCACGTATTGATGGATGTGTTATGTCTCCCTAGGAAGTGTAAAAGCCAGTTGTGTTCTGACCACCTCGGGCACAGGTCGTCAGGAACTCCTGAGAGTGTCACAGACAGGTGTGTTCAACTTTGGCAAAATAAACTTTCTGGATTAACTGCAACCTGTCTCAGATTTTCAGCATTTACAGATGTACACATGCTCACTCTAGAGCCTTTGCTCTTGACCCCTGGGTGCCCCTGCCTTTCACAGACACCTGTGTGCTTTCTGTAGGCAGATCTAGGGAATTCTCTGGCAAGAAAGCATTTAGGAACCTGCCCAGGCAATTCAGTGGTCAGCCAATATGGGGACTGGGAGTTAAATACTAGCTCTCTGCTTTTACCTACTAGTTACAACATTAAGTCGCTACAGAACACCCTCAGTTCACCTCTTAGTGTATCCTTTGAAAAAGGATACACTAATCTCTTTAAATGCATGACTGGTAATCAAATCAGATAATGCGTGTCAAAGCCTTTGAGTTATGATATGCACATATAATCCATTATCATAGTTCTAACAAGTACTTATCACTGGAAAATAGTAAGAAATCTTATTTTTGCCTAAATGGGGCCATCCCCCAAAGTATAAGAGAACCTTGTTACAGAAGATTTAACTACATTGAACGAGTCAGACCAGGCCTGGTGGCTCATGCCTATAATCCCAGCAATTTCGGAGGCCAAGGCACGAGGATTGCTCCAGTTGAGGAGTTTGAGACCATCCCCGACAAGATAGCAAGACCTTGTCTCTACGAAAGTTTAAAAATTAGCCAGGAGTGGTGGCATGCACTAGTAGTCCCCAGATACTTGTGGAGGATCACTCGAGCCCAGGAGATCGAGGCTATGATCTTACCACTACACTCCAGCCTAAAGCATAGGGTGAGACCGTGTGTTTAAAAAAAAAAAAAAAGTTGGGGGGTGGGGGGGTAACTCAGCATTGGAGATACCAAATGACTTCAGAAAATCCTTTTCTCCCATAAAGCAGAAGGGCCAAAGACCAGAAAAACATTAAAGGAGAAGAACCAGAAAACTAATAATACGGAGGACAAAAAAGAATGACGAAACCAATCCTTTCCCTAGTAATTGAAACAATTAACAAGGATATAGCTGAAGTAACTTGGAGCTGAAAATACTCATTTCATGGATCAGAAAGCATCAACAGAACAGGTGAAAGGAGATCTCTAGCTTGGCAAAGTTCTTATATAATCCTGCATATATCCAGGATAATAAAATGTTAACCACAATAGGCCGCAGTTTTTTTTAAAAAAATCCAGAATAGAACAAAGTTTAAAGGATTGAGCCATGACCTAACAATTTTATGCCACACGAAGCTACTGGTCTCATGTTTAAACAAGACATCATACAAGAAAGAAGAAAAAGTGACACTAACTCAGCCCTCTATATTAAAATGTGACATAAAGCTTGAATAGATATACTAATATCACCCTGCTCTAAGAATTAACCTCCGGTCAATAGCAACTGTATTAATAGCCTTAAGATGTCCCCAAGTATAAAGAACAAGAGACTCATGCTATCGTTTTTGGGTGGTGGGGATAGGGGAAAGACAGGGTCTCCTCTGTTAGCCAGGCTGGAGTACAGTGGCACGATCATGGCTCACTGCACCCTCAACCTCCCTCAACTCAAGGGATCCTCCTACGTTGACCTCCCCAGGCTTGAAAGATCCTCCTCTACACCTCAGCGTCCTGAGTAGCTGGGACTACAAGGCTGGTCTTGAACTCCTGGGCTCAAGCCATCTTCTCTCCCAAAGTGCTAGGATTACAGGTCTGAGCCCCTGCACCCCTCCCATTGCTACTTTTCAAAATTGCACTTGAGGTTGTAGCTTATGTAATAAGAATTTTAAGTAGCAGGGCGATACAAAATTGCAGTTGTTTACACATTATTCTCCAAGCTAGAAAATGGTCAGGAAACTGACATTTACTTTGAGCAGGGTAGTCCCATACTGTATCAACGTAAAAACGAACAAGTCAAATATACAACACAAAGCTTTTTAGAAACAATAGCCGCAAAGCTAAATCTTATTTTAAACGATCTATATAAAACTAAATTTTCACTAAATGACAGACTTGTATCACCCTCAAAGACTGTCAGTCAATTCTTCCCAAATTTTATGAACGTAATGCATCACAACCCTTGTTCCGTATGTCAATTCTTTGTAGAATTTGACCAACTTATTCTGAAACGCAGAAGAGCTAGGGCAGTTTTGGGAAGGGAAAAATAAAGGGAAACTTTGACCACTACAAACAAGAATCATATTACAAAGCTCTATGAAACCAGGGCAGGAATACATAAACCAAAGAATCAACACCCAAGTAGAGACAAAGGTTTGACAGAGGTTAAAGCGGGTATTTTCACATGAGCAGAGCAAGACTCAGTCTTAAAACAACTGCCTGTGCATCCAGAAAAACAGTACATTGGAACACTTGTCACACACAAAAGTGAACTTTAGCAAATCCTCGAACTATTTGAATAATGAAATACAATTTATAGACCTTGCACTATTAGACTTACAAATAAGTTTTTCAAAAACTATAGAAGAAATGACTGATGACCACAGTGAAGTGTTGAGGTTCTGCATGACAAAAATATGAACAAAGTAACACCAACATTCCAGAAGGTATTTGTAACTTACAGCAAATTGTTAATGACAAGGGTCCCCAAACCCCAGGCCACAGACCAAGAAACGTTCGTGGCCCATTAGGAGCAGGTGACACAGCAGAAGGTAAGCAGCTGGCGAACAAAGCGTCTGTATTTACAGCTTCTTCCCATTGGTCACATCACCACCTGAGCTCTGCCTGTCCATCAGTGGCAGCATTAGATTCTCACAGGAGAATGAACCCCTATTGTGAACTGCGCGTGTGAGGGATCTAGATTGCGTGCTCCTTCTGACAAGGTAACTAATGCCAAATGATCTGTCACTGTCTCCCACCTCCCACCTCCAGATGGGGCCGTCTAGTTTCAGGAAAACAAGGTCAGGGCTCCCACTGATTCTACATTATGGTGAGTTGTGTAGTTTCATTATTATGTCATAATTTTAAAGTACACGAGAAATGTAAGGTGCCTGAACCATCTCCCAAACTGTCCTCCCCTCCCACCAACCCCATCTGTGGAAAAACTGTCCTCCACACAACCGGTTTCCTGTTGCCAGAGTTTGCTGACTGCCAATCTACAATGTATGTGCTTTAGAGAACACCCCTTTTGTTTTTTACATTGGCTGAAACTGGTCAAGAAAATAGGCTTCTCTCCCCAAGGCCTCCCCATTTCCCAAGAAAATGAGATACTAATCAAAAAGTGGATATAAATAAGCAATTCACAGAAAATGCACTCACTGACCATATGAAAAGATGTTCACCTCATCAGCAATCAGGGGGCTATAGGTTAATGAAGTATTTCTAGCTATTAAATCACCAAAAGCTTAAATATGATCAGGTGTTCTCACACCTCACTTGTGGTCCAATTCCTATAACCGTTTTGGAGAAAATTTTGACAAAGAAATATGTGCATGCCCCAAGATGGAGCCACCATCAGTATCTCCGCTTGAAAAGCATTTACCCAAACATCAAGATGGCCTGGCCAGGGGCCTGAGCTGTGTGTAGTAAAGAAAAACAACAGGAAACCACCCAGATCGCGTCCAATTGATAGGATGGTTGTGTAAACTTTTATATATTTGGACCATAATAAACCAAGCAGTTAGAAAATTTCTCCGAGTATACTGATACAGCTGAGCTGCAAGCAGCGAAAAAACCAAGTTGCTGAATGATATGTACATGATACAGTTTATACCTAACAGTTGCTGAAAGCATAGATGTTAACGCATAGGAAAGGCCTGGGAAAGTGCACATGAAACTGAACAAGATCTGCCCCAGGGAAGGGGGAAGGAGACTGAGTCCTAGAATCATGGTAGGTGGTCATGGTACAGTGGGTAGCTAGTCAGACATGAGCAGGGAAGCAGCAGCCCCCATCCCCCCACCACCACCAGGAATGCCAGGGCACTACCAGGTCATGTTCTGGCAGTTGTTAATGGTCTGAAATAATTGGTCTCAGCCAGTGCCAGGGAAAGGCAGGCTTACAACAGATAGACACACCTGAGGGCGAGCACAGTTGCTCATGCCTGTAATCCCAGTTTGGGAGGCCGAGGTGGGTGGATCATGAGATCAAGGGTTTGAGACCAGCTTGGCCAACATAGTGAAACCCCGTCTCTGCTATAAATACAAAAATTAGCCAGGCATGGTGATGAACTCCTGTAGTCCCAACTACTCGGGAAGCTGAGGCAGGAGACTCGCTTGAACCCAGGAGGCAGAGGTTGAGGTGAGCTGAGATTGTGCCACTGCACTCCAGCCTGGGAAACAGAGCAAGAATTCGTCTCAAGAAAAAAAAAAAAAAAAAAAAAAAAAAAAAAAAAAAGACACCCTAAACTGGTCATCAACAGCTTACCAGTAAGATCTCAGGAGCTGGGCAAGTGGGCTCAAACATGCAGAGAGGCAAAATAGCAGAGTTTTAAACACTCGACTGGTAAGAGAAGAACACCTCAAGTGGGCTTGTGCACAGCTTCAGTAAGCACACTGGGCATGCTCCACTCCTAAGTGCTGACAGGCCCTGCACATGTGGACAGCCCACCCCAAGGGAAAAAAAAAATCAGGAAAGGGACCCAAGACCCCAGAAGCATGCCAACATACAAACCCATGTCAAAGATCAGCCAGTGCCCATCATCTCTCAAGTCACCCACTTGGCCTCCTTCCAAGTATACTTTACCTTCCTTTCATTCCTGCTCTAAAACTTGCCTTGGGCTTTCCTTCCACCATATGCCCCCTGGGTCAAATTCTTCTGGCTAGGTGCTGTCTCATGCCTGTAATCCCAGCACTTTGAGAGGCGGGTGGATCACTTGAGGCGAGGAGTTTGAGACCAGCCTGGCCAACCTGATGAAACCGTCTCTACTAAAAATACAAAAAATTAGCCAGGCACAGTGGCATGCACCTGTAGTCCCAGCTGCTGAGGCGGCTGAGGCAAAAGAATCGCTTGAACCGGGGAGGCAGAGGTTACAGTGAGCTAAGATCACGCCACTGCACTCCAGCCTGGGCAACAGGCTGGACTTTTTTTTTTTTTTTTTTTTTTTTTGACTCCTACCACCTCCCCCCACCCAAAACAAAAAAAAAAACCAAACACCTTCTGCAGGTGTTTACATTTGCTGCTATTAAAAGACTTTAGTCACACCAACAATCTTAAAAATCAAGACAAAGGATGAACCAACTGAGTAAAAACCCATTTAAAATAGAAATCTGTTTTGTCCCCCAGCTTTCCCATTAGTTGGATACTTACTTTACACTGCATTCTAAAAGCCCAGATGAGATCATCACCCAAGCAGTAAAAATGAAAGCATCAAAAAGGGTTCCTGAACATAGAGAAAATAGTTTATCTTTAATAAAAACCTTAACTTCTTTGTATCAAATAACAGAAGCCAAAAACCCAAAGGCAGAGAAATCTAGAAGAGCATTAAGTACATATGTAATATAGAAAGTTCTACAAACCAAGGTAGAAAAGACCAAGAATACTGTAATAAAATAGGCACACAATTTCCAGAATTAAACCAATAGACCCAAGAACATGTCTGACCTCACGTGGCAGGGAGAGAAATTAAAACAAATGGTAGAACATTTTTTTGGCTACCAAAATGGTCCAAATGAAAAAATAATGTTGACAAAGTAGGATGAACCATTCCCAGCAGTACTGTCCAAAGAAAATAGATACAAACCATATGTGTATCTTCTAACACTACCAGAACCCATTGCAGAAAGAAAAAGGTGCAATTTTAGTACTATATTTAAACACTATATCAGAAGTATTTCGAGTCACTATAAACATTTACGAGCTATTCACTTTTGGAGGGGTACTAATTCTTTCAAATTTGCCATGTGTCTTAGGCTCCTACTATATCTCAATCCAGATGCAAAATTTTACTACAAATTTAAGTTTCATAAAATTTTCCATTGAGAAGGACATTCATATACTTAAGTTGTTTCCAACATATTTAAGCTTCCCAGTAACAGAATGAGTAACAGGTCTTACAATTTATTCCAGAGTGGTTGAAATACAATTCAATCCAGTTACCTCGGTCACACCAACCTTTTTTGGGAGGTGGTGGTGGTTGTGAAGACAGGGTCTCACTGTCACGCACGCTGTAGTGGCAGGATCACAGCTCACTGCAACCTCCGCCTCCTAGGCTCAAATGGTTCTCCCACCTCAGCCTCTTGGAGTAGCTAAGACCATATGCATGTGCCACCATGCTTGGCTAATTTTTTAATTTTTGGTAGAGATGGGGTTTCGCCATGTTGCCCAGACTGATCTCAAACTCCTGAGCTCAAGTGAATATCCAATCTCAGCCTCCCAAAGTGCTCGGATTACAGGCTTGAGCCACCACACCTAGCCTTGACAACTCTTCAAGTGTATGAAAGCCACCTGTGGCTGGTGGCTGCCATACTGAAGGCTACAGTTCTAGAATAAGTGCACCCGCCCAACCCAGGTCCCGGCTACAAGTGGAGGCAGCTCTTTCCAGAGTTTCCCAAACCCTGATATCACCGTGCTGTCTGATCAACATTCCCTGCGATTTCCAGACTCAACCGTCCTGGCCTCATCCACAGGTGCCTTCCAGGCTGCCCTGTTCTTGCTGTGACTTTTGCCATGAGGCACATAGAGCAGTTTAGTCAATTGCTACCCTCTTCAGTTCTCACGCTGTAAATTGTAAACTATGGGAATAAGAATGATACTTAAAGCAACAGGCTCCTTTTACCAAGTAGACTGCATGCTAAATGCTTTGCATCCTTTGTCATTTGTACCCCTTTCTACTTATATGCAGGAAACAAGCTTAGAAAAGGACATCTTAGGGCCTCATTAGTAAGCAAAGAACCACTTGTCCTTGGAACTGGAGCGAACTGGCCCCAAACCCCATGCTCTCCCCCCTTCCTCACAGTTCTGGCCTAATTGGGTGTGCAATCTCCCTCCCCCAGTCACCCACAGTGGCTCCCAGCACTCCTTGGGGATTTGGGTCAGCGGGACACCGCCTAGGACACTGCTTCTCAGACATTAGGCCAAGATAGCACCAAGAAAAAGGAAACCCCCACATGGGAACCTACCCTTCTCTAGGTAAAGAGCTATTGTGCGCGATGCCTTAAATAGATGCTCATTTAATTATCACAGCTATTTCTCAAGTCAGAACTGTCATCACCATTTTACAGAAAACAAGTGAGTCAAAGGCAAACATCTGGGAAGCTGTGGGGCTAGGATTTGGTGGACTGCTACCCCAGCAGAAAACTGGGGATGCAGGGGTGAGTCCCACGAGGCAGGGTTCACCCCATGCCCCTCTTCCCGAGATGATCACAGTACTTGTCTCCAGGGTCTGTGGTCCTACCAGAGTCTAATCCACAGTATGTAAAGCAAGTTTTTTTTTTTTTTTTGGAGAAGGAGTCTCATTCTGTGGCCCAGGCTGGAGTGCAGTGGTACGATCTTAGCTCACTGCAAACTGCACCTCCTGGATTCAAGCAATTCTACCTCAGCCTCCTGAGTAGCTAGGATTACAGGCACCCACCACCACGCCTGGCTTTTTTGTGTTTTTGGTAGAGATGGGGTTTCACCATGTTGGCCAGGCTGGTCTCCAACTCCTGACCTCAGCAGATCCACCCACCTCAGCCTCCCAAAGCGCTGGAATTACAGGTGTGAGCTACCGTGCCCGGCCAAGAGCCCTTTCATTATCATGCACTTGACCCATGATGAGCCATTCTGGAAGCCACTGTGTTGGGATCATTCGGCCCCCACCTTGCTCTAGCAGTGCAGGAAGACCATCTCTATTTCCACACGCAAATCTCTTACAAGCCTATGGCCAAGGTGTTATCATTTCCATTTCACAGATTAAAACAATAACCAAGGTTACCATCGCATGTCTAAAACCACCAAGCAAGTCACCCGCAGAGTTGGGGCACTAAACCACACCCTGAAGCTGGGGTTTACTCTGAACACTTTTTAGGGGGAGGGGGGAAGGACATGGAGTCTCGTTCTGTCAGGAGGCTGGAGTGTACTGGCTGCAATCTCGGCTCACTGCAACCTCTACCTCCTGGGTTCAAACAATTCCCCTGCCTCAGCCTGAGTAGCTGGGACTACAAGTGCCTGCCACTACGCCAAGCAAATTTTTGTAGTTTTACTAGACACAAGGTTTCACCATATTGGCCAGACTGGTCTCAAATTTCTGACCTTGTGATCCTCCCACCTGGGCCTCCCAAAGTGCTGGGATTACAGGCATGAGCCACTGTGCCCGGCCTATTCCTTCATTCTTACAGGTGAACACCATTATCGGACACCTCCTGGGTACTGAGGCAACTGGGACACAGAAATGAATCAGACACGAACTTGTCAGAAAAAAACCTGAAAGCTTAAAAAGCAGCCCAAGATGGCTGTAGGTTGGACATACAGATAATAGAAACTAAGCCTATGAACGAAATCTGAACGCTGGCCACCGAGGCTGGAGTTCCTCAGCTACTTCACTGCTGTGCAACGGGTGCCTATCAGATGAAGGGCAAAAGCAGGAGACTCAGTCCTCCCTCTGCAGACCCTAAGAGGCCTTCGTACTTTTTATCATATATACTGTGAAAGGAAAATAAATCTCGGGGCCCCCAAATCACTGGAGAGAAAAGTCAACCTGCAAGCTGCTTAGGGCCAACCTGCCTCCCTCTCTATGTAAAGTCACACCTCTGCTCACCAAGATAAACGTGTATCTGATTGCCTACTTTGGAAAGATTAATCAGAAACTCAAAATGCAGCCAAGCAGGCAGTACAGTGGCTCACACCTGTAATCCCAGCACTTTGGGAGGCCAAAGTGGGAGGATCACCTAAGCTCAGGAGTTTGAGACCAGACTGGCCAACATGATGAAACCCCGTCTCTACTAAAAATACGGAAATTAGCCAGGTGTGGTGGCAGGCACCTGTAACCCCAGCTACTTGGGAGGCTGAGGCAGGAAAAATTGCTTGAACTTGGAGGCAGAGGTTGCAGTGAGCTTAGATTATACCACTGTACTCGAGCCTGAACAAGTGAGACTCCGTGTCAAAAAAAAAAACCACACACACACAACACACACACACAAGAGAACGCAACTGTGTCTTATCTAGGACCTGGAAGCCCCCTCCCTTCTTTGAGTTGGCCCACCTTTCCATTCAGTTTTAAGAAAATCACCTTCACTTCATTGCCCAGTGCAGGTTTCTCGGTTTCCACTAAGTCTGTGTTCCTGGCCTATCGTCCTCAAACTTGCCTCAGGATAGTTAACTTTCGTTTTTATCTATATATTGCCTGTTATGTTAACCTCTTGGTTTGAAGGTTCTGACTCCCAGGAAGTAAATCCCTAGCTGGCGACAGCTGGAAACATTCACTCATCACCAAGTTCCCAGGTGCTGCCTCCCTCACCTGCCACTTCCCAGGTGCTCAGTCCCAAACGGCAGTAACAGGTATCCTCTCCAGGTTGAAGCACTTAGGAGCTGGGGCATGACTCTCAGCCCCTCCTTGGGGGCCACAAACTGAGCTAGTGCAATCAGAAGGTGGCATCAGCCTGGATCCTGAGTCACCACATGGAGGGCTGTGTAGTCAGTGGATTGAGAGTCAAGAGGCAGCTTGCCTGGGTCCAGCCACTAGAATGTTGCCATTTGTTACTGCAGCATAGCCTAATATATTCTGATTAAACCAATGCAACATAAGCTCATCACATACTGTAGACAGTTGAAAGTTTTTTTTTTTTTTTTTTTTTTGGAGACGGGTCTCACTCTGTGGCCCAGTCTGGAGTTCAGTGGTTCACTATCTCACTGCAGCATTGACCTCCCGGGCTCAAGCCATCCTCCCACCTCAGCCTCTCGCATAGCTGGGACCACGGGTGCACCTCTACCATGCCTTTTTTTTTTTTTTTTTTAGGGGGATAGAGATGGAGTCCTACTATGTTAGGTTGCCGAGACTGGTCTCACTCTTGGGTTCAAGTGATTCTCCTGCCTTGGACTACCAAGGTGCTGAGATTACAGGCACAAGCCATTACACCAGGCGGAAAATGGTAAGAAAAAAAAACAGCAGAGCAAGGTGCTGAGATTACAGGCACGAGCCATTACACCAGGCTGAAAATGCTAAGAAAAAAAAAAAAACAAATTTTAAGAGACCTGATTGATTTGGTCTTCAGGGGAAGGTGAGGGTTGGAAAGAGCCGAGATCTGGCAGGTAATGAAGGCAGGTTAACATTTGTCAAACACTGTGCCACGTGCCGGGCACTGGGCTAATGTTTATAGACATCCAAGCAAAAGCCACACTCAAAAAAAGCCTGTAGCATGGTGACTAGATCAGCCAGTGAAGACCTCTCTCCGATTAGCCGCTGGGCACTGAGGATCCCTTTGCCCTGCTTTGTGGGGCAAAGCAAAGACAAGGACATCCGAGCAGGGACGTTCAGAGGGAACTACAGTGGCACAGCCCTCAAGGCTGGGATGCCTAGTGCCTTTGAGAACCAGCAAGAGGCGTGAGGGGGCGCTGGCAGATGACTCAGCCCAGGTGTTACTCTGAGTGAGACCGAAGTCTTAGGAGGGTTCTGAGCAGACATGATTTCTCTTTTCAGGGCTCAGGAGGATCCCCCCTGGCTAGCTTGGTGGCTCATGCCTGTAATCCCAGCACTTTGGGAGACCCAGGCAGGTGCATCACTTGAGCTGAGTTGGAGACCAGACTGGGCAACATGGATAAACCTCATTTCTACCAAAAAGTACAAAAAAGTTAGCTGGGTGTGGTGATGTGCTTGTAGTCCCAGGTACTTGGTAGGGGGTCGGGGTGAGTCGAGGTAGGAGGATTGCTGGAGCCTGGGAGGTGGGGGCTACAGCGAGCTGAGGTAGTGCCACTGCACTGCAGCCTGGGTGACAGAGTGAGACCCCATCTCGGGGGGAAAAATATCTTTCTAGGGCCAGCGGTTTCAGCTAGGGTTGTGTCCCCCAGGGCACACCTGCCAACGACTGGAGACACTTTCATTGTCACCACTCAGGGGCGGCTACGAAGTTCTAGTGGGTGGAAGCCAGGGATACGGCTGATGCCAGGGCACTCCTCCCCTCCCCCCACCCCAATTGCTGGGGGGTGCAGTCCTCTACTTCGAGATGCTTCCAATGCCAGGGCCCGCCCCACTCCCAAACAGACTTTTATGCTAAGGCCATACTAGATGTTTTCCTCAAGACTCGCTGGAGGGAGCAGCACGGGCCTGTGCCAGGGGAGCCAGTGAAAGCACAGGCACTGCCAGAGCCTGGACAGACTCTCGGGTCTCCTGGGATGAATGATGACCCGGGAAGTGGTGGGGACTCCCCTGATACAGCAGTCTCTGCAGTTGCCTCCGAGTTAAGTCATTGCCTGCAGAGAAGGGGAGCGGGTGTCGTGCTTTCTGTACGCCCACCCTGTCTCCAAGAACGGTGCTCAAAGTGTATAGCCCCCACTTTTAGAAAGCCTTCTTCCAGGCTAGGCACCGTGGCTCACGGCTATAATCCCACCACTTTGGAAATCTGAGGCAGGCGGATCACCTGACGTCAACCTGGTCAACATGGCAAAACCCTGTCTCTACTAAAAATTAGCTAGGCTTGGTGGCAGACACCTGTAATCCCAGCTACTTGGGAGGCTGAGGCAGGAGAATTGCTTGAACCTGGGAAGCAGAGGTTGCAGCCAGCAGATATTAAGATCACACCACTGCACTCTAGCCTGGGTGACACAGCATGACTGTCCCCACCCCCCCCCAAAAAGGGGGCTTCTTCCTGCCCTTGTCACTGGCTTCTGTTCGTCCCTGCTGCACTGTGACCAGGACCATCCAGCTTCCCCCTGGCCCTCATCCCCTTAGACACTCCGCCTCTGCCTCATCCTGCCACACCAAGCTTTTCTCAAGCAGCCCCCTCACTCCTCCTCCTGAACTTCAGTGGCCAAGTGAGTCCCCCGAATGAGTGGCAGCTCAGGGTCCTGCTCCAGGGCTGGGTCACCAGTGAAATGGACAGTTTGTCTGAGGTGTGTGGGAACGGGAAAAAGGGACCACTTACCTCTAACTTCTAGGAACGTTCTCCTGGGGCTGTGGCAGATCTAAGGAGGTACAGCTGGGCCTGAGCCTGGAAAATTACTAAGGGACTGGTTAATACGATCCACACCTGCTCCAAGCTTGTACAAGCCCATGGCAAACTCAGGTCCCAAGACAGAGCCTGGGTCTCCCACCACCTGCGTTAGCTTCACCCAGGGTGCTTAACACTCCCTGGTCCCACCCCAGAACCAGCGCTGCTGCTGGTAGGACCTGGGACCCTACATTTTCATGGGCATCGAATATCATCTCCCACCCTGACAGAGACCACCTCCACCCTCCTAGATCCACGTCTTGGTGTGTCTACTTCCAAGCTCTATTACTTTAGAGAGCTCTCAGCTGTGACAGGTTTTGTGTTTTATCCTATTGTCTTAAGCCAAGGGAGGATCTCGGTCCTCACTTCCAACCATGAGGCAGACATTCGTACAGGGACCAATGCTTTATCATCGCACATCAAGCCATTTGAACACAGCAGCTCCCCTCTGTACTCAAGTCTTACATGCCCATTATGGGGATTGGAAAACTACAGCCAATTATAAAAATAAAGATGATAGTGGCCAGGTGTGGTGGCTCTCGACTGTAATCCCACTTTCAGGCTGAGGTGAGAGGATTGCTTGAGACCAGGAGTTTGAGACCAGCCTCGGCAACATAAAACCCCATCTCTCCAAAAAATAAAATTAGTCAGGTGTGGTGGCATGCACCTGTAGTCTCAGCGGCTCTGGAGGCTGGGGCAGGAAGATGACTCAAACCCAGGACTTCAAGGCTGTAGTGAGCTATGATTGTACCACTACATTCCAGCCTGACTGGCAGAGATAAGCTGTCCCTACTAAAATAAAAATTACAGTCACCAGTAATTCTACTAGCCACAGACAACAGCATCCATTAACACTTTTTTTATCCAGTTTCTATTTCCTATGCATATCTTTAGCATAATTAGGAGCTTACCAAATACAGCATTTTTTTAAAAACCCTATTAGAGTGTTATTGACTTAAAAGGGATAATTGACAATTAAACAGCACATGTTTCATCTGTATAATAGAATCTTTTCACACTTGTGTACACACATGACAAGAAAATGAACATTGCCAGGTACAGTGGCTCACACCTGTAATCCCAGCACTTTGGGAGGCTGAGGGAGACAGATCACTTGAGCTCAGGAATTCGAGATCAGCCTGGCCAACATGGTTAAACCCCGTCTCCACAAGTAGATAAGTTAGCTGGGTGGTGGCAGGTACCTCTAATCCCAGCTACTCGGGAGGCTGAGGTAGAATTGCTTGAACCTGGGAGCCAAGCAGAGGTTGCAGTGAGCCAAGATCACACCAATGCACTCCAGCCTGGGAGACAACGAGACTCCATCTAAAAAAAGATAATGAACATTTCCAACACTAAGTTTTTAATGAATTTTGAAATAATTTTAAGTTTACAGAAAACTTACATAGTAGAGACAATTCTTTATTTCAGTCGCCTGAATATTAAAATCTTACATGCTTATATTTATTAAAGCCCAAGAAATATTGGCACATTACTATTAACCAAACTATGGGCTTTTTTGAATTTTATCAGCTTTTCCACTTACATCCTTTTTCGGTTCCACCATCCAATCCAACATCTCACACTGTATTTACCCAAATACGGTTTAATATCTTGCCATTACCACATTACTAAGCATTGTGTGGTGGAAATCTCTTCAAAAACATTGTTTTAAAGGTTGCTTCATTTTTCTTGATATCAATTCACTTTATTGCTTAACTTGGAGATTATTCCCAAGTTTTGCTCTTATAAGCACTGCTGCTATGAAATTCTTTGTATCTACGTCTTTCTTTATATCTCATTGTTTCCTTGGTATCTCCTCCTTGAAATAAAGCCAGGTCAAACGTCCTTTGATAATGCTTGCTTTAAATCTTAAAGAATGCAGAAACACTTGGCAACCATCCCAAGAATACTTTTCTAGTGAAAAATCATTCATGGAAGCAAAAATTAAAGGATGGAAGTTTAATGATAAACAGGATATTTACATGATCTCAAAATATCTCCCTGCATATTACTTGTCAACTACCAAGAAATGAGTACCAACTTTACATTGGAGAAAACTGGCAGAACAGTTAATGTCAGAACAAGGCCAATCAACATCATGGGCTTCACCTGGCATGCTAAGGCAAAAAACGATCAGCCTGTGATCATCTTGCCAAAGATGCAAAACCTGAACTGAATAACGACAACATGCCAAGCAAACAGCATCGAGGGACATGTACCTAATAATGGGCTTGCACTCTTCGAAACCTTCAATGTCGTGAAAGTCTGAGGAACATTCTAGGTGAAAAGAGATTAAAGGGACCTGACCACTAAATGCAAAGCATGATCCTGGATGGAATCCTGAGCCAGAAAGATTCCTAAAAATTATGATGTAAGATACATTTTTGGGCAAATTGATCCGTATATTAGATCATAGTACCATATCAACGTCTTTTTTTTTTTTTTTTTTTAAAGACAGTGTCTCACTCTGTCACCCAAGCTGGGCATGGTGGTTCATGCCTGGAATCTCAGCACTTTGGGAGACCTGCTCAAGGGGAGCTGGCAAAAGTACAGAGGCTGACAGAGCTCAGACTTAGACTCTTGGGTCCTTCGGGATGAATCATGACCCGGGAAGCAGTGGGCACTCCCCTAATACAGCGGTCTCTGGAGCTGCCTTCTAGTTAAATCATTGCCTGCAGCGGGGAGGAGTAACGGGGTTGCCGCTCTTTCTGCACGCCCACCGTCTCCCAGAACAGTGCTCAGAATGAGTAGCCCCCACTTTTAAGAAAGCTTCTCCCAGGGCTGGGCACTGTGGCTCACACCTGTAATCCCAGCACTTTAGAAAGCCGAGGCAGGTGGAGCAACTGAAATCAACCTGACCAATATGGCAAAACCCCATCTCTACTAAAAATCTAAGAACTAGCCAGGCGTGGTGATGGGCACCTGTAATCCCAGCTACTCGGGAGACCGAAGGAGGAGAATCGCTTGAACCCGCGAGGCGGAGGTTGCAACCAGCAGACACTGAGATCACACCACTGCACTCCTACCTGGGTGATACAGCATGACTATCTGAACAAAAAAAGGGCCTCTTGGCCAGGCGTAGTAGCTCACACCTCTAACCCCAGCACTTTGGGAAGCCAAGGCGGGTGGATCACGAGATTAGGAAATAGACCATCCCAGCAAACACAGTGAAACACTTTCTACTAAAAAAACAAAAAAATTAGCCGGGCATGGTGGCGGGCACCCGTGGTCCCAACTACTCCGGAGACTGAGGTAGGAGTACGGTGTGAACTCAGGAGGCAGAGATTGCAGTGAGCCAAGATTGCACCACTGCAGTCCAGGCTGGATGACAGAGTAAAACTCCGCCTTAAAAAAAGAAAAAAAGAAGAAAAAAGGCTTCCTTGGGCCCCTACTGCCGATTTCTGTCCGTCCCTGCTGTACTATGACCAAGCCCATCCAGCCTCCCCCTAGCCTTAATTCCCTCAGACTTTCTGCCTCTACCTACCACACCAAGCTTCTCTCAAGCAATCCCCTCGCTCCTCCCTCCTGAACTTCAGTGGCCAACTGAGTCCCCCTAATGACTGGCAGTTCAGGAGCCTACTCCATGACCGGGTCACGCAGACAAATGGACACAGCTTACCTAAAACCTGCAGGAAAGAGAAAGATAACTACTTACCACTCTGACTTACAGGAACGTACTACCGAAGCCGTGGATAATCCAGCGAGAAACGACGGGGCATGGGCCTGCAGTATTTATAAGGGGCTGGTTAATACAATCTACACCTGTTCCAGGCTTCTGCAAGCCCGTGACAAACTCGGGTCCCAGGGCAGAGCCTGGATCTCCACCACCTGTGTCGGCTTCACCCAGGGTGCTTAAACACTCCCTGAGTCCCCCGAATGAGTGGCAGCTCAGAAGCCTGCTCCAGGGCTGGGTCACCGGAGAAATGCACACAGCTTGTCTGAGGTCTGCGGGGAGAGGGAGAAAGGGACTATTTACCTCTCTGACTTCCAAGGAACCTACTCTTGGGGCTGTGGGGAATCCAGGGAGGTGCAGCTGGGCCTTAACCTGGAAGATTTAGAAGGGGCTGGTTAATACGATCCACACCTGCCCCAGGCTTGTGCAAGTCCGTGGCAAACTTGGGTCCCAGGACAGAGCCTGGATCTCCACCACCTGTGTTGGCTTTACCCAGGGTGGTTAAGAAACATTCCCTGGCCCCACCCCAGAGCCAGCGCTGCTGCTGGTGGGGCCTGGGACTCTGCATTTTCACGAGCATCGAATACCGTCTCCTCCCACCGTGACACACACAGAGGCCTCCTCCTCCTGGATCCAGGTCTTGGTGTGTCTACTTCCAAGCTCTTTATTACCAGGAGATGAGAGAGGTCTCATCTATGAGGGGTGTTCTTTCTTTGTGTTTTATCTCATTGTCTTAACAAGCCAAGGGAGGATCTCAGTTCTCACTTCCAACCTTGAGGCAGACACATTACGTACACGGAAGCAACGGTTTATTATCGCACATCAGGCTGTTTGAACACAGTGGCTCCCGTCTGTATTCAAGTCTTGCATGCCTATTATGCAGAATTTGAAAACTACATCCAATTGTAAAAATAAAAATGATAGTGGCCAGGTGTGGTAGCTCACGACTATAATCCCAGTTTGAGGCTGAGGTGAGCGGATCCCTCGAGACCAGGAGTTTAACACCAGCCCAGGCAACATAGTGAAACCCCATCACTACAAAAAAATAAAAAATAAAAAAATTAGTCAGGTGTGGTGGCATGCACCTGCAGTCTCGGCTACTCTGGAGGCTGGGGCAGGAGGATGACTTGAGCCCAGGACTTCAAGGCTGTAGTGAGCTATGATTGTACTACTGCACTCCAGCCTGACTGGCAGAGAGAAACTCTGTCTCTATAAAAACAAAAAAATAAGAATTAGAATCACCTGTAATCCTACTAGCCACAGACACCAGCATCCATTAACACTGATATTTTTTCAGCTGGTTTTTATTTCCTATGCATATACTTTAGCATAATTAGGAGCTTACCAAATACAGCATTTTTCTCCTTTTTTAAGAAAACACCTATTCAGCTATAATTGACTTAAAAGGGATAATTGACATAATTAAACAGCACATATTTCATCTGTATAATAGAATATGTTTTCACACTTGTATACACCCATGACAGTCAACATAATGAACATGGCCGCGTGCAGTGGCTTACACCTGTAATCCCAGCACTTTGGGAGGCTGAGGCATGCGGATCACTTGAGCTCAGGAGTTTGAGATCAGCCTGGCCAAAATGGTGAAACCCTGTCTCTACTACAAGTACATAAATTAGCCGGTGTGGTGGCAGGTGCCTGTAATCCCAGCTAATCGGGAGGCTGAGGTAGAAAAATTGCTTGAACCTCGGAGGCAGAGGTTGCAGTGAGCCAAGATCGCACTAATTCACTCCAGCCTGGGAGACACAGCGAGACTCCATCTCGAAAAAAAAAAAAAAAAAAAAAAAAAAAGATAATGAACATTTCCAACACTCAACACTTCCAGGTTAAGTTTTTAATGACATTTTTATTTTGGAATAATTCTACGTTTACAGAAAACTTACAAAGATAGTAGAGACAATTCTTTATCTCTCAGTCCCCTGAATATTAATATCTTACATGCCTATGGTATATTTATTAAATAAAACACAAGAAATTAATATTGGCACATTACTATTAACCAAACTATGGGCTTTATTTGAATTTTATCAGCTTTTCCACTGATGTCCTTTTTCTGTTCCACCATCCAATCCAGCATCTCACATTGCATTTAGCCAAATGTGGTTTAATATCTTGCCATTACTTACCACCTTACTAAGCATTACGTGGTGGAAATCTCTTCAAAAACATTGTTTTAAAGGTTACTTCGTATTTGTTGATATCAATTTACCGTATTGCTTCACTTAGGTTATTCCCAAGTTTTACTCTTATAAGCACTGTTGCAATGAAATTCTTTATATCTAAATCTTTCTTTACATCTCATATTGTTTCCTTGAGATATCCTCCTTGAAATAAAGCCAGTATGTCAAAGGTCCTTTCATACATGCTTGCTTTAAATCTTCAAGAATGCAGAAACACTTTGCAACCATCCTAAGAATACTTTTTTTCCAGTGGAGAATCATTGATGGAGGCAAAAATTAAAGGATGGAAGTTTAATGAGAAACAGGGTATTTACATGATCTCAAAATATCTCCCTGCATATTACTTGTCGATTACCAAGAAACGAGTACCAACTTTACATTGGAGAAATCTGGCAGTACTGTTAATTGAGTAATCAAAGTTAACAACATCAAAACAAGGCAAACCGACATCATGGGCTTCACCTGGCATGCGAAGGCAAAACAAAATCAGCCTGTGATCATCTTGCCAAAGATGCAAAACCTGAACTGAATAACGAGAACATGCCAGGCAAACAGCATCGAGGGACATGTACCTAATAATGGGCTTGCGCTCTTCAAAACCTTCAATGTCGTGAAAGGCTGAGGAACATTCTAGGTGAAAGGAGATTAAAGGCACATGACCACTAAATGCAATGGATGATCCTGGATGGAATCCTGAGCCAGAAAAATTCTTAAAATTTTGATATAAGATACATTCTTGGGAAAATTAATCCGTGGATTAGATCGTAATACGATGACAACGTCAATTTCTTTTCTCTTCTTTTCTTTTTTTTTTGAGACAGTGTCTCACTCTGTCACCCAAGCTGGGCGTGGTGGCTCATGCCTGGAATCTCAGCAGTTTGGGAGGCTGAGGTGGGTGGATCACTTGAGGTCAATAGTTCGAGACCAGCATGGCCAACATGGTGAAACCCCATCTCCACTAAAAAATACAAAAACTAGCCAGGCATGGTGGTGCACGCCTGTAATCCCAGCTACTTGGGAGCTCACAGCAACCTCCACCTCCCGGGCTCAAGCCATCCTCCCACCTCAGCCTCTTGAGTAACTGGAACTACAGGTGCATGCCACCACATCCAGCTAATTTTTGTATTTTTGGTAGAGATGGAGTCTTCCTGTGTTGCTCAGGCTGGTCTCAAACTCCTAACCTCAAGTGATTCTCCCACCTTGGCCTCCCATAGGGCTGGGATTACAGGCGTGAGCGACAGTGCCCAACCAGAAAACTCTTAGCAAAGTGATGGTGAGATGCTTCCATAAAGCCTTGAAGCTTCCAACTTACAGAAAAACTGTGATATTAGAACAAAGAACTTCCATATACCTCTCACCTGGAGACCTTATTCAAGTTTTGATAATTGTCCCAGTGATGCTCTTTAGAGCAAAGGGACACAGCTCAGGATCGCATGCTCTCATCAATCTTCCTGTCTCTTTCGTCTCCAGTCTGGACTGAACTAGAAACGATGGGCTGGGTGTGGTGGCTCACACCTGTAATCCCAGCCCTTTGGGAGGTTGAGGTAGGCAGATCACCTGAGGTCAGGAGTTTGAGACTAGCCTGGCCAACATGGTGAAACCCCATCTCTACTAAAAATACGAAAATTAGCCGGGCATAGTAGCACATGCCTGTAGTCCCAGCTACTTGGGAGGCTGAGGCAGGAGAATCGCTTAAATCCAGGAGGCAGAGGTTGCTGTGAGCCGAGATCACACCACTGCACTCCAGCCTGGGCGACAGAGTGAAACTCTGTATAAAAAGGAAAAGAAAAGACAAAAATGAAAGAAAGATGGGAAAGAGGGAAGAGGGAAGGAAGGAAAGGAAAAAAAAAAAAGGAAAGGAGAGAGGGAGGGAGCCTCCACATTTTTAGAACATCCTTTTATTGTCTGAACATCAACATTTCTCAGCAGGAAAATTTGGAAAACCATAGCAAAACCCAGAGGAAAAATCTCACTACAGAATCACCAAGCCCAGTAAAGCATTGTTTACTCTTGGACGGGTTCCTCGATTTTTGTTCTTTGATCACATTTGAGATTATAGTGAATACATAACATTTTGTGGGTACGTAGCCTCTCACGGCAAGCTTATAAAAATACTGACTTTTGCCCTTGCTCTTTCTATCCCAAGCCTACTGAACAGAATCCCCAGGGCTGGGGATCTCAGCATCCATATTTTCCAATAGTTCTCAGGTGTGCTGGTATACCCACTCAAGATTAAGAACCACTCTTTGCATTCTGCCTTTGTCATTTAATATTATTTCCTAAACATTTCCCTTCACCACTGGAAGCTCTTGTCAATTACTTATATGAGCATGCATTATTTATATTATGCAAATAATTTTTTAAAAGATCTTTTACCAGCCAGACTCATAATTCTGCTTTATAACTTGTGTGAGAGGATTTGCCTAGAGTCGGGCGCTTGGCTGGAGTGAGGGGAACGTTTGTGGAATCTCCATGAGACAAATTGGACCCAAAAATCAGGAAACAGAGTGAAGTGGAATCTGTCCTAGAGACTCACACGTTTTTAGGAAATCATGAATTGGTGACATTACACTGGATGGTAATATCTAGTCAAATTTAAAATACACATCCAGGCCAGGCGCGGTGGCTCATGCCTGTAATCCCAGCACTTTGAGAGGCTGAGGTGGGTGGACCATCTGAGGTCAGGAGTTCAAGATCAGCCTGGCAGTGAAACCCCGTCTCTACTAAAAATCCAAAAATTAGGCGGGCGTGGTGGTGGGCGCCTGTAATCCTAGCTACTTGGGAGGCTGAGGCAGGGTAACTGCTTGAACCTGGGAAGAGGAAGTTGCAGTGAGCTGAGATCGCGCCATTGCACTCCAGCCTGGATGACAGAGCGAGACTCTATCTCAAAAAAAAAAAAAAATACACATCCAGCTGGGGAACACAGCGAGACCCCTTCTCTACAAAAAAAAATAAAAGATTAGCCAGGTGTAGTGGCACCCACCTGTAGTCCCAACTATTTGGGAGGCTGAGGTGGGAGGACTCCTTGAGCCCAGGAGTTGGAGGCTGCAGTGAACTATGATCACACCACTGCACTCTAGCCCATGCAATAGAGCAAGATCCTGTCTCAAAAAAAACAACAAACAAACAAACAAACAAAAAGAAAAAAGCTTAGACTTTGATCCAACAATTCTACTGCAAGGAATTGTTTTTCTGTGAATATACTGCACATAAAGCAAGGACTGAGGATGTAAAGAGCTCACTGAGGTATTGTTTGTGATAACGAATGACCACATACAGCATAGACATCCATCCACACAATACGGAAATGATGTAATAAACACCATGGAAAGAATGTAGCATTCTTTGTGCTTTTGAGCCACTTCCAAATATCTTATTAAAATAATTGTGTGCCTTTTTAAAAAAATTAGATATACGTATTCCTAGACATGAGTATTCATATTTTCATAGAGACCCTGTCTCTACAAAAATAAAAATAATTAGCTGGGCATGATGGTGGTGTGTGCCTGCGGGCCCAGTTACTTGGGAGGCTGAGGCAGGAGGATCACTTGAACTTGAGCCTGGGAATTTGAGGCTGTAGTGAGCTGAGATCGTGCCACTGCACTCCAGCCTGGGCAACAGAGCGAGACTCCATCTCAAAAAAAAAAAAAAAAAAAAAACCACTTATGGAAGGATACACAAGGGACAGTTAAAATAGTCATGACTTGTGGGGAGGTGGCGTTGCAGGTCAGTGATAAAAGTGAGATTTGATTATTTATTTATTTATTCCTGTATTTATTTTTGAGATAGGGTCTTGCTCTGTCACCCTGGCAGGCTGCAGTGCGATGGCACTATCATGGCTCACTGCAGCCTCCAGCTTTGAGGCTCAAGTAATCCTCCCACTTCAGCCTCTTAAGTAGGTGGGACTATAGGCGTGCACCACCTTGCCCAGCTAATTTTTTATTTTTTATAGAGATGAGGATTCTCCATGTTTCTCTGGGCTAGTCTCGAACTCCGAGGCTCAACGGATCCTCCCACCTCGGCCTTTCAAAGTGCTGGGATTACCGGCTTAAGCTACTGTGTCCAGCTGATTTTTATAATGTATCTTCCGGTGCTGTTTGAAAATTTTACCATGTGGTTGTATTATCTATTCAGGAGGCTGAGGTGGGAGGATTTTTAAAAACTTTTTAAGAACTAACTACAAATAAAGAGATGCTACTGAAACAGTAGCTTCAGCGGGAAGGCAGTGATTTGGAGCATGTGTGGGTGGAGCACAGGCCCGGCGTCGTATTTCTAGGTGATCCTAATGGGTCTTGACACCTTCACCTAATTAAAGTGGGCGAGCACAGAGGTGTCTGCTGGTTCTCGGAGTGCATCTGTCACCGGTCCCGCCACAGCGGGAGGCTAGCATGCTGAGCATGTGGAATGTGGAGCCTCGGCCCTGCAGCCTGGGCAGCTGGAGTTCAGACCGCGGGTTCCCAGATCAGCTCCCAGCTCACTAGGCTTCTTGCTATGACAGATACAGGGCAGCAGAGTGTTCAGCCTCCAGCTTCCAGGCAGCCCACCTGCCCTTTCTGTGCTGTAAATGCCTCCTCCCAGGTTCATGGAGTGGCTACCGTGCCTTGAAGCCCACCTGTGTCCAGTCTAATGTGATGGTCATGAGTGTAGGCTCAGAGGGCAGAGAGAAGTGCCTTGGAGACCTGCTTTAGGCCAGGCGCGGTGGCTCACGCCTGTAATCCCAGCACTTTGGGAGTCTGAGGCAGGCGGATCACCTGAGGTCAGGAGTTCGAGACCAGCCTGGCCAACATGGTGAAACCCCATCTCTACCAAAAAAGTACAAAAACTAGCCGGGCTTGGTGGCATACGCTTGTAATCCCAGATACTCGGGAGCTGACGCAGGAGAATCGCTTAAACCTGGGAGGCGGAGGTTGCAGTGAGCCGAGATCATGCCATTGCACTCCAGCCTGGACGACAGAGTGAGAATCCATCTCAAATTAAAAATAATAATAAGAAAAACCCCGCTTCAACCACTTACTGTGCAGCCTTGAGAACTGTACCCAGTTTTTGTGAGCCCTTGTTTCCTCATTGGTAAGATAGAGTTAATAATATCTCTCTCTCCAGGGGCTGTAAGAATTAAATGAGGTCATTTGTAGGAAGAATTCATCAAATATCAATTATTTATTTCATGAACAAACCTTTATCAGGCACGCTAGTAGGTGCCAAATCCCCTGCTAGGAGCTGGAGATTTAAAAAATTATTTATTTATTTATTTATTATTGAGACAAAGTCTTGCTCTGTCACCCAGGCTAGAGTGCAATGGCATGACCTCCGCTCACTGCAGCTTCTACCCCCCGGGGTTCAAGCCATTCTCGTGACTCAGCCTCCTGAGTAGCTGAGATTACAGGTGCCCGCCACCATGCCTGGCTAATTTTTGTATTTTTTTGTGGAGACAAAATGAAAGAAAACATTGGGTTTCACCATGTTGGCCAGGCTGGTTTTGAACTCCTGACCTCAAGTGATCCTCCTGCCTCAGCCTCCCAAAGTGCTGGGATTACAGGTGTGAGCCACCGCACCCGGCCAAATTTTTTTTTTTAAACGGCTGGGCAAGATGGCTTCTGCCTGTAATCCTAGCACTTTGGGAGGCCTAGGTAGGAGGACCCCTTGAGCCCAGGAGTTTGAGACCAGCCTGGGCAATATCATAAGACCCTTGTCTCTACAAAACTCTTTTTTTTAAAAATTAGCCAGGTGTGGTGGCACATCCTGTAGTCCCAGCTACTCAGGAGGCTAAGGGAGGAGGCTCTCTTGAGCCCAGGAGTTTGAGGCTGAAGTAAGATATGATTGCACCACTGCACTCCAGCCTAGGTGACAGACCAAGACCTGTCTCTAAAAAAGAAAAAAACAGTGACATGGTTTTTGCCGTTAAGTAATTCACAGTCAAACAGAAAAGAGGTAATATATAATATTAATAGTTTTTAAAAAACAATCCCAGAAAAAAACTGTCCCAGATTTATCATCTTATTTAATTTTATTACAATCCTCTGAGGTAGCTATTATTATTCGTATTTTATACATGAGGAAATGAAGGTCCAGAGAAAAGTGGAGCAGTGCACTGGAAGGTAAAGGAAGTTAATTGGCTAACAGACAAGAGAATTCTCTGGGGTTCTCTGGTGACAGTTAACACACTCTTTCAAGGCTACTTTAAGCAATTTTTTTAAATGGAGGAAATTTGACATAGGGATCCAGGGGCCTCATGTAATGCCTGTCATCAAAGTGCAGACAATGTAGCTAGCCCTCCCCCAGGAAAAATAGGAAGTAGGACAAAGTATTTTCTGCATCAAAGCCAGGCCTGTCTTTCCTTCTTTCATCATTGCCTCCTTTTGTGCATCTGCCTCTTTCTTCATCGTCAATCTGTCTTCAGAGCACAGGGCAGAAAATGACGATCCTTGACTCAGACACATACCATCTCCATGACTGATACATACCATCTCCATGGAGGAGACCAGCCGAGATAGCAACAGGACTCCTCCAAGGAAAGACAATCTGGTTGGCCCAGGCTGGACCACGTGTTTACTTCTTGACCAATCAGCTATGGCTAGAAAGTCAAGTAGCCTGCTCATTGGTGGAGCAGGTAATCTTCAAACAGGAGGGTCTGGGTGGCTGTGTCCACCCTGGGAACCTCCAGAAAAACAATAAATTTCAATAAACAGAGCAAAAGGGGTGTCCAAAAAAGGACTTCCTGAAGAAGATGACATTGAAGCTTTTCCCCAAACGCTTGTCTTTTCTTCATTAAATCTATAATTTCCAAAGCACTTAAGTGATGTAGAATGTCTTATTTAGGTCAGCAAATGTTACCTTGAAAAATGAGAGAGAAAAAATAAAAACAGCCCTGGCCACTTTTCAATCCTTTTTATATAAAAGTACAATTATCCAATATGTCCCTGAAGGAATAGAGCTGGTACTCTCATGTATGCACTAACGAGTGTTCCCTAAAAAGATATGTCCACTTCCTAACCTCACGTACCTGGGAATGGACTCTTATTTGGAAATACAGTCTTTGCAGATGCAATTAAGTTAAGGATCTCAAGATGGAAGCATCCTGGATTATCCAAGTGGGTCCTAAATCCAATATCTATTGTCCTTATAAGAGAAAACACTGGGAAATTTAAGATACACAGTCACGGGGGAGAAAGCCATGTGAACTCACGTGTAGACGGAGGCAGAGACTGGAGTGATAGTTTACAAGCTGAGGAACACCAAAGATTGCTTCAACCACCAACAGCTGGGAGAGAGGCATGGAACAGATTCTCCCTCGGACCCTCTAGAAGAAAGGAACCCTTCCAAACCCTTCCCACACCTTGATTTCACATTTCTGGCCTCCAGAACTGTGAGAAAATAAATTTCTATTTTTTTTTTGTTTGTTTGTTTTGAGACAGAGTTTTGCTCTTGTTGGCCAGACCGGAGTGCAATTGTGCGATCTCGGCTCACCACAACCTCCACTTCCCAGATTCAAGCAATTCTCCTGCCTCAGCCTCCTGAGTAGCTGGGATTACAGGCATGCGCCACCACACTCTGCTAATTTTGTATTTTTAGTAGAGACGGGGTTCCTCCATGTTGGTCAGGCTGATCTCAAACTCCCAACCTCAGGTGATCCACCCTCCTGGGCCTCCCAAAGTGCTGGGATTACAGGCATGAGCCACCGCGCCCGGCCCAGTTTCTGTTGTTTTAAGCTGCCCATTTTATGGTAAGTTCTCACAGCAGCAACAGCAAACTAACACAGGTATCAGTACGTGCCTTCCCAAACAGCCATGGTGCTCAGGACACATGTAGCGCATGCCCCTTCAAAGGACAGCCAGCTCAGAATGAGACACTTCATGGGGGCCAGGTCTCCAATCACAGGAATGGAACCCCCACAGCCCTGTCTGTGTTACTGGAAGTTACCCTGCCCTGCCCTACCTATAGCTGATTGGTCAAAATTAGGCACTTGACCTAAGCCAGCCAATCTGGGTTTTCCCTGAGGATTCTTCTAGCCAGGAATAAGTCATTCATTCTCTTGTGGTTGGCGACAGAAATCATAAGATGGGAACCTGGCGCATGGAAGCACCTGTGTTTCCTGGTGCATGGAAATAAGAGTCTGTAGTATGAGGGAGTGAAGGCATAGCGAAAAGGAACAAGGTGGATGACTTGGAGACACTGAGATCCTTGAGACCACACTCTCTCTCCCTCCCCTTCCCGTGACCTGGGTGAACCGCCCATTTTGCATCCCATGAGCCAATACAGTTTTCTGGTTTTGGTTTAAGCTGATTTGAGTTAGCTTTCCACCACTTGTTGCATATATTTTGGTGGCAGTGCTTGAAATCTACCCTCTTAGCAGATTTCCAGTACCTATTACAGTATTATTATGATAGTCCTCATGTGGTGTATTACACCTCAAGAGGTAATTGAGGTGTAATATACCACATGAGGACTATCATTATAATAGTGTATCAGGTCAGGCTCAGTGGCTCATGCTTGCGATCCCAGCACTTTGGGAGGCCAAGGCGGGTGGAGCACTTGAGGTCAGGAGTTCTAGACCAGCCTGGCCAACATGGTAAAACCTCATTTCTACTAAAAATAACAATAACAATAATAATAATAATAATCCAGGCATGGTGGCGGGTGCCTGTAGTCCCAGCTACTCAGGAGGCTGAGGCAGGACAATCGCTTGAACTGGGGAGGTGGAGGTTGCAGTGAGCCGAGATCATGCCATTGCACTTCAGCTTGGGCAACAAGAGCGAAAATTCATCTCAAAAAAAAAAATTACTGTATGAATATACACATATTCATCCCACATAACTCCAACTTTACATTCTTTGGCCACCATCTCCCCACTTCCCCACCCCTGGCTACCACTATTTTACTCTGTTTGTATGTATTTATCTTTCTAAAATTCCACATATACGTGAGATCATGCGGTGTTTTTGTTTCTGTGTCTGGCTCATTTCACTTGGCATAATGTCCTCCAGGTACCCTTCCACAGAGGGTAGGAAGTCCTTTTTAAAGGCTGAATAATATTCCCATTTAAATAATACAATACTTGAGGGAGCTATAGCGCAGCTACATTTTGGACACCGTGTGGATCTCGGTGAACATTTACCTGTGGGGCCTGTCCAAATACCACTGAATGTTCACTTTGAAGGGAACTATTTGTGTAAGGCACACATTCTCACAGTGTGAGCTGGAAAACACTGATCACACTGATTTTTTTGTGTGTCACATGTTGTAGTAATGCATTTGTTGCTCAGACCGCCATGACACAACATCGTAGACTAAGTGGCTTACGCAGCAGATTTTTTTTTTCTTGCAGTTCTGGAGGCTGGAAGTCCAAGGTCAAGGTGCTGGCCAATTCACTTTCTGTGACTTAATCTCTTCCTGGCTTGCAGATGGCTGCTTTCTTGCTATGTCCTCTCCTGGACTTTCCTTGGTGCACGTGCAGACAAAGAGAGTGAGCAGACACTCTGGTGTCTCTGCTTTTTAAAAATCTTTTTAGACACAGAGTATTGCTCTGTTGCCCCGGCTGGAGCAGCAGATTGGTGCAATCTGTTGCACCAAGATTGTGATACAACCATAGTTCACTGCAGCCTCAACCTCCTGGGCTCAAGTGATCCTCCTGCCTCAAGCTCCAGAGTAGCTAGGACTACAGGTGCATGCCACCATGTCCAGTTAATTAATTTTTTTTCTTCTTTTGTAGAGATGAGATCTTGCTGTGCTGCCCAGACTGGTCTGGAACTTTTGGCCTCAAAAGATCCTCCTGCCTTGGCCTCCCAAAGTGCTTGGATTTCAGGCATGAGCCACCAAGCCCAACCTGGTGTCATCACTTCTCTCTCTTTTTTTTTTTTTTTGAGATGGAATCTTGCTGTTGCCCAGGCTGTAGTGCAGTGGCATGATCTCAGCTCACTGCAGCCTCCACCTCCTGGGTTCAAGCAATTCTCCTGCCTCAGCTTCCTGAGTAGCTTGGGATTACAGGCACCTGCTATCACACCTGGCTCATTTTTGTATTTTTAGTAGAGATGGGGTTTTGCCATGCTGGCCAGGCTGGTCTCAAACTCCTGACCTCTTGATCTGCCCACCTCAGCCTCCCAAAGTGCTTGGATTTCAGGTGTGAGCCACCAAGCCCAACCTGGTGTCTCTTCTTATAAGGACACAAATCCTATCAGATCAGGGCCCCACCCTTTTGACCTCAATTAATCTTAATTACTTTCTTAGAGGCTCCATCTCCAAATATAGCCACATTGGGGTTAGGGCTTTAATATATGAATTTGGGCTGGGGGGAACAAACAGTTCATCGCAAGTAGTCAGGACGAGTAATGGCAGCTGCAGTAATAAAACATCCCACCATATCAATGGCACACATTACAGTTCCATGCAAGTGTGTGGCAGTCAGCCTTCCACACGGTGCTTCGAGGGTTCAAGCTCTTTCCATCTGTGGCTCTGACTTCCTCATTCCCATGGGTCCACTCTACTCAGCTGGCAGACAGGGAAAGCGAGTGAAGCACTGTATGGGGTGTGTGTACGAGGCAGGCCTGGAAGAGGTGCCTGTCACTTCATCTCCTGTCCCACTTGCTAGAACTCTATCGTGTGGCTGCATTGAACTGCAAGGGAGACTGTCTATCGGGGTGTCTGGAATAAGGAAGTGGATTGAATGAACTGCTAGCCAATCTGTGCCACCATGGTGGAAAAGAGTTTGTGATGAAATCGACTTAGGAAAAGTTGTTTTTAAAACAGTTAGATGGGGGCTGGGTGTGGTGGCTTACACCTGTAATCCCAGCCCTTTAGAAGGCTGAGACGGCAGGATTGCTTGAGCCCAGGAGTTTGAGACCAGCCTGGGCAACATGGTGAAACCCCGTGTCTACAAGAAATACAAAAAAATAGCCAGGCAGGTGGCGGCGCACACCTGTAGTCCCAGCTACTTGGGAGGCTGAGGCAGGAGGACCCCTGAGCCCAGGATGTTGAGGCTTTGGTGAGCTGTGATCACGCCACTGCACTCTAGCCTGGGCAACAGAGTAAGACTGTCTCAAAAAACAAAAACAAAAAGACAAAACAAAACAAAACAACCCAGTCAGATGAATTACCTTACTGTGGAACATCTTAGGTCCTTTAGTGAACTACTGTGCATTGTGAATTGCTAAGACGGCAGGGAGTGAATGGTGTTTCTCATCCTGACTTAAAGACTAGCCCTGTTTTGCTCAAAGAGCTTCTTGTGGCAAAAATATCAGTGTAGAGCAATAGGTCCAAAACCAAGTGAAGAGGGATGAGTGTGGAGGGGGGGAATATGACCGGGTGTTGCAATGTGGATTTCGTGGGATGAGCAAATAAAGCTCAGGAAGTCAACATCAACACAGAAGAGGCAGCCTCACAGTGCAGCCCCGGTGCCCTGCCCTGACTGTGGAAGTCACCATCCTGGCCCCCAATGAGCTCATCGAAAGAGGGACGTTGTTCACGGGCACTGAGAGGTCAGATAAGTTCATTGCAGTTGAAGGCAATAAAGCAATTTGAAAACTTCAGTACGTCATCTCCTGTGGGTCAGAAGCTGTGCTTTTCTTGGCATCATCGTCAGCCTCAAGATGGGGGACAAACACTGGCATTGCTGAGAAATTTCTTGAGAGCTCCAGGGAGGCTCTCTGCATCAGCCTGGTCTGATGCACTGGCTGGATGGAAGTGCAGAAAACCGGTTCAAATGCAGAAAACCTCTTTTCTGACCACCTGGGTCCTTCGGAGCTGATGTGGGGTATACAGTGGAGTCCAGATTATGCAAGCTTAGGCAGGGCTGCCTCAAGTGCGGTGGGAAGGTAGATGCTGGAAACACTCAGAACTCTGCTCAAAGCCTGGCTCTGGCTTTGTTTCCTTACCTGTAAAGTGGGGACAATAGACCCTGCTCCAAATGAAAATATGAATACAGATAACAACAACAACAGTGATGATTAATTGAACACTTACTATGTACAAGGCACCGTGAACTATTTTACTTACATCATCTCTCATCCTTTCAGCAGTGGTTCTCAACCAGGGGTGAATTTGCCCCTCAGTGGACACTGGGCAATGTTTGGAAACATTTTTGGTTGTCACAACCAGGGGAGGGGTAGTGCTACTGGCATCCAGTGAATAGAGGCCAGGGTAAGATCCTACAGCTCATGGGACAGCCCCTAGAGCAAGGAATGATACAGCCCAAAGTGTTGACATTGCTGAGGTTGAGAAATCTGACTTCCAGGGATCCTTCAAGATTGTTCCACCCTTCCCCATTTTACAGATGAAGGAACTGAGGCTCAGACATTATCTAATTTGGAGAAGTCTAGACCTGAACCGACCCGATAGCCATTGTTTGCAATGCCTCTGCGAGCATGTGTGTGTGTGTATGTGTGTTTGTGTGTGTGTACATGCCATCCCCCTTCCTCTCACCATTCTTGTTTATTGACCTTGAGCAAACTCCTCTTCCTCTCATGGTTGTTCCAATCCGTGCTAATCATGAGAGTGTGCAACTCATGGTACTTTAAAATCAATAAGAAAGGCTTAGCTGGGGGTGGTGGCTCATGCCTGTAATCCCAGCACTTTGGGAGGCCGAGGTGGGTGGATCATTGAGGTCAGGACTTTGAGACCAACCTGGGCAACATGATGAAACCCCATCTCTACTAAAAATACAAAAATTAGCCAGGTGTGGTGGCACACACCTGTAATCCCAGCTTCTTAGAAAGCTGAGGCATGAGAATTACTTGAACCCAGGAGGCAGATGTTGTAGTGAGCCAAGATCGTGTCACTGCACTCCAGCCTGGGTGATAGAGTGAGATTCGGTCTCAAAAAAAAAACAACAACAAAAAAGTAAACTAGCTTTCCATTTCCTTTGATAATTTTAAACATTTACTTATTAGATAATTTTTTTGTAAAAAAGAGTCAATGTGTGGCCGGGTGCGGTGGCTCACACCTGTAATCCCAGCATTTTGGGAGGCCAAGGCAGGCGGATCACTTGAGGTCAGGAATCTGAGACCATCCTGGCCAACATGGTGAAAGCCCGTCTCTACTAAAAATACAAAAATTAGCTGGGTGTGGTGGCGCGTGCCTGTAATCCCAGCTACTCGGGAGGGTGGGGCACGAGAATCTCTTGAGCCTGAGAGGTGGAGGTTGTAGTGACCTGAGATTGCACCACTGCACTCCAGCCTGGCAACAGAGCGAGACTCTGTCTCAAAAATAAAAATAAATAAATAAATAAATAAATAAATAAATAAATAAAACAAGTCAATGTGGCAAAAAGTGTGAAGATGATATATTAAACATGACTGCCATTTGGGAAATATGGTTCTAGGGCTGTCCAGCTGGACTTTCTGCAATGATTGAAATGTTCTATTCTGTGCTATCCAATAGCCACATGTGGCTATTGAGTACTTGAAAGGTGGCTAGTGTAACTGAGGCACTGAATTTTAAAATTTTATTTTACTATATAAAGACAATGCAGATCTTGGGTGATAACCGTGATTGATAATGCATGCCTGGAATACTGTCTTTAGGAGGACTCAGCGGTCAGTAGTTCTGTGACAGATTATTAATGCCTGGTGTGGGTATGAGGGGGAATGTGATGGTGAGAGTGTCATTTATTGGCCATCCCTAGACTACGTTTTCTTAGAGGGTCCTTCTAGCTCTAACATTTCAGAATGATATATTCTTCCCTAAGCCTTCGGTAGAATTTAGTACCCAATTAATGATCTGTCTAACCCAGGATGTCATGGAACTATTTGTTTCTGATTTCTGTGTTTTTTAGAAAACCTCACACCATCTGCTTGTTTCCTGATAAACGTAGAGACTACTGATTAGAAGGCTTCACTTTAAAGTATTTACCCATATCTACATGCATTTGCCTGAAGCTAATTATTTCAGGCTGGTGAGATGTGAGTCACCATTTCCTTTTCTCAAGAAAGACACTAAAAAGTCACCTCTTTAGAGGCAGGGGATCATTACCAACGGAAAAGGAAGGACCCCATCTGTTTAATGTGTGGCTAAAAGTGGGGTGCTGGAAATAACCTTTCTCCACGTGACTACAGAGTTGGGACAGGCTGTCAACAGGCTTCGGCTATCTTGGAGAGAAAGTCCCAGATTCTGCCATGGAGAACAGAGGCAAGGCATGGCATGGAACGCTCCCTCCACCCACCGCCATAGAAGCTGAATGTCAAGCAGGTTGGCAGCTTTCCCCAGCCCTCCCCCAGTGTCCCTGCCAGGCACGGAAGGACGGGTCACAGGGCTGACCCTGGCTGGCATTTCAGACAGCTTTATAATTACACCATCTATTTTTCAACTTGCCACTGACCTTTTGGTCTTCTCATTTGTGAGCATGCGAGCATGTGTGTATGTGTGTGCGTTGGATGTGTCTTCTTTTATCTTTGCTTGATGCTCTCATCCTCATTTCCTTTTCTCTTCTCCTCTGGTCTTGTTTATCATTTAAACCACAGGTTGTTAGGGCCAAGTTGGTTTCTCTTTCCTTCTGCTTTATCCTATTATGGAATTATCTAGAATGAGCCCTGTCATCTCTCTGACCTCACTTTCCCATCTGTCAAATCAAAGGTTTTGATTGGATCATAAGAATTGGTAACATTGAATTTTTTTTTTTTTTTTTTTTTTTTTTGAGACAGAGTCTCACTCTGTCCCCCAGGCTGGAGTGCAGTGGCATGATCTTGGCTCACTGCAACCTCCGCCTCCCAGGTTCAACTAATTCTTCTGCCTTAGCCTCCCCAATAGCTGGGGACTACAGGTGCGTGCCACCACTCCTGGCTAATTTTTGTATTTTTAGTAGAGACGGGGTTTCACCACGTTGGCCAGGCTGGTTCGAACTCCTGACCTTGTGATCTGTCCGCCGCAGCCTCCCAAAGTGCTGGGATTACAGGCATAAACCACTGCACCCAGCCAACATAGAACTCTTGACTCTGCCCACCATATTGCTGTCACCTGCTGTCACTGCCTTAGTCCAAGTCCTCATCACCTGTCACCATTGGGACCAAGGTTCTATCACTCCAGAATGGTACCCCCACCCTTGGGCTCCCCTCCAATCTGTTCATGAACCTGAGCTAGAGGCATCTTTTGGAAATGCCCATTGGATCATGTCACTCCCCCATCGTCCTTGTACCCTCCAAGCCCAGCCTCCCTAACATGTCCTCTGAGGCGAATCATCAGGTCCACCATCTGCCCACCTCTCGTCCCCACTCTACGTCACTCTCCTGCACTCTCTACCCTCCAGCCCTCCTGGCCCTCAGTTCCTCAAGCATGTTAGTCTCCCTCTGGTAACAGACATTTCTGCCGGTGGTCCCCTATCCTAGAACAGCTGTTTTCTAACATGGTTGCATATTGGAATCGCCTTGGGAGCTTAAAAAAATCCTAATGCCCAGGCTTTACCCCAGACCATTTGGATCAGAGTCTTTGGAGGGGCAGTGTGGGCAACAGTATTTTTTTTTTTTTTGAAATGGAGTTTCGCTCTTGTTGCCCAGGCTGGAGTGCAATGGTGCAATCTCGACTCACCGCAACCTCCGCCTCCCGGGTTCAAGTGATTCTCCTGCCTCAGCCTCCCAAGTAGCTGGGATTACAGGCATGTGCCACCATACCCAGCTAGTTTTTGTATTTTTAGTAGAGACGGGGTTTCAGCATCTTGGCCAGGCTGGTCTTGAACTCCTGACCTCAGGTGATTCACCCACCTCAGCCTCCCAAAGTGCTGGGATTACAGGCGTGAGCCACCATGCCTGGCCAACAGTACTCTTTAAATTTCCCCAGATGACTCCAATGAGCAACCAAGGTTGTGAACCAATGGCCTAGGATGCCCTTTTTCCTTTCCTCCGCTCTCATCAACTCATCCCTTAGAGGCGATGTCAAAATTTCATCTCTGGTTTCCACCTACGTCTAAGTTGGACCCCTTGTTTTATGCTCTCACAGGACCATGGGCTGTATTTTGAGAGCACATAGCTCAGTTTGCAATGACATATGTGTTAGTGTGATGTTTGATTACTGTCTTTCTCCCTGACTGTGGGACCAGCCTCTAAGATGGCACCCAATGTTCTCCACCTCCTGCTGTTACACCCTGTAAGGTGTGATCCCTTCCCACATTGTACCAGCCTTGGTTTCTGTGACCAGTTGCATATGGCAGAGGTGATGGTATGTCACTCTCAAGATTAAGTTTTAAAACACGACGACTTCCATCTTGAGGATTCTCTCTCCCCTGGATCACTAACTTTGGGGGAAGCCAATCCCCATGTCATGGGGTCATGAGGACATTCAAGGCAGCCTATGAAGAGATGCAGGTAAGAAACAAAGACCTCTGGCCAGTAAGGAATTGCAGCCAGCCAAGAGCCAAGGGGGATCACCTGAGATCGGGGGTTCGAGACCAGCCCGACCAATATGATGAACCCCTGTCTCTACTAAATATACAAAAATTAGCTGGGTGTGGTGGCACATGCCTGTAATCCCAGCTACTTGGGAGGCTGAGACACGAGAATCACTTGAACCTGGGAGGCGGATGCTGTAGTCAGACGAGATTGTACCACTGCACTCCAGTCTGGGCGACAGAGTAAGACTCTGTCTCAAAAAAAAAAAACAAACAAAAAACATACTCCCTTGTCAAGCCTAAAACCCCCTCCCCAGCCTCTAGCTCTGGCTTATGGGAGTCAGTTGCAGAGGTAGAATGGACAAGAAATGGGACTTGAGATCAACATTGTGGAATGTTGTAGCAATCAGGCCTCTTTTGGTTTGCAAACAACAGAAAACTGACTGAAGCAAAGAAAGAAAGTTATTGGCAGCCAGGCACTGACTAGCTTCAGGTATGGCTAGACCCAGGGGTTCATTCTGGTCCCTTGCTTCTTTCTTCTTATTCTCTCTTCTCCCTGTTTCTCTTCCCTAGTTTCTTCTATGATGGCTACATTCCTTGGTAAGCTCTCTTCTAGGTGGGATCCCCCACCAGTTCCAAACATGCACCACCCCTTCCAGCGAACTCCAGTGGAAAGAGATCTTCTGCTAATACATCCAACGAGAAGCCTGGGATACACATCCTTGGTTTGACTTGGGTTCTGTGGCCCTCTGTGACACCCCTGGCATGTGGCCAGAACTGTGGCACCTGATACCTCACAGGTACTTCTGCTTCCACCATGGCAAAGCCCAGGATAACGCCAGTGCCATCTAAACAACAGAAACTAATGTCGGGGATAGTAGGACCTCCAAAGTACAGTGAGAAGGCATAATGGGCCAGGCATGGTGGCTCATATCTGTAATCCCAGCACTTTGGGAGGCAAGCAGATCACTTGATGTCAGGAGTTCAAAACCAGCCTGACCAACATGATGAAACCCCCTCTCTACTAAAAATACAAAACTAGCTGGGCGTGGTAGTAATCCCAGCTACCCGGAAGGCTGAGGCAGGAGAATCACTTCAACCTGGCAGGCAGGGGTTGCAGTGAGCCAAAGTTGCACCACTGCACTCCAGCCTGGGTGACAGAGCAAGACTCTGTCTCAAAAAAAAAAAAAAAAAAAAAAAAAGGCATAATGGATGCTGCACAGGTGTCCATCATAGGTGGGTGGTTCCCATGGACAGTAAGTCACCCTGGATGGAGGTTACATTTCGGTGGTCAGAAAGACTGTTAATCAAATCCAAGAACCTTCTATAAAAGAGAGATGAGTCACCAGGAAATCACTGGGTGATTTCCATGAGAAGGAGCCATCAGATATATCCCTGGCACAGAGTAGGTACTCGATAATTTGCTGAATTAATGTAGAAATGAGTGTAAAGTCTGGGCACAGTGGGTCACACCTGAAATCCCAGCACTTTGGAAGGCTGAGGCAGGAGGATAGCTTGAGCCCAAGAGTTCAAGACCAGCCTGGGCAACATAGCTCCCTACCCCATCTCTACATTTTTTTAAAAAAATTAGCCAGGTGTGGTGGTGCACGCCCGTAATCACAACTACTTAGGAGACTGAGGCAGGAGGATGGATCACTTGAGCCCGGAAGTCAAGGCTGTGGTGAGCTATGATCAGAGCACAGCACTCCAGCCTGGGCCACAGAGCAAGACCCTGTCTCTAAAAAGAAAAAAGGAAATGAGTGAAAGGCAGTGGAGGGCACACTGGGGAACTGGAAGACCCCTAGCTGGTTTATGGGCATCGTGGAAAGTGGCACATGGAGGAGGGAACAGCTTCTACTCAGAGGGAGTTGCAGACAAAGTAAAACGAGGAGTAAGAGGGGCTCAGGACTCAGAGGAGAGGCTGAGAATGCAGGGGGATTTGCTTCACAGAAACAAGAGCTCTGGGGGCTTCAGTGGAAAATTGAGAGAAGGAGGGGCAGGAAGGGGGAAAGGAAGCGTGCTGTGTGTGTGCACAAGAACACAAGTCTGGGCCCAGCGTGGCAGTGCACACCTGTAATCCCAGCACTCTGGGAGGCAGAGGTGGGTGAATCACTTGAGGCCAGGAGTTCGAGACCAGCCTGACCAACACATGAAACCCCATCTCTACTGAAAATACAAAAAAAAAAAAAAAGAAAAAAGAAAAATTAGCTGGGTGTGGTGGCACACACCTGTAGTTCCAGCTACTCGGGAGGCTGAAGCACGAGAATCACTTGAGCTGGGAGGCAGAGGTTGCAGTGAGCTGAGACGGCAGCACTGCACTGCACTCCAGCCTGGGCGACAGAGTGAGGCTCTGCCTTAAAAAAAAAAAAAGAGAGAGAGAAAAAAAACCCAAAAACCAGAAGACTGGATTGACAGATTGAGCTAGAGTCTGCATGGAGAGGAAGGATGATATGGGTGGGGGACATGGTGGAATGAGCTGTCCTCAGGGTGCCATATAAAGTCCTGGAAGCAAACTGGAGTCTGGCGATTGGTCCTGTGTTTGGATGGAAAAGCAGAGGTCACTGGGGTTGAGAAGTGTCTGTGTGAGAGAGAAAGAGAACCTGGAGGTCACCTCCTTTCTCCCCCAGTGGCGCATGGCTTTTATCTTACTGATTTTCTGGAACTGAATGATGTAAACCAAGAAGAAAGTGTTGTTGTCAAATTGACATTCTCAGTCTGTAATTAACTACTCCTTTCTGTTTTTAAACAAAGCATACTGTAAAATTTATTAGTATCAATGAATATTTGTATCCACGCTAAATCTTTTAGGTATTGAACTGTTTCCTTTATGTTAGGTCTGATTTCATCACAATAAATGGTACCCAGGGGCATGATGATTGCATTGGTTGTTTAATCTGAATTTTGGATGCCTGGCAAAATCCATGCCAATACAATTAGCTTTAGAGCACCTGACGGATCCGACTGGAGCCAAGATCAGCAAGGTGTCCACGACAAAGAGGAGCAGACATGAGTTCCCAATTTCTGGTTCCCCAGGATCTGATGTGATCACCTGTGGAAAAAGCCCATCATGTACTGAAAGGGTGTTAAAATTATCAGCCCTGCTGGGGAGATGTTGCTGAACTGTCTACACAACATCAAAACGCTTGTTTTCTTAAATGATAATTAGAGCAGCTCCATGGGAGAGCTAGTTCATAAAGACGCTCCCCGTGAAACTGCTCCATCCACACAAACAAGCCAGACGCGGTGCTGTGACCAGAAGGGCAGAGGCCACCGCTAATTAGACATGACATCAGCATTTATACTCTGCTGACCAATTACGTCGGAAGAAGTAAATAAAGCTAATGAAACTTTCCTTTCATCCAAGCTAGGAGCTGCAGACTCTCCGTAGGTGAGTAACGTTGGCCCAGAAACGCCTCTGCTGGAGATCTTTCGGGTAATGTGTGACTTTATTCCTAGAATTCCTTGGAGAGAAAAAAAAATACTTAACTAAATTGAATAATGAAATAAATAAACTTGGTTCCATTTGTCAGTGGAGACATAATTTGAGGATGAAAATAATTTACTTACTTTTTTTTTTTTTTGAGGAGACAGAGTCTCACTCTGTTGCCTAGGCTGGAGTGCAACGGCAATTCTCCTGCTTCAGCCCCCCGAGTAGCTGGGATTATAGGCGCACACCACCATGCCTGGCTGATTTTTGTATTTTTAGTGGCGATGAGGTTTCACCATGTTGGCCAGGCTGGTCTCGAACTCCAGACCTCAAGTGATCTGCCCACCTTGACCTCCCAAAGTGCTGGGATTATAGGCGTGAGCCACTGCTCCCGGCCAAAAATAATTTACATTCCAGTGTCTGATTCCAAGAGGAGCAGACCTGCTTCTTCATCTAAAAGAAGAAAGCCTGGGGTCCTATTTGTGAACATGCTTTATCCTTTTTGGGTAAGGGAGTACATATGTCATTCCAACTCCCCCTGCCACAGAAGGCTAGAGGCTTGGTACAGTGGAGGGGTAATTGGTGCTGGGACCACAATGCTTGGGTTTGAATCCCAACTCTGACACTCACAAGCTACGTGACCTTGAGCAAGTTCCTCAGTGTCTGAGGTCTCAGTTTTCTCATCTGAAAAATGGGAATAATCAAAATACTTACCTTGGTGGGGTTGTTTTTAGCGCTCAGTGAGTTCATACATGGGAAGTAATCACAATAGTCTCAGGCCACGTAGCTGACGTCTCAGCTGCCTGCTCCTTTATAGACAAGAGGGAAAGTTTGTTTTGTTCCTTTGAAGCTGCATTATAAAAAAATTTGACTGCTGCTGTGCTATCAAATGTAGTTTTTTTTTGTTTGTTTGTTTGTTTTTGAGACTAAGCTTCACTCACTCTGTTGCCTGGGCTGAAGTGCAGTGGTGCAATCTCGGCTCACTGCAACCTCCACCTCCTGGGATCAGTGATTCTCCTGCCTCAGCCTCCCGAGTTTCTGGGACTACAGGCATGTGCCACCACACTCGACTAATTTTTGTATTTTTAGTAGAGATGGGGTTCACCATGTTGGCTAGTTGGTCTCGAACTCCTGACCTCAGGTGATATCCCCCCACCTCTGCCTCCCAAAGTGCTGAAATTACAGGCATAAGTCACTGCACCCAGCCCAAATCTAGCTTTAAGAACCCAGTCTGGGAGGCTAAGCACATTTTAAGGGGGACCATGGGCCCCTCATGGATGCACGGCTGGGCTCTGTGCTGGGGGATGAGGGTGGAGGAACAAACACGTGATGTTTGAAGATGATCAATGTCATGATTATCTATTATGCAAATACTCTGCACAGACACAATGGACAGTGCAGAAGCATTTGGTTATATTCTGCCAAGATTTGCTCATGTATCAGTGCTAAGGTGTCAAGAAGGCTCATGTTAACCTTAAGGGAAAGGTACTATATTGTCCCCATTTTATAGATAAAGAAACTGAGTCTCAGAAACAGGACATGACCTACCCAAGGCCGCAGAATCATTGAGTGGCAGAGCTAGCAATGGAACCCAGGTGGCCCAACTCCATCCCTTTAACACTTCTCCCTTCCTTTTCTTTCTTTCCTTCCTTTTTCTTTCTTTTTCATTCTTTCTTTCTTTTTCTTTCTTTCTTTCTTTTTCTTTCTCTTTTTTCTTTTTTCCTTTTCTCTTTCCTTCTTTTTCTTCTCTTTTTCTTTTTCCTTTCCTTCCTTCCTTTCTTTCTTCTTTCTTTCCTTTCTTTCTTTTTCTTCTCTTTCCCTCCCTCCCTCCCTTCCTTCTCTCTCTCTCTCTCTCCTTTCTTTTTTTTTCCCAGAATCTCTCTCTGTTGCCCAGGCTGGAGTGCAATGGCACGATCTGGGCTCACTACAACCTCTGCCTCGTGGGTTCAAGCGATTCTCCTGCCTCAGCCTCCCGAGAAGCTGGGACTACAGGCGTGCGCCACCACGCCTGGCTAATTTTTTAATTTTTAGTAGAGATGGGGCTTCACCTCGTTGGCCAGTCTGGTCTCGAACTCCTGACCTCAAGTGATCCACCTGCCTTGGCCTCCCAAAGTGCTGGGATTACAGGTGTGAGCCACCGTGCCTGGCCCATTTTTAACTGTATCTGTCTTTCTAGCATTTTCTGCACGTTAAGGAGGCCACCGATGGCGAAGCTGGGTTTTGATTTCAGAAACAGTAAAATGTGAAAAAAATGCGCATCTTAGAATTGAGGAGACGCACCCTGCCCTGGAGGTGACGTTCTGTGTCTTGTGTGCTCACTACAAGAATGGCTCTTGGAGGAGTGGACTGAAAACTTCTGCACTGTGCTGCCCACCCGGCGGTGCTGGGGGAGGTGCTCAGGTATGGCTGGGGGAGTCAGGGAGCAGGTGAGATGGGAGCTGGTCCCTGAAAGAAGTTTGGGCGGAGCAGTGGTCCAGGAGTTGTTCTAACTAAGGAACATCACCAGGAAAGGCCTAAGGAAAAGAGGCCCTGGGGGAGGCGGTTCCTCCAAGGAGAGTCCTGAGGCCTTAGCAACTGTGAGTTGTGAGACATTGGGGCACAGGACAGAGGCAGAACCTGAGTTTCTGGTTTAAGGCACGTGGGTAGGGGCTGTTGCTATTTGTCGAGACAGAGAAATACGAGACAGGCGTAGTGTCTCACACCTGTAATCCCAGCACTTTGGGAGGCTGAGGTGGGTGGATTGCTTGAGCTCAGGAGTTCAAGACCAGCCTGGGAAACAGTGAAACCCTGTCTCTACTAAAAAATACAAAAATTAGCCAGGCATGGTGGCTGGTGCCTGTGGTCCAGCTTCCCACTTGGGGAGGCTGAGGCGGGAGGATCACTTGAGCCTGGGAGGTAGAGGTTGCAATAAGCCGAGATCGTGCCGCTGAACTCCCCCCTGGGGTACAGAGGGAAACCCTGTCTTGAAAGAAAGAAAAGAAAAGAAAAAAAAACAAGAGAAAGTGCTTTCGGAACAGAGATGAATTAAAGTTTGGAAATGGTGTGTGTGCGTTGTTTTGGGGACACTGTCATGCTGTCCAGTCAGCGGAAGTTCATCTTGTCTTAAAATCATTCTATGTGGGAACTGTCATCACATACACAGTAATGAATGTGATTGGTGTCGGTCAGGTTTCCTAGGAACGTCAGGGAGCAGAGAAGGCTGCCCAGGACACAGGAAACATCAGTGTTTAAGTCGTCTCGCAAGAGACAAAGGCTGCTCTCTGTTCACCCGCGCCAGGCACAGGGCGCGGTACCTCCTCGGCAAGTCTTTGGAATGGATGAATAATCGGAAGGTTCATGGTGTTGGGAGGGTTGCTGAGCAGGGAAGCCTTAAATCCAGAAAGCCTCATCTGCTTCACAATGAAACACAGCACAGAGGAAGCAACAAGGAGGCAACACACATTTATAAGAAGGGTGAGGCCCCAGGCCAGGCAATGAGGACACAGTGGCTATGAAGACACTGCTCCTGCTCTCAGGGTATCATGTTGGATTTCATCCCACAACGACATAACAGAACAGGAAAACCCGAACCTATAGGGTAAATACAATACCATGTCACTTTAACAGTTTTTCACACCAAAATATGTGGTTTAAGGGTGTGATATTGCAGTTTGGTAGCCTTTTTTTTTTTCTTCCTTTTTTTTTCAGAGACAGGGTCTTGCTTTGTTACCCAGGCTGGAGTGCAGTGGCATGATCACAGCTCACTGTAGTCTTGACCTCCTGGGCTCAAGCGATCCTCCCATCTCAGCCTCCCAAGTAGCTAGGACTACAGATGTGTGTCACCATGCCTAGCTAACTTTTTATATTTGTAGAGATGGGAGGGGTGGTCTCACTATGTTGCCTAGGCTTGTCTTGAACTCAAGCAATCCTCCCCTCTCAGAATCCCAAAGTGCTGGGATTATAGGTGTGAGCTACTGCACCACTGAGCCAAAAACCTGCCTTGGTAGCTTTTTATTAATTACTCATTATTTTATTTTATTTTTTAGATGGAGTCTCACTCACTTTTGTCCAGGCTGGAGTGCTGTGGCATGATCTTGGCTCACTGCAACCTCTGCCTCCTGGGTTCAAGTGATTCTCCTGCCTCAGCCTCCCGAGTAGCTGGGACTACAGGCATGTGCCACCACGCCTGGTCAATTTTTCTATTTTTGGTAGAGACGGGGTTTCACCATGTTGGCCAGGCTGGTCTCAAACTCCCGACCTCAAGTGATCCACCTGACTTGGCCTCCCAAAGTGCTGGGATTACAGGTGTGAGCCACTGCACCCGGCCTCCTTGGTAGCTTAAGAGAGCAAATCCAGAGTATTTCAAAAATACTATGAGATGAAATCATTAGCTCTTTTTGTGGAAGCTTGAAAGGACAGCTTGGAAGACCAAGGAGAGACTTTCAAACATCACAGTAACAGGCTACATCCTGGATCCGCTCTCCTTCAGTGCCTACAACACATCCATATGGTCTGCCCAGAGGCAGGGATTCCGTGAAAGGCAGATGTCACCCGTTCTATACAGATGGTGGCTCTTTCCTGACATGACCAAGGCGAACTGTGCATAAATCCAGAAAGCCTCACCTGCTTCACAATGAAACACAGCACAGGGTGCCTCTGAGAGAGGAATTAGCAGGAAATGGACATGCGCCTATCAAACAATGGATCGATTACATTATCCCACGTCTCCATCCACTGCCCTAGCCTCATTGGCCTTTCCATTCCCTCCATTCTGGTCTCTAAAAAGAAGGGTTCGGCTGGGCATGGAGGCTCACACCTGTAATCCCAACACTTTAGGAAGCCAAGGTGGGTGGATCACTTGAGGTCAGGAGTTGGAGATATGGCTATGTTGCCCAGGCTGCAGTTCTTTATGTATTTTGGATACAAGCCCTTTATCTGATAAATGTGCTGCAATTTATTTTTCCAGCCTTGCCTCCCATTTTCTAATATCACTGAAGAGCAAAATCTTTATAATAAAGTCCAATTTAGTAATATTTTGCTTCGTGACTCACGTTTTCTGTTTGTTGAGCATAGAGAATTTAATTTTTTAAAAAATTTCACAAAATATGAGAAGTTGTTGGCTAGCATTTTTCCAAATTTTTGGGGGCCCATTCTTTCTTTCCTTTCTGGTACTCATCACCTGTACTTTAGACTTTTGATATAGGGTCCTGAAGCTTTGCTTAATAAAATCCTTTTTGTCTTTGTATTTTAGAATGAATACTTTCTACTGATCTGTCTTCATGTTTCCTGACTCTTTTCTCTCTTCTCCATTCTGCTATTAAGCCCATCCAGTAAGTTTTAAAATTTCAGATGTTATATTTTTCAGTTCTGAAATTTTCATTTGATTTTTTCTATGTTCTAGGAGATATCATTTCTTTTCATTCATACTAAGTATATTTTCCTTTACTTTATAAAGCTTTGTTATAGGAGCTGCTCTGTTCTCCTGCAGTGATAATTCCAACATCTGGGGCATCTTAGGACTGTTTTATCCTTTGAGAGTGATGTATTTTCTTTTCTTTTTTCTGTTGTTGCTTTTGTTGTATGTCAAGCAATTTTGGGTTGTATGCTGGGGATTGTGGATATTACATTGTGGAGAACTAGGATTCAGTTATATTCTTCTGAAGAATGTTGAGGCTTTTGCAGGCAATTAACTTGATCAGACTCCAGTGGTAAGCTTTCTATTGCTTCCTCTGGGCAGTGATTCAAATCTTGGTTCAATTCTTTAAGCCTCTGTTGCCCTGTCTGTCCTGCTCATGCATGCTTTGGGGGTAAGCAAGAGATCTGTGTGACGCTCATATACAAATCAGAGGCTTCCTATCCCTGGCTTGTCTCCCTGCTAGGACTCCTCACTCCCCAGTGACCCAGGCTTCTTCCTCTGGTATCTCTGGTCTAATACACAGTGAATGTTAGGCCAGGCCTGGTGGTTCATGCCTGTTAACACTAGCACTTTGGGAGGCCAAGGCAGGTGAGTCACTTGAGCCCAGCAGTTTGAGGCCAGCCTGAGCAACATGGCGAAACTCCATCTACCAAAAATACAAAAATTAGCTGGGTGTGGTGGTGCATGCCTTTGGTCCCAGCTACTTGGGAGGCCGAGGCAGGAGGACTGCTTGAACCTGGGAGGTGGAGATTCTCATGTGCTGAGATTAAGCCACTGCACTCCAGCCTGGACAACAGAGCGGGACCTCGTGTCAAAAAAAAAAAAAAAAAAGTGAATTTTGAGAAAAACTTTATTGACCTCTGGTGTGCTGCTTTGCAATTGTGGTTTGCCCTCAGACCAGTGTGGAGGGGAGGAGAGACTCACCAAGGTTTTGAGTTCCTTGCATGTCTTCACTCTGAATCGCCAGGTAGGTCTTTTCGTCTATAAAGTTATCTGTAGGAAGTTTGGACTATAGGGGCTTAAACCACTCAACTCCAGCTGGAGTCAATTCCTTTTTTGTTCAGGGTGCACAAGCCTGGAGTTTTCAGATTCCCTTTTACTCCTTCTGTGACTTCCATCTTTCCTGTCTTTCTGTCCTTAGGTATCTTGCAGTGCTGCTAGATTTTCCCAGGAATCTTATTCATTCCCATGACGTCCCTGGGCTGCACTCCCATGATGCAGTTTTCAGTGTTTCCTGAGTTTCATGCCTGTATTTCAAGCCATCTCTTTTACATTCACATAGAACCTTCAGTCTAGAGTCACTCTCTTGTCTGGCTCACCTGCTTTGGTTACTGTACAGTATTTGTTCAGTGAACTAGGCTTAGAATTACTACAAGTAGAGGATATTTTTGTTATCACCTCCAATTTCTTCACCGAGTGCACTGAACTAAAGATGACAATGATGCTGCTAGTTATTGATGGAACTACTGAGAATACTTCACTTTGAGGACAATCCCACAAGGACTACTACCAGGCTTAGGAATATCACTTCCTTCCCTTTCTTCCTCCCCTATCGATTGAGTGTTCATAGTGATAATCGGTATAGATTACTATGTGATCGCCATAGCTATATAGCTTTACCCACCATCCATTGCTGAGTATTCTTTGAGCAGCAACTCTATGCCCTTAGGCACAGTTCCAGCTGCTGGGGATAGAGTGGCAAATGGGACAGACATGGTCCCTGCTGTCTGGAGCTTGCATTCTGGTGGGTGGGTGTGGTGGGTTACACTTCGAGATAATTAAGCAAGGATATTTCTCAGCGATGCGCTATGAAAAAAACAAGCAAGGGAACAAGAATGCAATACTGGGACAAGGAGTGTAACCTTAGATAGGGTGGAGCAGTGTATTAGTCCACTTTCACACTGCTATAAAGAACTGCCTGAGACTGGGTAATTTACAAAGAAAAGAGATTTAATAGACTCACAGTTCCGCATGGCTGGGGAGGCCTCAGGAAACTTACAATCCTGGTGGAAGGGGAAGCAGGCATGTCTTACATGGCAACAGGAAAGAAAGAGTGTGAAGGAGCTATCAAACACAAAACCATCAGTGTCATGAGAACTCACTATCACAAGAATAGCATGGGAGAAACTGCCTCCATGATCCAATTACCTCCCACCAGGTCCGTCCCTTGACACATGGGGATTATGGGGATTACAATTCGAGATGAGATTTCAGTGGGGACACAGAGCCAAACCAATTTGGGTGGAGACACAGAGCCAAACCATATCAAGCAGGAAGGCCACTTTCAGGGGTGAGCGTTTGAGTGGATGTTGAAATGATGACAAGAAGCCAGTTTCTAGAGAGGCACAGTGGCTCACTCATTCTAAGTGTGCTGCAAAGCCCCTTTAGTGAAGAAATCTACTTCTCAAACATAATGGTCAGAATAATGAAGGGTAACATGATTATTCACATTTAATCGACTTCATTTACATAGATAAAGCCTAAAGGAAAAATCCAATCTGTATTTATGTGCATGCACTGATGTTTAAAAATCCACTGGAGGAAAAGGAAAATTTAGTCAGCAAAATCTTTTCTAGATAAATGCTAGAAATCATTATTCCAAGAAAAGAATCCTCCACTTTTACTATATGTGTGTGTGTGTGTGTGTGTGTGTGTGTGTGTGTGTACTCATTAAAAAATACATAAGAGCTCCTCCATGGCTTGAGAATATTTTATGAAGTTATAAAAATCAGTATTACCTGTCAAGTACTATGTTACATGTGCAATCAAAACTGTTGAGGTTACCTGAATAAAAAAAATCCCTGATGTCTATTACAGAAAGCTTTTAACAGAACTTGCCTTGGCAATTTACTCCTAAATCTTCTTTTTCCTCCAGCTCAATATAATATTGCTACCTAATATTGTGACTGCACAAAACCATTTTAGGTACCACTTGGGAATAAGTATTAAGAGTTCAAGTAAGGCTGGGTACAGTGGCCAACGCCTGTAATCCCAACACTTTGGGAGGCCAAGGTGGAAGGACTGCTTGGGGCCAGGAGTTCAAGACCAGCCTGGGTAACAGAGCAAGACCTTCAACTCCACAAATATAAAAATAAAAAATTAGATGTGGTGACACGAGCCTATAGTCCCAGCTAATTTGGGAGGCTGAGGTGGGAAGGTTGGTTGAGCCCAAGAGTTCAAGGCTGCAGTGAGCTGTGATCACACCACTGCACTCCAGCCTGGGTGATAGAGCAAGATTCTGTCTAAAAAAGGGTTCAAGTAAATGCAAATGATGTTTTGGCAACCTTTTCTCAAAAGATTCTGCATTGGAATACAGACTGTAATATTAAACTACTATGTGTATATTGTTTCTACAGTTGTATACACCGTAGTGTCTTTTACAGGTATATAAGGTCAATGGCCCTAGTCTAATTCAGATTTAAACTAGTGCTTGCCTTGTAACTCTGCAAGTGATCAATAATCTCTTAATACTGAAAATCACAAAATAGGATAAAACGTTCTGTTGCTAGTCCCATAAAGCTTACTACATTTTTTCCCCATTCTCCCCAAACTTAGGAGAAACTTGACTAAAGATGTGAGATAAAATTATTTATTGTAAAAAGTAAATGATCATCTCCCCAGCCCCATTCCCAAAGTCACTTGAGCCTTTGCAATCCAATTTGAGATCACTTTAAAAAACCTTCCCCCGTAACATGTCCTTGTGTTTTTGTTTTTTCCTCCAATTAAAGTGATTAATTGGAAAGGGGAGCATTAGGTGACATTCCTTGCCTTGAGACAGCTGGTGGTTTCCTACACCCTGTGGTGGTAACTCCAGACATGGAGCAGCTAGAGCTGCGGACAGTTACTGCTGCAGACAGGGCTGTGTCCCGTGACTCATTATGGTTCAGTTCGGTTTCTAAATCTCCCCCAGTAAAAATCCTCCCCCTGGAACCATCTGCTCTTTGGACAAGCTTCTGCCCCCTGAACCTGGTGCAATCAGGGTCTGGTCTAGGCTTTGCAGAGCTGGGAGGAAATCCCTGGGCCTCCAGCTAACGCTGTCCAAGGTGCTGAATACCGTACTCAGTGTGTTGCCACTGGCTGAGCTGGTGCAACCTTTCACCTCTGAGAAACGTTTTCCAAGACAGGACAGTGTTATGGAGCATGGACTCAAGCCTTGGGCCATCTACATCCGTTCTTTCTCCACCAAGATGAGTTAGGCGACCTTGGCCACGTGACCCCCACCTTTCTGAGCCAAAGCACTTAAAACACATAATAAACATTCAAAACCATAGCACTTAGAATCAGGAAGTCCTTTTATCGTTTTTCACAGTATAAGGCACTTATTTTTTGATATCATTCTCTTTTTTTAAAGGCAAAGGAATTACAAGTGAACACACTAGTCATGGCCCATCAGAATGATAGATGCTTATCTACAAAAACATTTCCTGACTTCTTGCTGAACCTCTTGCCTCTGGGAAATACTGCTGTTTGCTTACTTAAAAAGTGGTGAGAAATTAATATGATTCTCTCTTCCCTTTTAAAAAATTAAATTTGTATAAATATAAGGCGTACAAGTGCAGTTTTGTTACACGGATATATTGCGAAGTGGTGAAGTCCAGGCTTTTCCTGCAACCAACACCAGAAAAGTGTACACTGTACCCATCAGGTACTTTCTCATCCCTTACCCTCCTCCCACCCTTCTGAGTCTCCAATGTTTGTTCCACACTCTATGTTCATGGGTACACTTTATGTAGCTCCCATTTATGAGTGAGAACATGAAGTATTCGACTTTCTACTTCTAAGTTATTTCACTTAAGATAACAGCCTCCAGTTCCATCCAGGTTGCTGCAAAAGACATGGTTTCATTCTTTTTAGTGGCTGAATAGTATTCCATTATGTATACATACCACATGTTCTTTATCCAATCATCTGTTGATGTGATTCCCTTTTCTTTGCATATTCTTGGGGTACTTTTGAATCAGTTCTTTTAAGTTTTTGGGGAAGGAGATTTGGTTTCATTTTCATTACTTTCAATTATCTCCATTATCCTTCTGCAAACCCATGTGCCACAATTCAGAGCATTGTGCATACGTAAGAACAGAGTGAGAGCTCCTTTTCATTTCCCCCTGGAGGAACCCCCATCCTGGAATCGAAGCCCTCTGTTTATGATCCAAGTGTCACCACATCTCAAGTCTCAATGTGTGTGTGTGTGGTTTTTTTTTTTTTTTTTTGAGACAGAGTCTTGCTCTGTTGCCCAGGCTGGAGTGCAGTGGCATGATCTTGGCTCACTGCAACCTCTGCCTCCTGAGTTCCAGCGATCTCCTGCCTCAGCCTCCCGAGTAGCTGGGATTACAGGTGTGCACCAGCATGCCTGGCTAATTTTTGTATTTTTAGTAGAGATGGAGTTTCACCATGTTGGCCAGGCTGTTCTCAAACTCCTGATCTCAGGTGATCTGCCCGTCTCAGCCTCCCAAAGTGCTGGGATTACAGGCGTAAGCCACTGTGCCTGGCCCAATGTGTGGTTGTTATTAGCTATGCCCTTTACCGAACTCCTTTTCTTGACCTCCTATACCTACACCTGTTGTAAAGAAACAAATACAAAACAGGATTTCAGCAAAACACTAAAAGAAGAGCGTTCTAGTTTTTTAAAAAATTTAATTTTCTTGTGGCACATAACAATGAACTCTGGTGTCACCAGCCTATTGTATAATTAACTTCTCGTCTTTTGTTCCTTATGAATTTACATATTTAATTATCTTTCCATTTAATTTCCCATGGTTTTGCTACGTTGACTAAACTCTGTAATGAGAAAGTCTTTTAATTTAATAGACTTTGCAGGTCATGTGTAACCAGCTTTGGAAATCATTTTAGGATTACTGAGTGCTGTTTCATAATGCTGTATATTTTTCCTGCCAGGATTTGGAGTACCTAGGTTATTTGTCCACCAGAACAATGGCTGTAAAGGAGAAAATTGAGCAGTGGTCAGAAGCTGCTGAGAAGATGCGGTAAAACAGGTTACATAAAAAACAATGCTGGTTTGAAATAACCTATGCGCTTTTGTCAAGGGATTTTGCATTAGTGCATTTAGTCCAAGTCAGGGCCAATTCAGAGGATGTGGCTGAAGGCACCGTTTTGGCCTTTTTTGTTTCTTTTGAGAGCTCTGCATACATTCCCACTTTTCCTGTCAAAGTGGACAAAATGAAGAGTCTCATGAGTGGAGGGGCATTCTGATCCCAAGAGACCACCCATCTGTGGAGTGGCTACACAGCCAGAATGTGGATGTGAACCAACTCAACGTGCTCCCCAGAGACTGAAGAAGCGGCGTTTTAGAGCTTTGGTTTCAGTCTCTTGGAGGAGATTTTCAGAAATGGCCAATTTATGTGCAAAGGTGACTTTTCTAGGCACCCAGGAAGGCAAATTTAAGCTCCGAGCTGTATCAACTGCATTCTGTTCCTATCATCAGAAGTCTCAGAATTGAACAGTAAATGGTGCCTACTTGGCTCCTTGTCAAAATAAGTCTGCATGGCTCTCACAACAAGGGAGACAGCTGTTCGTTCCGCTGGAAAGGAAAGGAGATGAACTTTGTTTTGCCTAGCGTTTTGGGAATCGTGACCACAATTTAATACAATCAGGTGTAGTTTGTTTAAGGAATTATCAAAGATCATACTTGGCTGTCAGATTGGAATTGAGGTCGATAGGCAGACTTTGACCATATGCTAACCAGAATACAATCCAATTCAAAAGTGGAGTTGAGAAACACAGCATTAGGAGAATTTATTCAAACATCCATGCAGAGATAGTCTAATATTTTAAAAACTGATTTCCAGGATCATTCGCTCCATTTTAAAGGAAATGCAGTTCTATTTTGAATATAATTCAGGACAGGGCCCCAGCTCTCTGATTTATGCAAAAGGACATAAATTCACAAACCTGCCTGGGCTATTTTTATATTTCAGCAAGAGGTTGTGTGCAGCTGCTGTTTCTGGCAAAATAAAAAAATAGTGCAAGTGAAAAGTGAACGGGAACGGGAAGGAGCGTCATTTTTTCTTGATCAAATCCATGAGATCGTCTTCTATTCCTTTCTCACTCAGCTCATCTAGACTGTAGTATCGGTGAACAATTTTCTCGGCGGTGACCACCACGACTCGGAGCCCGTGGGGGTCTCTGCCCAGCTGGCATCCAATGGCAGATGACACCACCATGTCGAGGTTCTGGTAGGTACCCCCGGCATTCCTGTGGTAGTGGCCTGAGAACACGACTTTGACACCTGCAGAGAAGGGAAAAAGTCATTAGGGGGCCGAGGACTTCCATTAGGTAACCTAGGGTCTCCAGCATTTTATTCTGTGAACAGTAATATATTAAATATATTATTATACCATCATGTAGAATTATCATATTAAATGTATAATATTATTCTGTATATAATCAACAAATAGAAAGCGTATGTGATGTCCAGAATCTTTGAAAGGATACTTCATATATATAATATATTATTAACATGTTTGTCATAACTTGTACAAAGACGTACTAGGGAAGAAAATGAGAGAAGGAAGATGAAGTGAATGACTTTGAGAAAAGACAAAGGAGACTGAAGAAAACAGCCTGAGTCCTATAGAAATATCCAGATGACAAAAGTTATGTATTTTAAAAATAACATTTATGGCCAGGGATGGTGGCTCATGCCTGTAATCCCAGCACTTTGGGAGGCCAAGATGGGTGGATCACTTGAGGTCAGGAGTTCGAGACCAGCCTGGCCAACATGATGAAACTCTGTCTCTACCAAAAATATAAAAAAAAATGACCAGGTGTGGTGGCTCACGCCTGTAATCACAGCACTTTGGGAGGCCAAGGTGGGTGGATCACAAGGTCAGGAGTTTGAGACCAGCGTGGCCAATATGGTGAAATCTCATACTAAAAAATACAAAAATTGGCTAGGCGTGGTGGCAGGTGCCTGCAGTCCCAGCTACCTGGGAGGCTGAGACAGGAGAATCACGTGAACTCGGGAGGTGGAGGTTGCAGTGAGCCAAGATCATGCCACTGCACTCTAGCCTAGGCAACAGAGCGAGACTCTGTCTCAAAAATAAACACATAAACCAACAAATAAATAAATATAAAAAAATTAGGAGGGCCTGGTGGCGGGCATCTGTAATCCCAGCTACTCGGGAGGCTGAGGCAGGTTATCGCTTGAACCCAAGAGGCAGAGGTTGCAGTGAGCCTACATCGTGCCACCGCACTCCAGCCTGGGCGACAAGAGCAAGACTCCATCTCAAAATAAATAAATAAAAATAATGTTTATGGCATTCTAATTAAGGTAGCAGAGCATGTCTGACATATGATCAACCCCCTCTGCTCCAAACAGCCGTAGTGGATGAAACGTAAAACAGAAAACCCAAGGTCACAGGTAGGCTCAAAAACAAAACAAATAGCTCTACAGGCCAGACACAAAACAGAGAGGCAAAGTCATGAGTGGGAGTAAAATGTCACCGGGAGTTCAGCTCTTAGAAGATCATAGAGACTGAAAGCATTTTCAGGGGAAAATGGGGAAAATAAAGCCTGGCTCCCTGCTGGAAGAAGGGCTGTTGTGGGTGCCTCCGTTTACGGAAGGAGGCTGAAGAACGCTGCTGCTGCCTGGGGCTGGGGAAGTGGTAGGCTGGTAAATGTTTCACATGTTATTATTTTTTTTAAAGACCTGATTTGTCACATTTGTCAATTTCCATGGTGTAAATACTTCCACTGTGGCCGTGGCTGATTTCAAGTTGCCAAGGTGATGTCACTGAACCAGATGTAGAAGAGATGCCCAGTAGTGCCCATTACATATACATCAGATCTGTTTCTACCATAGAGATACAAGAGCTGCCAACAGCCTCAAGAGCATGGATGACAGCAATATTTAGCAAAAGAATTACAAAGTGATCAGTTTTGAGTATTTATTACCTTTGCTTTTTAATATAATCTATTTAATACTGAGTTTATATAATTATTAATAATGGCCACTTAACAACCAGCTCACAACATTCCTTAAAATGTAATGATTGGTCCTAATGAGTTAGTAGGAGCTGTCACCAGTACACCACTAGGCTAAGGCTTACTGCAACCTGAGAGTCTAGGAAGGAAGGAGAGACACAGGTTCAAGTCTAGGAACTGAAATGACTTCCCCGATATTACCATGGGGCCCTAAACCACTATTATAAGGCCTGGTCCTGAACGGGGGTGGGGGTGGAGGTAATGAAAACCACTAGAGAGAGAGAAGTTAGTCAAGAGAGAAAGAATGAGGGAAAAACAAAAAACAAAAAAAACACCCCTTACTCACATTGACCCTGAAATGAAAAATTCTGCTGCCCATGGAGAAATCACGTGGTAAAATAGTCTACAAACCCTTCAATTGGGAACACAAATTCACTCCAGATGAAATTAATTATTTAAGATTGTCTGACAAATATTTCAAATCAATGTGTTTAAGATATCAAAGGGTCCTTAATAAAGGACTAACACCCATAAAAAGATGTTATGAAACAACATAGGCATAAATTGAATGAGAACAGGAGGTAATGAACATTTAGAGATGGTGGACACAAAACATCCATTAAAATTTAAAATAAAAACAACCCTCAATAAATGAGATAGGCCAGGCATGGTGGCTCATGCCTGTAATCCCTGTACTTTGAGAGGCTGAGGTGCAAGAATTGCTTGATGCCAGGAGTATGAGATCAGCCTGGGCAATGTAGCAAGACCCCATCTCTATAAAAAATAGTAAAATAAATGAGATCAATTCTAGACATCAATCAAAGAGGAAATTAGTGAACTGAGAGGTAAAACTGAGGAAATGATCCAGAAGACAATACAGAGACCCAGACACAAGCAATAGGAACATGCTCTTGATTTGAGTTCTCTGAATTCAAAAATTCAAAGGATAGATTAAGATCAGCAGAAGTTTAGAGGAGCTGGTGGAGGAGAAAGGAGAAAATAATAGTGAGAAGAATTTGAAGAAATAACAGAAATTTTCCAGAAAGAAGGAAGACACAGGTCCTCAGATAAAAAGTACTACACAGGAAACATGACAGTTAATTCCTACTGACATATGGTGCAATAAAATTGTGGTACAGCAAAGACAAAGAGAAAAACCATAGAAAGAACCGCAGTAAAAACATTATAAAGAAATGATAATCACACAGATAGCAGGAATCTTAACAATAACAGAATCAAAGAGTAATGCCTTCTAAATGCTGACAGCAAATAACTATGAACCTCAAATTTTATTCCTAGCTAAACTATCATTTAAGTTTGAGGGCAAAAAAAAGACATGTTTGGAACATAAAAACTAAAAGTTTACCACGTCTAAATCTTCACTGAATGAATTGCTTCAGCAAAAGAAAGGATGAAATATTAAAAAATAATGATGACCAAACGCCAATATTTTGGTAAACTGAATTAACTATTGATTTTTTTAAACCTATTTTTTAATGTTAAAAGTGAAACTAAACATCAAAAATGTCAAGATAAGGAGTTTGGTGGAAACTTAAAGCATATATAAGTTATTGCCATGTTTGGAAGGGAGATAAAAATACGGAATAACCTGATACTTTGCAAGAAAAAAATGTATAGTTACCTTATTTCTTTAAAATGTTTGGGCATAGCAGTCAAACTAAACTTCATCAAAATTACCAACTTTTGTGCTCCCAAAACATTATAAAAAGTGAAAAGACAACCCATGGAATGGGCAAAAATATTTGCAAATCATGTATCTAATAAGGGTCTAATACCCAGAAAACATAAAGAGCTTTTACAACTCAACCAAAAGACAACCCAATTAACAAGCGGGAAAGGATTTTAACAGACATTTCTTCAAAGGAGATACACAAATGGCCGATAATTACATGAAAAGATGCTCAACATCATTTATCTTTAGGGAAATGCGATTAGCGACAATGAGATAACCACTTCATAGCCACTCGGATGGCTGTGATGAAAGAGATGGAAAGCAACAAGTGTTTACAGGGATTTGGAGAAATTAGAACCTTCATACAGTGCTGGTGGGAAAGTAAAATGGTACAGTTCTTTTGGAAAACATTTTGGCAATTCCTCAAATGTTAAACACGTATTTACCATAATTGTGATATTTCACTCCTAAGTATGTATCTAGGAGAAATGAAAACATTTGCCCATGCAAAAACTTGTAGGTGAGTGTTCCTAGCAGCATTTTTCAAAAGAGCCTAAAATACGGAAGCAACCTAAATGTCCATCAGTTGATGATGGATAAACAAAATGTGGTCTACCCATACAATGGGATGTTATTCAACCACGAAAAGGAATAAAGTGTTGATACAAGCTGCAATGTAGATGCACCTTAAAAATATTAAGCTAAGTGAGATAAGCCACTTGCAAAAGGCCCCATCTTGTATGCTTCCATTTATATAAAATGTCCAGAATAGCTAAATCCATAGAGAAAGTAGATCAGTGGTTGCTAGGGGCTGAGGGAAGGGTGGAACGGGAGAGTGACTGCTGACAGGTGCAGGGTTTCTTTGTGGAATGGTAAAAATGGTCTGCAATTAGATCACGGTGATACTTGCACAACCTTGTGAATATATTAAAACGACTAAATTTGATACTTCAAAAGAGTGCATTTTATGGTATGTGAATTATAGCTCAATAAAAATGCAAAAAATTTACAGGAAGAGGAGGAAGCTAAAATGATCCATATCACAACAACGGATTAGAGTTGGAGATATCAGTGGTAATTCATGTTTAGCTTAATATTGCTGTGGTTTCACATAGAAATATTTATAGATGTGTATATACATAGGCCAGTACATAGACATTCGTTTCCTTGCTCTGTCAGCTGAGAGCCCCTAGAAGTATGTACTAGCAATGAGAGCACCTAGCACTCAGATCTGGCTTCCTAGTAAGGATTCTCTAATAAAAGGAACTATGGCTCCTTGGAGAAATGGCTACCATAGCATTGAGCAAGAAATACAGAAGATGAACCTGGAACATCTTGTGTTGCCAGAAAGGATAGTGGTGCTCAGAAACAAAAACCCTGCAACGATGGGGTATGGCAAATGGACTCAGGAATCAAGTGACAGGATTCCCAATGGCCAAAGCTTAACAATCTGAGTAGTGAAATAAACTAGTGTTGAATTACAACCCACAGTATAAAAAAATCCACGAGGCGGCCAGGCACATTGACTCATGCCTGCAATCCCAGCACTTTGGGAGGCCAAGGTGAGAGGATCGCTTGAGGCCAGGAGTTCGACCAGCCTGGGCAACACAGTGAGATCCCGTCTCTACAAAACATTACAAAATTAGCAGGTGTGGTGGCTCATGCCTGTGGTCCTAGATCTCAGGAGGCTGAGGTGGGAGGATTGCTTGAGCCTGGAAGTTTGAAGCTACAGTGAGCTATGACCGCACCATTGCATTCCAGTTTGGGTGACAGAGAGACCTTGTCTCTAAAAACAAACAAATAAAAACTTTGCAAGACCATAATAATAAACTACTGAATAAATAAATAAATGGTAGGGGGAGAAACATCTCCTACACACAGAAGAGTAACAAATAAATGACACAGACACCCCACCCTCTAGGAAGTAGTGCATCTTTCTTCATCCCTTAGGTGTGGGCTGTGCATCCTGACTTCTGTTCAAAGAGTATAGTTTAAAGAGAAGGTTAAAAAAAAAAAGAATGTATTTACAGTGAAGAAACTGGACAAACACCAAAAGCGATAAGTCACATGATTAGTATGTGCTCTTGATATGAATGTGATAGAAATGGCACTTCACCTCTGTGGTCTTCCTCTCCCAAATCCATCACCCCAGTCTAATCCAGAGAAAAACATCAGACACATTCCCAAGAGAGACACATTGTATCAAATACCTGACCAGCACTCCTCAAAACTGTCATCAAAAACAAGGAATGAGTGAGAAACTATCACAGCCAAGAGGAACCGAAGCACATACGATGACTAAATGTAAATGATCCATGTGTTTTTATTTTTTTAATTATTTATTTATTTTTAATATATTTTTTGAGGTGGAGTCTCACTGTGACGCCCATGCTGAAGTACAGTGGTGCGATCTCGGCTCACTGCAAACTCCGCCTCCCGGGTTCAAGTGATTCTCCTGCCTCAGCCTCCTGAGTAGCTGGGATTACAGGTGCCTGCCACCATGCCCAGCTCACTTTTGTATTTTTAGTAGAGATTGGGTTTCACCATGTTGGCCAGGCTGGTCTCAAACTCTTGACCTCAAGTGATCCACCTGCCTTGGCCTCCCGAAGTGCTGGGATTACAGGTGTGAGCCATCGCGTCTGGCTGTATTTTTAAAAGTATACTTATCCCCTGTACCATTTTCCCCATTCATTAACATATTATATCAGAATAATACATTTGTTACAATTAATGAACCAATATTGACATATTAAGATTAATTAAAGCCCATGATTAGATTCCCTTAGTTTTTTCCTAATGTCCTTTTTCTGTTCCAGGATCTGAATGATTTTTACTAGTTCCACACTGGGGAACAGGAAGGAAACAGAGATTGAGAATGGTGGTAAAGAGGGGTAAGGGAAAGAAAATGAGGAGACAAGAGAGCAAGGGGAGAGAAAAAAAAAGGGCATGAAGGGAATATGCTGATAGCCTCTGCTTCTGGTGAGTGGGGTTCTGGGAGGCTGTAAAGAGAGCTCTTGGGACTATAGCTACCTGTGCTGGCAGGAACTGGAGATTCACCTGTGGGCAGGTGTGGATCAGCTCAGGTGCATAAAGTACTCAGCCTTCCCTACTTAAGACAGCCACAGGTGGAGAGAAACAGCTACAGTCACGTGCAGCACATGGACATTTTGGTCAATGATGAACGCCATATATGAAGGTGGTCCCATAAGATTATAATGCTGTATTTTCACTGTACCTTCTCTATGTCTAGATACACAAATCCCTACCATGGACGTTTTAGTCAATGATGGACGCCATATATGAAGGTGGTCCCATAAGATTATAATGCTGTATTTTCACTGTACCTTCTCTATGTCTAGATACACAAATCCCTACCATGGACGTTTTAGTCAGTGATGGACGCCATATATGAAGGGGGTCCCGTAAGATTATAATGCTGTATTTTCACTGTACCTTCCCTAGGTCTAGATATACAAATCCTTACCATTGTGTTATGGTTGCCTGCAGTATCCAGTACAGTACCATGCTGCATGGTTTGCAGTCTAGGAGCCATGGGCTATAGCACACAGCCTAGGTGTGCAGTAGACTACACCATCTAGGTTTGTGTAAGGACACTGTGATGTCTGCAACACTACAAAATTGTGTAACAATGCATGACTGCAATTCCATTGACTTCTTATTAGAATTTGAACAGAAAGAACTCATGTTAAGGGGGCAATCTAGCAATACTGTCGCACATTTTACTGTACATTCCCTTGGCCCAAAAAAACCATTTTGGTAGACAGTTATCCTTCAGAAATCCCCAGGGAAAAGCCCAAAGATGTATCCGGGCTGTACCTGTGGACATTAATATATGGTTCAATGTGCATCACAGTACCGTTAGTAATGTTTATTTATGGAAGACCTGTTAAATGACATTATGCGCATTTTTTAAAAAGAGGTAATTTACATGTACTGGCACCAAAAGGTGCCAAATACCATTAATATGTATAGCACACTGCTGCAAAAACATCGTGTGATCCTGTGTAAAATAACGTATGCCTTAGAAGGTTTGTGTGCATATACAGGCTCGTGTGCCTATTTGTGTATATGTATACCTCAGAGGGTATGTGTGCATAGACATTAAACTGCTTATAGTGGTGGCTCCAGGTGAGGGGTGTGGGGTGGGATTAGTGAGAGGCACATCATTCTCTCTTATTACAGTAGTGTAATGCTTCCAATGATCACGAATTAATCGGGTGATTGGGAATGAAATCCCAGCACTTTTGGAGGCCGAGGTGGGCAGATCAGTTGAGGTCAGGAGTTCGAGAACAGCCTGGCCAAGATGGCAAAACCCCATCTCTACTAAAAATACAAAAACTAGCCAGGCGTGGTGGCAGGCGCCTGTAATCCTAGCTACTTGGGAGGCTGAGGCATAAGAATCGCTTGAACTCGGGAGGCGGAGGTTGCAGTGAGCTGAGATTGTGCCACTGCACTCCAGCCTGGGTGAGAGCAAGACCCTGTCTCAAAAGAAAAGAAAAAAGAAAAGAGAAAAAAAAAGAAAAAGAAACATTAGGGCAACATGAACAGGGCAGGGTGGCGTGACAGATGCAGCCACTGCCACTCCAGGGCACAAACTGTGCAGTTCTCAGGTTGCAGCTGGGACTGCTGGGTTGGGCGCCTGATGGGTCCTTGCCATAAATAGACAACTGAAAGGCTCCAATCGTACAGACTGCAGGGGCGGTGGAAATGACTGCCTCCTCTGTGGCTCTCCTGGGGTTTCACAGCCAGTCTGTAGCTCAAATGGGACCGCGTAAGATCAGCCCTGCCTGGGGGAACGCTGAACGGCTGGACAGAAAGCACTTAGCATTATTATTTCTTTGCATGCTAAATTATGTTTATGAGATTTGGCTCTTCATGCCTAACTCATAGTTGCAAACTGTACTATTCTGGAAAGAATGTCTGGCAATTTTGAAAGAAGCTTGCATTAGCCATAATTAGCTGTAAAAACTCATTTATGTTTAAGTTTCACACCATATTGAGTGGCATTAACAGAGAGGGGAGCATTTAATGGTGATTGTTCAAGTGCCCAGAGGACCTCTCAGAGCGGGTCTCCCCAGACCCGTGGACAGCTGTTCCTCTCTGTAATATGCATGTCCTCTCCATCTGCCCCTCAGGGCTCACCAATTATTGTTAACGTCCGAAGTCACAGAAAATGTGACCAAACGAGGATTCTTAAGAGTAGCAAAGATGCTGCAAGAGGACTAGCAATAAAGATGAGGCCGGGTGCGGTGGCTCCCACTTGTAATCCCAGCATTTTGGGAGGCCGAGGTTAGAGGATCGCTTGGGGCCAGGAGTTGGAGACCAGCCTCGGCAACATCATAAGACCCTGTCTCTACAAAAAAATTTATCAAATCAGCCAGGCATGGAGGTGCATGCCTGTAGTTCCAGCTACTCGGGAGGCTGAGAAGGGAGGATTGCTTGAGCTCAGGAGTTGGAGGTTGCAGTGGGCTATGGTTGCACCACTGCACTCCAGCTTGGGCAACAGAGCAAGACCCTGTCTCAAAATAATAATAATAAAAAATAACGATGAGAGAAACTACTAGTGAGCAAAGCAGTTGTGTTCAAAACCTTCTCCTTCTGGTAAAAGAGAGTCCTCCCCCAATTCCAATGAGGAACTTGGCCTTCTGAGGTCCTGCATGAAAAAAATGAAGCAATGACTATGTGATGAGTTTACAAAGAGACGGTCAGGCAGGGGACGAAAGTCTGTCTCAGAAGCAGGAAGATGTGACTAACTCCGTCCTCCTGGGTTCTGATGCTGAGTTCAAGGCTCTGGCATGTTCCTGGCTGGCTCAAGGAGTCTGAAACGAGGAATGAGATGTTGAGCTGGAAAATGGGGGAAACACTTCTTGGGTTGGAGCCAGGTCCAGAAGAAGCCTGGTGAGTTTCCAGACGTGGGGGTTTCTGAGTCTATTTCTCAGCTCCAGGGAGGCCCGGAAGTTCTGAACCCGAAATATTTCTCCTAGTTCCACCTCCAGTAAGGGCAACCGCTCCAGGTGGAGTGAAAGGAGGCGGGGCCTGGAAGGGGGTGGCACAGTGGCGGGGCACTCTGTATCCTTCATCCTGTTTTACTGAATCCTCCCAATGCACCTCTGTCCTAGGGACTCACATCGTCTCCATTTTACAGATGAGAAAACTGAGGCCCAGAGAAGTTAAGAAACAAACACAAAGCCACACAGCTAGACAACAGGGCATCCAGGATCAGAACTCAGGGTACTCAGACATCAGAGCCCATTCTGCTTTGGGACCTTGGACCCATTACTGACCTCTGTGAGTTGGCATTTCCTCTTTTGTACCATGAATTAAAATGACAGCCCATATCATGGGTGGCAGAGGTCTGGGGGGGAGCATGGGTGTCAGTACCAAGCTCCTCATCGCCCCACCCAGGAGGCTTTCTCCAGGGCAGGGCCAGCTTCTCACTGCTGGAGGGGGGCACACAGCATGGCAGTCCAGCTCTGCAACACGCAGCCTCTCTCCGAGTTATAATCCTGTCCCTTTCATGCCGACAGGCCACAAGGACCTATAAGAAGTTTTACCCATCTCAGCTTTCTATTAGCTTTTGATAGGGAAGCACTGATTCACAACTCGATGGAGGTAAGGAATGTATTAATAAATCTTGGTTTCCCTGACGGGGTATTGATTTTAGTGATGTTTTCAAGAGCTGGGCAGAATTTCCACTCAGCCTGGGCATCAGTCATCTGTGGCTGACATGCCTCTATGGTTCCTTAATTGAGTATTATGTATAGATTGTTTTTGAATTATGAACTGCTGTAAGGAGATGACAGGCATCTTTTTAAATTACTGCCAGAAGAATTTCCAGCAAAGGCAGCCACTGCATCAACAGAGGATGATTTCTGTGGCATTAGCTTCATATGTTTTTTTTCTCCACGGTATCAAGTCATGAAGACGCTATAAAAGCTATTTTTAAGCTATCTTGATTCAAGTTCATTTCAAATCAATCAGAGGATTGGGACACAGTCACTGTATAATGTAATATTCTAACATTGGAAACCTGCTTCAAATCAATCAGGAAATTGAGATGCAACCCAGTACAATTCTGATACTAAACACTGGCCTTCTTTAATGCCTTGGTGTTGGGGCTTAGACCTGGAAAGTGTAAACACATTCCAACTGGACAGCCTTTACTTTTATCCTGCATGAGACTATATTTGTGAAAATGTGATCCAGCTTTACGTTGCCAGCTATAACAGTGAAAACTGCATTGCAAACCATCACTCACACTGAATTTATTCTGCCTCAGTGGTAGGGAAAAATGTGACACAAATAAAAAAGAGGGAGAGAAATGGAAAGTTAAAAAAGGTTGGGTGTGAATGTACAGAAAGTAGGTATAAATAATCCCTCCTGCCGGTAAAGAATTTCCTTAGCAGGCTTTGAGATAAGAGATTCTGGCCAGGGGGCAAAGGGGAAGCGACAGATGTTTCTTAAGTGGGTTTGGGAGGTGCAGATTGAATATGAAGTCATGGTTAAGCCCCACCTGACTCATTCAGGAAGAGGTTCTTCACTTTTCGTCGTCAATTGGGGAATTCTAGATTCCAGCATATTTGCTCACTCTCATCAGAATTTCCCTGGTATATATCTTCCCCAGTGACCCAATGCCTGTGGCCCAGGACTGCCAGGGGACATGGTGGAAGGGATCCGGGTAAGGTGGGAGGCTGCTTCTTCAGTTAGCTTGAGACAATAAACATCTGTTGAGCTCCCTCTTGGTGCCAGGTATTAAGGAGTGTGGTGGGATCAACCATTCCCAGCAATCAACAACTCAAGGTCTATAGCCAGGCAGTCAGAGAAAGAGCTACTCATAACAAAATGCAGAAATCGACATCACTCAGCAGCGTTTTATTCGCTGGACATCTACGACCTGCATTTTGCACCTGCATCATCTCACTCAAGCCTAATGAGGACGCTGACCAGGAAGATATCATCCCCTTTTGCAGATGAGGGAATGAGGCGAGGACAGGTTAAGTGACTTGCCTGGATTCACATAGCTAAGATGTATACTTGGATAAGGCCAATTCAGAAGCACAGGCTCTGTCCACCATCTGAGAGGTGCAAAGTGCCAAAGATCACCGTGCCATAGGCCCTGTAAGAAGGCTTCCTGGAGGGGGTGGCTCTGACCTAAACACATCCTTAATTTCTCCTAGTTCTCTGCTCATGTCTGACCTGAGGCCTGAGGGGGCATCATATTATGGTGGTAATAATAATAATGATGATAATAATATTTATGGAGTGTTCATTATCTGTCTAGACATTGTTCTAGGCACTTCACTTGTTTTTAGCTCATTTAATTCCCACAATTCCTCCATGAAGGAGGCATGGTTATTACCTGTGATTTTATTATACGATTTAGAGATGTTCAGTAGTTTGCCTAACTCAGCCTGTAAGTGTTGAAGCAGGATCTGAACCCAGGAGTCTGTCCCCAGAGTCAGCACTAAAACACCTGCCAAGTAGAGGTAAAGACACATCAGGTGAGGGGAATATCACGAGCGAGTGAAGAGAGTCAAGTGTGTCTAGGAAGCAGCAGGCACCAAACGTAAAGGCTCCTGCAGACTGGCACCTGCTGGGCATCCGAATTTCCTCTTCAGCATTTTTAATCCTTCTGACACCCAACATCAAGAAACTCCTGCACATTTCCCAGAGGACACGACTGAAGGTCAGCTGGTGGGTGGTACCAGAATTCCAGTTCAGATTCTGGCTTGGCTAGAGGATAGGCGAGGGCGGGGAAAGGCGGGGCCAGAGGGCTGCATGGGGCTATAGACTGGCTGAAATGGAATGACTTACAAAAAATTCCAAGGTTGGCTGGGCGCGGTGGCTTATGCCTGTAATCCCAGCACTTTGGGAGGCCGAGGCGTGCAGATCACTTGAGGCTAGGAGTTTGAGACCAGCCTGGCCAACATGGCAAAACCCTGTCTCTACTAAAAATACAGAAATGTGGATGTGGATGTGGTGGTGGGCGTCAGTAATCCCAGCTACTTGGGAGGCTGAGGCACGAGAATCACTTGAACCTGGGAGGCAGAGGCTGCAGTGAGCTGAGCTCGTGCCACTGCACTCCAGTTTGGTGGCAGAGCGAGACTCTGTCTCAAAAAAAGAAAAAAGGAAGTGCCACGGTCGTGTATGTGTCTTCCTTCTTGTGGTAAGCATCAAAGCATCCCATCACTTCCGGCTTCAGCCTTTCATTGATTCAAACCCTCTCATCCCCAAATCCTGTTAACTAGCATGGCATCTTAAAGACATTTTCATGGAACTTCTTTTGAGGATCACTTGGAACTTAATTGACCTGGGTCAGCAAACATTTTCCAGAAAGGTCTGGACAGTAAATATTTTCGCCTTTGTGGGCCATGTGGTCTCTGTCACGACTACTCAACTCCGCCTTCCTTTGTAGCGTGAAAACAGCCATAGAAAGTATATAAGCTTGTGGGCATGGCTGTGATCCAATAAAACTTTATTTACAAAAATAGGAGGAAGGCCACCCTCACTAATAAAGCATACCATTAAAAAGAATACACTTGGGTAAAGTTCAGCCAAGAGTTCTTGATTCTTCAAAAGTCTGAAAGTTTCTGTGCTTCTCAAAAATAAAAATCAAAAAACAGTGACAACAAAGGAAAGAGTAATTTGTAGTTTCATTTATAAAACCATGAATGCCATTTCAAATAAGGGAGGCAAGTGAATTGTGTTAGTGAACACAAAAAAGGTCAACTATTCTATAAGTAAGAGCATCTGTCCTGACGGTCAGAAAGAGACTTCTATATCTACTTTAAAAGTGTCCACATCCTTCCATCTAAAAAAGTAACTCAGATCTAATTCAACTGTTTTGGCCATTATAGGTACCTTGCATTTCCACGGAAATTTTACAATCAGTATGCTGATTTCTACAAATAATAAAACTGCTATAATTTTGATTGGGATTTTGTTGAATCTGTCGCTCAATCGGGGGGGAAATGCCGTATTAACATTGGCCCTGCAATCCATGAACATGGTCTACTTTTCCATTTACTCAGGTCTTTTAAAATTACTTTCAGCAATGTTTTGTAAAGGTAGAGGTCTTGGACATCCTTTGCTATTCCTAGGTATTTCATGTTTTATGGTGCTATTGTAAATTGAATTATTTTTGTAATTTCACTTAACAATTGCTTGCTGATAGTATATAAAAATACAATTATTTTTGTCTATTAACCTTGTATCCTGAGACCTTGCTAAATTCATTTATTCATTCTAGTAATTATTTTGTAGATTCCTGGGATTTTCTAAGTTAAAAAAAATCGTATCATCTGCAAATAGGCCATTTTACTTCCTATCTTTATGTTTCTTATTTCTTTCTCTTGCTTTTTGCAATAGTTAGGATCTCCAATACAATGTTAAAAAGTATTGGTGAAAATACTCTTTTTCTTGTTGGTTATAAATTTAGTTTTCATATTCCTATTTTTTAGACTTTTGATATGACTGCTAAATTATTCTTCAGAAAAACATAATCAATTTAAATACCCAACAAGGATTTGAGAGTTTGATCAGTGAAAGCTCATTCTTTGGTGATCTCACAAAAGCCTTGCAAAGATTAAAAGGGAAACTCCTCAGGAGGACCTAAAGTAAATATTTGTTTATCCAGAACTTCTGAGTAACTGCTATCCTCCCCATTCGTTTTTCATGCTGGATAATCCCTTTCATCTTCCTCTGAACAAAGCAGGTTCACGGACTTACTATGGTTGGACGTGTGTGTAAAGAGTAGGTGGATATTCTTTTTACTATTCCTTTTCTTGCATCTTTTCTGTAAGCTTGAAAATATTTCCAAATAAAATGTAAAACAAAAACAAAAACAAAAACAATGCATACTTGTTAAATTAAACCCAAATGTTGTAAAAATACAGAATATCAAACAAAAGAAAGTGGGAGGAGGGAAATTTCTTGAAATCCCTATTCCTGTTTTAGGAGTTTAGTGTGTATTTTCCAGATAATTTAAATGTGTATACTACTATATATGTTAGATATAGATCTAAAGAAACATATATACATACACAAAATTTCACAAAAATGGAATAGGCTACATACAGATTTGCAACTTGCTTTTATATATTCGACAATGTATCTTTTACTTATTCCATTCAGGATATGCTGCCCTATTTTAGAGCTACTCACTAACATCCTGAAAACTGTATTTCTGATGTTGGGGCTCAGAAATGGTACCCCAAAACATGGCACTTTGACACGCTAAACTAAAGCAGCAGCCTCAAGGTCTCTCTGACCTTCCCTCCCCAAGAGCAGTGACAGACTGTCTCTGGAATTTCCTTATCTGACTAAGGAGATGTCTTTCTAAAAGAAATGCAATTATCTTAAGAATCCCTCCCTAGGAATCTCATCAAATAACCGAGAAAGATTAGCCAATGGAAAAGAGAAGAGACTAAAAGTCATCACCATGCCCAGACAGACTTTTCTTCCATTCTTCTGAGAGTAGCTCCAAGAGATTACCTGGGAGACTTTATCTACATAATAAGACAACCTTTGTTCACAATGCAGTTCTGCCTCTTACCTTCCCATAACTTACTGGTCCCATTCAGTTTCCTAAAAAAATCATTTAGAAGGTAATGTCTGCTTCCTAGGCCCATTCAATTCCCCTAAAAATCATTTATGACTGCTCAAAATTGCCTGCATTTCTCCCATCTCCCTCTCCCCTATGAATAGGGTATATAAGCTTCAACCATTTGCCCCGAGTCTTATATATTGTATGGCTCTCAAGTTCAGCACATTAATAAATCTGTATGCATTTTTTCCTGTTCACCTGTTTATTGTCAGTTCATTTCGACAGTGAACCTTCAGAAGGTGGAACAAAAGCTTTCCCTCTGCCCCCACACTGCTATGTAAAATCTAGGTTGCCGGATGATCAATCTGTATCTTAATAATAAAAATACTGTAAACTGGGAGGTCAGGAGAGTTCAGAGCCTTTCAGCCCTCTAAGGACTACTCACATGCATGGGGACACACATAGTTACTACAGCTTCTCAGAGAGCATCCAGATTCAGGGGGCAGAGACAGCCCCCAGGGAAGAAGGAGTCTTGTCTGCACAGCCCCTCTGATCTGGGTCTTGGGGGAGAAGCCCAACTACTCCTGCTTGCTGTATCATCAGCATGAGAAGAGAGACACTCTCAGGTTACGGAGTGCCTAAGCCAAGCAGCTCTGCCCCTGTGAGACCTGGGGTGGGCTGTAGGGGCAATATCTCCTTCTGGAGCTAAGCCTCTCAAAGGTTTCACTGTGATGGGTCCACGTGCTCCTGGGCTGAACCCTGCTGGAAACCTGGGTTCAAGCCTCATCTCCTCTGATGCATGTGACATTAACACCTATACACTTGGTCATTTCAGGCATTTGTTCACATGTCTGGTCCATGTGATATAAAGCATCTGGTTTATCTTAGGATTCATAGCCTCCTCTTGAGATTCTCTTCCTCTTTCTTTCTTTTTAATGTTTTGCTTGGGTAGGAAGCAATGGCCCAGTTGTCAAAATGACCTTTACCTAAAGCCAGCTCATACTCTAAAACCTGAAGAGATTTCTTTGCTTTAAGGATTCCTCCCCCGACCCCCGTTTCCCCCCGTAAAGAATAGCCATGCGTTATTATTTCAATGTGCCCCCCAACGTTTAAGTGTTATAAACTTAATCCCCAGGGTAACAGCGTTGGGAGATGGACCTTTAAGAGATGATTAGGTCACGGGGGCTCTGCCCTCAAGAATGCATTAATGCTGTTATCAGAGAAGTGGCTTCCTGATTTTAAAACAAGGATGAATTTGGCCAGGCCCCTTTCCTCCTCACTCTTGCCAGGGATGCCCCAACAAGAAGGCCCTCACCAGATACAGCCCCTTGACCTTGGACTTCCCAACCCCCAGAACTGTAAAAAATCAATCTCTGTTCTTTATAAATTACCCAGGCTCAGGTATTCTGTTATAGCAGCACAAAACGAACTAAGACACCATGTAAATTACACTTTTCATACCTCACCTGATTAACGATTCACAAAAATTATATTCTTCCCTTTTCAAAGCTCCTCTTAATTAAAACTAAGAATGTGGGAGATGGGGATGGCACAGAAGTGGCCTAGAAAACACCTAGGGCTGTGCATTCTCGGCTTCATTAGGATGTAAGTAGTTCTGCAGCAAAAGGTTTGAGAAAGAGTGGATGGAAGAGGTTCAGTGGTCACAGTTATCACACCAACACCTGGAGGCAGCTGAGGGGGGCCCACATTCCCGTTCATAAAATGACGTTTCCCACTTCCACCCACCGCATCTGCATCCGACTTAGAATCAGAAAGGACATGGGGATGTGCTCTCACACTCCAGGGCAAAGAGCAGAATTGGGAAATAATTACTCTCCAGGGGCTAGAGGTGGCTGGCTGCCCACTTGAGTCCACAGCCTTGAGAGTGTGATTACAGCATAGCATCACTTCCCTATCCTGGACTCGAGGATTAGTTATGCTCCTCCAACCCCCAGACTCACTGCCGTTTATTACTTTTTTGAGACAGTGTCTCTCTCGGTCGCCTATGTTGGAGTGCAGTGGCGCGATCTTGGCTCACTGCAACTTGCGTATCCTGGGTTCAAGCAGTTCTCCCTGCCTCAGCCTCCCGAGTAGCTGAGATTACAGGTTCCCGCTACCATGCCCAGCTAATTTTTGTGTCTTTAGTAGAGACAGGATTTTACGATGTTGGCCAGGCTGATCTCAAACTCCTGAACTCAGGTGATCGACCCACTTTGGTCTCCCAAAAGTGCTGAGATTACAGACACGAGCCACCGCGCCCAGCCCCTTTATTACTTTTCTACATGGGGGGCTATGCTCAACTTTTTATTTTTTCCCCTTCCTGATGACTTACAGATTCAAAACCTGTAGAATATGCAAGAGGAGGGCTGTATTTTTTTAATACTAATATTTGGTTGTCAGAAAAGCAGTGGCAGCCTGGGGTGGGAGCTAGGGGTTGGGAGACTCAGGCGTGAACCTCAGTTCTGCTGTTGCTGAGCTGTGTAGGTGTGGCATGGGCAGCAACATATCTGAACTCCTCATTTGGAAGGCAAGACTAGTATCAACCATCCCCAGGGCCACTGGGAAGATAAGTGAGAATCAGGGACACGCCCTGGGTGGCACAGCAGGAAGCTGCGTGTCTTGTACTCAGGCAGCACTCAATAATTATACTTTCCTCTCATCCTTCTCTAAGTATCTGATCAGAAGATCTTTTTCTTTTCATTTGCACAAATTACATCTTTCTCACTATTCATAATTTCCTCTTTATTTTTAAAAGAAGATGGCAGCTTGCGTGTGAAATGGAGCGTGGGGCCCACATTAAGGTTTCAATCCAGAATGGACAATTTTCTAGATTTCCATGCTCTATCTTAAACACAGCTGTCAGGACAAGAGGCTCATTAAAAAGATTGTTTTGACTGACAGAATGTTCGTGTATCAAATTGGAAATCCATCCAAAAATACTCGAGGGAGGTAGACAGACGTGGCGGCCAGCCACGGAAGGAAAATGTTTTGCAGAATTTGTTCAAGATGAAATTTGCTAGGGAGAAAGTGCCCTGCCTCTGACTTGAGCCAGGGAAAGCCAAGAAGGGGGTACTGCATCCATCAAAACGTAAGGACCTTGGGTAAGTGAGATTCCGTTTGAATAACTGGGCCAAGAAAAATTCTGATCAGGCGATGATCCCTTAAAGAACACACATTAACTAAATTTGTGCACTTTTCCTTACCCCTGGGCTTCGAGGCACTTCCTCCTCCAGTTAACAGCTTATTCTTCCTGCATACATCTCCGGCTTCCACAAGCCCTTTCAATGGTGGCCTTCCCCAGGCTCTGTCCATTCCCCTTCTCTCGTCCCTTTCCCTCTCACTGATGACCACCGGTTCTGTTATAACCTGAACCAACTCCACCTGCCAAAAATTCAGAATCATTTCCCAGCCAACAATCGGTTCCTAGGCTTCGTGGACCTCTCTTCTGGACATCCTTGCAAGCTCTGCAAACTCAACCCGCTTACTTCTTTTGCCCCAATGCACACCCCTCCTCGTGTGGGTTTAACTGGAGCACCATGCAGTCATCCAACCCAGGCATGTGGGAGTCACCCCGAGACTCCCTTCCTCCGCCTGGTCCATGCGTCCTGTTGACCTGTCTGCCTGAACACGCTTACCCCCATCTCCTCTCCATCCTCAGTGTGATCTTCCTGGTTGCCTGATCTCCTGTATGATATTCAGCTGTCAGTGGCTATGGTGGCTTAAAAAAGTAAAGGCTGTATTTGTGCTTAACTATGATTTATCTACCCCGTAAAAAGAGGAGGTGAGCAGTCCAGGGAGGGCGCAGCCTCTCCAGGATTTCAATAAGGATCCAGCCTCCTTCCATCTTTCTGTTTTGCCTTCCTCAGTTTGTAGCTTCCATCCTCAAGATCGCAAGATGGCTGCAGGGCTTCCGGGCACTGGGTCCAAGTTCCAAGGCGGAAGAAGAGGTAAGGGCCAACGAAAAGCCTTTCTGGAAGCCCCACTTGCTAAACCCCTGAACCTAGGTCATGCAGCCACACACAGCTGCATGGGGGTCTGGAGACGGAGTGTTTCAGCCTGCCATGCTAGTGCCCTGAACAAAACCTGCTCTGTTAGGAAGGAACGCAGAGAAAATGCATCCCGGTAAACTGAGCAGAGCCATCTTTCTCAAATGCAAAACCTGGGCACAGTGGCTCATGCCTGTAATCCCAGCACTTTGGGAGGCTGAGGTTGGAGGATCACCTAAGCCCAGGAGTTTGGGACCAGCCTGGGCAACAAAATGAGACCCCATCTCTACAATTTCTTTTTTAAAGCAAAACCACTTGGGCCACTTCGTCAAGTAAAATTTGAGGGTTCTCCATCACCTTAGGATCCTGATCAAACACAATGTCTCCATTTGAGCCTACTCCACTCACTGAGCAACTCCAGTGCCAGTGCCAGTACAGGACGAGCTATTTTGTGGCTCCAGCCTCTGCCCATGTTGTGCCCTCTTTCTGCCCAGGTCTGCCTGATGTGCACTTATTCATCCTTCAAGACCCTGCTCATTCGTTTCCTCCAATGGGAAAACATCCCTGGTGAAGGTGCACAGGGCTGCTTCTTCTTCATCCTCTCCCTTGCAAATTCTTTTACTTTTGCCCTGATTTCTGGCTCCCACCTTGGTTTCCCCTACTGGTCTATGAGCTCCTTAAGGGCAGAGGCCACGTGTGTTTAACTGAATACTCATCCCCAGGATGAATAGCAGAGAGCGGCCGCTCTGTGACTGCTGGATAAATGAATGAATGGAGAGATGGATGGATGGATGCACAGTGAATGAATAAATGAAACTTGTGGCAACTCAGAAGCTATACTTTAGTAGGTATCCTGGAGGAGAAACCCAAATCTCCCCTTCGTTGATATTATCAAAGGGAAGGGAGAGTTCCCGTATTTCCTGATTTTACAAAAGAACTGCCATGTTCCTTACAGAAGGAGGCCTTACTCACGACAGGGTGGAAACTGGAGACAGTGGAACGAGCACCGACTCTGGATCCTGTCTGTTACTTAAATGTCAAATGACAAGCGACTGCACCTCGCTGTACATTGTTTCTTCAATTTTAAAAAGGGGACAATAATAGATCCCTCAGCCAGGTGCGGCGGCTCACGCCTGCAATCCCAGCACTTTGGGAGGCTGAGTGGACAGATCACCTGAGGTCAGGAGTTTGAGACCAGCCTGGCCAACATGGTGAAACCCCATCTCTACCAAAAATACAAAAATTAGCCAGGTGTGGTGGTGGCCACCTGTAATCCCAGCTACTCAGGAGGCTGAGGCAAGAGAATTGCTTGAACCCAGGAGGCGGAGGTTGCAGTGAGCCGAGATCATGCCACTGCACTCCAGCCTGGGTGACAGAGCGAGATTTCATCTCAAAAAATAAATAAATGAATAAAATGATAATAATAGCAATAATAATAGCCTCACGAGGCTGTTAGGAGTTTCAGACGTAATGCGTTTAAACCCCTGGCACACTGTCTACTGCATGCCGGGGACCTGATGCTTCTTGGGACCGTGTTTGAAACATAGTGTGGACAAGGACATTTTTCTTCCTTGCCTTTGGAGACAGTGCTGGTTGCCTCTCACTATCCACACCCTCCCTTTTCCTCCTGATTTTGTTCTGGGCAATGTCCTCCTCAGGGAGGCCACCAGCTTCATTCCCCAAACCAGGATGGATGCAGCTGTGACAATTCTCCTACCACGGCCACCCAGGGTCTGGGCAGGAACCCAGGTCTGGATATGGAGATTTGGGAGGAAACCACGGGGGTGTCTGAGAAAGGTTATGTTTCTTTTAAAAAGTCCCCCTTTCTTCCTCTGGGGTTGTCAATGTGAATGAATGTGACGTGCAGAATTGCATCAGCCAGCTGAGAAGTCCAGCCTAAGGAATGGGTCATGACAGGGAGAAGCACAGCGGGTGTGCAGAGAGATCCTGCTCATGCATTCAGCCAGGCCGAGTGCCTGAGCCACCCGTGGCCCTCTGTCCACACAGAGAACTTCCTTATTCTCTGAGCTGGGGTGATGGGAGTTTCCTGTTCTGTACAGCCCAAAGGAACAGATGCTATTGATACTATCCTATACTTGTTAGAACAGTCACTCTCCTTTTGGGGTGGCCAGTAATCCATTTGTTTTGAAGATTGCTTGTTTATTAATTGTATATATATATATATTTTTTTTTTTGAGATGGGGTCTTGCTATGTTGCCCAGGCTGGTCATGAACTCCTGGGCTCAAGTGATCTTCCTCCCTCAGCTTCCCCAGTAGCTGGGACTACAGGCATGAGCCACCATGTCCACGAATCCATTTGTGAACAAATACTATGTAAGTTGGTCTTTGGAAACTCCTACAAAATAACAGAGTTCCCCTGCTGTCCAAGAGGCCGCAGAGGGTTTCTTTGTCAGGGTGGGATTCAGTGAGACTCCATTAGAATACAGTTTTGTCAATAAACTTCTTGTATCATTTCTATTCCTGTGAAATTGCTTTCCCAACCCTCTTGCCTTCAGTAGGACCAAAGCATGCACAGGTCCAAAGGCAGTGAGTGCTGTGGCACATTCCTCATCAGAGAGGGGAGGATGCTGGGATGGGAAAGGTGGCTTAGTAACCCTGGCCCATGTCTGTATGACAACTTGGAGGCAATTTGGAAATGAGAACCAGACGACAGACATGAGAGGCAGAGTGTCAGTTACTAAAACACCCAAAATGTTGGCAACTGAAAACAAAGACAATCTCTTCCTCCCTTTGATTTAGATTGTGACCTTTTACTTGTGGCTGAAGAGATTTAAGTGCAGAAAATGTAAAGTGGCATAATTTTTTTTTTGAAAAGAACTGATGGCTCTGTAACTATGATCCTTAAATATAAGCATCAGTGGTGACTGATTCAGTACGTACACCAGGGGTTGGAAACTAAAGCCCATTGCCCGCTTTCTGATGGGGCCTGTGAGCTAAGAATGCTTCTTACATTTCTATCATAAATGGCTGCATTTAGGATGTAAGCACTTGTATCATAATCTCAATTTTGCCTCTTGTCCCACAAAACCTAAACTATTTAATCATGCTCTTTACAGAAACCGTTTGCCAACTCTTGACCTATACTCACTCCACTACAGGCATCCTTCTTATAATATTATTATTTTTTCATGTTTTGAGAAATTTAAAAGATACGGTGACTACAAAAGAATAATGTAACATTCGTAATGCCACCACCCAGAGATAATAAATATTAACATCTTGTAAGATCTGTCTTTACATTTTTTAAAAAAAGAAATGAAATATTACAATGATATCCCAAGTCCCCTTTAACTGCTCCCCACTGCACCAGAGGGTCTTAGCTTTACTTTTAAGCAATGTGCACCTTCTTGGGATAGGGCTTGGCCAGGGATTTGGCCATAGTGTCAGTGACCTCAACAAGATTAAGAATGGTTATTCCTAGGCCAGGCACACCTGCAATCCCAGCACTTTGGGAGGCTGAGGTGGGCAGATCACTTGACATCAGGAATTTGAGGCCAGCCTGGCCAACATGGTGAAACCCCATCTCTACTAAAAATACAAAAACTAGCTAGGCGTGGTGGCGAGCACCTATAATCCCAGCTACTCGGAAGGCTGAGGTTGCAGTAAGCAAGAAAATGGTTATTCCACAACCCTGACTGGAATAGAGGAAAGAGAGGCACCAGGTCACAATACTCCTGTGTATTGATGGATTAATCACATAAAAAAGCTTTCTTTGGGCTTGGCATAGAGTAGTCAATCCCCAAATTTATACTCAATTAATTGAACAGATGCCCCAAAAGCAGGCACTTAACTGAGTGATTTTATGAAGACAGTAATAACGTAAACATTTTATAAATTAAAGGAATAACAACAACAAAAGAATGAAGGAAGAAGGAGGGAAGGAAGAAGAAGGAGGAATGGAATGTCACTAACATGAAAGTCACAAGGCCAGCAGGTGCCACGCAACTCACACTATTTTTTTTTTTTTTTGAGACAGGGTCTTACTCTGTCTCCCAGGCTACACTGCAGTGGTGCGATCATGGTTTACTGCAGCCTCGACCACCCCAGGCTCAGGTGGTTCTCCTGCCTCAGCCTTCGGGGTAGCTGGGACTACAGGTGCACACCACAACACTCACACAATCTTAAGAGGAACCACACCCCTATCCAATAGGTAGAAAGCAAAGTACTTGCACATCTTCACATGTGACTTATGGGGAGAGAAATTTAAGTAATAAGAAACAACTCTAAAGTGTCCTAGAATCCTACTCCAGGATTTTTTTTTTTTTTTTTTTTGAGATGGAGTTTCGCTCTGTCACCCAGGCTGGAGTGCAGTGGCAAAATTTTCGCTCATTGCAACCTCCACCTCTTCCTGGGTTGAAGTGATTATTCTCCTGCCTCAGCTTCCCGAGTAGCTGAGATTACAGGCAGCCGCCACCACACCTGGCTAACTTTTGTATTTTTAGTAGAGATGGAGTTTTGCCATGTTGGCCAGGCTGGTCTCGAACTCCGACCTCAGGTGATCTGCTGCCTCGGCCTCCCAAAGTACTGGGATTACAGGCCTGATTCATCGCGCCCAGCCCCTACTCCACGACTTCTGCATTAAGTGTAATTCTCTGGTTTCTTTCCTGACTTTTCTCCAAGACTCTGAGCTTCTTGAGGGCAGGGCCGATGCTTACTCCACCTCATGTGTTTCCCTTGTCTCCAAGGAACACGTGGGAACATGCAGAGAACATGTGCTGTCAAAGTTAAAAGATGTAAAGACAAATATAACACTAAGCAAAATACCTGACCCCAATGTCAAGAGCTCCAGTCAGAATGCTACATGTCTTCAGCAAAACACGACACACAGTCACATGTGGCCTTACTTACCAAGACTGATTGCAGGCATTTGTTCTACAAATATGAAAATGCACAAGCATTTTTATGTTAAGATTTGGGTCTGTTTATGCATGAAGAAGTTCAAGATGTTATTATGTATGACAAAGAACAAGTGGAAACAACCTCAGTGTCCAACAATGACAAGAGTTAAATGAACGTGGTATGTCTACAGAGTACAATGAGCTGTGGTCTGGGTTTTTAATGACATGAGATAATGCTTTGTATGACATCATCTTATGCTTCCTAAATGCCCATATATGATCAGCTATATGAAAAGAGGGCTTTTTTTTTTTTTTTTTTTTTTTTAAAGACACAGGGTCTCACTCTGTCCTCCAGACTGGAGTTCAGTGGTGCAATCTTGGCTCATTGCAACCTCGAATTTATGGGCTCAAGAGATCCTCCCACCTCAGCCTCCCAAGTAGCTAGAACCACAGGTGCACACCACCATGCCTGGCTAATTAAAAAAGTATATTTTGTAGAGATGGGGTCTTGCTATGTTGCCCAGGCTGGTCTCAAACTCCTGGCCTCAACTGATCCTCCCACCTTGGCCTCCCAAATCACTGGGATTACACGTGAGAGCCACCACACCCAGCCAGTATTTCTTCTTAACAAGAAACTGTTCATGAATGGACTGCTTATAAACCAAGCCCACACCCCCAATCCCCCAAGCTGTGCAACAAGAGTGCACCTGTATGTGAGACCACAAACCACACTAAAGATGCAGGATTTCACAAAGCCGAAGGAAACGACACTGGGGAAGTCATCGGCAAATAAGGCTCTCACAGAGAAAACATACATGCCCACATTAGCTCCTGAGAAGCCAATCATCAGATTACTGATGGATTCAGAAACAGACTCTTATGAAGATTGATAAAATCTGAAAAGAACCCACAGTGATGCTCCTGCCAATGTCAAATGTAAAGTACAGGATGCTGTCAAAAGAATTTTTTTCAGACCATTTACTCCAAGGAAACCAAGTCGACACTTGATTACCTCTCTGTTCATCCTGAGTTGCTGCATACTGGCAGTAACAACCATTTTATCAAACACAAGTTGAAATTAACTGATTGCCATAATTTGTCTCTTTTCTCAAGACAATGTTTCAAACCAACCTTTATTTTTATTTTATTGCCATTTTCTGTAGCTACGGTCTGCATTTTAAGTGAGCTTTTTTTTTGGCAGCCATAATCTTTAGATAATGAGCCCACCTGGGCTTGAACTGGTGAGGGGCTGGCCAGAGTCTGCGGGGGTGGGTACAGATCCCTCCCTGTTTCATGAAAGACACCATCAAGAAGGCCAAGTGTGGTGGCTCATGCGTATAACCACAGCACTTTGGGAGGCCAAGGCAGGCAGACTGCTTGAGCTCAGGAGTTCTCCAGACCAACTTGGGCAACACGGTGAAACCCAGTCTTTATTGAAAATACAAAAATTAGCCAGGCGTGGTGGGGAGCACCCATAGTCCTGGCTATTTGGGAGGCTGAGGCAGGAGAATCACTTGAACCCAGGAGGCAGAGGTTGCAGTGAGCTGAGGTCATGCCACTGCACTCCAGCCTGGGCAATAGCGCAAGACTCCTTCTCAAGAAAGAAAGAAAAAAAAAAGGCCAGGTGTGGTGGCTCATGCCTGTAATCCAAGCACTTTGGGAGGCCGAGGTAGGTGGATTGCTTGAGCTCAGGAGTTCGAGACCAGCTTGGGCAAAATAGTGAAACAGTGAGATCTAGTTTCTACCAAAAAAAAAAAAAAAAAAAGACACCATCAAGAGCATCTTTGTCTGCAGAAGGCACAATTCACATACTCAAGATGAACGGATGAACGGAGAGGCTTACTATGAAAGAAAAATTCCTGCTTGTTGAGGCCAAAGGGGAATTCCACACCCCTGTATTCCACACCAAGTAGGCTCCACGGACCCTCACTTGGCAGATCCCTTTGGATATCCCAGTGCTGAGCCTCTGTGGTTGCAGCACCAGCTCCTTTCCTGAGGCAGCCCCTGTAGAGGAGCAGGTGAAGAATGGGCAGGAGGGTGAGCAGGTGGGACCCTGCCCCACACGGGTATCCCGGCTCCTCTCTACTTGCCATCAGCACCCGTGCCCACGGTGCATTCTGCTCATCAACATGCTCTGGGGCACCCAACAGCAATGTCGTTGAGAACACAGGACCCAGGGCCACTGCCCAGGCCCCAAGCAATTAGTGTCACCCACCACTTTGCAGCTGGTTGATGCTGGGGAAGCCGATTTGTCTCCCCACGCTGCAGTTTCCTTGTCTACAAAATCAGAGCAAGAGTCCCTGTGGTGTACTATTTATTAAGCAGTCATTATTACTATTTTACTAGTATAGTGTCCTGTGTGTGTTTTCTTTCTTTCTTTTTTTGAGACGTAGTCTCACTCTGTCACCCAGGCTAGTGGCGTAATCTTGGCTCACTGCAACCTCTGCCTCCTGGGTTCAAGTGATTCTCCTGCCTCAGCCTCTCAAGTAGCTAGGATTGAAGGCATGAAGTAGAAACACAATTTGACCCAGCCGTCCCATTACTGGGTATATACCCAAAGGATTATAAAACATGCTGCTATAAAGACACATGCACACATATGTTTATTGCGGCATTATTCACAATAGCAAAGACTTGGAACCAACCCAAATGTCCAACAATCATAGACTGGATTAAGAAAATGTGGCACATATACAGCATGGAATACTATGCAGCCATAAAAAATGATGAGTTCATGTCCTTTGTAGGACACGGATGAAGCTGGAACCCATCATTCTCAGCAAACTATCGCAAGGACAAAAGACCAAACACCGCATGTTCTCACTCATAGGTGGGAATTGAACAGTGAGAACACATGGACACAGGAAGGGGAACATCACACGCTGGGGACTGTTGTGGGGTGGGGGGAGGGGGGGAGGGATAGCATTAGGAGACATGCCTAATGTTAAATGATGAGTTAATGGGTGCAGCACACCAACATGGCACATGTATACGTATGTAACAAACCTGCACATTGTTCACATGTACCCTAAAACTTAAAGTGTAATACAAAATAAAAAAAAAACAAAAACAACATAAAGGCATGCACCACCATGCCTGGATAATTTTTGTATTTTTAGTAGCTATGGGGTTTTGCCATGTTTGCCAGGCTAGTCTTGAACTCCTGACCTCAAGTGATCTGCCTGCCTCGGCCTCCCAAAGTGCTAGGATTACAGGCATGAGCCACTGTGCCCGGCCGTGTCCATTGCATTTTAAATGACCAATGGAGTCACACTGACCCTCGAGGAAGGTGGTTTTTAATACCCACTGGTGGCACTTCACAGAGCCATCTCAGAGACAGGCTAACTTTAATTTGTCCCCGGTGTGGTGAACAGAACAAACACTGCCAGGAAGACTTTGGTTCCCACTCTGGCAACACTCGGCAGTGGGTCAGGGGTACCAATTCAAGGGATATCAGAAACTGTGTCCCTTACACATCCTTTTCACGTCCAGTCATTTAAAACATTTTTCAATAACCATGATGATAAGAATAGAGGTTCGCTATCACTGAGCACCTACCAGGAGCCAGACACTGTCTCAAGGTACTGGATTATTTCATCTGATCCCCACAAAACCCACCGCACCTGCTTCATAGCTTTGTGATCTGAATGGATGACTCTGCCTCTAGGACCTGAATATGTCTGTCGGCAAAACGGAAAAAATACCAGTACCTTGTGGGGTTGCGGTGGAGGTTTGCCACACCATGGGAGCAGCCGCTGACAATAATGTGAATAAAAATAAAAGTGAACACTGACCATGTCTCTCAAGAAGCCTGTTCATCTCCTGCACTTTTCGGGAGAGAAATTGCTCTATTAGGTGCCTTCAGTGGCACCATGGAGGAGTGAGATCAGAGAATACTATAGTCCCCAGGGAGAAAGAGCACGCAGCATAGGGCCCCACCTGGCAGGGCGGCCCCAGAGGAGGCTCAGTGGCTGAAAGAACATCACAACTGCCTGACATGGCCCCTTCTATCTGGACAATGTTACTGCAGGGAATAGTACCCTCACCTGGACTTCCAACTGCACACAGCACAGTGCTTACAGAAGGGAGACGTGTGAGGAAAAAAGATTTCCTTTCCTCTTACCGTGCCTATGAAATTTAAAATAGATTCAAGAGTTAGAGGGCCTCTGCTCCTTACAACTGACGTGCTCAGTTTCCACACCTGTGCCGAAGACCTGGAGAAGGCACCTTTAAGGTCCTGATAGAGGGGCTCCCAGGACAATGTCTGGCACCCAGGAGGCTTCACCTAAATGAGTGGTATTTGCTTTTGAGAGTCTCACTCTGTCACCCAGGCTGGAGTGCAGTGGTGCAATCATGGATCACTGCAACTTCAACATTCAGGCTCAGGCGATCCTCCCACCTCAGCCTCCCATGTAGCTGGGCGTGCACCACAATGCCTGGACTCATTTTTTGTGTTTTTTTGTAGAGACAGGTTTCACCATGTTGCCTAGGCTGGTCTCGAAGTCCTGGGCTCAAGCGACCCGCCCACCTCGGCTTCCTAAAGTGCTGGAATTACAGGGGTGAGTCTCTGTGCCTGGCCATGCTATTTTTTTTTTACTTTCAACTCAATCAATTCATATGCAAACATTTTTAAGTAAAATTTAAAAGGCAATGAAATCAAAGCATTTTTGAACTTATTTTACAAAGCAATGTTGTAGATTTGTACTTACACTGTGGGAAATAGGGAAAATGTCTTTTAAGTGAAGGCAAGTGCAGTAAATAAAAAATAACTTGAACTAGTAGACGGAATGAGCGTTTCACTAAGCTGGAGATACTGGAATTTTACAAAGGAATCTCACTGCTAATTTCAAAATGACACTAATTGCTATTTTTGAAACATGATCTCAAAGGAGAAGATATAATATTTTGACTTCATAAACTTCAACAGACACTGCTGTTCCCCATGTTCTGGGGGCTCCTTTTTGAAATGTTGTGATGAAATTAAAAAATTAAATCATTTTTACTTGGCCGGCTGTGTTGGCTCATGCCTGTAATCCCAGCACTTTAGGAGGGGCTGAGGTGGGCGGGTCACCTGAGGTCAGGAGTTAGAGACCAGCCTGGCCAACATGGTGAAACCCTATAGCTTCTAAAAATACAAAAATTAGCCAAGTGTGGTGGCGGGTACCTGTAGTCCCAGCTACTTGGGAGGCTGAGGCAGGAGAATCACTTGAACCTGGGAGGTGGAGGTTGCAATGAGCCGAGATTGCGCCACTGCACTCCAGCCTCGGTGACAGAGTGAGACCCTCTCACAAAAAACAAAAGAACAGAAAAACCCAGACATTTTTAGTTGAAGAGCAATCTACAACCTCAGAGAAGAAACTTCTCTGTTTTGTTCATCCCTCCATCCTCAGTGCCTAGCGTGGGATCCATGCTATTTGCTGAATGGATAAACGTTGATTTAACTTTAGGAATCAGCAGCATACATTTACACACGCCAGATTCTCAATTTATAAATATTTACCATCAGGACTTGATTTCAACTTTAATTAGCCCAACTGTTAAGGATACCTCCAAAGTGAGAAATCTAATCCATCACTTTACACCAGATGTAGCTTTGGCAGTTAGTCTTTTATCTAGGTTTATAGTGAATGAGAATCAGACATTAAATGACTAGTGTGTGATGTTTTGCGGTGAACTGATTGGAACCTAAAAAATAGGCCAAACGTGGGAAAATGAATTCAAGACTAAATCTGAGGAAATAAAACAAAGAGGGTAAACTTCCTCTAGCTGATAAGGTCCCACAAACTCTGGATTCTATGGATGCTTAAAAAAAGGTGGGGGGGGGGGCGGGGGCATGAGTGTGAGATAGTTTTTTAAAAACCCCCCCCTTTTTTTTTTTGAGATGGAGTTTTGCTCTCGTTACCCAGGCTAGAGTGCAGTGGCACGATCCCTGTTCACTGCAACCTCCGCCTCCCAGCTTCAAGCGATTCTCCTGCTTCAGCCTCTGGAGTAGCTGTGATTACAGGTGTGCGCCACCACACCCTGCTAATTTTTATATTTTTAGTAGAGACAGGGTTTCACCATGTTGGCCAGGCTGGTCTTGAACTCCTGACCTCAGGTGATCCACCGACCTCGCCCTCCCAAAGGACTGGTATTACAGGCATGAGCCACCACACTCAGCCTAAAAATTTCATTTTAAATGGGAGGGCACTGTAACATGATTGTCACTGCCCTGTGGACAGGTTTGCTGCATTTGTAAAAAAATCTGACTATGAAATTATACATTCAAAGGTGTGTTTACTAACACTTAATTGGTGAGGTATGTTAAATTAAGTTGAGGCTCAAGCTGCCTCCTTACATATTTTATTTTTATTTACTTATTTTTTTGAGACAGGATCTTGCTCTGTTGCCCAGGATAGAGTACAGTGGTGCAATCACAGCTCACTGCAGACTTGGCTTCCGGGGCTCAAGCGATCCTCCCACCTCAGCCTTCTGAGTAGCTGAGACCACAGGTGCATACTATTATGCCTGGTTAGTTAAAAAAAAAATCCTTTTCGCAAAGACAGAGTCTCACTATGTTGCCTGGGCTAGTCTCGAACTCTTAGGATCAAGCGATCCTCCTACTTCGGCCTCCCATAGTGCTGGGATTACAGGTGTGAGCCACCATGCCCAGCCTTCTTTATACATTTTAATTTCAGCCAAAGGTTTCTCTGTATACACAGTGAACTGGATGTGTAAACAGAATAGAACATACTCTTGCCAATCTCCGGTTTTGGCCAATCACAGGCAGTCAACTGTTCAAACTGTGTTCAAATAAGGCAAATGCTGAGTTGTAACCCATCTGGCTGTTTTTGTACCTCACTTTCCACTTTCCTTTTTCTGCCCACAAATCTCTCACCATTTGGCTGTGCTCGAGTCTTTCTGAGCCTCTATTCTGGTTCAGGGTCTGCCTGATTTACGAATTATTCTTTGCTCAACTAAACTGTGAACTTTAATTTGTCTAAGGTTTTTTCTTTTGAAACAGGTGTGTGCTTTAAAAAATAAACAAAGGATCAAATTTTATCACTACATTCTGTAAGAATTTTTCATCTACTTCAGCGACTACCATCCTTTTAAACCAGTACCCCCTTTTGTTAAAATTAAAAGTAGCATGCCTTCCTCATCTACCCTGAAAACTCTCAGACTGGCTGTAATCGTCTATCTTCCCGCATATCCCAGGAGCCAAGAGAATTTTGTCTAGCTTTACTTCCTATAGTTTGCATTTTGAACAGAGTTGATCATTATTTTCCCTTTCAAATCTACACAGCTATATCAGCAGGCAGCAGGCATGTCCCCAAACCAGGTCCGCCTGTCCTGGAGATTCTCAAGAACGCCCGCAAGAAGGACGCCAGCACCCCAGGGGTGAGAAGCATGCCGGTCTAGCTAATGGATAAAGCACATTTGCCTGCTGTGGGGTCCCCAAACGGTTCGGGATCATACAGAACAACAAACACGCCCTTAGTGAGTGCTCACTATGAGCCAGACATGGTGCTAAGTGACTTTCTTTTTTTTTTTTTTTTTTTTGAGATGGAGTGTCACTCAGTCGCCCAGGGTGGAATGCAGTGGCGTGATCTCGGCTCACTGCAACCTCCGCCTTCCCAGGTTCAAGTGATTCTCGTGCCTCAGCCTCCTGAGTAGCTGGGATTACAGGCACTCACCACCACGCTCCACTAATTTTTTGTATTTTTAGTAGAGATGGGGTTTCACCATGTTGGCCAGGCTGGTCTCGAACTCCTGACCTCAGGTGATCCACCTGCCTCAGCCTGCCAAAGTGCTGGGATTACAGGTGTGAGCCGCTGCGCCTGGCCTGACTTGTCTTTTTGATTTTATATATGACTCTCCTTAAGGGATACACCAACTTGACAAGGTTGGGGTGAGTACCCTCTTTTTACAAGTGGGAAAACTAAGGCAGAGAAATGTTTAGTGGCTTATCCCAAGCAACTTAAGAAGCCAAATCCTGTCTGTTCACCTGCCATGTTATAGGACCCCCTGCCCACCGGCCCAGACGCTAATTCCCCCTGTACAAACCTCCAAGTTTTGCCTTATCTGCACAGTACTCATACTACTATTTACTGAATCATTTTCTTTATTTTTATTTTTTATTTTTTGAGTCAGAATCTTGCTCTGTTGCCCAGATTGGAGTGCAGTGGCGCAATCTCAGCTCACTGTAACCTCTGCCTCCCAGGTTCAAGCCAATGTCCTGCCTTAGCCTCCCAAGTAGCTAGGACTACAAGTGTGTGCCATCACGCTTGGCTAATTTTTGTATTTTTAGTAGAGATGGGGTTTCTCCATGTTGGCCAGGCTGGTCTCGAACTCCTGAGCTCAGGTGATAATTAAATCATTTTCTTTAAATTGATAAGCTAGTTCTATTTTTTTCTAATACATGTGAAGCTGATCACCCAATTATTAGACATCTTACATGCACCATGGACCCTCTTGTCTGCAATCCATCACATCCTGGTCTTCAGGGGAACATGTGCCTCACCCAGGCACGCCCTCCACTGAAGACCTTCAGGAGGCTTGTTCTGGGCAGACCTTTCTGTCAGTCAGGCAGTTGTTACAATGGGGTCGTCAGATGCATCCTAAACTTAGACACATACAGAATGTGGACAAGGTTCTGGGGAGAGCAAGAGCGTCACCCTGTAATGGGAACATTTCTCTAAGCCAAGAGTTGGAAAATTATCACCGGCAGGCCTACCACCTGTTTCTGGAAATAAAGTTTTATTGGAACACTGCACTGTCTGTGGCTGCTCTCTTGTTATGAAGGCAGAGTTGAGTAGTTGCTACAGAGACCATAGAGCCACAAAGCCCAAAATATTTACTATCTGACCCTTTACCGAAAAGTTCTATTGACCCCTCTAGGCGAAGCATTTCCCATACAAAAGTCAGCTTGTGGCCTGGGTGCAGTGGCTCATGCCTGTAATCTTAGCACTTTGGGAGGCCAAGGTGAGCGGATCACTTGAGGTCAGGAGTTTGCGACCAGCCTGGCCAATACAGTGAAACTATCTCTTCTAAAAATACAAAAATTAGCCAGATGTGGTGGCGTGTGCCTGTAATCCCAGCTACTTGGGAGGCTGAGTCAGGAGAATTGCTTGAACCTGGGAGGCGGAAGTTGCAGTGAGTCAAGATGGCACCACTGCACTCCAGCCTGGGTGACAGAGTGAGACTCTGACCCCAACCCCCACCAAAAAAAAGTCAGTTCATGAAAACCAACTCACAAGTGATACGGATATTACCTGCTGATAAGTAGACTTGAATCACGCTTAATTCAATTCCATTGACCACTATTCACCTATTGGGGGGCTACTATATGACAGTCTCAGCTAGGGGCTGGCCTTACAGAGGTGAATAAGGCTGGGCTTCTGTTTCCTGGAGGAATCAGGATCTAAACAGTGACTGCAATACAGCGCAAAGGATGTCAGAGCAGGATTTGATGTTTTATCTTCCTATAAAGTAAATCCTGGGAACCTGATCTTTTTGTTCTTTAAAACTTTGAATTTTTTTTATTTATTTTTGAGACACAGTCTTGCTCTGTTGCCCAGATTGGCATGCAGTGGCGTAATCTTGGCTCACCGCAACCTCCGCCTCCAGGGTTCAAGCGATTCTTCTGCCTCAGCCTCCCAAGTAGCTGGGACTACAGGTGCCTGCCACCATGCCCGGCTAATTTCTATATTTTAGTAGAGATGGAGTTTCACCATGTTGCCCAGGCTGGTCTTGAATTCCTGACTTCAAGTGATCCACCCACCTCGGCCTCCCAAAGTGCCGGGATTACAGGTGTGAGCCACTGCACCTGCCAAAACTTTGAAATCTTAAAACTATAACCATGGACTAAGATTTATCTTCTCTCTCTCTCATTTTCTAAAAAAGCATAAATACTAGAAATGAAACTCTAATTCTGTGAAATGACTCATTAACTTTTGCGGGGAAGATCAACTTATTGGAATTTTTCATAATTGCCAAATTTGCTCTGGGCTCTCTAACACACAGTTCTAATCTCTCTTCGGAGAATGGAAAAAAAGAAAAGGTATCGAGACATCAAGGGAAACATGGTCAGTTAAAGATCTAGCTTTTGTTTTTTAAGACTGAGCTTCTAAATTGGAATCAATATTAAATGGGTCATATATTAACCCTCTGCTGAAAGAGGCATAAAGGACCGAGAAAATGTCTAGGTTCAACCAAAATTTCATTATCTACTATCTGTCTTTGCTACTCCAACTAGGTATCAGGTGAATAAAGCGGAAAACCAATTTCTACATCCCTTGGATGTGATGAAATTGATTATCCTCACGCAGGTGAAATGAAGACAGAAAATAACAGGTGCTGCTTCACACTGGTATATCTGTCCTGACCTGATAACTGTTTATTTGTACCGGCTATTGACAATGTTTTTGTATCATACAAAGACGGTTTTTCACTGAGCTTCAAAAGTAGAAACAGGATGCATCTGTTTCTAGGGAAACCTGCACTTGGAGGCTGGCAGGCTTCGATTCACACAGCACACCCCTCCACTCCCGGTGGTCCACTGCACAGTGACACCCTCCTCCTCGTTTATCTCATCCCATTTTTAAAAATTAATGCAACAATGAGAGATGATTGTTGATGCTCATTATTAAATCATTTATTCATCCCACACAATGATTCAGAATTATTCATCAAGCTTGCTGGAAGGAAGCTGGGTTTTACCTCCACGGTGGTTTGGGGAGAGATGTGCTCTTTAAAAGGGTATTTTATAACAACACAATTATCATAATTAAAAGTTACCCTGATATTCTGATGAGCTTTTGACATATTTTTGAGTACTGGCATTTCAGCACAAGGAGATAAATGAGACTGAGACAGTAGTAGGGAATAATATTGCCATGGGGGGAAGAAAACAAAGGCAATATTAAATACCAGCTGCCATCGTCACCCCCAATTTTATCCCAGCCTTTAAGTTAATGAATTTTACAAAATATCACTTGAACTTCTGGCTCTCCAAAATGAGTTCCAATTATGTTGTTGTGACCTGAGCCGCTTTCTGCATAACTGAGTCATGGATGCGTACAGCCAAGAGCGCCCACCTACATGAGCTTCCAAGCCCAGCAAGTCTATCTGCCTGCAGCGGAGAGCCTCCACATCCGACTCATATTTCCTTCTGATGTTGCCTAAGATTTGTTCTGTGTTTGGAAGGTCATTCAGCAAAAGGCCTGGTTTGGCAGGCCACGGAAACTGACAGGGAATTTCGGGAAGGGCTCTCATCTCTCTGGCCTTCTCTGTGAAGCAGGTTTAGGTGAAGACCCTTAGGCCAGTGGCCAAGAAGAGGTAGGTGCCTTTGTATACCTGCAGGTGGTGCCTGGAGGAAGCAGTGGGAGGGGGTGCTTGGGAAGAGAAAGACTGCTGAGTGACTTTGGAGAGCCAGCCTGGGGACCAGAGCAGAGAGAGGCACAAGTGGCTTCCCTAAGACCAAAGGCCACAGAGGCCACGTGTTGAACACAGAGGTCTGAACATGCTCTGTTGCCCAAGGTGGAGTGCAGTGGCATGATCTCGGCTCATTGCAATCTCCACCTCCCAGGTACAAGCAATTCTCCTGCCTCAGCCTCCGCAGTAGCTGGGATTACAGGTGGGCACCACCAGGCCTGGTTAATTATTGCATTTTTCAGTAGAGACAGGGTTTCGCCCTGCTGGCCAGGCTGGTCTTGAACTCCTGACTTCAGGTGATCCACCTGCCTTGGCCTCCCAAAGTGCTAGGATTACAGGTGTGAACTACCACACCTGGCCCAAAGACTTTCATTCATTCATTCCACAAATACTGATAAAACATTTATTATGAGCTAATATCTGAGCCAGGTCTCCCAACTGCATAGCTGAATATGACCCTGTCCCTGCCCTCAGGGAGCTGAGAGTTTAGCGGGGATTCAGACAAGTCAACACTTGCAAATCCACCTGACAAGTGCTGGGATAAGAGAAGCTGAAGAACCTGGGGTGGGGAGGAGGGGAGAGCCTTATACAGAAGATGTCAAAGTTGAGTGGGAGGCGGGATGTGGTGTCTCATGCCTGTAATCCTAGCACTTTGGGATACCCCGGCGGGAGGGTCACTTGAGGCCAGGAATTTGATATCAGCCTGGGCAACACAGTGAGACCTCCATCTCTGCAAAAAATAAAAAAATTAGCCAGGCATCGTGGCACTCCCCTGTAGTCCCAGCTACTTAGGGGGCTGAGGTGGGAGGATCACTTGAGCCCAGGAATCCAGGGCTGCAGTGAGCTATGATCACATCACTGCACTCCAGCCTGAGTGACATAGTAAGACTCCATCTCAAGAAAAAAAAAATGTTGAGGCCGGGTGTGGTGGCTCACACCCGTAATTCCAGCACTTTGGGAGGCTGAGGCGGGCAGATCACTTGAGGTCAGTCAGGAGTTCAAGACCATCCTGGCCAACATGGTGAAACCCCATCTCTACTAAAAATGCAAAAATTAGCCAGGCATGGTGGTGCGCGCCTGTAATCCCAGTTACTCGGGAGGCTGAGGCAGGAGAATCACTTGAACTTGGGAGGTGGAGGAGGTGGTAGTGACCCGAGATCATGCCACTGCACTACAGCCTGGGTGACAGAGTGAGAATGTCTCAGCAAACAAAAAATTGTTGAGTGGGCCTAGGCAGGTGAACCAGAAGAGGCTGGAGGGGAAGGCAGATGTGACTGAGAAGGGCCCTGGACACTGCAGTGAAGAGCTGGGCCGGACCTGGGGGTGGAGGGAAGCCTCATGCTTTGCAGTCAGTTACACACCCATCTTGCTGTTAGGTGCAGAATGAACTAGAATGGGTAAGAGCAGAGTGGGGAGCACAGTGCAGAGCTGCTGCTAAGACCCAGATGAGACAGTGGACAGGCTACAGAGACACGAAGGAGGTAGAATTAAAGGGACATGAAATAACCAAGTGCCTTCAGCTAGCGAGCTCCTCCGGAGATGGAGCCATTGGATTCCAGCGCCTGATGTCACTGAGAGTGGAATAAGGCAGCTAACCCCCCTGTTTTCTCATGCCTACCAAGCAGCCTCCTGATTATAATTGGGCTTCCCATGTAGCTCTGCCTACGGGAAGAGAAAGCACCGCTGGGGTGGAGGCCAGGGCTGCGGTCTTGCTCTAAATTAATCAACTGCCATTCTGGTTTGTAGCTATCAGTCTCTGGGAGCTGGGATAATTGGAGACACAGACCAGCTCTTGGTTTGCCAGCAACTCTGGTTCCTGTGCTTGAGGGGTTGCAGATCTGAGTGGGCAGGGGGCTGGGGCATCATGGATATGATGCCACCCTGTAGGGCCCTTGGTGGGTGGTCAACAGGCTTCTCCCAAGGGTGCCCTGTTAGAGCTCACACCTGTAATTTAAACTCTTCGGGGGGCCAAGGCAGGGGGATCATTTGAGGCCAGGAGTTAAAGCCCAGTGAGGTGCAACACAGTCAGACCCCGTTTCTACAAATAATTAAAAAAATTAGCTGGGCATGGTGGTGTGTGCCTATAGTCCCAGGTTCTCAGAAGGTAGAGGTGGGAAGATTGTTTAAGCCTAGGAGGTCGAGGCTGCAGTGAGCCATGATCACGCCACTGCACGCCAGCCTGGGTGACAAAGCAAGACTCTCAATCAATCAATCAATCAATCAATAGAAAAAATTAGAACTGTGAGTCTTCTCAGTATCTGGGGGTGCTCTGTCCTACAAGGGGAAAACCACAGAACTACATACCACTCAGGAATGTGGTCAACAAGAACAAGAACAAAGAACTCAGGGCAGTCATGGGCTTTACATCATCTAACATTAGATCTGGCCAGCTGCGGTGGCTCACACCTGTAATCCCAGCACTTTGGGAGGCCGAGGTGGGTGGATCACCTGACGTCAGAAGTTTCGAGACCAGCCTGGCCAACATGGTGAAACTAAACCTGGCCAAACTGTCTCTACTAAAAATACAAAAACTAGCTGGACATGGTGATGGGTGCCTGTAATCCCAGGTACTCAGCAGTCTGAGGCAGAAAAATTGCTTTAACCCAGGAGACAGAGGTTGCAGTGAGCCGAGATGGTGCCACTGCACTCCAGCCTGGGTGACAAGAGCGGGACTCCGTCTCAAAAAAAAAAAAAAAAGAAATACCATTGGATATGAAAGGAATCACTTCAATGGCATTAAATGTTCTCTCTGGCTTTATTCTCCACTACAGAATAGTCTCCATGGTGGTGCTCATGCCGCCTTGACGCTTTGTTTCCTTGTCATCAAGACAGTTTTCTGCACCAACTCAAGCATGGCATGAAATTTCAAACGACTTAATAGAAGTTTTCTAACTTTATCTCCATGGAACAGCTGGAAAACATCTCCAATTATGTGAGCTTATTGCAAAATGTCTTGAAAATACAAAATGTTCCGCTGGGTGGGGTGGCTCACACCTGTAATCCCAGCACTGTATTCCCAGATGGGACTAAATCCGTTACTCTCTCCGGATTCTGGAGGAGAACTTAATCCACCTCACCAGAGGAAAACTGATCACGTCCCGTGGCCTTGGGAAGCCAAGGTGGGTGAATCACTTGGGGTCAGGAGTTTGGAACCAGCCTGGACAACATGGTGAAACCCCATCTCTACTAAAAGTACAAAAATTAGCCAGGCGTGGTGGTCAGCGTTTGTAATCCCAGCTACTTGGGAGGCTGAGGCATGAGAATCACTTGAACCTGGGAGGCGGAGGTTGCAGTGAGCCGAGATTTTGCCACTGCACTCCAGCCTGGGCAACAGAACAAGACTTTGTCTCAAAAAAAAAAAAAAAAAAAAAGTAAGCCCTGGTGAAAGGAAGAACGAGGACAAAGAGAAGAGACACAACAGTTGTCAAAACTGGAATTTGCCAAATCACTGGTAACCCAGGGAATCTGCCTAGAACAGACTGTTTCTCTTGAAAGGCCCATGGCAGGTGCTACCAGAAAGATAAAGGAGGTGGGTGGGCTAGTGCCTTAGAGTGCCATCAGAAATTGAGGTGTGACCTCCAGAAATGGAGGGTCTTCATTCTGTGCGTGCACGTGTCTGTCACATATATCACTGGCAGCAAAAGATGGGACTAAATCCGTTACTCTCTCCTGATTCTGGAGGAGAACTTAATCTACCTTGGCAGAGGAAAACTGATCAGGCCCCAGGAACTGTCCGCTAAAGCCACATCCCAGGATTTCCTGAGTCACAGCTGATGAATACTGGAGGGCAGCTTGACTCTTAAAGATCGTCTGCCCTTGAGCAAGGTGCCTGCTTCCCAGAGAAGTGAAAGCAGATGTCCCTGGCATCTTGCCTTCTCCCAAGGCACATGCAAGCCACATTCACACCCACCTGCACTACCCAGTCTACTTCCCCCAATAAACCCCTCCTGCCACTTCCAGAACTCCAATCTTCAACTGTGAGCAGCTATGGCACACTGAGTACTTAGGCTAGGGTCTGTTCTCCATGTCTTGGAGGCCTTTCTCATTTAATCCTTGACACCATCCTGCAATAAGGCTACTATTACTATTCCTGTTTTATAGACGAGGAAACTGAGGCACAGGAGGATTAACTAGCCAGACATGCAGTCTGCAAGTCCAAGAGCTGGTATCAGAACTCCCGGCCTAGTCCTCTCTCCCTTTTTGACACATTGCAGAGAGACGGGAGAAAGATCTGGAAATGCCCTCTCTAGACTTGTCCTTCCTCCCTGAAACCCGTGGCCCGGGGCCTCTACCTGCGTGGATGAACTTGTCTGCCAACTTCTTCCGAGTGGACTTGCTGAGGTTGAAGTAGTAGTCGTCGTCCTCGTCGATGCTCTCCAGGAACAGCGGGATGTGCTGGAAGACGATGGCATGCTGGCAGTGCCGCTGCCTCGCGATGCTCAGCTGCTCGTCCAGCCACTGGTCCTGAGCCTGCTTCAGGCTGGGGCATTTGGAGGGGTTCTCGTAGAACTGGGAGTTGAGGACCAGGAACAGGACGCCCCCGACCCAGAAGCTGAAGTAGTCATCTCCCCAAGTCCGGCAGAACTCCTCGACGGTCTCGGCCGTGGGGGTGTTGCCAATGTCATGGTTGCCGCTGACAAGGACCAGTGGGATGGCCCTGTCCACTGCCCTAAGCACTCGCTTCAGGTCCTCCGTCTGCTCCGTCCGCCACGGCTTCCCTGGAAGAGTGAGGGTCACGTCCTGAGAAAGCCAGGGGCTTATTCACTTGAAATAACTAACTTAAGTACTTACTAACATAAAATTTAAAAAAAGAGTAATCTGGAAATCCACTCCACCTAGCACATGGAAACTGCAAAATGCAGTCACGTGCTAAAAGCAAACCAACAAGTCCGACGGGGGCCTCTGCCCATCCTTCCCCAGGATACCTTAGAAATTCCATGACTACATGGCCCCCTGCCCTATGTTGCTGAGTGATGGTGTGAAGTCAATCCTGAGATTAAATATTAGTGGACTGGGTACAGTGGCTCACACCTGTAATACCAACACTTGGGGAGGCTGAGGTGGGAGGGATCACTTGAGCCCAGGAATTATGAGACAAACCTGGGCACTACAGTGAGACCCTGTCTTCATAAAAAAGAAAATTAGGCTGGGCGTGGTGGCTCATGCCTGTAATCCCAGCACTTAGGGAGGCCGAGGCACGTGGATCACCTGAGGTCAGGAGTTCGAGACCAGCCTGGACAACATGGTGAAACCCCGTCTCTACTAAAAATACAAAAATTAGCTGGGCATGGGCACGGGCACCTGTAATCCCAGCTACTCGGCAGGGTGAGGCAGGAGAATCGCTTGAACTCGGGAGGCAGAGGTTGCAGTAAGCCAAGATCACGCCATTGCACTCCAGCCTGGGCAACAAGAGCGAATCTCTGCCTTAGCCTCCCAAAGTGTTGGGATTACAGGCGTAAGCCACCGCGCCGGGCAGAACATGCGTTCTTTCACTGTTGAATACCAAGTTCCTCATATTTCTACTCAATCAAACTCATTAATGGTGTGGTTCAAATTTTCTGTGTCATTATCCTTTTCTTTCGGCCTGTTGATGTATATTTGTTTCTGAGAGACTTGGTTAAGTTGTCGCTGTAACTGTGGATTGATCTGTCTCTTTCTGTAATTCTGCCAAGGTTCACGTCATTTACTTTTAGTTACATTGTTAGACGTGTAAGAGTTCAGAATTTCAATATCTCACTGCAATAGTTTTATATTTAACCCTAATGAAATAAATAAATATCAAGATAAGAAACAGGCGATCTATATTAATGCTATGAGAAAATCTTTAATATATAGTAAGTTAATAATATAAGGCACAGAGGAATAAAATCACACACAAATTTTTAAAAGCCTCACATGTATTCATGTATTATGGATAAAATGTCCCCCAAGATTCAAAGAAAACTGTTAACTCTGGTTAAATCCAGGAAACAGAAGCAGAGAGGGAGGGAGTCTTACACTTGGTTTAAAACCCTTTATATTAGGTTGGTGCAAAAGTAATTGCAGTTTTTGCCACTGAAAGTAATGACAAAAATTGCAATTACTTTTGCACCAACCTAAATACTTTCTTTCTTTCCCTGCCTCTCTCCCTTCCTTCCTTCCTTCCTTTCCTTTCTCCCTTCCTTTCCTTCCTCCCTTCCTTCTTTCCTTCCTCCCTTTTCCCAAGCTTATGTATAATTTTCACCGAAAAAAAAAAAAAAAAAAAACTCAAAGATTTTGACTCCATGGTTCTGGGGCTTAAAGAAGATTGAGGAAGCCAGCCAGGTGGCTGGAATGAATGTTTGGACTGGCAGCCCCAGGGCCAGCCTGGATCAACTCAGACCAGCCATGAGGCCAATGTGGACTGCAGACAAACCCTAGCACCCCTGGAAGAGAGGACTCTCGGTCCCTGGAGCAGGCACGACCTGCTTCCACAGGAGGCTGAGCAGACTGGGCTTCAGACCCCAACTCCTGCTGCAGGGGTCAGCCAGCCTTTCCCGAGCCCATTCCACTGGTGTCCAGAGGTGAGAGGTGGCTGCACGGCCTGAAGCCTAGTGGAGGGAGCCTTAGGGAGAAGCAGGTTCTGCCTGCACCAGAAACCAGGAGGCCTCTCTCTCAGGGGTGCTGGGGGTTCATTCACCTACCGTCTGCATCGAAGGTGCCATTGATTGACATTGCTTCTTTAGCCGAACCCGGACTGCAGGCATCTGTGCTGACTTACATGATCCTCTCTAAGACTCCAGTGTCTGGTTCTTTTCCCATGCCAGTTTAGGAAAGACAAGTCCTTTGTAGCTTTGAACACAACAAACTCTCTCAAAGCGACCCTTGTGGTCCAAGGCTGATTCATTACCACTTTCCTCACTGGATTTTCTCAAAGACCTCAAAGCCGCCCCTCTCACTTCTTCTTCTTTCTGTTCACACTGACTTGGGGATTTTGGGATATTCAATCACTGACAATACTTCTTAGCACTTCCTACAGGCCAGGCACTGTTCTCAGAGCTGTGTGTGCACCGACTTGCTTCCTCTGGACACCCAGTGGAGGAGTGGGGATTTGAACTTGGTGGTCTGGCTCAAGGTGCTGTCTACAGTGTCCTGGTCACAAACTAAGGTCGTTGCTCTCAGGATGACTTCTCCTGGCTGCCCTGAGACACAGGATGAGGACTTTATAATACACTGGGGTGCAGAGCATCTCCTGTTCTTGATTTTCAAAGTCATTAAGTATGGCCCCTCACATGCTAACTGAGGCAGGTATGGAAAAATGTCCGAATCCCTAATGACCATAAACAGAAAAGTTAAGAAGGGGCAGTTCAAAAGAAAGGCTGACTTGGGAAGGAAACCTTGTCTAGGAAGCAACCAACAAGGAAGAGCTGGGAATTACACACAGTAATGTGATGTGTGTTTCCAAACAAAGAGGGATGCTGCTTTTGGGGAAACCACCAATATCCCCCAGTAATCTGTTAAAAAAAAAACGCAGCTCATCTTCCCTAAATTTCCTTCAGCAAAAATGAGCCTCTTGGCAGGGCGTACTGATGCATGCCTATAATCCCAGCACTTTGGGAGGCCTAGGCGGGCAGACAACTTGAGGTCAAGAGTTCAACACCAACCTGGCCAACATGGTGAAACCCCAACTCTGCTAAAAATAGAAAAATTACCCAGGCATGGTGGCATACACCTGTTGTCCCAGCTACTCGGGAGGCTGAGGCAGGAGAATCGCTTGAACCCGGGAGGCAGAGGTTGCAGTGAGCTGAGACCGTGCCACTGCACTCCAGCCTGGGCAACAGAGTGAGATTCTGTCTCAAAAAAATTATTTATTTATTTATTGTTGGAAAAAAAAAAGATGAGCCTCTTTCTTGTGTAGCTTTTCCAACACTTTCTATACCTCTTGCATGGAGTCACAGGTGCTGAGGTGGAGTGAGTGTGCCCTGGGGTTGGTCTCTTGCCCCTTACAAGCTGCATGGCCTTAGGTAAGTCCCTTGGTTCCTCTGAGTCTTGGTTTCATCGTGTATGAAATGGGGATGATAATTCCCATACCTCAGGAATGGCTGTAAGAATTCCTACTAAGATAATGATGTCTAGAGTCTGGTACAAACAAGAATGCAAAGCTGTCAGCTGTCTGCTTTCCACATCCCATCCCCCTAAATGTAATAAATTCTTCCATTTTTATCAGCGACCCACTGTGTGTGCATAACAACCAGTAAATCGTTTCAGAAGGAATGAAAATCTTCCCCAGGGACAGAAATAGTTTTTAGTTAAGAATCTGGAAATAAAAGAGTAAATCCTAGATTACAAAAACCCAAGTTGAATGCCAACATTTGCATGATCTTTAACAAGCTCTCATTTGCATGTAACAGAATCTCTGTAGGGTTACGTACTATATTAACAACAACTTAGTATTAACAAAGATCATAGCACAACTTAGCAGAGCTTCCTGAAAAATAGTCCCATTGTGGCTGGGTGCAGTGGCTCATGCCTGTACTCCCAGGACTTTGGGAGGCTGAGGCAGGAGGATCATTTGAGGTCAGGAGTTTGAGACCAGCCTGGCTAACATGACAAAACCCCATCTCTACTAAAAATACAAAAATTAGCTGGGCATGGTGGCATGGGCCTGTAATCCCAGCTACTCAGGAGGCTGAGACAGGAGAATTGCTTGAACCCGGGAGGCAGAGGTTGCAGTGAGCCAATATCGCACTATTGCATTCCAGCCTGGGTGACAAGAGCAAAACTCTGTCTCAAAAATGTCCCATTATATATGAGAACCCAAAGCCCAAAGCCAACCTCACCAGCATCATGAACAGAAAAAACAGAAACCTGCCCAAGGACACAGAGCTTCAATGAGTTTCCTGTCTCACGCAGGGTTCTATGTTCACAAAAAGAATGTATATAAAGGACAGGAAGAAAGGCAGGGAAACAAGGGGAAAGACTCTGAAAAATGGCAAGACATGACTCAGAAGAGGGGCAGAGAAGGATTGTTCTGGGGTCTCCAAGGTGGATAAGAGGTATCTGCTGAGAAGTGGGTGCCAAGAGTACAGGGACCCCAATGTCAGCACACACCTGACCCCCACGGAGAGGAGCCCTGGGTGGGAATGGCGAGAGCAGTGTAGAAAGCTGCAAAGCGTTTAAAACACTTAAAAAAATTTTAATGCAATTGGTCAAAATAAAACTAGGAGGTAAAAAGCATGATAACGATAATTACAAAATTCTTATTTGTATCAGTGGTACTGTGAGAGGTATGATTTATTTTTGTCCATATTCATTAAGGCAGACATTAGTATCTTGGTTGTTTTCCAAATAGCCTTAAAATACATTGTCTAATAAAATCTCTTTGTGAGTTAGGAAGAGAAATAAACATCCTTAACTGGATAAAGGACATCTGTAAACAAGTATAGCTATGATCATAGGTAATGGTGAAAGACTGACTGCCTTCCTCCAAGATCAGGAACAAGACAAGGAAGTCTGCTCTCACACTCTCACTGAACATCATACTAGAAATCCTAGCCAGTGCAATAGGCAGGCAGGCAGGCAGTCAGGGAAGGAAGGGAAGGAAGGGAAAGACGGGGGGAAGGAAGGGAAGGAAGGGAAGGAAGGGAAGGAAGGGAGGAAGGAAAGAAGGGAAGGAAGGCAAGGAAGGAAGGAAGGGAAGAGAAGAGAAGGAAGGAAGGGAAGGAAGGGAGGGAAGGAAAGGAAAGGGCATACAGATTAGAAAGAAAGAAATCAGTCAATTCTCAGAAGACTGTCTCCACAGAAAATCCCAAATAATCTACAAAAAACAAAAGAACAAAACATCAAAGACTCTTAGCACTAATAAGAGAAATTAGCTTGGATGCAAAGTAAATATATAAAAATCAACAGTATTTCTACATCCTAACATAATATAAAAATTAGAGGTTTAACAAGAAGGATTTAAGAGATATTTGGGAGGTAGAACTGACAGGAATCCTCATTGTACTGGTTACAGGAAGGACTCAAAATTAATTCCCAGACATCTGAGCAACTGGGAGGCTGGTCATGTTGTTTACTGTCAGGGAAAAGACTAGGAGAGAAATAGGTTACAGGTAGAAATCAAAAGGTCATTTTGAATATAAAATTTGATGTATTGTTACAGGCCAAAAAAAAAAAAAGGAGGGGGGGAACAGACAAATTGGACCTCATGAAAATGCAAAACGTTTGTGCATCAAAAGACACTATCAACAGAGAAAAAAGTGCAAACCACAGAATGGGAGAAAATATTCTCAAATTAAATATCTGATAGGGAATGAATATCAGAGTATATGGAGAACTCCTAAAACTCAACAACCACTAAAACAACCTAACTCAAAAGTTGGCAAAGGATTGAACAGACATTTCTCCAAAGAGGATATATAAATGGCCAATAAGGACATTAAAAAGGTGCCCAACACGACTACTTATTAAAGAAATGCAAATCAAAACCACAATGAGACGCCACTTCATACCCATGAGGATAGCTACTATCAAAGAGACAGAAAATAACAGGTATTGGTGAGGATGTGGAGAAAATGGAAACCTGGTGCATTGTTGATGGGAATGAAAAATGGTGTAGCCACTGTGGAAAACAATATGGTGGCTCCCCCAAAAATTAAACGTAGGATTACCAGATAATCCAACAATTCTATATCTGAGTCCCCAAAATAACTGAAAGCAGGGTCTCAAAGAGATGTTTGTACACCTATGCTCACAGTAGCATTATTCACAATAGCTTAAACATGGAAGCAACCCAAATATCCACTGACAGATGAATGGATAAGCGAACTGTGGTATATCCATACAACGAAATATTATTCAACCATAATAAAGAAGGGAATTCTGACACATGCTACAACATGGATGAACCTTTAGGATATATGCTAAGTGAAATAAGTCATGCAGAAAAAACAAATACTGTTTGATGTCACTTATATGAGGCACTTAGAGTGGTCAAATTCAGAGGCAGAAAGTAGAATGGTGGTTGCCAGGACTTTCAGGAGGGAAGGATGGTGAGTTATTGTTTAATGGGCACAGAGTTTCCATTTTGCAAGATAAAAAGAGCCATGGAGACAGATGGTGATGATGGTTGCACAACAAATAGGAATATACTTCATGCCACTGAACGGTACACTTAAAATGGTTAAGGTGGTACATGTAACGTTACGTATATTCTGCCATGCTAAAAGAAAAGAGAAGAAACCACCAAAGTTATCAATATACTCATGATCCCTCCAGGTTGGGCTGTTGAGAGGGCAGCTGGGTCTAGGAGTCTGGAGTTCAGTGGAGGGTGGGGCTGGAAGCAGACACATTCACCATCATTCTAATAGGAGCCCCCATGATGGTGCCCTTGGGGTTGGCTTTTCAAGGGGATCCATAAGTGGGCTCCAGATTCAGAGGACCTGAGGTTGCTCTTTATTAGGGGTGTCCTCTGGGGATGTTGCCCTCTGAGCCTGTCTTCTAGACCCTAAAATGAAAATATTATCACCTCCTTTATGGAAATTCTGTGAGATAAATGAGATCATGTATTTAAAGTGTCCAGTATGTAGTATGTGCATACCTTCCTTTCCCCTCTTTCTAACAGCCCCCTACCCAGGGAAGAGACAGGGGAGGAGGGAGGCAGGTCTCAGGTGTTCAGAGATCTCCCTCCCATTTTCCTCATTCTCAGGGAGCTTAGCCCCCAGTGCCGCTGCTACTGTCCCTGAGAAATGCAGGAAAGAACACACATGTCTGCATGTTGACATCCTAGCCCAGAGCTCACGTTTACCTGACAACTCGTTTACTGTGGTGCCTGGAGGCCACACCTGTCCTGCAGACAGATGGATACATGGATGAGACAGTGCTTAGGCCCTTGCACAGAAAGGGAAGCATGCCAAGGACAAGAATTTCCAGAGACAGCCCTAAGAGGTCCCTGGAAACAGAGTCGATGGGGCTCCGTCCCTACCTGCAGGTTGGAAACGGAATAGTCAAGCCAGGGCATCAACTATATGGTTAAGATCATAGCTCAGTAATTAAAACTCCTTTCAGGGGGCAAGTAGAACTCCTTTCAGGGGGGAATTGGAAATATCCATTTAAACTTTAATAACTTCATGATATTGAGTGAGCCAGCAGTTCCATTTATCAGCCTTTATCCTACAGACACATACACAAGTGTGCAAAACATAACTATTCCTTGTAGCAACAATTGAGAAGATATAAACATTTAAATTGGCTTAAATGTTTATTAATAAGGAATAGATAATATGTATAGAGTAATAAACAGGCATCACAAAGAATGAAGGAGATCCGAATTTAGTGGCCACGGATATATAGAAAAGGTGCACTGTTAAGGTTTGGGGAGCAAGGGTTGGCTGGCAGTGGGGGACAGTAAGTGAAAACAGGAAGTTATTAGAGCTAGTAGTACGACACAATTTTATTAAAAATAAATCTACGAGTTGGTATATTCAGAGATAAAAATATCTAGAAAAACATGGCAAAACTGTTAATAGTACCTGTCTGTGGGGAAGTGGAAGGACAGAAAACATTTCAGTTTCCTGAAAAACTTAATTTTTTATGAGCATAAGTTACTTTCATTATAGAAAAATAATCAAGACATTAAAAAATCACAGATGCACTAAAATTAGATCTTGTTAAGTAAACAAGTATACATTTAAATAAAATGGGAACAAATGTAAAACAAGTGACAAGGCCAATTGTGTAAGTACTGTTCTTTACTCTCAGAAAGAGAGAAAATGGGGAAAAGAGAGTACCAGAAAGGTATTTCGAAATAAGTTCTTAAAAAAAAAAATCGCAGTGGGTAAATTCAATTTAAAAAAATGTATAAAAAATTGTGCTCAGGACGAATTGTGTTCTTTCTGAATCTGAATAATTACATTTTCAAAAAGAGAGTTTTCTTCTAGAGCAGATGACTTTAAACGTCAACACCTAGTGAGTATCAGAGGCAGCACAATGTCTCTGCTACTATTTTGATATCTGAATGAAATAGCATCAAAGGAGAAGGTGGTTGTCCTGGTCTTTTAAATCTAGTTTCTTCTTTTTTATTTTTTATTTTTTTTGAGATGGAGTCTCGCTCTGTCACGCAGGCTGGAGTGCAGTGGCGCAATCTCGGCTTGCTGCAATCTCTGCCTCCTGGGTTCATGCGATTCTCCTGCCTCAACCTCCTGAGTAGCTGGGATTACAGGCATGTGCCACAACACCCAGCCAATTTTTGTACTTTTAGTAGAGACGGGGTTTCATCATACTGGCCAGTCTTGAACTCCTGATCTCAGGTGATCTGCCTGCCTCAGCCTCTTAAAGTGCTAGAATTACAGGTGTGAGCCACCACACCTGGCTATAAATCTCGTTTCTTCAATCTTACTAAAATATGATATGTGTTTCTCAATTTTTTTTTCATTATTGCTGCCCCCAGGAGACCCAAAATTAGACTTTTTCCTAATCTCCCCTCCACTAATAACAGCTTGAGATATAAATACACAAACAATATAATTCATCCTCTGAAGGTATGTTTTTAGAATATTCAAAGAGTTGTGGACTGTCATGAAAATCAATTGTGGGACATTCTCACCACCCCAAAATGAACTTTCACCCATTAGCAGCCCTTCCCCATTGCCCCCCAACTCCCACCACCCTAATTCTAAGCAATCACTAATCTACCTTCTATAGATTTCTCCACTCCAGGCATTTCATAGAAATAGAATCATATAAAATGTAGGCTTTTGTTACTGATCTTTCACTTTGCATGATGTTTTCAAGGTTCATCTATTTTGTAGCCTATGTTAGTGCTTCATTCTTTAATTGCTGAATACTATTCTACTGTATGAATATATCATCATATTTTGTTTATCCATTCATCTACTGATGGACGTTTGGGTTGTTTCTACTTTCTGGCTATTATGAATTATGCTGCTATAAAAATCCACGTGCAAGTTTTTCACATGTGAAAAGATGTGTGGATATCTTTCATCTCTCTTGAGTGTATACCTAGGAGTGAAACTCTGAGTTACATGGTAACTATATGTGTTTACTTCTTTAAGAAGCTAGCAGACTGTCTTCCAAAGCACCATCCTACATTCCTACCAGCAATGTATGAGGGTCCCAATGTTTCCACATCCTCAACACTTGTTATTTTTCACCCTTTTAATTGTAGCCATCTTAGTAGGTGTGAGGTAAAATTTCATTGTGGTTTCTATTTGCATTTACATAATGACTAATGATGCTAAACATTTGTTGTTGTGCTTACTGGCAATTTTTATATCTTCTTTGGAGAAATGTCTATTCAGATACTTTGCCCATTTTTCAGTTGGGTTATTTGTCTTTTCATTATTAATATTTAGTTGTAAGAGTTCTTTACATATTATGAATACCAGATCTTTATCAGATACAGGATTTGCAAGTATTCCCTCCCATTTGGTGGGCTGTCTTTTCACTTTTTTGATAATGTCCTTTGAGGTACAAAATATTCAAGTTTCATAAAGTCCAATTTATCTATTTTCTGTTTTGTCACCTGTGCTTTTAGCGTTATATCTAAGAAATCACTTTCCAATAGAGGATCACAAAGATTTCTGCCTATGCTTTCTTCTAACAGTTTTCTAGTTTTAGCTCTTCTTTGGGCTTTGATCCATTTTGAGTTCATTTTTTTTTTTAATATGGTGTGAGGTAGGGGTCCAAATTCACTCTTTTGCATGTGGATATCCAGATGTCCCTGCACCATTTGTTGAAAAGACTACCCTTTCCCCATTGAATTGTCTTGGCGCCCTTGTCAAAAATCCATTGACCCTAAATGTGAGGATTTCTGGATTCTCAATTCTAATCCATTAATCTCTATGTTTATCTTCATGCCAGTACCATAGTGTTTTGATGACTGCAGGCTTCTAGTAAGTTTGAAATCAGAAACTGTGAGTCTTCCAACTTTATTCTTCCTTTTCAAGGTTGTTTTCGCTATTCTGGGCCCACATAATTTTCATATAAAATTTAGGATCAGCTTGTGGTAACTGTGTAATCAAGGAGAAATAAGATCAAGGTCCAACACTTAAGCAGCTTATAGCTTTTAGGCTGGGTGTGGAGGCTCACGTCTGTAATCCCAGCACTCTGGGAGGCTGAGGTGGGCAGATCACTTGAGGTCAAGAGTTCGAGACTAGCCTGGCCAACATGTTGAAACCCCATCTCTACTAAAAGTACAAAAATTAGGCAGGCATGGTGGCACACATCTGTAACCCCAGCTACTCGGGAGGCTGAGGCAGGAAAATTGCTTGAACTGGGGAGGTGGAGGTTGCAGTGAGCTAAGATCATGCCACTGCACTCCAGCCTGAGCAACAGAGCGAGACTCCATCTCAAACAAACAAAAAAAGCTAAGCTATCTTCCAGATAATTTTGTACTTTTAGTAGAGACGGAGTTTCTCCATGTTGGTCAGGCTGGTCTCGAACCCCCGACCTCAGGTGATCCTCCAGCTTCACCGTCCCAAAGTGCCGGGATTACAGGCATGAGCCACCACTCTCAGCCCCAATGGGATGGTTTTAAGGAAGCTTGTCCAACCTGCAGCCCGTATGCAGCCCAGGATGGCTCTGAATGTATTTTATGTGTGGCCCAAGACAATTCTTCTTGTAAAGTGGCCCAGGGAAGCCAAAAGACTGGACACCCCTGGTTTAGAGGGAAGAGAGTAGAGGGAGAAGGGTTGGCAAGGTAGTGATTTTATGGTTTTTAGCCAAGAAGTAACATGGACTGAACAGAACTATGATACCGGGCACAGAAAAGAAGACAACCATCTACATATGTGTAAGCTTTATTCTGCTTAAATGAAAAACCATGAAAGAGAAAAATATGTAATTGTGAATGTCACTGGACATGTTACTTCTGGTCAAGGTCTTCCATAAATTATTTTTCCTCCAAAGTGATCACCTCTCCTGTATTTACCTTCTTTAGCGCTAACGCTGGTGCTGCTATAAGGTATGTACACACTTAATCATAGAATATTCCATTTAACAAATTGCTTCTGGGCACTTGGTACACATGAGGCATTGCTCAAGGCTAATGATGCACAATGTGATATCCAGGGACGAAGAAGTTCCAGGACAATTACATGCAGATTCACTACTGCCAAGTCCCTTCGCTGGAAGGAAAGAGCACAATTCATTTCTGTTTAGAGATTCTGGGGTGTCAGATCCACGAACAAGTCTTATTTAGAATGACTGCCTTTTTTTACTTTAAGATTCCATGCTACAGTCTGAACTCAGGTGTTTGTGGCTACGCCCCTAAAACTTCAGTCCTATTTGGGATTTTAAATACGCAACCTAATGAAAAGTCAATTAAGAGTTTTACAGTTAAACTCCATATATAGATACTGCTCTTTCAAAGCCAGAGGCAGAATCTGAGCAGGCTTAGTCATTACAGGGCTAGAAACATAAAAATTATTTGTCTTCAGGTAGGCATTTATTCAATGCACCCCTGCTACCCACTGTGTGCTAGGTAACAGCATGACTGAGACAGTGTCTTTGTTCTCAATGGCCCAAGTTCTAGGGAGGGGCCCAGACATGGGAACAGGCAATGACCTTGTGGTGTTGCATGAGTTATGAAGTTACGACACGGAAGCACTGGGTGCCGTGGAAGCTCAGGGTGGGGGTAACTAAGCCAGTTGGGAGGCACCCCAGAGCTTTCCCAGAAGAAGCAACATTCCCACCAAACATCACAGGGCTTAGGTGGAACTAGGGCCTGCTGAACAGGGGGAAAGAAGGTGGGGAGGGGGCTTTCCTAACCAAAGGTAATAGTAGGGTGAGGGTGGAGAGGTTTAAAAAAAAGACCAGGGAGCCTTTTGGAAAGTGGGGCAGTAAAGAGTAAACAAATCAGAGTAATAAAAAGAACTTGGGTTTCTGAAGCACCAACTATGTACCAGGCTAAGTACTCTACACAGATTATCTCATCTGAATCTATAAGAATCCTATTGGGATCTTTTTTTCTTTGAGGCGGAGTCTCGCTTTGTCGCCCAGGCTGGAGTGCAGCGGCGCCATCTCGGCTCACTGCAAGCTGCGCCTCCCAGGTTCGCGCCATTCTCCTGCCTCAGTCTCCCGAGTAGCTGGGACTACAGGCGCCCGCCACTGCGCCTGGCTAATTTTTTTGTATTTTTAGTACAGACAGGGTTTCACCGTGTTAGCCAGGATGGTCTCAATCTCCTGACCTCGTGACCTGCCTGCTTCGGCCTCCCAAAGTGCTAGGATTACAGGCGTGAGCCACCGTGCCCGGCTGGGATCATTTTTTAGTGTAACTATATTCCAGGCAATACTTGTGTTGAAATAGAGACAGACAGACACACACACACATAATAATAATTATTATTTTTGAGACAGAGTCTCGCTCTGTTGCACAGGCGGGAGTACAGAGGCACAAATCTTGGCTCCCTACAACCTCCACCTCCTGGGTTCAAGTGATTCTCTTGCCTCAGCCTCCCAAGTAGCTGGGATTACAGGAGCCTGTCACCATGCCCAGCTAATTTTTGTACTTTTAGTAGAGGCAGGGTTTCACCATGTTGGCCAGGCTAGTCTCGAACTCCTGACCTCAAGTGATCTGCTCACCTCCGCCTCTCAAAGTGCTGTGATTACAGGCGTGAGCCACTGCACCCGACTTGTTCCTATATTTTTCTTATCAAATTTACCCTTCGTAAACTCAAGTCCCATCTGGGTTAACCCAGTCTGACTCCAGAGCTGGTGTTTTCAGCTAAGAATGGGAAAGACTACACTGTCTCCTGGTCAGCACCACCAGTAGATACAGCAAGAACTCTGTCAGGGGAAGAGAAGAGAGCTACAGTTAGCTCCATGAATTTCAATGTTGAGATACAAGATTATGACTTCAGGTCCAATCCCTTAAGCAGTGAGTCAGCTTGGCCACGTTTTTCTTGATGTGATATCTATCACACTGGCAACAATCAAAAACTGTAGATTGGCCAGGCGCAGTGGCTTATGTCTGTAATCCTAGCACTTTGGCAGGCCAAGGCGGGCGGATCATTTGAGGTCAGGAGTTCGAGACCAGCTTGGCCAACATGGTGAAACCTTGTCTCTATTAAAAATACAAAAACTAGCTGGGCCTGGTGGCAGGTGCCTATAGTCCCAGCTACTTGAGAGGCTGAGGCTGGAGGATCACTTGAACCTGGGAGGCCGAGGTTGTAGTGAGCCGAAATTGTGCCACTGCATTGCAGCCTGGGTGACAGAGCAAGACTCTGTCTTAAAAAAAAAAAAAAAAAAAGAAAGAAAAAAAAGGTGTTGATAATACGATTTGTTGGTGAGAGCATGGGGATACAGGGATTCTCTTATATGGCTGGCTGGGATGTAAATGGTTTCTTTTATTCAAATCTGAAAATGCACATTCAGCTGGGAGCGGTGGCTCACGCCTGTAATTCCAACACCTTGGGAGGCTGAGGTGGGCAGATCACTTGAGGTCAGGAGTTCAAGACCAGCCTGGCCAATATGGTGAAACCCTGTCTCTACTAAAAATACAAAAAATAGCTGGGCGTAGTGGCATGCACCAATAATAGCAGCTATTTGGTAGGCTGAGGCAGGAGAATCATTTGAACCCAGGAGGGGTAGGTTGCAGTGAGCTGAGATCCTTCCACTGCACTCCAGCCTGGGTGGCAGCGCAAGATTCTTAAGCAAAAAAGTTTCACGGGCTAATAGTTTCATGTGGCTGGGGAGGCCTCACAATCATGGCAGAAGGTGAAAGGCATGTCTTACATGGCGGCAGGCAAGGGAGAATGAGAACCAAGAGAAAAGGGAAAAACCCCTTATAAAACCATCAGATCTCCTGAGACTTATTCACTACCATAAGAACAGTATGGACTGGGAGGCTGAGGTGGGCGGATCACAAGGTCAGGAGATCGAGACCATCCTGGCTAACACGGTGAAACCCCGACTCTACTAAAAACACAAAAAATTAGCCAGGTGCGGTGGCGGGCGCCTGTAGTCCCAGCTACTCGGGAAGCTGAGGCAGGAGAATGGCGTGAACCCAGGAGGCGGAGCTTGCAGTGAGCCGAGATAGCGCCACTGCATGCTGGCCTGGGCGAAAGAGCGAGACTGCGTCTCAAAAAAAAAAAAAAAAGAACAGTATGGAGGAAACCGCCCCCATGATTCAATTATGTCCACCTAGCACCACCTCCTTGACACGTGGGGATTATGCAAATATGCCTAGAAATGTCTCTTGGAAAGATACCCAAGAAACTGGATGTGGTCTCCAGGAGCGAAGACGGAAAGATTGACTTACCATGTCCTTATATACCTTACCTATATATAGGATTTGATTTTTCCCTCCATACGCACAAATGACCTTAAAAATTAAACACCTTTAGGCCAGGCGCGGTCACTCACGCCTGTAATCCCAGCACTTTGGAAGGCCAAGGCATGTGGATCACCTGAGATCAGGAGTTCAAGACCAGCCTGGCCAACACGGCAAAAGCCTGTCTCTACTAAAAATACAAAAATTAGCCGGGCGTGGTGGCACAGTCCTGTAAGTCCCAGCTACTCTGGAGGGTGAGGCAGGAGAATTGCTTGAACCCAGGAGGCAGAGGTTGCAGTGAGCTGAGATCATGCCACTGTACTCCAGCCTAGGCGACAAGAGCAAAACTCCATCACAGAAAAAAAAAAAATTTAAACACCTATATAAATACGTGTACGTTAATTATATGTCCATTACACTATGTGCACACACACACACACATACACACACACCTATCTGTTTTTATCAGGCCATTATTAAAACTGAACAAAACTGGATGACTTCATATAGTTCTGGACAGGCCTAGACAGGAGAGCACAGATGCCTTCACACCGATCCTGTCTTCCCGAGAGAGATACGCTCTTGGTTTGGTGAGTGTGTGGCAATGGTTTTCTCCCCAGGAGATGGCACCCCAGATAAATCAATCAGAGCAGTGTGGGACCAGGCCTTTTTCAGCCTTGGAGAAAGAAGCCTTTGCCCTAAAAATACAAAAGTGTCAGCTTCTCTTCTGTGTTCTTTGTAGCTGTACCTGAAACCAAGCACCTGTTTGTGACTTGGCTTCAGTTACTAGCAAGCTTTTCCTAAAGAGGTGTTCAAATCCCGCACACCAAAGGATTTGTGCTTCAGTGAAGGAAACTTCTTGTTTTCTGTACCTTTACCTTTGATATTAACAAAGTGTTTTATTATTTTATTTATTATTTATTTTGAGACTGAGTCTTGCTCTATTGCCCAGGCTGGAGTGCACTGGCGCAATCTTGGCTCACTGAAACCTCTGCCTCCTGGATTCAAGCGATTCTCCTGACTCAGCCTCCTGAGTATCTGGTACTACAGGTGTGCACCACCACACTTGGCTAATTTTTGTATTTTTAGTGGAGACAGGGTTTCACCATGTTGGCCAGGCTGGTTGACCTCAGGTGATCTGCCCGTCTTGGCCTTCAAAAGTGCTGGGATTACAGGCGTGCGCCATCGTGCCCAGCCCAAACTGTTTTATTTTATACAAATTCTGTGCAAAGCTTAGTTTACAGCTCAACACAAATAAACAAAATTATATGTTATTAGGATAAAAATCCCATGCCCAATTCATTTATCCCTCAGTTAAACTGTTTTGGCATGGGGGACTAAAAGTAAACAAGATTTGGAATGTCCCTAGGATGGCTATGAATGGCATGTTGCCATAGTATTTCAGAAGCCACTGGTAAAGCCCTAGATGGATAGGATGAGCTCTTGGCCACAAAGCTTTTCTTAGGATTTTAATATACTACAATTTATCGTTTACTGGGAACCCAGGTGGAGTGACTTCATTTCCAAGAACATAGGTGTCCACGTTACCACGATTATTTTTTTCAGATTAAGGCTCTATCTTCTGAAGGGAAAATGACCACTATGCTTCACTGAAAGTCCATCTCAATCAGAAAGACAGGCAGATACCACGGAAACTTAGTACTTACCTGCCAAGCCCAAGACATCAAGATGATACACATTTTGTGTTTCTCTCTGAGGGTAAAAGAAGAAGGAAACTGCTGCAAAGTACCAAGGAATATAACCCGGTTATAAAACAGACAGAACGAGAAACAAATGGCAAACCCAAGTGTTGACCTTCCCATTCAACCAGACCACCCCTCTGCTTGCTGGAACTAGGAGTAGAGAAAAAATACAAAAAAAGGAGGCCGGGGCTGGGCAGGATGGCTTACGCCTGTAATGCCAGCACTTTGGGAGGCTGAGGCAGGCGCATCTCCTGAGGTCAGGAGTTCCAGACCAGCCTGACCAACATGGTGAAACCTCGTCCCTACTAAAAATAAAAAAATTAGCCGGGCATGGTAGCGGGCACCTGTAGTCCCAGCTACTTGTGAGGCTGTGGCGGGAGAATCCACTTGAACCTGGGAGACGAAGGTTGCAGTGAGCCAAGATCACACCACTGCACTCTAGCCTGGGTGACAGAGCAAGATTCCGTCTTAAAAAAAAAAAAAAGGCAAAATAAATAAATAAATAAATAACAACCAGACCATCCCAGCCAGCAATATGCAGAGCTGCTAAGATTCTACTAGCAAATAATTTTTAAAAACCAACCACCTCTGAGACCTTCAAAATATTTTCTCTCCGCTATGGAGGTTGTCTAAATAACAGATTCTGTGAATAGACTTCAACTGTGTTATGAATCCATTTACTGTCTTAGTAAGAATGTTTTTTTTTCCCAGCAAGAACAAGCAAACCAATGTTCTCTGAGGCAAACAGACAAGAAAAGATGCTGCTTAGTTAAAGAAAATAAGACCTCGCTAATCCCTATTCCCTGAAGGCACGGCAACTCAAAGGAGAACTGATGATGATACACTCAGCCACTGCTGGAAAATTTTAAATTAAATAGCAGGACAACCTTAGTAAGCGGAGAAACAGTCAGGTGATGTAACAGGCCACTAATGGAGCCTTTTACTCATTCGGGGTGGCAGCGAGTGGACTTCCCAGCTCAATATAAGCAGCAGCCAAAAGAACAACAAAATCAATATCGCCCTCAGGTAAGTAGATGCCGAGCAGTTAGTTGCAAACCAAATGATTTCTCCAGCTGAGGCAGGCTGCAGGGCAGCCAGACGAATGACAGTTTGCAATGAGGAAGAATTTCCTGCTGGAAAGACTGCTGCCATACTTTGTCAAATCCTTTCCCAGCTGGGCGCGGTGGCTCACGCCTGTAATCCCAGCACTTTGGGAGGCCAAGGAAAGCGGATCGCTGGAGCCCCAGAGTTCAGACCAGCCTGGGCAACACGGCGAGACCCTGTCTCTACAAAAATACAAAAATTAGTTAGGTGTGGTGGTGTGCACCTGTAGTCCCAGCGTGAGGCAGGAGGCTCACCTGAGCCTGGGGAGGTCAAGTCTGCAGTGAGCTGTCATTGCACCACTGGACTCCAACCTGGATGACAGAATGAAGCCCTGTCTCAAGAAAAAAAAATCCCTTCCCACCAGCATAGTTTCCTCAGCCTGCCCTGGCTTTCAGGGGTTTCTTTCTCCCAGGGATTCTAGCCACTGGCTTTCCCACGGACCCCAAGGCTGGGTGGTGCAGTAAGATGCAGGCTCCAGTGTATTTTCATTGCACAATAAAGATGCTCAGTAGATGTGTGTGGGTTGGTCTAATGTGAAATGAGCTGAGGGCAGAAATTAACAGGAAGACATCGGGATACCCACTTCTTGACTCTCCTCACCCCTATTTCAGGAGTGGGTTATCAGCGGGGCTCTCTCAGAATCCTTCCTCATCAGTCCAGGCTTTCTGATGAGAACAGGAGGGTCGGCAACGTCTCCACCCGGCTCCCATCTAACTTCCGTATGTGCGCACACACACCGCACATGCACACGCATGTACACAATGCACACATATAGTGCACACATACACATGCACACAGGGTGTCATTCCTTTGTCTTCTATAGCCTCTTCCCCTAACAGAGCAGTGGGCGAGCCTTAGGCAATTACAGGTGTGACTTCTGGCTTACTGCAATCTGTGAAGCTGCAATGGGCAGGATATGCCTGTTCTGGATGAACTATGTCCCTGAAAATTCCTATTTGAAGTCCTGACCCCAGTACCTCATCATATGACTGCAACTGGACACGGGGTCTCCAACAAGGTAAGTAAGTTAAAGTGAGGTCGTTAGGGTGAGCCTTAGTTCAGCCTGACTGGAGTTGTTATAAGACAAGGGGATTAATGAGAACACAGCTGCAGAGAGGAAGACCATGTGAGGATACAGGGAGAAGTCGGCCATCTGCAAGGCAAGGAGAGAGGCCTCGGAAGGAATCGATCTACCAACACTTTGGTCTCAGGCTTCCAGCTTCCAGAACGGTGAGAAAGCAAATTTCTGCTGTGTATACCCCCAATCCTGTGGTCCTTCCAGCCTTACAGAAAAGGAATTCACTCCCAGGGAGGGACGACAGTGAGGTGTGGTCGGAGCAGCTGTGCTTCTCTTACCTGAAGCCTCCTGATGCTCTGGGAGAAGGAATGCTCTTTGGAAAATTCTGCCAGCTGCCATGGGATAGGACGTGGGTTTGTAGCATGCCTCACTTCTCCCCACTGGTTTCTGCCCATGCCACTGCCTCCACCACACGGGGAAAAGCTGCCATCCACCCAGCTGCCTGACTCAGAGATCTGATCCCTGACCACTCCCTTCCTGCCACCCTCATACCCAGCCACCACCATGTCTTGGGGATCACACTTCCCAAACGTCTCTCAAGCCCTTCATGGTGCATGGTTTCCTTTGCCTAAATCAGAGCATACTTCCCCAAATAACTTGTGATGTATGCAAACCACCCCCCACTCCGGCCCCCAGGTTCCCTCTGGGGCTTCCTCCAGGTCAGGAATGACAAGGAAGGGGTCACAGACACCTCCTGTGTTCACAGTGGTGGCGGCCTGGATGGCAGACAAGAAGAGGCATGCTCAGTGCTAAGACGTCCCCGAACTCACAGACTCTGGGGGTCCCACTGACTTACTACCCAGGTCCTACCCCAGTGAGCTCACCCTCTGTCCTCTGCTTCAATTCCTCACACACTTTACCCATCCCTCTTGCCTTGCAGAACTGGCAAGAGCACACTCCTTCTCCCGGGGCTACAGCTCACTGCCGGGGAAACAATAACCTCCTGACCAGCCTGTCACTTCCATGAGTGGCCCGTGCAATCCATTATCGCGCAGCTGCCAGCAGTGGCTCTTTCAGCTGTCACCAGCCTGGCCTCTTCCAATCACAAACGGCTTACAGCTTCCCGCACTCATCTCATCTTCAGATCCCTTATCCCACTGACACCTTACATCATCCCTTCCCTGGTGCTGTAGATGGACTTGTGGTATCTTATGCAAGAGATCCTTCTGGAAAACCTTGCCCATTTCAAGGCTTGAACATTTCAAGACTAATTCTGCAACAGAAGGGTGTATTTCCGTTACCAGCTGAAGTGTCCATGCCATTTTGCAAGAGAATGGAAAGCGTTTTGCATCTACTCATTACCAGCTCTGAAATGACACGATTCTTTTTCTTTTTTTTTGAGACGGAGTGTCACTCTGTCACCCAGACTAGAGTGCAGTGGCGTGATCTCGGCTCACCGCAAGCTCAGCCTCTCGGGTTCACGCCATTCTCCTGCCTCAGCCTCCCGAGTAGCTGGGACTACAGGCACCTGCCACCACGCCCGGCTAATTTTTTGTATTTTTAGTAGAGACGGGGTTGCACTGTGTTAGCCAGGATAGTCTCGATCTCCTGACCTCGTGATCCACCTGCCTTGGCCTCCCAAAGTGCTGGGATTACAGGTGTGACTTACTGCGCCTGGCCAACATGATTCTTTTTGTTTTGTTTGAGATGGAGTCTTACTCTGTCACCCAGGCTAGAGTGCAGTGTGGTGTGATCTCAGCTCACTGCAGCATCTGCCTCTCAGGTTCAAGTGATTCTCGTGCCTCAGCCTCCCAAGTAGCTGGGATTACAGGCATGTGCCACCACACCTGGCTAATTTTTGTATTTTTAGTAGAGATGGGGGTTTTGCCATGTTGGCCAGGGTGGTCTCGAACTCCTGACCTCAAGTGATCTGGCTAACTGTAATCCCAAAGTGTTGGGATTACAGGCATAAGCCACTGTGCCCAGCCAACATGATTCTTGACAAGTGTTTACTTTGAAGGGACTTGTAAGTGAAGATCACTTACAAGATAGGCTTTTATTTTTTTCACACTACTTTGGATTCACGCAGCATCAATCCCTTTATTCCACCACAACCATTTACGGATGAGAAAACTGAGGCTTAGTGCAGTCATATGGGGAGAGGGGAGGGAGGAATGAGGACTCAGGGTTCAGCTGCAGGGGGTCCAGCACAGCCACAGAAGGTCAGCCTGGGAACTGATTTGTCAAAAGGACCACAGGTAGAGACGGGGGGAAGTGTGGAGACCTCGTGTTCAAATCTCTCTCAGTGACCACTAGCTGTAATCTTGTGTGCCACAATGAATGAAAACACGTCTTAGATATCTTTAGCGAGTGCTTCCATCTGCCAGGGCACCAAGGCCAAGTATTTCACATATATTTCATCTTGACAATACCTCTGTCACTTTGACACCACCTCTTACCTAGCTGTGTGCTGTCTTAATTTCTCTAGGTATAAAGCAGCAATAGGTCAGCTACAGTGGCTCATGCCTATAATCCCAGCACTGAGGCTGGGGAGGCTGAGGCAGGAGGATGGCTTGAGCCCAGGAGTTCAAGACCAGCCAGGGCAACATAGGGAGATCCCATCTCTAAAAAAGAAAAAATCATTTTTTTTTTATGAGATGAAGTCTCACTCTGTCGCCCAAGCTGGAGTGCAATGGCACAATCTTGGCTTACCACAACCTCTGCCTCCTGGGTTCAAACGATCCTCCTGCCTCAGCCTCCCGAGTAGCTGGGATTACAGGTGCACGTCACCATGCCCAGATAATTTTTGTATTTTTAGTAGAGATGGGGTATCACTGTGTTGGCCAAGCTGGTCTTGAACTCCTGACCTCGTGATTTGCCCGCCTCAGCCTCCCAAAGTGCTGGGATAACAGGTGTGAGCCACTGCACCCAGCCCTTTTTTTTTTTTTTTTTTTTAATACAGAGTCTCACTCTGTTGCCCAGGCTGGAGTGCAGTGGGGTGATCTCAGCTCACTACAATCTCTACCTCCTGGGTTCAAGCGATTCTCCTACCTCAGCCTCCCAAGTAGCTGAGACCACAGGCACATATCACCACACCCAGCTAATTTTTGAATTTTTAGTAGAGACGGGGTTTCACCCTGTTGGGCAGGCTGGTCTTGAACTCCTGACCTCAAGTGATCTGCCCACCTCGGCCTCTCAAAGTGCTAGGATTACAGGCGTAAGCCACTGCACCAGGCCTACAAAAAATTTAAAAATTAGCCAGGTGTGGTGGGGCATGCCTGTGGTTCCAGCTACTCGGGAGGCTGAGGTGGGAGGATGGCTTGAACGCAGGATGTTGAGGCTGCAGTTAGCTGTGTTGGCACCACTGTACTCCAGCCTGGGTGACAGAGCAAGACCCTGTCTCAAAATAAATAAATAAATAAATAAAATAAAAATAAAGCAGCAATAGTGTACTTTATCTTCAAAGAATAGAGGAAAAAAATGGTGTTAGTGTACGGGGCTAGGTGCCTGGGAGAGGGTGGTGAATGGGATGCTCACCATGCCTGTGAAGCTCAGAATGTGCACATGAGGCTTATGCCAGAGCTGTCAGGGGAAGGACGCTGCCCCTCATTTCTAAGGACCATCCTCACAGCACCTGTCAAGGAACCGTTGACTAAGTGATGATGAAGAGCAAATAACTCTCGCAGGCTTTAGACCATATACAACTGGAGCCCTGCGTTGGCCACATTCAGTTCAGTAGAGTACAACCAAATGTGTGTCCAGTATAGAGGGGTTTTAGACACTGTTGGAATGTCTCCAGTTTAATTATCCAGATAGGCATTCTGGCTGGTGGCAACAGGCATTCTGGCTGGTGGCGACAGGGAAAACAGTAACACTCAATGATCAAATCCCAGAGGTTATCAAGGAGGTCCCTAGAACTGTAGGGGAGAGTCTGGATATCAAAGCCTTTTGTTTCTTTGTTTGTTGAGATACAATCTTGCTCTGCTGCCCAGGCTGGAGTGCAGTGGCATGACCATAATTCACTACAGACTCGACCTCCTGGGATCAAGCCATCCTCCCACCTCAGCCTCTCGAGTAGCTGAGACCACAGGCGTATACCACCACATCTGGCTAATTGTTAAAAGTTTTGTAGAGATGGGGTCTATGTTGCTCAGGTTGGTCTTGAACTCCTGGGCTTGAGTGATCCTCACACTTTGGCCTCCCAAAGTGTAGGGATTACAGGCATGAACCACCATGCCTGACCGAAAGCCATCTGAATTCAAACATTTTAATCTGATGGAGTAATGTTAATTCCTCAAATAATGACAAGGCTATACAACTTCTGAATCCATCATAACCCTGCACTAAAGAACATTACAACACGGACTTATGAACACACAGTTCGTAAATTATCCCCCCTTGCAGCAGCCAGTAGTATTAAAAAGCAAAGACACCAGAATTATAACATACTATTATTCTCCTACAGTCATCTTCACCTTACAAATGTATGGTATGCAAAAATTTGTTCATAAACTGGCTGCCTGGAATGCAACTATGTTTTGTCATAGAGATCACGTTATAACTGATGGTGAGATCTCAGGCTAACTCATACAAACTGAATTAATTCACAATGCAGATGAATACACTAATTCAACTTCATTTACAATCACGCTTCCTTCCCTTGCTGCATGGTTTACTTTCCCAGCGAAATATTTGCAATTTCTGTTATTATTGCTGGATTTTGTGTCTTTTTCCGCTTTTCAAAATTGCTCTTATCAGCAAGTATAAAAACCTAACTGCTATTTATACCCACAGGTGTAATAGCAATGATCATAAGGGAATTCAGTGTAAGAGAGGGGAGAAATGTATTACGTACAGTAATAAGCATATTAAATGCCTTTGATTAGAGGGTCCGTAGAGGTATAATTATGTGATTATCTATACTGAGAAATACTATTTGTTATATTAATAGAAATAAAATATACTGAATTCGTAGATTTAGGATAACATATCCCTGATACATAAAAAAGCAAAAGAGATGAAGAAAGGATTACAGGTTGCTTATAATCTTGAGATCCCCCGAGAAAGATTGAGAGGAGCCAATTACAATTTGGGTGTGACCAAGTGAAGCAAAACATTTCCTGAGCTGCCCAGAAAGTCACTCTACAGAATAAATCATGAATATACTAGCGATCACTCATGAAACTCTTACCACATGGCAGGCACTGAGCACTTTACTTGCATGATTGCAACCTTCCTAGCCTGTTACTCTACAACAAGATGCTACATTCCTGGCTGACCAGGTGGCTGGGGCCTCTCCTTGTGCTAATACTATTTTAATGAGTACAACGACATCAAATGAAGTGAGCTATAACCAGGGAGGAGCAGTGAGGCCTGGCCAGTTCTGTGAGGCAAGAGGGTTCTGTGAGGCGAGAGGCAAGGCCCAGGAGTTCGAGCCCAGCTTGGGCAACATACGGAGACCCTGTCTCTTCAAAAAGTGTTCAAAGAATTGAAGCAGAGGACAAACGGTGAGCTCACTGGGGCGGGACCTGGATAGTAAGTGAATGGGACCCCCTGTCTGTGAGCTTAGGAGCATCTTGGCACTAAGTATACTTGTTCTCTGCTGGTGAGGTCACCATCACTGGAAACATGGGTGTCTGTGAGTCCTCCTTGCAATTTCTGATCTGCCTGTCACCATCTCTGTGCTGGAGGAAGCCCCAGAGGGAGCCCTGGGGTGAGAGGTGTGGAGAGTCCAGCATATATCATTAGTTCTTTGGGAAAACCTGATCTGACATCCAACTCAGGTCTCTAGAAGTTCAGCTGTGCCTCCTAGCCCTGGCATACCCTAACCAAAATAGTGAAGATGGCTCCAAGGGCCAGGGGAATACCTGGGACCCAGGGATATTATTAATATTACAAGGTTAATTTGGGGACATTACAAGGTTTAAGGTTAAGACGTTTTTATTTGCCTGGACTTGAAGAACGTGATCAGCTTAAATGTCCATATAATTGTATACAAAGATTTTTGCAAACTCAAGAAAAAAACATTTAAGAGAAAGCATCCCACAGACTGTACCTTCAGTTTGAACTGTTTATTAATCATTCTATCTAATAAAGATGTGGAATCAGAATCGTGTTGTCATCTTGTTGGCAATGCAGACTGCAGAAAACGACGTCTGGAGTACTGGTGAGAGGCGGAGGCATTAAAATTTTGTTTTTATAAAGCCACTGAGCAGAAATGACTCAGAGGAAACACAAGGGTATTCTGTCTGGGGAGACTGAGAGAGCTAAAAAGCCATCTTAAAGTCATAATAAAGGTTTCCAGTTAAATATAGTAGATTGAAAACACATTCAGCTTTGTTCCTTCCACAAATCCCACTGTAAAGGCAGGAAACTCTCAAGGACAAACAGGAGAGAACAGCCACAGAATTTGGAAACTGGAAAGTACATGGACAAGTAGCAATGGGCTTAGCTGAGTTATTATTGCTTCTTTTGAGATGGGAGTCTCACTCTGTTGCCGAGGCTGGAGTACAGCGGCGTGACCACAGCTCACTGCAACCTCAACCTCCTGGGCTCAAGTTATCCTCCCAGCTCAGCCTCCCAAGGTTCTGGGACTATAGACACATGCCACCATGCCTGGCTGATTTTCAAATTTTGTGTAGAGATGGGGCCTTGCTATGTTGCCCAGGCTGGTTTCAAACTCTTGGCCTGAAGCAATCCTCTTGCCTTAGCCTCCCGAGTTGCTGGGATTACACGTGTGAGCCACCACGGCCAGCTAATTTTTTTTAAAATTTTTTTGGAGAGAAAGGGTCTTCCTATGTTGCCCTGGCTAGTCTTGAACTATGAGCCTCAAGCAATCCTCCCACCTTGGCCTCCCAAAGTGTTCGGATTACAGGTGTAAGCCACTGTGCCAAGCTGCAGCTGACTTAGTTTAAGTTAAATATTCAGCTGGCAGCGAGAAAAGTCAAGAATCAACTGGCTTTGGAAAACTCTCAGGCAGTATTTGCCAAAGACAAACCCACATCTTCCCGATGACCCAGTAATTCCACTCCTTGGAATATACCCAGAGAAATGAGGGTGTTGGTCTATTAAAAGATAGGAACCAGAATGCTCTTGGCAGCTTTATTCACAATAGCCCCCAAGTAGAAATAACCTAGAGATCCATTAGCAGTGGAGTGGGTAAATAATTTGTGATCTGTTCATTAGATGGTATACTACATGGCTATAACACAGAACCAATTGCTGCTACATGTAATAACACAGATGAATCTCAGACATCACATACAGCGAAAGAAGCCAGAAGACACAAGAGTCAATACCGCATGATTTCATTTTTATGAAGCTCAAGAACAAGCAAACCCAACTAGTCCTGGTGACAGAACGTTGACTGACAGAGAAGGCGCACGAGGGAGCCTTCTGGAGTCTGGCAAATGTTCCACATCTCAACTCGAGTGGTGGGGAAAGGATGAGTTCACATGCTCCAGCTCTTTACTTCACATTACCCGCATTTTAGTTCCTGAGAAACCTCAATTTTTAGCTATCCTTGGGTATAGGAATAAAAAGAGAGCTAAAACAGAAAGATGGCTTGAAACTGCATGAAGCTTGACCACTGTCCTTCTCACCCTGGCAGAAGATGGGACTTTTAGTCTTTATAAAGAGTAAACAAAGGTCCCAGCACTTTGGAAGGCCAAGGTGGGAGGATCACTTGAGCCCAGGAGTTCGAGACCAGCCTGGGCAACATATGGAGACCCTGTCTCTTCAAAAAAAAAAATTTTTTTTTTTTTTTTGAGGCAGAGTCTTGCTCTGTCTCCCAGGCTGGAGTGCAGTGGCGCGATCTCGGCTCACTGCAAGCTCCACCCCCCGGGTTCATGCCATTCCCCTGCCTCAGCCTCCCGAGTAGCTGGGACCACAGGCACCCGCCACCACGCCTGGCTGATTTTTTGTATTGTTAGTAGAGACGGGGTTTCACTGCATTAGAAAAATTTTTTTTAATTAAAAAAAAAAAAGAGTAAACAAAGAAGTTCTGAGAGGCAGCAGAGACTGCTGGGGCATGGGTCCCCCGGGGAAAACAAGGGGATAAAGATGAAAGTTTTACCCTGGATTTCAGGATGGAGTCTTTTCCTTCCATTTGGCTCCTAGAACACTTAGAGCGAAAGAAGCCAGGCAGAGCCCTCCAACAGGAGTGGTCTCTGGGGAATCTGAGAGCCAAAAAGAAACAACCAAAAGCCACCGATAATACGGAAATGGGGAGCCTTCATCACGCGATGGTGAAGGCCGTGGGCGAGAAGGCCTCCCTCCCCCGCATTTGTCAGTTTTTCTGTGCTGTACTCTTTTTCATTCTTTTTTTTTTTTAAATTGCACTTTTAAATGGAAGCAGGCAGCCAAGGACCATTAGATGTATGAGCAATGTGTCTAATATGAAAAAAAAGAACAAAACAACCCCAATGGTAAGAAACAGAGGCGATATGGGGAGGAGGAAAAAAAAAACCATTAGCAGGCTGGGTGTGGTGGCTCACGCTTGTAATACTAGCACTTTGGGAGGCCAAGGTGGGTGGATCACCTGAGGTCAGGTGTTGGAGACCAGCCTGGCCAAAAGGGCAAAACCCGGTCTCTACTAAAAATACAAAAAGTAGCTGGGCGTAGTGGCACACGCCTGTAATCCCAGCTACTCAGGAGGCTGGGGCAGTAGAATCGCCTGGGGGGCAGAGGTTGCAGTGAGCCGAAATCGCACTCCAGCCTGGATGACAAACGTGAAACCCGTCAAAAAAAAAAAATCATTAGCATTCTCAGACAGAGAAGATACTGCATTAATCAACCAATTACAGGATGCTATTTTGAAAAGGAATAATGAAAAAAAAAAAAGCTCTTGAAAATTAAAACTATGGTAGCAAAAATGAAAAGCTCGGTAGAAGGCTTAGAAGATAAGGTGAGGAATCATCTCAAAAAGTAGAGTGAGCAAGGAAGTGAAAAAAAAAAAAGGAAATAATATTTGAGGACCAGAACAAGAGGTCCAATATTTGTAGACTATGAGTACCACAGTATAGGGGAGCTCCCCTGCCCACACACAACACACACACACACAAACACACAAACACACACACACACAGATGGAGAGAGAGAGAGAGAGAGAGAGACAGAGAGAGAGGATGAAATAATTCAAAAGGACTTCCGAGAACAAAAGGGCATGAGTTTAAACGGACTCATACCAAAGTCCCTCACAGTATTATTGTAGAACCCTGGATGCAAAGAGAAGATCCTATGTGTTTCTGGTTTCATATAAAAGATCAACAATCAAAATAAAATTGAACTTCTTAAAATCCATACTGAAAGAACAAAGGCAAGGAGACAAAGCCTTCAAAATTCTGAGAGAAAAATAACTCCTCACCTATCATTCTATACCCAGCCAAACTATCAAACTATCACTTTAATGTGAGGGTGGAATGAAGACATTTTTGGTGCAATTTCTTCTCCAGAAGCTACTGGACAATAGGATCCATCTAAAAAGGAGGCAAAGGTAGATCCAACATGAGAGAGAAGCACAGATGGTTCCTAGACTAGACACAGAAATCCTAAGATCACAGCTGTTAGCAGGCCTACAGAGCAAGCAATCAGGAAATAGCTCCAGGAGAAATTTCACCAAAAAGCTGAGATTGGTTATTATTTTAAATTTATTGACGGGAAATTGGTAAGCTCAGACTTTTGGAAGAAGAGTCTGAGGTTGAATTAGCACTCTTCAAAAACTTAAAGCAATTTTAAAACCACAACAAATAAAGCATGCAGGAAAAATAACCATGCCTACAATGTGGCTCTGTTGTGAATGATGTTTAAAATAACATATGTACAGGCAAGATATTATAAATACTAAATGCTGATACGACCCGAATTAGGAATTTTTTTTTTTTTTTTTTGAGACAGAGTCTTGTACTGTCACCCAGGCTGGAATGCAGTGGCACAATCTCGGCTCACTGCAACCTCTGCCTCCCAGATTCGAGAGATTCTCATGCCTCAGTCTCCTGAGTAGTTAGGATTACAGGCGCCCGCCACCACATTCGGCTAATTTTTGTATTTTTAGTAGAGACAGGGTTTCAGCATGTTGGCCAGGCTGGTCTTGAACTTGTGACCTCAGGTGATCCGCCCGCCTTGGCCTCCCAAAGTGCTGGGATTACAGGTGTGAGGCACTGCATGCAGCCAACCAAATTAGGATTTAACGACACTGGAAAGACACGGGGAAGAAATGTGGGAGTGGGATGGAGAGAAGGACAGAGCTAAATCCTCATTCTCCAGGACACAAATTCAATACATAACAGTAAGTAAGATCTAGAAACATCAACACAAGCATGTTGTTTAGAACAATGGAAGTGAATATCCACAAAATTAGCTCAACTCACGAGGGTGGCTGCCTCTAGAAGTGAGCAACAGGCCAATGAGGAGTTGTGCACTGCTGCTTTGTAAAACTTGCTGGGTACAGCTACTTGACTTCTTAATCTGCATGCATTTATAACGTGAATAAAGACAGAAAACAAAATGAAAAAAAAACTAAATCATAACCTCGTTTTTGCTTCCTATAAAACAGCAATTCCATAACCTGTAGAAAGCATTACACAATTAATTGCTTCTAGTTGGCAATAATTACAGGACAATAATTTGTCTTTGTCTCTGTTTTCAAATTACACGTTTTTTTTTTTTTTTTTTTTTTTTTTTTTTGAGACGAGTCATGCTCTGTCACCCAGGCTGGAGTGCAGTGGCACGATCTCGGGTCACTGCAACCTCTGCTTCCCGGGTTCAAGCGATTCTCCTGCCTCCGCCTTCCAAGTTGCTGGGATTACAAGCATGCACCACCATGCCCAGCTAATTTTTGTATATTTAGTAGAAACGGGGCTTTGCGATGTTGGCCAGCCTGATCTCGAACTCCTGGCCTCAAGTGATCTGCCCACCTCGGCCTCCTGAAGTGCTGGAATTACAGGCATGAGTCACTGCACCTGGCCACACAATAATTTTTTTTTTTTGTTTTTGAGACGGAGTCTCGCTCTTGTCGCCCAGGCTGGAGTGCAGTGGTGCTATCTCAGCTCACTGCAAGCTCCGCCTCCTGGGTTCACACCATTCTCCTGCCTCAGCCTCCCAAGTAGCTGGGACTACGGGCGCCAGCCACTGTCCCCGGCTAATTTTCTGGATTTTTAGTAGAGACGGGGTTTCACCGTGTTAGCCAGGATGGTCTTGATCTCCTGACCTCATGATCCGCCCACGTCGGCCTCCCAAAGTGCTGGGAATAATTTTTTAACTAGCAAATAATTTTCCTCTTCCCCAAAGGTATTTAAATGTCTGGCCTCAGGATGTGGTTCCACTCCCCTATGAGTCTACAGGGTTCCCATGGCATCACTCATCAGAGAGATGAGTCCTCTCATGGTCTCCCCACAGGAACACAGGACACCATGAATCAGGACTTGCACCCCACAAAAATCACAATCCAAGTGCAAGCCTCGAGGAACACAGGGATGAACCTGGGTCAGGTGGTAAAGGGATCCTGTCTTACCTAGCACTCCCCAGCTCTCCCATGCCCATCACCAGACTGCAGAGACCAGGCAAGGCAGGGAGGCTCAAGACAGATCTTGGGTCAAAGCCAGGGCAATAGGGTGAACCCCACCAACAGGCAGAGAAGCAGCCGGGAGTACTATCTGGAGGGTCACCAGCAGCAGAGAGCTAGGGAAGGCTTGTGTTGCCACTGTCCCAAGTGCACGGATGTCCAGGTGATATCGGGTACAAATTCCCTTTTATGGACCTGAAAATCTGCTCCCAACATACTCCATGGACCAATGATTATTTTTGCCTTTCTCTTGGGAAAAGAGAATGGGATGAGTAGACTATGACAATAAAGTATTTTGCACCAAGATCCAATGGCCCCTTCCCCAAAAATATATATATTTTTTTTAGATGGAGTCTTGCTCTGTTGCCCAGGCTAGAGCACAGTGGCATGATCTCGGCTCACTGCAAACTCCACCTCCTGGGTTCAACTGATTCTCCCGCCTTAGCGTTCCGCCTCAGCCTCCTGAGTAGATGGGATTACAGGCGCACATTACCGTCCCTGGCTAATTTTTGTATTTTTATTACAGGCGAGGTTTCACCATGTTGGCCAGGCTGGCCTCAAACTCTTGACCTCAAGTGATCAGCCCACCTTGCATCCCAAAGTGCTGGGATTACAGGCACGAGCCACCGTGCCTGGCACCCTAAAGATAAATTACACTTAGTGTAACAATATGTATAACTATACCACCTGCTTCATAGGATTGTTATGAAGATTCAGTAAGTTCGTCTCTGCAAAGAGCTTAGAACAATGCCTGGAACACAGCAAGCCCTATATAAATGTTAGTTATTACAAATAAAATAAATCAGGGGAAGAGAACATGACTTGTTTGCAAAGGTGCCGTGAGAAGTCTCTCTCTGTCCAGACATTATGCTCACATGCTGTTTAAATGTTTTGCATGAGACTAAAAAGAGGCCTGCATCCCCAGTGCCCCAGTAAGGAAAGAAAGTTATATTTAAACTGCCCCTAATGGTGGAAGAGGGTTACACCTGGAGACCATTATGGGCCGTCACTTTAGTCCAGTGCATAAAGGGATCAGGTCACCTCCCACCTAGGAAGCAAGATCCCCTGGGCCCTGGAGCCTGACGGAGCTTGGTGCCTGGCACTTCTGTATTCTGTTCTGACTTTGTAAGGGTGAGCAGGGCATGGGGCAGTCCTTATATCTAGGGAAGCTTGGGCCTTCAGAGGAGCCCCAAACTCAGAAGTGGGCTGTAGACTGTGTAGATCATATGCAAGTATTACTAAACTCCATCAGCAGATGAAGAAAAGGTTAAACACCTTTGGATTTTTTTTTTTTTTTTGAGATGGAGTCTCACTCTGATGCCCAGGCTGGAGTGCAATGGCATGATCTTGGCTCACTGCAACCTCCACCTCCCAGGTTCGAGTGATTCTCATACCTCCCGGGTAGCTAAGATTACAGGCACATACCACCATGCCTGGCTAATTTTTGTATTTTTAGTAGAGACAGGTTTTGCCATGTTGGCTAGGCTGGTCTCAAGCTCCTGGCCTCATGTGATCTACCTGCCTCGGCCTCCCAAAGGGCTGGGATTATAGGTGTGAGCCACCGCACCTGGCCTGGATTTTGGCTTTCATTGTCTGGAAACTTCTAGCTGTTGTGTTGAAGGGAATCAAAGTAAATTCTAGCCCATAGAAGTGAATACAAAGAAAAGGGAGGAGGAGAGACTTAGATTCAGTATTCTTCCATTTGCTTAACCATTATTTACAGAATGCTAGGCAATCTAAACACTAAGATTCTAGGCACTAAGAATACAACAAAAGTGTCTGCCTTCATGGAGCTTATGTTTTAATGGAGAAAGATGGATGATCAGTGCAGCTAATAGGTAAAGCAGGCAGTATATTAGATGGTGCTAAGTGTTACGGAGGGAAACCAAGTGGGAAGGCAGTGGGGAGGGGAAGAGCTGCAACTCTAAAATCAGAGATCATCAGATGGGTGCGGTGGCTCACCCCTGTAATCCCAGCACCTTGGGAGGCCCAGGTGGGTGGATCACTTGAGGTCAGGAGTTTCAGACCAGCCTGGCTAACATGGTAAAACCCTGTCTCTACTAAAAATACAAAAATTAGCTGGGTGCGATGGCGCACACCTGCAGTCCCAGCTACTCAGGAGGCTGAGGCAGGAGAATCTCTTGAACCCGGGAGGTGGAGGTTGCAGTGAGCTGAGATTGTGCCATTGCACTCCAGTCTGGGCGAGAGAGTGAGACCATGTCTCAAAAAAATAATAATAATAATAATAAAAAAAATCAGAGATCATTTCAATGAAAAGGTAACATTTGAGCAACAACTTGAAGGTGTAGGGCAACAAAGATCTGAAGGACAAGCAGGCAGTCCAAATTCATGGGAAGAAGGAGAAGAAGGGAGAGCAGGCAGAGGGAACAGTGTGTAGGAAGAGGGAACAGAATGTGAAAAGGACACAGAGGAACCAAAAAGCACCCCTTACAGGTGGGGCCCAGAGTGACAGGAGATACAGCAGGCAGGGCCAGATCAGGCAGAGCCTTGTGGTTCCCATGCAGGGACCTGTCTGGATTCTCAGAGCAACCGGCAGCCCCTGGAGGGTTTTAAGCAGGCAAGGGCATACTCAGGGCTGAGCGTTTGAATAACCTCTCTGGCTACAATGCTTTTATTGGCCACAATATTTTGGAAGACTGAAGTTAACACATGGTCTGAGCAGCTTACTCTTGCCCCCCTGAAGAATTCTAGGAACTGTGTGAGGCTGCAGTGGTCAGAGGGGCTGCTGAGCCATGAGAAGAAAAGGGACACTGGAGCTGCGCAGCAAAAGGGCTCTGAGGTCGCCAGAGTGGCTGCCAGATAAGGAACAGTGGGAGGGAGCGGCTGGAGGGAACATTTGAGCAATTTTCTCTCTCTCTTCTTGGTCTTCTTGGCATTCATCTTCCCTGTGTCAGGGGACCCCTGCCTGCAAAACCGAGGAATCCGGTCATTTTTTAAAGTATAAAAATTGCCAGCATCCTGTTCTACCAGGACAAAGTCATCATGGAAATGATAATGACTGACGCCTTCCTGGGGATAAGTGGTTAACACGGTACCCGACGCAGGTAGAGGGCCTGTTGGCAGATGCGTCGTGGCTTGGATTATTCTTTCTTTAGAAAATGTTAAGAATTCATGTATCCGGGAGATAATCCGAATGTGCATCACGAGAAGAGCAGCCCAGTAAAGGATTGTTGTGTTCTTAATGAAAGGACATTACGCAGCCGTTCACAATGATGCTTGTAATAATAAGGAGGTTGTTGATATTATATGAAAAATTGCAGCACACAAAACCGCAAATAATGTAGGAACTCAGCTATGCAAAAAAAATTTTTAAAAATTAGGAAGGAAATATGCCAACAATGTTAATAGTTATTACCTCTGGGTGGTACAGAATTACGAGTGATTTTCCTCTCTTCTTCCAAAATGTCTTTTGATTGCATATCTATTACTTTTATAATCACACACACACACTCGCGCACACACACACACCTGCTTATTATTAAAAAAAATGTTGCAGAGATGAAATGTCTCTGAATATTTTAGTTCACAAATGTGTAACTGTAAGCTGTGGACATGAATACAGATGACCACTGATTCATTTATTCAGAAGCAAGAATGCTGAGATTTTTCAGGAATAAGAAAGTAAAAGCAAAATCTCCTAGCAAAGTGCCTTACCTACTTAAACAGGAAAAAAATTATTCAAATTATTTAGAGAGTTTATGGGTATGGACTAACCTCTGGGTAATTTAGTAGCCTACCATACAAGGTCCTGCTAAAAATTATAACCCTACTCATAAAACGAATGTCATCTAGTTAGGCCCCAAATATAAAATCACCCCAAATTACAGATTCAATATATTTTGTTCAGTTGCAATATTATTAGCAAACTGTTTTGCCAAAACATGTTTAATGTAGCAGCTAAACCCTGGCAGGCTAATGATCATTACCTCCTGGTAGAGAAAAGTTAAATGAAGGAGTTTTCCTACTCTGATCCCAGGATCAGCAGTGCTTGCTCAGGGAGGTTAGCACCACACGGTGAAGGGTGAGTGGGTTTGGGAGGGAGGCGGCTTTCGCATTGAGTCTTGGGTCTGCTGCTTACCGAGCTGTGTAACCTTAAGTAAGGTATTGATTCTTCCTGAGATTGTTTCTAATCCCAAAATAAAAATAGTAGCGCCTCACTGGACAGAATGGTCATGAGAATAAGAAAGTGTGCATGTAGAATAAGTAGTAGAGAGACTGGCTTGCCCTGGACACTAAATGAATGGATAAATGAATGGACAAACAGTCCAAGCAAGTGAGTTTTTTCTACCTGTCCATTAATACCAAAGTGCTGGCCAGGCACAGTGGCTCACGCCTGTAATCACAGCACTTTGGGAGGCTGAGGCGGGTGGATCACCTGAGGTCAGGAGTTCAAGACCAGGTTGGCCAACATGGTGAAACTCTGTCTCTACTAAAAATACAAAATATTAGTTGGGCATGGTGGCAGGCGCCTGTAATCCCAGCTACTCAGGAGGCTGAGGCAGGAGAATCACTTGAACCTGGGAGGCGGAGGTTACAGTGAGCCAAGATCACACCATTGCCCTCCAGTCTGGACAACAAGAGCAAAACTCCATTTCAAAAAAAAAAGTGCTTGTTCGAGTAAACACTGGGGCTGCAAGAGTGGGGCAGATTGCTACGAGTAGGCTAACCTCTCTCTCATTTCCTCCTTTTTCTCCCATTTTTGCCTCTAGTATAGAGGATGCCAAAGCAACAACATGGTTCGCAGCCTCCTCTCTAGTTAGAGGTGGCCAAGTGGCAAGGAGACATGAGGAGAAATTGGCTGGGGGATTCCAGGGAAACTTTTGGTTTCTTGATAAAAGGGTTAGGTGTCAGTGGTACTGCCTCCCTTCCTGCCTTCTTCTCTTAAACAGTGAGGTGATGGCTGGGCTACAGCAGCCATTTTGCAACCATGAGGAAAATAACAAGAAATTGGCAGAGACACTGGTCATGACAGTGTAAACCAAATAAGTCAATGGTCGGAGCTGCCTAGCCTTGTTATTATGTGGAAAGAAAGACGAAAGAAAGAAAAGAAAAGAAAAGAAAAGAAAAGGAAGGAGAAAAGAAAAAAAGAAAGGAAAGAAAGGAAAGGAAGGAAAGGAAGGAAAGGAAAGAAAGGAAAGAAAGAGCGAGCCAGCCCTGCTTTATTTAAGATACTTTTTAGGCCGGGCGCAGTGGCTCATGGCTGTAATCCCAGCATTTTGGGAGGCTGAGGTGGGCGGGTACCTGAGGTCAGGAGTTCAACACCAGCCTGGCCAACATGGTGAAACCCCATCTCTACAAAAATACAAAAATTAGCCGGGCATGACGGCAGGCACCTGTAGTCCCAGCTACTCAGGAGGCTGAGGTGGGAGAATCTCTTGAACCTGGGAGGCAGAGGTTGCAGTGAGCAGAGATTGCACCACTGCACACCAACCTGGGCAACAGAACGAGACTCTGCCTCAAAAAAAAAAAAAAAAGCTACTTTTTAAAAACCCGTAGCCAAAAGTATTCCTAGTGCATACCAATCATGACTAATTAGGTCTGGTCCTTGCACTCATGGAGTTTACCGTCTACTGGGGATGAGGACAATAGAAGGGCCTCACAGCTAAATGTCAAATTAGAATATATTATTAGCGTTACAAAGAAGGGAGTGCTTGGCCCACTCCTTTATATAGCAGGGGTTTTCAGCCAGCTGCAGGGGCAAGGGCAGCTTTCCTCAGTGGGTGATGAGAATGCTGGGGGAGCAGGGGTGAAGGAGAGAATCCCTAGCAGAGTGAACAGCAGGTGCAAGGCCCTGTGGCAGGAAAGGAGAGCACAGAGTGTGAGAATCTGTCAGAAGGTTAGAAAGCCCCTGGTCCGGGAGGGTGCTGCTGGGCTGCTGCACCATGTCCCCTACTGCTTTCAGCTCCCAATACTGGGTGGCTTGTTACCTGCAGGCAAACACTCTCCTAAGTGATCCACCAGCTTTCCCGGCTGATCACAAGAGAAAAGGATGAGTCCACAACTATTTAACAGGCTTAGCAAGTCATTTAATCCACATCTCTAAGGAGCCAGCATTGCACTAGATAACAGTGCCCTTTCTAAAACAGGAAAACTGCCCGACATAGCAATATAATGGGGCCCAATTATGACAAAATATCATAGTAACTCCAGGCCAACTAGGATAGTACTTAAAATATAGTGGGCAGGACGGCAGAGAGAGTAAATCATCAGAAAGAATGGTTCTGCCTCATAAATGGCACCAGAGACACTCAGAATGGTTTCACATCAGACTTTTAAAAATCAGCAGAAAAAAATAAATCCTCCTCTGGCTGCCCTTTTTTTTTTTTTTTTTGTAGAATAAATGAACCGAGACAGACTTGTTTATCGAGAGCTGAGGAGGCTCACATGTGAGTGGAGAGAGATGTCAGAGTCATTAGCGGTGATAAAGGGACGCCATTCACTGTGGGTATGATTTAAGGCAGGAAGCTCAACCAAGAGCAGTTTTTGCAATGGGCCTGATGATTTGCTTTCCCCCAGTGGGGAAGGAATTAGATGGACACCATTAATCTGTTCACACAGGCCATCAGAGAAAAATCATGGTTGAAGAGTAGGTTGGGTACATGAATTTCTATGGGACAGAAGCCCCTTTATGGACAAATGAGACATCTGTTAGGGTTTGATGAGATGGCTCACAGTTAACTGCGCTACACTTTGCACTTTCCAGTATATGATGGTAATCACCATAGTCTATGTGCGTGCCTCTCTCCTCTCAAAGACAACAGTATTTAAAACACTGCAAAACTGACCTGGCGTGGTGGTTCACGCCCGTAATCCCAGTTCTTTGGGAGGCCGAGGCAGGTGGATCACTTGAGGTCAGGAGTTCGAAACCAGGAGTTCGAAACCAGCATCGCCAACATGGTGAAATCCTGTCTCTACTAAAAATACAAAAAATTAGCAGGGCTTCGTGGCACATGACTGTAATCCCAATGACTTGGGAGGATGAGGCGGGACAATCGCTTGAACCTGGGAGGGGGAGGTCACAGTGAGTCGAGATCAGACCACTGCACTCCAGCCTAGGTGACAGAACAAGGCTCCGTTTCAGAAAATAAAATAAAATAAATAAATAAATAAAATACTGCAAAAATAGATATATTCTTACAAATACATGAATAGAGAAATATGTGGAAATGACCATGATACTCAGAGAAACGGCATTTTACATAACTACAGACCTGTCTTTAACACACTGTAATCACATAACCAATAATAAGCTATTACCTAAAGAAACACTCTACAAGTAAAAGCAACTGGTTGCATAGCGTGACATGTTAGAAATCACACAGGCAGGTATGAGGAGCCCGTGAAATAACTGTGGGATTTTAAACTATCGGACAAGATGAGGAAGGTAGAAAATTCCTAACTAAACATATTAAAGGAATTACAAATGTTCCAAGATGATAAAAAGATAATGATTGCCAACCTTAAATAGATATGGGAAAATTTATTTCACTCATTGCAAAAACATAAAATCTATCTGCTCAAAAGAGTTACCGCTGAATGCCTGCCACCTTCCTCCAAACCACCGTGGAGCTTTCACTGTTCCTTTCCTATGGTGATCAATGACCATTTATTGGGTGATACAGGATATGCACCCTGCACTGAAAAATCAGGGGTAGTAGATGGATGTTCAGATGAAGACATGAATGTTCAAGGGTAGTTCAGAACATTGCCCAATAGCTGCTTCTCAGTTATTTTATTATCAGTGGGGAAACGACAGTTGTTGGGGATCCCAAAGATCACCCCCAGATTGAACTGTTTGTTAGGAGGACTCACAGGACCCCGCATATTGTCATACTCCTGGCTGTGATTTATCTCAGCAAAAGGACAAAAAACGAGATCAGCAAAGGGACTGGAGGCGTGGGACGAATACACAGGGAACCAGGCACCAGTTTCCTCTCCCAGTGCAGTCACACAGGATGTGCTAACTCCTCCAGCAATAAGCTGTGACAACATGTGTGGCATTTTGTCTATGGGTCATGAGTGACCCAGCACCCAGGGCTGTTGTTGAAGCTGGTCACTTAGGCAGCCTCTGTCCAACATATACCCAAATTCCAGACTCCCAGAAGGAAAGGTGGGTGTTCAGCATACACCACATTATAGGAACCACCCCAAAATCCAGGTTCTCAGATGCACGCCAAGTGCTAGCCTTGTGAATGGGGCCTTTTGAAGGGTAAGTCTCAGGACTTCTCTGCTAGTGAAGTCTTTTCTGCACAGAAAGACTATTCAAAAAATGGAAATGGGGCCACTGGCATAACCAAGTGGAAAAAAAATGAAATAAAATTGTGATCCTTATCCCCACCACACAAAAGCCAATCCCAAATAAATTAAATATAAAACACCTTTTCAGCTCTTAAAAGAAAATACAGTAGACTATCTTTATGACCTCAGGATAAAGAACGATTTCTTAAACAAGACCCTAAAATGCACCGGTCATAAAGAAAATGGACAAAGTGGACTACGTTAAAACTTAAAAATTCTGTTCATTGAAACAATGTAATTTTTAAAATGAAAAGAAAAATCTAAGAAAAGATAGCAGCAACTGATATAAGTTGATAAGGGATTAACCTGTAAATACACAAAGTACTCTAAGTTACCAAGAAAAAGTCATTTATCTCAATGGAACAAACAGGCTGAGATGAACAGAGAATGCAGAGAAATGGAAATCCACGTGCTCAGAAAACATACGAAAGACACTCGGCTGAGCACGGTGGCTCACACCTGTAATTCCAGCACTTTAGGAGGTCAAGGCAGGTGGATCACTTGAGCCCAGGAGTTTGAGAGCAGTCTGGGCAGCACGATGAAACCCCATCTCTACAAAAAAATACAAACATTACCCAGGAGTGGTGGCTCACACCTGTGGTCTCAGCTACTTGGGAGGCTGAGGTGGGAGGTTCACGTGAGCCAGGGCGACAGAGCAAGACCCTGTCTCAAACAACAAACAAAAACCAAAAAGAAAGAAAGAAAGATGTGGCTGGGCGTGGTGGCTCACACCTGTAATCTCAGCACTTTGGGAGGCTGAGGCGGGTGGATCACGAGGTCAGGAGATTGAGACCATCCTGGCTAACATGGTGAAACCCTGTCTCTACTAAAAATACAAAAAATTAGCCGGGCGTGGTGGCAGGTGCCTGTTGTCCCAGCTATTTGGGAGGCTGAGGCAGGAGAATGGCGTGAACCCAGGAGGCGGAGCTTGCAGTGAGATTGTGCCACTGCACTCCAGCCTGGGCGACAGAGCAAGACTCTGTGAAAGAGAGAGAGAGAGAGAGAGAGAGAGAAAGCAAGCAAGCAAGCAAGCAAGCAAGCAAGCAAGCAAGCAAGCAAGCTCAACTTCTCTAAGAATTATAAAAAGGAAATTAATACCACAGTGAGGACTTATTTCTTCTTCTAGCCAAGGAGGAGGAACACACACTGGGTTTACCCTCCTGCCTGGAAGAATTAAAAAACTGGACAAGAAACACGAAGCCACAGTACTTGAGACATGGACTAGCAGGCTACGGCAGCCAGTGACCCGTAAGAGACAGGACGCTAGTGAGACAGGCCCTACAGGCGTCGGACTGCAGGATTTCTAGGCCATGCTACAGAGAGGGGAACACAGGAAGGGTCTGACAGTCTCCCTGAGATGAGAAAATAGAGCTGGGAGTGCAGGCATCAAAGCATTAAGAGTTTGAAGGACAGAAGCCAGGCGTGGTGACTCACACCTGTAATCCCAGTACTTTGGGAGGCCGAGGCAGGCAGACTGCTTGAGCTCACAAGTTCAAGACCAGCCTCCTGGGCAACATGGCAAAACACCATCTCCACAAAAAATACAAAAATAAGCCAGGCATCGTGGCACATGCCTATAATCCCAGCTACTTGGAAGGCTGAGAGTATGGGAGGATGACTTGAGCCCAGGAGGTTGAGGTTGCAGTGAGCTGAGATCACACTACTGAACTCCAGCCTTGGGCAATAGAGCCAGACCTTGTCTCAAAAATACAAAAGTAAAAATAACAGATTAGACACTACAAAAGGAAAGATCAATGAACTTAAAGGCAGTCCAAAAGGAAATATAGAGGGGGAAAAGAGACAAAAACAGTAACAAACACTCTCGGAGTATCAGTGAGCTGTGGGACAACTTCAAGCAGGCTAATAAGTGTGCAACAGAAATCCCTCAAACAGAGGTGGGGACAGAAAAAATACGTGAAGAAAGGCGGGCTGAAATCTCTTCAAATATGATGCGAGTTATGAATTCACAGACTAAGAACCTCAATGAACTCTGAATGAAAGAAACATAAAGAAGACCCAGCAATCCCATTACCAGGTACATACCCAGAGGAATATAAAGCATTCTACCATAAAGTCACATGCATGCGAATGTGCACTGCAGCACTGTTCACAATAGAAAAGACATGGAGTCAACCTAAATGCCCACCAACGACAGATTGGATAAAGAAAATGTGGTCCATATACACCATGGAACACTACACAGCTATAAAAAAAGGAACGAGATCATGTCTTTTGCAGGAACATGGGTGGAACTGGAGGCTATTATCTTTAGCAAATTAACCCAGGAACAGAAAACCAAATACCGCATGTTCTCACTTATAAGTGGGAATTAAATGATAAGAACTTATGTGTACAAAGAAGGAAACAACAGACACTGGGGTCCGCTTAAGGCGGGAGGGTGGGAGGAGAGAGAGGAGCAGAAAAGATAACCATTGGGTACTGAGCTGAATACCTGGGTGATGTCATAATATGTATAGCAAACCTGTTACTGTGGAAGTTAAAATATGCAACAATAGCACAAGTTACCTATGTAATAAACCTTCACATGTATCCCTAAACCTAAAATAAAGATGAAAAACAGAAGAAACATAAAATGACACCAAGGCATATTATAATCAAATTGCTTAAAACCAACGATAAAGAGAAAATCTGAAAAGCAGCCAGACAGAAAAAACACATTATACAGAGGAAAAGGTAAGAATTGTAGCAGTTTCTTCTTGGAAGTACTGCAAGCCAGAAGAAAAAAAAAAATTTAGGTACTGAAAAATCAATACAAAACAAAATTGTCACGCTACAATTCTATGTCCCGGCAGGGTGTGGTGGCTCACGCCTGTAATCCCAACACTTTGGGAGACTGAGGTGGGCAGATCACCTGAAGTCAGGAGTTCGAGACCAGCCTGGCCAACATGGAAAAACCTCGTCTCTACTAAAAATACAAAAATGACCTGGGTGTGGTGGCACACACCTGTAATCCCAGCTACTTGGGAGGCTGAAGCAGGAAAATTGCTTGAGCCTTGGAGGCAGAGTTACAGTGAGCTGAGAGTGTACCACTGCACTCCCGCCTAGGCGACAGAGCAAGACTCTGACTCAAAAAAAAAAAAAAAAAAAAAATTCGATGTCCAGTGAGACAAACTTTCCAAAACAAAGGTAACATAAAAACTTTCACAGACATCCTGAAAAAGTACATCATCAGCAGCCTGGGGCTGGTTACAAAAAGAAGGGTTAAAGGAAGGCTGGAAGCAGAAGAAAGCCAATACCAGATGCGGCTCTGGATCTAGACAAAGGCACGAAGCCCACCAGAAATGGCAACTATGTGGGCAAACACAGAATCCTTTTTTTTTCTTATAATTTAAATTTCTTTGAAAGGAAATTGTCTTTGTAAAAGAAAAAAAATCACGACAGCATATGGCAGGGTTTTTAGCATTTATTTGTGGAAGTAAAATATGTGACACCCATAGCACAAAGCACAGGAATGGAGGAATGGGTGTCTATTGTTATCAGGGTCTTATGTAATACGCAAAGTGGGGTGATATCGCTTGCAGGTGGACTGTGAGAAGTTAAAGATGTACACTGTGCACGCTAATGCAACCTCGAAAATGCTACAATAAAGGGTTATAGCTAATGGGCCAGGTGGAACTCAAGTGGGATCAGGAAAAATAATCTAAAAGAAGTGAGGAAAAGAGGAAAAAGGGGAACAGACAACATATAGAAAAATGGGAAGTAGTGTTACAACTCTTTTGGAATCCAGGCTTTCCAGAGTTTACTCCCAAAAAATAAAAAAAAAATTAAAAAAAAAAAGAAGAAGAATGGGAAATAAATGGCAACATGGTAGGTTTGAATTCTACCAATAGAAATATCAATAAGGCCGGGCATGGTGGCTCATGTCTGTAATCCCAGCATTTTGGGAGACTGAGGTGGGCGGATTGCTTGAGCCCAGGAATATAAGACCAGCCTGGGCAACATGGCAAAATCCCACCTCTCTATAAAAAGTACACAAATTTGCCAGGCACAATGACTGGCATCTGTAGTCCCAGCTACTCAGGAGGCTGAGGTAGGAGGATTGATTGAGCCTGACAGGGTGATGCTGCAGGGAGCCATGATTGCACCACTGCATTCCAGCCTGGACGAAAAGGGGGACTCTGTTTTAAAAATAAATAAATAAATAAATAAATAAATAAATAAATAATCACATTCCATAGAAAAGGAAAAAAATCCCTCTATAGGCACATCATACTGAAAAATCACTCATGGAAAAATACATCACCTGAATAGCCTTGTAGCTATTAAATAAATTAAATGTGTAAAAACCTACACACAACGAAAACTCCAGGCCCATGTTGCCTGTCTGGTCTCAAACTCCTGGGCTCAGGCAATCTGCCCGCCTCAGCCTCCCAAAGTGCTAGAATTACAGGCATGAGCCACCGCGCCCGGCCTTAACGAGGAAACTTTGGGCGTGACACGTGCACTCATTATTGTGATTGTAGTTTCACAGGTATATACATATGTCAACATTTATTAAATTGCACACTTCAAACGTGTGCAGTTCATTGCATGTTAAATATAACATATAACCCAATAAAGCTACTGAAAAACTGTTCACTGTGTGCGCATTTTTAAATGTCTGCCAATTATATCTCCATAAACCTAAAAGAGGAACACCACGCAGTGCCCGTCTCACACCCAAGAGACTGGTCAAAATTAGAAGCCCAACAACTGAAAGTGTCGGTGAGGAAACAGCCAGTGGACATTCGCACACATTTCTGCTATGCGTATAAATTAACATACCATTTCGTAGACAAAATCTAGCAATATCCTGGAATGCTGAAGTGATTATTCCAGAATCTCTTGCATATGGGCACAGTAACAAAGGAGAAAGCTCACTCATAGTGGCATAATTTGTGGTAGCAAAAGGCTGAAAACAACCTATGCCCAAACACAGCACAATGGTTAACTAAATTGTGTTATACTCATATATGGTAATACTCTACAACAATGAAAATAAATGAACTAGAATGATCCATATGAATGATCCATATGAATACAGAAGGCTTTCTAACATACAGGGAAACAAATCTGTAAAAGAAAATATGTGAGATACGATACCATTTACACACAGTTTAAAAACATGTGAAATAAGCTTATATATTTCTGAGGAATACATACAAATATTAAAAGCATACCTCAGAGATATTGCAGATTCAGTTCCAGGCCACGACAATAAAGTATCTCAATAAAGCAAGTCACACAAATTCTTTGGTTTCCCAGTGCATATAAAAGTTATATTTACACTCCGCTGTAGTCTATTAAGTATGCAAGACTGGCCGGGCGCGGTGGCTCATGCCTGTAATCCCAGCACTTTGGAAGGCTGAGGTGGGCGGATCATGAGGTCAAGAGTTCTAGACCAGCCTGACCAACATGGTGAAACTCTGTCTCTATTAAAAATAAAAAATTAGCCGGTTGTGGTGGTGCACGCCTATAATCCCAGCTACTCAGGAGGCTGAGGTAGGAGAATCACTTGAACCCAGGAGGCAGAGGCTGCAGTGAGCAGAGATCTCACCACTGAACTCCAGCCTGGACAACAGAGCGAGACTCCATCTCAAAAAAAAAAAAAAGTATGCAATAGCATTATGTCTAAAAAAAATACATACCTTAATTAAAAATACTTTATTGCTAAAAAAAAAAATGCTAGCAATCATCTGAGCCTTCAGTGAATCACAATCTTTTTGCTAGTAGAGGGCCTTGCCTTGATGTTCATGACCTCTGACTGATGAGGACGCTAGCTGCTGAAAGGTGGGGTGGCTGGGGCAATTTCTTAAAATAAGACAACCATGAAGTTGTCTGTATCAACTGACTCTTCCTTCCATGAAAGATTTCTCTGTAGCATGTAAAGCTGTTTTGTTTAATAGCATTTCATCTACAGAATGTCCTTCCAAATTGCAGTGAATTATCTGAAACAATGCCACTGCATTGTGAGTTTATGGAATACTCTAAATTCTTTGTTGTCATTTCAGCAATGTTCGCAGCATCTTCACCAAGAGTAGATTCCATCCCAATAAACCACTCTCTTTCTTCATTCCATAAGACGCAACTCCTCATCTGTTCAAGTTTTGATCATGAGATTGCAATTCAGTCACATCTTCAGACTCCACTTTTAATTCCAGCTGTCTTGCTATCTCTACCACATCTGCAGTTCTGTCTTCTACTGAAGTCTTAAACCCTTCGAAGTCATCCATGATGACTGGAATCGACTTCTTCCAAACTCCTGTTAATGTTAATATTTTAACCTCCTCCCACGAATCACAAATTTTGTTTGTTTGTTTGTTTTAGATGGAGTCTCACTCTACACCCAGGCTAGAGTGTAGTGGTGCAATCTCAGCTCACTGCAACCTCCGCCTCCCAGGTTCAAGTGATTCTCCTCTCAGCCTCCCAAGTAGCTTGAATTACAGGCATCCGCCACCATACCTGGCTAATTTTTGTATTTTTAGTAGAGACGGGGGATTTCATCATGTTGACCAGGCTGGTCTTGAACCCCTGACCTCAAATGAGCTGCCTGCCTTGGGCTTCCAAAGTGCTGGGATTACATGCATGAGGCACCGCGCCTGGCAGAATCACGAATGTTCTTAATGGCATCTAGAATGGTGAATCCTTTCCAGAAGGTTTTCAGTTTACTTTGCCCAGATCCATCCAAGGAGTCACTATCTATGGCAGCTACAGCTTTATGAAACGTATTTCTTAAATACATTAAACGTTTCTGTTGTGGAGATGGCTTCTTTCCTTAAACCTCGTGAACCTTAGACTTTGGCTTAAGGGAATGTTGTGGCTGGTTTGATCTTCCATCCCGACCACTAAAACTTTCTCCATATCAGCAATAAGGCTGTTTCACTTTCTTATCATTTATGTGTTTAGAGGAATCGCTAGCACTTGTTAGTTTCCTTTAAGAACTTTTCCTTTGCAACCACAACCTGGCTGTTTGGCACAAGAAGCCTAGCTTTCAGCCTCTCTCAGTTTCTGACATACCTTTCTCACTAAGCTTAATCATTTCTAGCTTTCTATTTAAGGCAAAGGATGTATGACTCTTCCTTTCATTTGAACGCTTAGAAGCCAGTATAGGGTTAGTAAGTGACCTAATTTCATTATTAGTGTGATTCAGGAAATAAGGAGGCCCCAAAAGAGGGAGAGAGACAGGGAAATGGCCACTCAGTGGAGCAGTCAGAACACACCCATTTATCTATTATATTTGCCACCTTAAATGGACATGGTTTGTGGCACCCCAGAATGATCACACCATCAAAGATCACCGATCACAGATCACCATAACAGATATAGTAAAGAAGAAAAAGTTCAAAATATTGCAAGAATTACCAAGATGTAAGAATATGCTGTTGAAAAAATGATGCTAACAGAGGCCGGGCGCAGTGGCTCACGCCTATAGTCCCAGTACTTTGGGAGGCTGAGGTGGGCGGATCACTTGCGGTCAGGAGTTTAAGACCAGCCAGGCCAACATGGTGAAATCCTGTCTCTACTAAAAGTACAAAAATTAGCCAGGCGTGGTGCCTCATGTCTATACCAGCTACTCGGGAGGCTGAGGCAGGAGAAATCCTTGAACTTGAGAGGTGGAGGTTGCAGCGAGCCAAGACTGTGCCACTGCACTCCAGCCTGGGTGACAGAGCAAGACTCTGTCTCAAAAAAGGAAAAACAAACAAACAAACAACAACAACAAAAAAAACAGAAAAAATGATGCTGGATGCATGGTTGCCACAAACCTTCAATATGTAAAAAAACACAGTATCTATAAAGTACAATCAAGAGAAGCCCAATAAAATAAGGTATGCCTGTAATAAAAATATAGAGAGATACAATCAAAAACCCAAAACTCTTAAAGATAATACTTACCTCTGGAGGGAAGCAGAGGAATGTTCTCAGGGAGAGGTGGCTACCTTCCTATCTAATAACCCTTCTTTTTGTTGGCAGCAAGTGTTCCAGCAGAGTGTTCTTAAGGAAATTAACAGTGCTACTCCAGTAAACACACAAATGATAGGAAAGTGAAACAGCCTTATGGCTGATATGAAGAAAGTTTTAGTGATCAGGATAGAAGATCCAACCAGCCACAACATGAAAATATATTACATTTTTCAGTACAATTCTGGTCTCTAGAGTAAAAGTCATTGGATAGACCTCCTTGAAAAGTCCTTTTGCTACTGACCTTTCCTCCTTCGTAGAATACAGATGTGATGGCTGCAGCTCCTGCAGCCATTTTGTAAGCACAAAGACAACAGCCATACCCTAAAGATGAAGGAGCAGAAAGCTAGGAAGTCCCGGGTCCCAGGAACCCATGTCTCCAAATGTCTCATTACCTGAGAGAAAAATAAACTCTTAACATATGCCACTGTTCTTTGCATTTTCTTGTCACATGCCCTTATCCCTAACTAAAACTGGCACACAGGAGGCTTAAATAGGACTGATAATGTTTTACTTCTGAAGCTGGCTAGGGATGCATGTGTATGCGTTATATTAATCTTTAGACTATTTTTGGTGTTTTTTTATGCTTTTCAGTTTTTCTAAGATGCTGAAACATTTAAAACTTAAAAAGAAATTGTAGCCCAATACCTAATCCTCAGTAAGATTTTCAGGACTCAGTGATAAAATAAATGAGAAATGTCTGTGCTAGGAAGCTCTGAATAGGAAGTAAAAAGCAAGCTTCCTAGAGCCACCAAAGTCATAGAATTCAAACCCAGTTTTGTCTGACTCCCCAGGTCAAAGCATTTCCCACTCTATCCCAAATTACTGAGCACAACTTTGCTTTGAAGATTAAAGCTTCCTCGTAATAAACTAGTTCTGGTTTATAAACTTAAACACAATGAGAATAGAGCAGAGGTTAAAGTGCTGTTTGAATATAAAAAGGCTCCTGCTTTCTTTAAGAAAGTCTATTAAAAAAACATCACAGGCTGTAACTGGATTTTGGTGTGAAAAGCATCTTCTGGCTCTTAAAAAGCCTAATTGATGTTAGTTTATGACATAAACTGGCTCCTGAATCACTGTTAGGGGTTTAATGAGTTGTCATGCTTGATAAGAAACTCTTATGTTATCTCCTACTCTACCACACGAAATATGGAAGCTTTGTTTAATCTTGACAGCCCTCACTTAATTCTCTCTAACGGCCTTCTGTTCAACCACAGTTGCCTTTAGATTGTTGGGAATAAATCAATCTGTGTCAGCTCTGAGTAGATCAAATTTATTAAATTCTGAAAATCAGTTAGAAGTCTATCCTGGCAGGTAAACAAATGAATAAAAAGACAGTATGTAATGGTATGAAAATTTATATATATAGTATATATATTTATATTATATATTATGTATATGTTTATATATTATATGATATATAATATATATTTATATATATAAAATCTTGCAAACTAAAACACATGCCAAAAATGAAGTGCTTTCAAAAACTGCACCAGAATAAAATAAAAACAAAGAAAAACATTTGGAGCTAGTAGAAATTATCTATTAAAATTCATCTCTGGCAAGACATTACATAACATATATTAATTAGATTATGTATTATATACTAGCTGTACTATTTATTAATATAATATATAATTACATATTAATAACATTATATAATATATAAATATGTCAATATATTAATGACATATATCTATTTCCGCCTCTCTAGCCATAAACTCCAAACTCTCTTGCCTTTCAGATTCATAAACTGAAGACCGATAGCAAAATGATGTTCAGTTAAGCAAATTCAACATGTCTGAACCTTCATAAATTCGGTATAGTGTGAATTTATGATCTAAATTTTTTTTTACTATCCTATTATTCTATTCACTGTGAAAAATATTTCTTTGAAAAGTTACTGGATTTCTTTACACACTGCTATGGACTGAATGTTTGTGTCACTCCCAAATTCGCATGTTGAAATCCTAGCCCCCAGTGATGCTGTCCTGCAGTGTGATCCTGGCCTCGGGAGACGTCTGTCCCCAGCAGAGCTAATCACCTTTACTCTTTGGGTGAAATTGAAACTGATAATATTTTGATGTCAACGCATCTCATTCAAGAGCTGAGCTGTGAAATCCTACGAAGCCATGGCAGGGGTAGGTCCCGTGCGTGCCCCAAAACCAAGAAAGCCAGGCTTTGGCAAAGGAACAAACAAAAGCAGCAGCAGCAGCAGAGAACAGAAGGCCATGCGGTCCCAGTGATGGCAAAAGTCACTGATCGCCACCCTTCCTGGTCAGATGGCCACCTTTCCTGGTCACTGATCTCCATGCCTAGACCCTCCCCTCCTCCTCCAGGTCTGACTACTCTTCCTGTCCCTGGATTCTCAATCTTCCCAAGTCTCAACAACCCCAGCCACCTCATACATTCATAAATTCCCCCTTCCTCAGAATCCATGTGTCTACCCGCCCTCCTGCCCCTAATGTGAACACACTTCCCGTTTTCCACAGGGAGCCTGTGGTTCTTTATTTGGTTCTTCTCCCTACAGGAGCCCCCTCTCATTTATTTTTTTAACGTCTCCCTTTCATAAAGTGTAGCTTTCTGAGGTTATCCAATCCTATCTGGTGACCGATCCAGGAAAAGAGGAAATGAAGCTGGCCCTCCTGTGTGGCTTGGGGAGAACCTAGGTAAGAATGACAGGCTGGGTAATGAATGGCAGCTCTGGTTGCTTGCAAGGGTGATCCTGGTCATTGCATCACGAGAAAGTCAGTCTCACGGGGGTCTTGGTAGCCCTCCTTTCCAGCTGACAGCCCTCTGAGGCTCTGCACGCAGAGTTTTTCATTTCTTTGTACACCATTGCTTTTTCAGGTAGAAGAAAACAGAGACGCTTAGTCCCTAAACTGCATCTCAGTGATGGAGGGGCACACTCGGGTTCACTGTGGCTTTTGAACCCACCCATTTGAGGGTTTAGAGGCTCTGTTTGATGACAGATGAAATAATATTGATTTTAAAACCAGCTCCACCTCTAGAACATTTCGACAGAGTGTTTTCAAGCCAAACCAAACACCAGATGAAGCCCTCTTAGTTCAAGGCAACTTTATTTCACCAGCAGCTGCTTGTTAGCTGTGGATCTGCTGTGGTGAACACACACAGGGGCGCCTGTCTTTCCCCATCATGAGACGGGCCCCCCATGCTAAAAGCAGTCACATTTAATACACTCAGGGAAGGGGGGCCCAATTTCTAAACCTGATGTCTACAAATCTGATTAAACAAATTAAAGGGGCATGTGCACATTATAAGCAGGTTCTTCATCTTACAAAAGCATCCAGTGCAGAGTCCCTCTAAGGTCCTCCTGCATAGTCTATTTATAAAAATCCAATTTCACAGGACCTTCTCCACAGCTGACAGGCAGAGGCCAAAAGGGAGAATACCAGCTTTTCTTTGGCCCCACAATGGACCCAACTGAAAAAAATGTTAAAGTGTAGCATAGGCAGGTGCTGTGGCTCACACCTGTAATCCCAGCACTTTGGGAGGCCAAGGCGGGAGGATCACCTGAAACCAGGAGTTCGAGACCAGCCTGGGCGACACAGTGAGACCTCTGTCTCTATTAAAATTAAAAAAAAAATTCTTTAAATTAGGCCGGCATGGTGGTGTGTACTTGTAGTCCCAGCTATTCAGGAGCTGAGGTGGGAGGATGGCTTGAGCACAGGAGTTAGAAGCTGTAGTGAGCCGTGACTACAGCACTGCACTCTAGCCTGGGCAACAGAGAGATCTGTTGTACAAAAAATGTGTAGCTAGCAGAAAAAGGTAAGTCAGATTCACTGGAAAACATCTGCTCCCAGGAAGCTGCAGGCAAATGTGGCTTATTCAAGACTAAGGTGAACAGTTTCCTCCTGGACATAAAGTGGCAAAAATGGGGTCAAATCATCTCTGATGGGTCCCTTCTGGCATTGGAATTGCATCATTTTTATGACGAGCATACCAGTGATGCTCATGTATTAATCACTGACATTCTCTCAGGGTAACCTTCTCACAAGCATACAGTATGCATTCTTTTTTTTTTTTTTTTTTGAGACAAGGTCTCCCTCTGTTGCCCAGGCTGCAGTTCAGTGGCACGATCATAGCTCACTGCAGCCTTGACCTCCCAGGCTCAAGCAATCCTCCTACCTCAGCCTCCTGAGTAGCTGGGACTACAGGTGCATGCCACCATGCCTGGCTAATTTTTGTATTTTTTGTAGAGATGGGGTCTCACTATGTGGCTGAGGCTGGTGTATGAACTCCTGGCCTCAAGCAATCCTCCCACCTCAGCCTCTCAACATGCTAGGATTACAGGCATGAACTACCACACCCTGCCTCAATATGTATCTTTATGTGTCTACTTGTTAGGATGTTAGGGCATTTTTGTGATAGATATAAATACTTTCCAGAAGGCTAATACGCATACAATAAAGTTAATTTACTCATTTGCTTCATCATAGGAAAACAGCTAGACACATTCAGCAAATTTAGAAGATATGTTTGGGACAGCGTCATGTGAAATCCAAGTTATGTGGCATATATGAAATTTGCATGGCAGGGGCGTGGTGGGGGCACTCTGCAAGATGCCTCAAAGAATCAGAAGTTGCTGGGTACGGTGGCTCACGCCTGTAAACCCAGCACTTTGGGAGGTCAAGGCGGGCGGATCACCTGAGGTCAGGAGATGACCATCCTGGCTAACACGGTGAAAACCTGTCTCCAATAAAAACACAAAAAATTAGCCGGGCGTGGTCGCGGGCACCTGTAGTCCCAGCTACTCGGGAGGCTGAGGCAGGAGAATGGCGTGAACCCAGGAGGCGGAGCTTGCAGTGAGCCAAGATCGCGCTACTGCACTCCAGCCTGGGCAACAGAGCGAAACTCCGTCAAAAAAAACAAAAAAAAATCGGAAGTTGGTTCAGCTCTAGGCCAGCTGAAACTCATATAATGACACGTCCACAAGACTGGCAATTTGGGAAGGACACGCTGTCCATACTGAGAAGCTGTGGATGTAGTCAGTTATCGTCTTAAATAAGAGTCTCAAACTGAAATTCACAAGGGCAAAATGCTGCAAATTATGGGAGTGATCTGCAACAATGCTGCATCTCACGTGGGCAGTTCCACGCAAACTACTCTGGGGCTGTGGCAGCAGAGATGCATTTAAGAACAGTGAGCCAGGTGCGGTGGCTCATGTCTGTAATTCCAGCATTCTGTGAGGCTGAGGAGGGAGGACCACTTGAGGTCAGTTCGAGACCAGCTGGCTAACATGGCAAAACCCTGTGTCTACTAAAAATACAAAAAAATTAGCTGGGTGTGATGGCACAGGCATGGTGGAGCACACCTGTCATCCCAGTTACTTGGGAGGCTGAGGCACGAGAATCACTTGAACCCAGGAGGCAGAGGTTGCAGTGAGCCGAGATACCACTGCACCCCAGCCTGGGCAACAGAGCAAGACTCTGTCTAAAAAATTAAAAAAATAAAATTAAAACAGTGAGTGATTCCCTTGACACATGCCAGGAAAGCCAGCCAGCAAAATGATAAATCAGACAAAACTAAGCAATTAAGGGTCCCTATGGAAGTTTATGATACCAATTTAACCCTTGAGATCAAAGTTATAGACACCTACAGTGCTCTCCCAAAAGTGTTTCCCCCTAGAGAGTATTAAACATCCATGTTAAATGATGTCAACAACTTTCCACATCTTACTTCTAAAATTTTTAGATTCAATCCCGTGAAAAAACGTTTATCTTCACAAACTAGAATCAGGGTAAGTAAGGTAGGACCCTATTATAGCACCTCGAGGTGACCAACTAAGTTATAGCACCTCGAGGATGACCAACTAAGTTACAGCACCTTGAGGGTGACCAACTAAGTTACAGCACCTCGAGGGTGACCAATTAAGTTATAGCACCTCGAGGGTGACCAACTAAGTTATAGCACCTCGAGGGTGACCAACAAAGTTATAGCCCAGGGCTGAGGGGTTTCCCAGGATGTGGGACTTTTCAGTGCTAAAACCAGAACAGTCCTGGGCAAACCAGGCTGGTTGGTCACCCTAATTTGGAAGAAGACAGATTCCAAAGCATAACTACAAGCATTACTACAAATTTGAAGGGCCCAATATAATGCAGTCGGCCTACAGGGTTTGCCTACCAGAACTGCACAGGGGGATCTTACTTACATGGGGAAAATAAAACCCACAAAATTGAATGTCTCTACTGGCTTCCCTTTGAATGTTTTGTATTTTACAGATAGAGCCTCAGATCCTGGGCATCGATATTCCACATGGATCCTGTTTGTACCTCTTGTATTCACACCGGGGAAACTGCAAAGGGAAGACTGCTAAGTAATGTAAGGGGGCCCGTGCCTGCACAAATTCTTCCTAGCAGGCACACTGGGGGCCTTAGCAGCGTATGTGTTGTGAGCGAGTAACACTTTGCATCCGCAACGGACTTCATGCCTTTCAGACAATCTGCCAGACCAGTCCTAATGGCAACCTTTTAAAAAAGGATGACAAGTCCTTCTAGCAGGCTGTCACATGTTGCCAGATTAAAACATTGTGTAATTATTTACAGGAGACGGTGGGGTGTCAGATCATTTGGCTGGAAAGACCATGTTTCCAAATAAATTTGAGAGATAGCTACAGCTGCTCTAAAACAGAGCAAAATATATGGCAACAAAAGGAAGAAGAACACATTATTGAGGCAAATCATGCAATTAAGTATCCACTCTTTGTCATAGGGCATTTTGGCTGTCCCTGCTTCTCCAGGCAAGCTTTTGGAATATTCTGAATAAGAGCTGGAGAGTCAAAGAAAGAGAAAACAAAGCCCCTTTCTATCTCCCATACTTTTCCTTCCTGCAGGAAAAGGGACACAGTACCATGCAGTTGAACACCATGTCAAGTGAGGATAAAGGAAAACAGCCATGACATCACTCCATTACTGCCACCCCCAGTGTGCCTCACAGGCCCTGCAATTTATAATCTTGTTTAATCCTCCAAGCAACCGAGGAATACAGATATCATCGCCCCTGCTGTACAGATAAGGAAGCAGAGGCTCATTGGGGTCCAGGAGCATGCCTGTGGACAAATAGCTCCTAAATGACATTGAGTTTTAAACCCAATCTCCAAAAAGCCTGTATGTTTTGAGCGCCTATGATGTGTCATCAGACAGTGAGGCAGGTACTTGGGATACAATCAGATAAATGGCAGAGAACCTATCCAAGAAGCCCACAAGCTGGAAGCGAATACAAGAAACGCCATCACTCATAGCCATGACAATTACTGAGTGCCTGTCACATGCCTGGCATTGTTCCCATTCATGACTTCAGTTCAGCCTCCCACCAGCCCACTGACCAAGGCACTATTTTCCATGATGTCTTCACTTTCTGACTTTAAAACCCAGACTCTTCACCATTAGATCATGTGCCTGAGATCAATGGCAAGAGATGAAAGCCTGGCCAAAGCACTGTGTTAATAAAGTAGGCTGATTATACAGTTTACTACAAGTAGAAGGAATTGCCACAAACTGGTACTTCTGGAGCAGTGTTCAGGAAGAAGGCAGGAACTGCAGCTGAATCTAGTAATAAGACACGATGATGATGATGATGATGACAGCAATGACAACAGCAACAACAAAAATAGAGGCTGGGTGTGGTGGCTCATGCTTGTAATTCCAGCACTCTGGGAGGCAGAGGCAGGAGGATCGCTTGAGCCCAGGAGTCTGAGACCAGTCTGGGCAACACGGCAAGACCCCATCCCTACAAAAAATTTTAAAATTAGCTGGACATGGTGGCATGTATCTGCAGTCCCAGCTACTCAGGGGGCTAGGGTAGCAGGATCACTTGAGCCCAAGAAGTAGAGGCTACAGTGAGGTATGATCACACCACTGCACTCCAGCTTGGGCAACAGACGAAGACTCTGTCTCTAAAAAAAAAAAAAAAAAAAAAAAGACAAAAAAAAAGTGCTAGAGAACCAGATTTAAAGCAGAAGCAGTCCGGAAATCACATGCAAAACTGCTCCCAGGGAGAAACGCAAGCCCAGGCACAGAGCCCCGCTTGATGGCAGGTGCTGGACAATAACAATGCTGGGATCCCCGCCTCTGCTGCCACTTTCCTCACCAGCATGGATCCTGCCCTCTCCTTTGTGTCACTCACTAAAGGCTCAAAGTCTGGTTCAAGGTGAGTCTGAGTACTAGGGCCTGGGATACATGCCTGTGTCCTAACTGCAAAGAAAGCAGAGAGGCCATCAGGCCATCTAGCTTTCATCATGCAGGTGGTTTATACCACAAAGCAGGTGAATATATTCAAGGGGTGATACGGTTTGTCTCTGTGTTCTCACCTAAATCTCATCTCAAATTGTAACCCCCGTGTGTCAAGGGAGGGACCTGGTGGGAAGTGATTGGATCATGGGGTCGGGGGGTGGTGTGGTTACCCCATGCTGTTCTCATGACAGTGCGTGAGTTCTCACAAGACCTGATGGTTTAAAAGTGTTGGGCAGTTGCCCCTTGTGCTCTCTCTCCTGACGCCTTGTGAAAAAGGTGCTTGCTTCTCCTTTGCCTTCCATCTTGACTGTAAGTTTCCTGAGGCTCCCCAGCCATGTGGAACTGTGAGACAATTAAACCCGTATCAGGTGGTATCCTTATATCAGTGTGAAAACAGACTAATACTGGGGCAAACTCTCCAAAAGTCAGAAGGGAATACCAAAGTACTGGGAGGTCAGAAAGGACAAATGGACAACCACTGAAAGCTCCTTGTTCTGTCTTTTCTAAATGAAGTCATCCTTCCAATGGCAGCTGTGGGTTCCACGTCTGTGGATTCAACTGCTGATTGAAAATATTCAGAAAAAAAATTCCGTGATGTTTCAAAAAGCAGAACTTGAACTTGCTGTGTGCTGAGTATGACGCTGAATCCGTAAGAATAAAGTGATGTGTAGCACTGTATTGGGTACAGGTAATCTATAGATGATTTAGAGTATACAGGAGAGTGTGCATAGGTTATATGCAAATACCACACTATTTTATATCAGGGACCTGAGGACTGGTGGATCTTGGTATCCTTGGGAGGGTCCTGGAACCAATCCTCCATGGATACCAAAGGATGATGATAATTGATTGCTAACTTTGCCCTTCACAGGTAGAAACAATTTTACGTGTCTCAGAAAGAACAAAGAGTTTAAGATGGTGATGCTGAGATTCTGGACAAGATGGACATGGTGATCTCTACTGGAATCCGGGGACTGCTGTACTACGGTCATATACTACTGCTGGGGGCCTGGTGTTCCCGGGGTGCACTGGGGGCCTTGCTGTACTGATATGGTCATATGCTACTGGGGGCCTGCTGTTGCTGAGGTACATTGTCAGCAGGCCTAGGCATCGAAAATGACACAACTGTCTCCTGTTCAGAAGCACTTAGAATCTCCTGCATCGTGTAACAAGTGTTTAGAGATCCCTAGATCAGGGACTCTGGGGACAGTTTTTAATTTACTGATAAGTAAAGTTTTAAAATGTGACATCTTTGAGTACTGCTGCCCTAGTCTATTAAACAAAGAGAAGCAATTCCCAGGCCAGGATCATCCTACTAACCCAAACCTGATAATGCTGATGTGGCCCAGGGCTGGCAGGATGGCCTGGACTGTAACTAGGCATCCCCTGCTTCCATTTGCAGACATGTGGCTTTGCCCTGATGGAGACATAGTGACAGATCATTTTGTACTACGTAGGTACAGATCCAAAGGGCATCTTAGGCTGGCTGTCATTAAGTTCCAGTGAGGAACACCTGTCTTCTTCAGTTCCTGTTTCTCCAGTTTGCATGCAGCCTCAGCCCATCAGAAGGCAGCGGATAAGAGTTCCCCCTTGGATGGCTTTAAGTTGGCAAACAGGGGTAGAAAAGAGGCCAAGCTGCGTGGTGGCAGGCACCTGTAATCCCAGCTACTTGGGAGGCCGAGGCAGGAGAATTGCTTGAACCCGGGTGGCGGAGGTTGCAGTGAGCCGAGATTGCGCCACCGCACTCCAGCCTGGGAGACAGAGCCAGACTCTGTCTCAAAAAAAAAAAAAAAAAGAAAAAGAAAAAGAAAAAAAAAGAAAAGAAAAGAGGAGAAGTTCTGAGTTTCTGAGATGGGCTGGAAGCACATGGTCACTACCCATCAGCTGGGCGGTGCTGGGCAAGTTGTTTGACCTGACAGTTTGGTCATCTGCAAAAAGGGATAAAAGTACAACTATTTCATAATAAAACAGCAATCTTTGTGGCTCTATACTATGACGAGTACTATTATTTACATTAGTAACAAGCTCTTCTCAATTTCTAGTAGCCGCTTAGGTTTACCCAATGATAATGAATCAATCAGGAAAAATGGTGTCCCTGTGAAGAGACTAGTTAACCAGAAATAAATAAAAGCTATGGATACCAGCAATGGAACTACACTAGTAAAATCGCTTCCTATTTTCCAAAAGTTTGGGCTTAATCTTCAGACAACATGTTCTGGATAAAAAATGTGAGCCAGGGACAGTGGCTCATAGTATAATACCAACACTTTGGGAGGCCGAGGCGGGCGGATCACTTGAAATCAGGAGTTCGAGACCAGCTTGGCCAACATGGCAAAACCTTACCTCTACTAAAAATACAAAAAGTAGCCGGGCATGGTGGCACGTGCCTGTAATTCCAGCTACTCACTCGGGAGGCTGAGGCATGAGAATCACTTGAACACATGAGGTGGAGGTTGCAGTGAGCTGAGATTGCACCACTGTACTCCAGCCTAGGCAGCAAAGCAAGACTCTGTCTCCAAAAAAAAAAAAGTGAACAATGTCAGCACCATAGGAAAGGTAAATTTTTTTTTTAAATGGGAACAATGGAAAGAAGAGTTACAGTCTTAAAATAAACATATCCTCGGCTAATTGAGAGGACAGCCTGGGGTCTGCCCAAGGGCAGGGAACTGGGCCTCCCTCTTCTGCTTAGTCCCCTGGGACTTAAATTTCCACATTAAAAATACTCTCTCATTTATTTTTACTTCTTTGTCGGGGGAAGAGGGTAACGCCACGGAGATGGTGAATTCAATTTCTTGGACCACTAGGGATATTATTTAGTAATGGAGGTAAAAATATGATATTGTACTAGTTATGCTGTATGTCAGGGCAAGAATCTAATTTCCACTTTCCTTAATGTTATCATCTGAATAAAGTGATTCAAATTAATCAACAATCTGCTTCTAAGAATTTATCTCATAGTATAATAAAAAGTAGTAGCAGTAGATAGATAAAATGTGGTATATCCATATGGTAGAATATTATTCAACAACAGCTACAACATGGATAAACCCTGAAAACATCATGGTAAGTGAAAGAAGTCGATCCCAAGGCGCCGCATACTGTATATTTCATTTATATGAAATATCCAGAATAGGCAAATCTACACACGGACAGTGGATTAGTGGCTGCCTAGGGCTGGAGTCGGAGGTGAAGGGAAATAGGGAATGACAGCTAACAGGGACGGAGTTTCTTTCTGGGTTGATAAAAATGTTTTGTTTTGTTTTGAGACAGTGTTCCACTCTGTCCTCCAGGCTGGAGTGCAGTGGCACAATATCAGCTAACTGCAACCTCTGCCTCCTGGACTCAGGCAATCCTCCCACCTCAGCCTCCCAAGTGGCTGGGACTACAGGTACACACCACCACACCCAGCTAATTAAAAAAAAAAAATTTTTGTAGAAATGAAGTCTTGCGCCGGGCACGGTGGCTCACGCCTGTAATCCCAGCACTTTGGGAGGCCAAGGTGGGTGGATCACTTGAAGTTGGGAGTTCAAGACCAGCCTGGCCAACATGGTAAAACCCCATCTCTATTCTAAAAAATACAAAAATTAGCCGGGTGTGGTGGTGGATGCCTGTAATTCCAGCTACTTGGGAGGCTGAGGCAGGAGAATTGCTTAAACCTGGGAGGCGGAGGGTGCAGTGAGCCGAGATGGTGCCATTGCACTCCAGCCTGGGCAACAAGAGCAAGACTCCACCTTGAAAAAAAAAAAAAAGAAATGAGGTCTCACTATGTTGCCCAGGCTGGTCTCAAACTCCTGCGTTCAGGCTATCCTCCCGAGGCCTGCCTCAGCCTCCCAAAGTGCTGGGATTACAGGCATGAGCCCACCATGGCTCGCCTTGGTAAAAATGTTTTAATACTGATTTTGGTGATCATTACACAACTCAGCAAATACACAAAAGACCAATGAATGGAAATGGATGAGTGGCATGGTATGGAATTCAATCTCAATAGAGTCATTATTAAAAATAGAAGTAATCGTAGTTATTGGGCTGTATTAAATGCCAGCCAATATTCTAAGCACTTTTATAGATTATTTCATTTAAGTCTTATGAGAAACCTATGATGCGAGTACCATTATTATCTGCATTTTACAGATAAGGAAATTCAGCTACAGAGAGATTAGATAACTTGCCCAAAGCTATTTGGCCAGGAAACAAGAGAGCCAGGATCTGAATTTAAGCCATCTGACATCACAGGCCAGTTCTCAACTGCTGCCCATGTACACAAACGTATGGACTCCAGGAGGGGCCCTGCAGTGCTGGTTCTGGCAGGACTTCGGACACAGTCTGAGCCTCAAATACTAAACTGGTGCCAAAGTAATTGCAGTTTCTGCCATTGAAAGTAATGGCAAAACTGCCATTACTTGAGCACCAACCTAATACAAGCTGGTATTTTGTCCACTGAAAAAAGTGAAACAAATCTGCATATCCTGCTATGGAAAGACCAGGACAACAACAAGGTATTTAAACATTGTGTCTTTTTTGCTCCCATTTGCATTTTTTTTTTTTTTTTTACAAAAAGCTACACATGCAAGTGTACCCATACTTGACAAGTTTCCATAATTTTTCATGAAAAAGCATTAACTGTAGCTTTCTCTGAGAAGCAGGTCAATGGTGACAGGGACATTAAGGTTTTTTCTGGATACCTTTTGGTACTGTTTGATTTTAATTTTTTTTTTTTTCTTTTGAGACAGAGTTTCGCTCTGTCGCCCAGGCCAGAGTGCAGTGGTGCGATCTCAGCTTACTGCAACCTCCACTTCCCAAGTTCAAGCGATTCTCGTGCCTCAGCCTCCCAAGTAGCTGCGATAACATGCACATGCCACCACACCCAGCTAATTCTTGTATTTTTTGTAGAGAGGGGTTTCACCATGCTGGCCAGGCTGGTCTCGAATTCCTGAGCTCAAGTGATCTGCCCACCTTGGCCTCTCAAAGTGCTGAGATTACAGGCGTGAGCCACCACACCTGGCCAAATTTTTGAATTTTTTTGTAGAGTTGGAGTTTTGCCATGTTGCCCAGGCTGGTCTCAAACTCCTGACCTAAGTGATCCTTCTGCCTCAGCCTCCCAAAGTGCTGAGATTACAGGCATGAGCCACTGCGCCTGGCCTGATTTGAATTTTTAATAAACCATGAGCCTGGTGGGAGCCACCCAGTCGTGCTCCAGTTTCAACGGAGCCTTCTCTAACTCAACCACCTCCCACCCTCTTGGGTATCACAGGCTCAGAGCCACCATTTTGTTTTATTTGTACCTCTTGATGCCTCATGACTCTGCCTGTCTAGCCTGTAAGTGTCCTGAGGACAGACACCGTATTTGTTTCTTGCTAAGCAGGGGCAAACACATAGGCAGATCCCCTCGGTTCCCATCAGAGAAACAAATGAGTAAATGAATTAAAGTCAAACAACTTGACCTCACCTGCCAGCCTCAAGGTCATGAGCAGTGACTGGTGGAACAGAAGAGTGTCACGCTGTAAACCATGTCTGTCATATGAACTATGTCCCCGCTAGCACTGGGAACACTGTGACCTAAGAAGTCTGGAGTGGAACTCAAGTAAATGATTTATTCCTTTGATTAAACACATTTACTTTCATCTAGTCCCAGAGAATTTATGGAGCCATAATCCCTTCCATCTCTAATGCTGTTCATTATCTCTTCCTAATTAATGAAGGTATGTAAATTCATTGATCTAAAACTTTGCAGGCATAAACGTTACTCAGGTAGTGATCCAGCCCCACACTGCTAACAGCTCAAGCTTCATCACGTTCTACCAGTTTTTAAATTACACATGTTATCAGACAAGATTCATTTAATTTTGCAGCTAACAGCTACAGCTGATTATGCTGGCTGCTAGATATTTATAGCAACTCTTGTTGAATCTGTACTGTTAACCTGCTTAGGATATAATTAATAAAAGAGATTTAACTGTCTGACATAATAGGCAGCTTTGTATGATATAAAATATGCTTTAATGTGCTTTCGGGAAAAAAAACATTAAGAAAGGTATATTATCCAAGTGAAATTTGTTACATTGCTACCTTGCAGATCAATACAAAATTTCTTCACAAGAATATTTATGGATGATGACAGTGGTATTTCACTCAAATAATATATAAAGAAAGAAGGGAATGGTAAATTTTTTCTACAAACCAAATAATACATATTGAATAGAACCTACCATGGCTTTCCAATAAACTACTTAGGAACTGGGGAAAAACCATACAGAATTTGAAACATGCAGGTGACTTTCTAAATTCTGGGTTCGCGAAATATATGTCCTCACCCGTTCTGGCATTCAAATGCGCCATTTTCCAACCTCTCATTATTTTTTTTCATTCCACATTCTGATCACTTGACCAATTACCTGATAATTGAACCCCTTTGGGATCATGCTCCTTTTCAGTGCTTCATTTCGTTGCAGAAAATAGGCCCATCAAGGAGGCAAAATGTTCTAACTCCAGGAAATGAGTGTTTAGAGCAAAAACAATGAAAAAGAAGATGTAAATAATCCAGTCAGCTAAGCACAAGCTAGAAAGACACTCGCTTTGTCTATGGCATGTTGATTTGCCAGGGGATTGTGCAAACTTCTGCAGAAGGCGTTCATTAGCTCCAGAAAACCCCAAAGGGAGGCAGAGGCGGGTGCATCACCTTAGGTCAGGAGTTCGAGACCAGCCTGGCCAACATGGTGAAACCCCATCTCTACAAAAAAAATACAAATATATATATATATAGAGAGAGAGAGAGAGAGAGGGAGAGAGAGAGAGAGAAAGAGAGAGAGAGAGAGCTGGGTATTGTATTAGTACATTTTTGTGCTGCTGATAAAGACATACCTCAGACTGTGAAGGAAAAGGGGTTTAATTGGACTTACAGCTTCACGTGGCTGGGAGGCAGAAGGCGTTTCTTACATGATGGCAGCAAGAGAAAAATGAGGAAGATGCAAAAGCAGAAACCCCTGATAAAACCATCAGATCTCGTAGTATGGGGGAAACCACTCCCATAAGTCAATTATCTCCCACTGGGTCCCTCCCACAACACATGGGAATTATGGAAGTACAATTCAAGATGAGATGTGGGTGGGGACACAGAGCCAAACCATATCAGGTGTGGTGGCGGGCACCTGTAATCCCAGCTACTTGGGAGACTGAGGCAGGAGAATTGCTTGAACCAGGGGGGCGCAGGTTGCAGTGAGCAGAGATCACGCCACTGCACTCCAGCCTGGGTGACGGATCAAGACTCCGTCTCAAATAAAAAGAAAAGCAAAAACAGAAAACTCCAAGGAAGCACAGGAGGTAGGCTCTAGGACTCTTCTGCTCAGAGGGCTGGTCTGGTGTCTCTGATCAGACTGCCATAGCCGATTTGCCTAACGGCCTCTACAATCATGGTCTGCTATGAGCGACAGCATTCCCAGGTGGGAGCAGAACACAAGAGCATTCAGATCCCAAGTCATTTTGGCTCCATGGTTGCTCAGAGGTCCTCATTTTTTTTTTTGAGTCATGGAGCCTGTATCAGTCATGTGCTCCAGGGAACCAATAGGAGATACACAGATATGTAAGAGGAGGCTTAGTAAGGGAATGGGTTCACAGGGTCACAGGGGCCAAGAAGTCACACCATCTGCCATATGTAAGCCGGGGGTTTCATTCAGTCTAAATCCAAAGGCCTGAGAATCAGAGAAACTGATGGTGTTAGTGCTGGTCTGAATCTAAAGGTCTGAGAACCAGGAGTGCCGATGTCCAGGGGCAGGAGAAGGTAGACGTCTCAGCTCAAACAGGAGGCAAATTCATCTTTTCTCCATCTTTTTGTTCTATTCAAACCCTCAATGCATTGGATGATGCCTGCCCAAAATAGTGAAGGCATATCTTCTTCATTCAGTCACCCTCACGAACACACCCAGAAATCATGTCTTCTCAGCTATCTGGGCACCTCCTAGCCCAGCCAGGCAGACACGTAAACTGAACCATCACCAGGTCCTTGAAGGATCTGATGAGAGCTGTGGACCTTCTCCCCACTGCAGTCCCCAGAGCATCATCACGACCTCAAGCATCTATGCAAACACACTGGACTTTGCAGAGCTGACAGGGCCCACTGGCTGGATGAAGCCCATCCATGGAGCTCACACCCAGGTAAAGAAACCTACGCCGAGAAATTGCCCTACTGGGGTGCAGTGGCTCATGCCTGTAATCCCAGCACTTGGGAGGCTGAGGCAGGCGGATCATCTGAGGTCAGGAGTTTGAGACCAGCCTGGCCAGCATGGTGAAACTCCATCTCTACTAAAATATAAAAATTAGCTGGGTGTGGGGGTGGGCACCTGTAGTCCCAGTTACTTGGGAGGGTGAGGCGAGAGAATCACTTGAACCCAGGAGGAAGGTTGCAGTGAGCAGAGATCGCGCCACTGCACTCCAGCCTGAGCGACAAATTGGGACTCTGACTCAAAAAACAAAAAACAAAAAAACCCCTGCCCTATTGGACACTGTATGACTTAGTGCCCCAGAAGGAAAGTTTCATAAAAATTTTCTTTAAAGATAAGATTTTCCAGGAAAAGCTGAATTCCTCTTAGATACGGATAAGATGTTGTTTCTTTGACAACCTCTCTCTGGCTGAACCTTCAACTGAATTCTATCAACCAAAAGGACTCTTAAGACCTTTCTGTTTCGCCCTGCGGTTTTGTCTTCCTATATGAACTTTTATTTTCTTTGGTCCTGACATATTTCTTCTCTACTGTGTGCTTTTGCTCATTTTAAGCCTTCTCAAATGCTTCACTGAACAAATAAATAAGGCGAGGCTCTCTGTTTTCACTTTTTGATCTAAACACTGGAACCCAGACGGAAAGATTATGCTTTTTATTTTTAACCTAATCAAAAGGCAACTGTTAACTAGTCCCTATTATTGAGCTCTTGCTACTTCTTTTCATTGAATAATCAAATATCCACACTTTTCTAGCTACGATTAAGACTTCTGGCCTTTAATTAAAGGTACAGTTTCACCATTGAGTTTATATTTTGGTCAATTAAAATAGCCACATGTTGACCATGAAAAGGTACCTCCAAAAAGTCAAAGAACAAGAGTATGTGCGTATGTACACACAGGTGTGGGCTCTTATTCTGGGGCCATGGGGATCTGGGGTTCATCCTGTGAACTTCGATGGGAGGAAACCAGTTTTTTCATGAACTTCTGATATTTAGCATTTCCTTCTATTATGAAGTTAGTAGAAATTACAGAGGTATTAACAACCCCCTTGAATTTCACACCAACAGAGATCACATGGATTTTTTTTCCCATCACATCACACTTGTTGCAGATTAATTCAGGGTATGGTTTAAACTCACTGCCATTTTTTCTTTTTCTTTTTTTTTTTTTTTGAGACGGAGTTTCACTCTTGTTGCCCAGGCTGCAGTGCAGTGGCACGATCTCGGCTCACTGCAACCTCCACCTCCTGGGTTCAAGCGATTCTCCTGCCTCAGACTCCCAAGTAGCTGGGATTACAGGCACATGCCCCCACACCTGGCTAATTTTGTATTTTTAGTAGAGACGGGGTTTTACCATGTTGGTCAGGTTGGTCTTGAACTCCTGACCTCAAGTGATCCACCCGCCTCAGCCTCCCTAAGTGCTCTGATTACAGGTATGAGCCACTGTGCCTGGCCTTAAACTCAACTGCTATTTTGAAACTATGACAGTTATTAGCTCTGCTATTAGACTGTGTTATATAATAGACCAACACATGAATTATTACTATATCCAATAATTTAAAAAATATTTTGATAACCGTATTTCAATAGAATTGGTTTCCTCGAAAATCCTAGGAACTTTATTTTGTGTATTTAGAAATATTATTCTGAGATGGGATCCAGGGGCTTCAGCAACTTGATGAAGGAATCCGAGGCACAAAATGGGTTAAGACGCCGAGACTTGGAATAAAGGACTGACAGCAGCCAGTGTGTCTCCTCTGCCGGACTGCCACGTAGAAAATGCTGGCAGGGGTGGAAGGGCGATCACACACCTAATCAGAAACAACTTTTTAAGTAATATTCCCAGTTCCCTAATTAGTCATATAAGGTAAATTAGTTCCAACCACTTTTAATCAGCCTCAGCAGAAGGGCGGCATTGTCACTGATTGCCTGGATGATTTCACCGGGCTCATACTGGATGTGAAGGAGTGCAGGAGCCAGGGGGCTTGGCTGATTGCTCCCAGGTTACTGCTCAGCATTCGACCCACACGCGACCTGCTGGAAAATCTGAGCACAGACAGCCCCGGCCCATTCCAGAGGCTGGTGATATTTCAACTATGGCATCACTCTCTTGCACGCATAGAACTCCCTTTTTATGTTTCTCTGTGTTAAACTGTAGGGTAAATTGTCTTTAAATCCTGGCATTTCTTGGAGCCTGGTGTAGACACTTAAACATAACAACGCAAGGCTAATGACACAGCTGCGGAAATAAACGTGATTTAACTGAGCCTCTTTAAAAACAAAACCAAACAAAACAAACAGATCCTACTTTAATATGAACAAAACGGTTTCTGTTCAATGGAAATGTTCTGAGTATCTATGACATGGTAGGCGGTGCAGGAACTTATTGCTTACATGAAAGGGATGGAGGCTGTTGGCTACAAATAAGAGATAGCATGGAAGAAAAGTCCTGGTCAGTCCCTGTCCCTGAGAGATGTTCCCCAGAGAACTGCTAAGAGAACGGCCTGGTGTGCTCTCAGTGCAAATGGCGCTGAGGCAGATTCTAAACCCAGGCAACCCTCTTGGACTTCAAGCCTAAAGAAATACTTACCTGACTGTACAACAGCACGTCTGAGGATGCTCACAGCAGCACTGTTCAAATTAACTCCCACCTGGCGTTACTGCAAGATTAACCAATTATGAAATCCCCATCCACAGAACGCAATGCAGTTATTAAAAGCCTCACATGTATGTACAAATGTAAGGTTTTCTAGACAGATGGAAGGAGAAAAAGTAAATCACACAACAATGTGCACAGTATGATCACGTTTGTATTTAAGAAAAGCATGCTGACCAGGGCGTGGTGGCTCACACCTGTAATCCCAGCATTTTGGGAGGCCAAGATGGGTGGATCACCTGAGGTCAGGAGTTTGAGACCAGCCTGGCCAACATAACAAAACTCTCTCTACTAAAAATACAAAAATCAGCCGGTGTGGTGGCACACACACCTGTAGTCCCAGCTACTCGGGAGACTGAGGCAGGAGAATCGCTTGAACCCGGGAGGCAGAGGTTGCAGTGAGCCGAGATCGCGCCATTGCACTCCAGCCTGGGTGACAGAGTGAGGCTATATCAAGGAAAGGAAAGGGAGGGCAGAAGGAAAGGAAAGGGAGAGAAGGAAAGGAAAGGAAAGGAAAGGAAGGGGGAGGGGCGGGGCGGGGCTGGGAAAGGGTGAGCATGCTGACATTGATGCACACTTTTGACCACAGTGACCCCGAGGGAAGCACTTAGGGGGTGGTCAAAGTTTATTTTAAATATAGATTTTAAATTTACAAGGAGAATGTCTCTACATATTACTTGTAGAATTTAAAAATCTAATAAAGTAACAATAAAAAGATCCGTATCTACCCTCATTTAAATCCTACAGGAGACTAGGATGACAACAACAAAAAACACGGAGAACTTCATGTTTCAATATATCTACATGTATCTATATTCCTTATTTCTAAGTGAAGCACAGATTTCTGTCTGTTTCATTCACTAACACAGCACAAACATCTAGAATAGTGCCTGGTGCAAAGTAGACTCTCAATACAGATTTGTTAAATAAATGAATTGACTATTTATTCATGTGTTCCAGAAAACTGTACTGGGTGCCTACCATGTGCTGGCTTCTTGCTAAAGATCACGGGAAACAAACTGTGAATCATTTAACCAGCATTCACTGAATACCTTCCACGTGCCTTGCACTGGGCACTAAATGAAAGTACACACCAATACGGACACACAGACACACACACCCCCACTGCCCTTTAGGAACTTGGAACTAAGCTTGGGAGAAGGCGAACTAGCAGAGGTTGGAGCAATGAGATAAGGCCTTTTCCTGGCCAGAGCCTCAATCCTGGCTTTGGTTTTCAAAATTATGCCTCCGAGGCTTTGCTTATTATGGCCTGTCTTGTACCAGAATTATGTTCATGGGTTTGTGTCTGCCCAGCTGGAGGAAAATGAGTATCAACCTTCCTGGATTGTGGAACCACAGAAAAACAAAGGGCTTTATTCTTTGCCTGAAGCCCAGCAAACCAAAGCATTCTTTGTTCAATGGCTTTATTTCCCAATTCTATACATTCATTACAGAATTAGAAACCTCCCAGTGGGGGTCAGGCATGGTGGCTCATGTATGTAATCCCAGAACTTTGGGAGGCCAAGGCAGGTGCATCACCTGAGGTCAGGAGTTTGAGACCAGCCTGGCCAACATGCAGAAACCTTGTCTCTACTAAAAATACAAAAATTAGCTGGGCTTGGTGGTGCATGCCTGTAATCCCAGCTACTTGGGAGGCTGAGGCAGGAGAATTGCTTGAACCCGGGAGGCGGAGGTTGCAGTGAGCTGAGATCGTACCGCTGCACTCCAGCCTGGGCAACAGAACAAGACTCTGTCTGAAAAACAAAACAAAACAAAACAAAAAAAAACAAAATTCCTAGTGAGGAAGGAGTGTTGATGGTCATTTGGCCATGGCTACTGTTATCAGGACCTTGGTCTAGGCCTTGACATCTAATTGAAGGTGAACAGCTACCAAACTAGATGAATTAGAAGTTTTCAGGTCTCACTGGGGCATTTTCCTGATAGAAAAGCCTAACTCCTTTCATCAGTAATTCTACTTTACTTCCCCATAGCATCTCCCATTCTTAGACGCACTCTACTGATTTGCTTCCTCTCCTCTCCAGACTTTTGCAGCCATATCTGCACAAATCCAGCCCTTCTTTACCTTGAAGTTCAGACTTTTCTACCTAAGTGGATTATTCTGCTTTATCTATAGCAAATATCACTTTTGTGCATGCTCCCTCTCCTCCATTTGTTGGAATCATTTCTAAATTCAATTCCATTTTCATATTGAGTCTCTTTGGTCCCAATAGAAATGGTCCCCAAAATTCAAATATCAGATGTCTGGGACCCTTTTAACTTCTGAAAATGCAGTTACTGGGCAATGGATGTGCGAAAGTTAACTCGGGGAATGACATTAAATCAGAAAAGCCTTCTGTTTTTAGTGATGAAAAGCTTCTTCATCTATAAATCCCAAAGTATCAACTTTGCAGATCCATAAGCTCTTATCCCAAACCCCCTAGGCCAGATCTCATTTGAAATTCCAAGTTTTTCTAACTTTAGAATGGTAAGACAGGTCATAGAACACATATTAAACAATACTTCAAGCTGGGACTCGGGCAGTGCCCTGTAATGAAATCCAGTAATATTTTGTTAGCAAAACATATGAATATGCTCACTAAATATTGGGATCAATAAAGACCATAAACAGCCCTTTGTCACTTGGAAGGCAGTTTTGCCACCAGCTTAGTTTCAAACTTAAGAAAAAACTCTTAGTTTTCAGAGCTTTCTGAACTTTTGAGATGGTAGGTAAGGGGTTATGTACAAGTGCAAGACCCAAACGAAAGAAGCCATTGTAGCTCTCTTAAGCATTCTGCATAAAGACCCTTTTAAAGTATATATGTGTGGCCGTTTTCCTGAACATCAAAGGGCTATTTTGGAAGTCCTGTAAGAAGAGGTCATCCTGCGTTATTCAGTGTTGTGTAAAAAGCAAAGCAAAACCTACAAACTTAAAGCATTTCCCTTTAAATGCTGAGCATGTGTAAGTCTAAAGGAATAATGGTTCTCCTGATATACACCATTATCAGTTAAAAGGAATGTTCACAAACCACTTGCATACACACAAGATTACATTTAATACATTAAAAAGTGGCCCCGACTCGGCGTGGTGGCTCATGCCTGATAAGTCCAACACTTTGGGAGGACGAGGCAAGCAGATCACTTCCAGCCAGGAGTTCAAGACCAGCCTAGGCAACATGGTGAAACCCCGTCTCTACTAAACATACTAAAATTAGCCGGGCATGGTGGTGCACACCTGTAACTCCAGCTGCTCGAGGCTGAGGCATGAGAATTGCTTGAACCCGGGAGGTGGAGGCTGCAGTGAGCCGAGATCATGACACTGTACCCAGCCTGGGCGACAGAGTGAGGCTGTGCCTCAAAAAATAATAAAAATACATAAAAATACACAAATAAATAATAAAATAAAAAGTGTCTGTCTCAGCCACCCACGTGAACAATCTGTGGTGATTTGGCATCACCGCGATTCCTGACTCTCAATTTACATGCTACCAGTAAACAATCATTTTGTTACACCTATTCACACCTAAGTACTTAACAGTAAAAAATATGACACACCATTAACACGGGAGAAAACAGTGTGCCCAGGGAAACTAAGCAGCACAGTGGCATCACTGGAATACCTGCCTCAGCTGTTCAGCAGCAACAGATGACAGCAGGCTTCCAGTCTCCACCCACAATGCTGCGTTCTGACTCAAAGGCTCCTGTGCACTGTATTTTATTTTTTCAGGTGAGAAGAAACATCAGAAGCAGTTGAGGGACCAGAAAGTGAGTCCGCCAGGGATGAGGAGGCATTCTGCTAGATGGCTTTTTAAAAATGTTCCCTCCAAGCTGGGTTCAGTGACTCAACACCTATAATCCCAGCACTTTGGGAGGCGAGGAGGGCAATCACTTGAGGTCAGGAGTTCAACCAGCCTGGCCAACAAGATGAAACCCCATCTCTACTAAAATTACAAAAATTAGCCAGGTGTGGTGGCAGGCGCCTGTAATCCCAGCTACTCAGGAGACTGAGGCAGGAGAATCACTTGAACCCGGGAGGCAGAGGTTGCAGTGAGCCGAGATCATGCCACTGCACTCCAGCCTGGGGGACAGAGTGAGACTGTCTCAAAAAAAAAAAAAGTTCCCTCCAGAGTCATCTGCCTTATTAACAAGGGCTTTTGTCTTAGAAATCTCTTTTATTAACTGACACAATTTCTTGATCTGTTATGAATGCATGCTGTTCTAGTCCTTCAAAAGCTCACCACACATTGCTATGGTTTAAATATTTGTGTCCTCCAAAACTCATGTTGAAACGTAATCCCCAGTGTGGCAGTTCTGAGAGGTGGGGCTTTTAAGAGGTGGCTGGATCGTGAGGGCCATGCCCTCATGAATGGATGAGTCCATTCATGGATTAATGAATGAATGAGTTAGTGGATTAATGGGTTATCATGAGAGTGGGACAGGGTGCTTTTTTGTGTGTTTTTTGTTTGTTTGTTTGTTTGAGACAGGGTCTTGCTCTGTCACCCAGGCTGGAGTGCAGTGGCATGATCACGGCTCACTGAAGCTTGGACTCCCAGGTTCAAGCAATCCTCTCGCCTCAGCCTCCCAAGTAGCTGGGTCTACAGGTGTGCACCACCATGCCTGGATAATTTTCTATTTTTTGTATAGACGGGGTTTCACTATGTTGTCCAGGCTAGTCTCCAACTCCTGAGCTCAAGCAATCCACTTGCCTTGGCCTCCCAAAGTGCTGGGATTATAGATGTGGGTCACTGCCCTGGGCTGGTGGCTTTTTAAGAAGAGCAGAGACCCGAGTTAGCACACTCAGCCCCCTCCCCATGTGATGTTCTGTGCCACTTTGAGAGTCTGCAGAGAGAGTCCCCACCAGCAAGAAGGCCCTCAGCTGATGTAGCCCCTTGACCTTGGACTTCTCAGCCTCCATAACTGAAAGAAATAAATTTCATTTCTTATAAACGACCCAGTTCCAGATATTCCATTATAAGCAACAGAAAACAGACTAAGACACACATTTTCACCATGTCATCTATGGGTACTTTTCCTGCAGCACTGCCATCATCCTCATCATCACTACTATAGGTTGAGTATCTCTTATGCAAAATGCTTGGGACCAAAGGTGTAGAGTTTTCCACTATGGTGTCATGTCAGTGCTCAAAAAGTTTCACATTTTGAAGCATACTGGATTTTCAGATTAGGGATGCTCAATCTATCAGTGCTTCTTGAACCTCATTGTCCATACAGTTCATCTGGGAATCTTGTTAAAATTCTGATTCAGATCCATTAGGTCTGGGCAGGGCAGAGATTCTACATCTCTAACAGCTCCATCTGCTGCTCTGGGCACCACCTTCTGTCTGACCAGCCAGGCTGCAAAACGAAGCGCACAAGGTTTGGAAACAGATGAACAAGAGTTCCCAGTTTACAAGCTGAGTGGCCTTGGGAAAAGCAATTCACTGCTCTGAGCCAGTTTCCCCATCAATTAAAATGGAAATAGCAATGACACCTCCTTTGCAAGACTGTAATGAGTAGATAAGATAGTAACACAGTTCCTGGCAGATAACAGACCCTGAATTCCAGTCCCTGCCATCTGCAGTAGGCTGAACAATGTCCCTCCAGAGATGTTCGACATCCTAACTCCTGGAACTTACAAATATGCTACCTTATATGGCAAAAGGGGAATCTGCAGATGGGATTATGTTAAGGATCTTGAGATGGAAACATTATCCTGGGTTATCTGGATGGACCTAATATAATCACCAGGATCTTTACAAGAGGAAAGCAGGAGAATCAGAGTAACAGAATATGAGAGGGTGGAGCAGAGGTCAGACGGGAGAAAAGGTGCAATGCTGCTGGCTTTGAAGGCAGAAGAAGGAGCATGAGCCAAGAAACGCAGTTGGCCTCTAGAAGCTGGAACCCCTAGAAGGAACACACCGCTGCAGGTTCTTGTTGGACTTCTGACCCCTGGGATGGTAAGAGAACTGTTTGATTCCACTAAGTTGGTGGTAATTTGTGATAGCAGGAACAGGAAACTAACATACCATCCTTTGGAATAATACTGATATGGTTTTGCTGTGGTCTCACTCAAATCTCAACTTGAATTGTAGCTCCCACAATTCCCACATGTTGTGGAAGGGACCTGGTGGGAGGTAACTGAACTGGGGGGGTTCTTTCTCATGCTGTTGTCGTGACTGTGAATAAGTCTCACGAGATCTGATGGTTTTGTAAAGAGGAGTTTCCCTGCACAAGTTCTCTTCTCTCTTGTCTGCTGCCATATAAGATGTGCCTTTCAGCTGGGCGTGGTGGCTCACGCCTGTAATCACAGCACTTTGGGAGGCTGAGGCAGGTGGATCACGAGGTCAGGAGATCGAGACCAGCCTGGCCAACATGGTGAAATCCCGTCTCTACCAAAAATACAAAAATTAGCCGGGTGTGGTGGTGTGTGCCTGTAGTCCCAGCTACTCAGGAAGCTGAGGCAGGAGAATCGCTTGAACCCAGGAGGCGGAGGTTGCAATGAGCCAAGATCATGCCACTGCACTCCAGCCTGGGCAACAGAGTGAGACTCCATCTCAAAAAAAAAGATGTGCCTTTCGCCATCTGCCATGATTGTGAGGTCTCTCCAGCCACGTGGAACTGTGAGGCAATTATTCTTTTTGCTTATAAATTACTCAGTCTGAAATTTGTCTTTATCAGCAGCATGAAAACAGACTAATACAAATACTAAAGCAGGCTTGCCTCCCTTTACAGAACAGAGGACTTCCCAGGGCTACATCATCAACTGAAACTAAGTCACAGAATAGTTGCCCAAGTGCAGCTGAATACATGAAGAACTCTTCAAGGAAACTTTATATCAAGGGAAGAATTATTCCTGTATTAACTGTTTTTGTGTGGTTATGCCAATTTTTAATAAACAGGGATGAATGTATATGTTAGTAACAAACTGTTCTAAAGGCTCAAAGGAATCTCTTGCACCCTAAAGGTATCATCATGTTCTGATTTGTCAGCTTCACACGTAATTGCTGAAATCTAACAAGGCTTCTGGGGACAAAACCAGTGGGTCGATACCTCAGCATCAGGAGGACTGACAAGAGTAACCCTAAATTAAGAGTGAAGGATGAAAATCAATGGGTCTCAGTATTTGCACAAATGTTCACTTGCTACTTACAATGTGGCTTACCCCATAGAGGAGCTTTATAATAGAATAAAATACCAAGATAACCCAAAAGATGCCTGCAAAACAAAAATGTGTTTCAAAACTAAATGGACTTTGTGTGAAACAAAGAAGCCTGTATCTCTTAAGGATTTTCCTATGGGCTTGGCACCAAGGACTCCTCTTCCCATCACATTTTTGTGCTTCTCTGCCAAGACTCTAGTTCCACAGAAAGACCTGGTCTCTTGTCTCCAATATTACATCCATAGCATCTAACACTGTAATTGGCACTTAGTTTGCACACAGACATTTTTGTGGATGATAAGTACTATAATAGATATTTATAAGAAAAAGCATATTATTACTTTCATTAAAAAAAAAATGAAAGTTCTTTTTTTCTATTTTCTTTTTTTTTTTTTTTTCTTTTTTTGAGATGAAGTCTTGCTCTGTCACTCAGGCTGGAATGCAGTGGTGTAGTCTTGGCTCACTGGATTCTCCACCGCCTGGGTTCAAGCAATTCTCCTTCCTCAATCTCCCAAGTAGCTGAGATGACAGGCCCACGCCACCATGCTGAGCTAATTTCTGTATTTTTAGTAGTGATGGGGTTTCACCATGTTGGCCAGGCTGGTCTCGAACTCCTGACCTCAAGTGATCCACCCACCTCGGCCTCCCAAAGTGCTGGGATTACAGGTGTGAGCCACCATGCCTGGCCTTTCTCCATTTTCAACTTAAATCCACTTGGCCCAAGATATTTTCTTTTCTTTTTTCTTTCTTTCTTTCTTTTTTTTTTTTTTTTTGAGATGGAGTCTCGCTCTGCTGCCCAGGCTGGAGTGCTGTGGTGCAATCTTGCTCATTGCAACCTCCACCTCCTGGGTTCAAGCGATTCTCCTGCCTCAGCCCCCCAGAGTAGCTGGGATCACAGGTGTACACCACCATGCCCGGCTAATTTTTGTATTTTAGTAGAGACGGGGTTTCACCATGTTGGCCAGGCTGGTCTTGAATTCCTGACCTCAGGTGATCCGCCCACCTTGGCGTCCCAAAGTACTGGGATTGCAGGTGTCAGCCACTGTGCCTGGCCAGGGCCAAGATACTATTTATGGTAGAACTAAAAGTATGCTTTCTGATTTTATTTGCCTATTAATATATGCATTTGATAATGAAGAATGTGCTAAGTAGTCAAAGCAAATAATTACTTTCTAGTGTCTAACCCTGTCTATGAGCTAAATGAGAGGGAAACCACTTATTGCATATTAAAAAATGGTAACTAGTTTTAAAATGCTCTGTTTAATCTCAAACCACAATATTCAAAACAGTTACATTCCTTTCACTGGTTCAATTAAAACCCCAGAAAACAGTCCAAGTCTCCAGAACAAATTATACATTCTGCTTGAGTTGCACTGCATGTAAAATTCACGTTCAAAAGTTTGCCAAGTCACATTTATGAAGTCTTGACCAACTGGCGGGGCTGATCATAAAAACTATATCTTTTAATTTATAGTGTTTAATGTATATTCAGTGTATCTTATTTAAAAAGCAACATAATTGCATGAAAAACTTTTATTTTAAATCTGATTTTGAAATATGACTGAATACATCAACAGAATTCAGAACAAGTTGGTAAACATCTACGAGAACATGTTATATAATTCCAGTGAGCCCTATAACATTCTGTTTTTAAAGAGAAGAAACCACTGAACAGAAAAATTTGAAATCTTCTTTTCTTCTTCTTTTTTCTTAGAGACAGGGGCTCTCTCTGTTGTCTGGAGGCTGGAGTGCAGTGGTACGATCATGGCTCACTGTAGCCTCAAACTCCTGGACTCAAGTGATCCTCCCACTTTAGCCTCCTCAGTAGCTGGGACTACAGGCATGCACCACCACGCCTGGCTAATTTTTTTTTTTTCTTTTTTGAGACTAAGCTTCCCGCTCTATCACCCAGTCTGGAGTGCAGTGGCGCGATCTCAGCTCACTGCAATCTCTGCCTCCCGAGTTCAAGCGATTCTCCTGCCTTAGCCTCCCAAGTAGCTGGGGTTACAGGTGCCTGCCACCACACCCGGCTAATTTTTATATTTTTTAGTAGAGACAGAATTTCACCATGTTGGCCAGGCTGGTCTTGAATTCCTGACCTCAAGTGATCCACCTGTCCCGGCCTCCCAAAGCACATAAGCCACCGCGCCCGGCCATTCTCATGTTTTCATTATGGGTTTTGTTCTAGATAAGTGGGCTGCCAGAAAAAAGAGCCACCATGAGGAGGAACTGATACACTCAGGCTTACTACAGGGTACCTCGGCTTCTAAAGGAGTTAGACATCATCACAGAACTCAGAGCCTCGGTTTACAAGGTACAACTAGCCCCAGACAGACACCCACACCCACTGCTGTGTTTTCTGCAATGGTCTAAGGTCCCCTGCCTCCCTGAGGGACAGGAGCACTCTCCGTTTGCTTATACCTGCTTGCTGGGCTTTATCTTTGCCTGGGAGAAAAGGACATCAGAGTAGGCAAAATAAATAGGAAGAGAGTTCTAGAAGGTGTCTGTCATCGTTGAATTTCCAACATCTCACTTTTTTCGGGGGAGACTGTCCTGTTCTTTAGGGCACGTGGTTGCAGTGGAGCTGACCCCACACTCTGGTGGAAGGGGGCCATGTGAGCCAGAGGGGTATGAGCCTGGGACTTTGTTTTTTGTTTGTTTGTGTTTTGTTTTTTTGAGATGGAGTCTCACTCCTTCACCCAGGCTGGAGTGCAGTGGCACAATCTCAGCTCACTGCAACCTCCGCCTCCTGGGTTCAAGCAAGTTTCATGCCTCAGCCTCCTGAGTAACTGGGACTACATGCACCACCACGTCTGGCTAATTTTTGTATTTTTAGTAGAGACGGGGTTTCACCATGATGACCAGGCTAGTCTCGAACACCTGAGCTCAAGTGATCCGCCCACCTCAGCCTCCCAAAGTGCTGGGATTACAGGCATGAGCCACTGCACCCGGCCAGCCTGGGACTTTGGACCATCCAGAATAAGGCACTTTCTTTCTGTTCTGGTTTCTGACAAAAGGATACAAATGTAGACCTCCCAGGAGCCACTATCTAGAGAGAGCCTGAACGTAAATGAGGTCAACCCAGAGAAAGGCAGATCAGAGTGATGGAGAGACCAAGTCCTTATAACCAAGCTGACCCCCTAGATCCAGCTGTACCTGCAACCCAGGTCTGCTCCCAGACTTTACAGTCCTATTAGGCAACACATACCTTAAAAAAAAAAAAAAAAGGGAATCCTGTTTTAAGTTGGATTTCTGTCACTTGCAACAAAAAAGCACCAACAAATAAGGGAGAAATAAAAGTGTAAGAAGAAAGGAAATGAGGAGAGAAGATTATATTTATGGATATAGTGTCTGGAAGCAGTTCAAGTTTGTCCCTGGAAATGCAGAAAGGTGATGTGTGGGAATCTGTTCCATTTTTCATATTAAGCTCAAATCATCAGAACTGTAGCTGTGCCTAATTACTGTGATTAATCTCGCCAAACTCTAAATATAACATGAGTGTGCACTTTCTGATGTTCAATGATACTGCAACAATCATGAAGCGAAAGAACGGTCCATGACTGAGCAAAGATGCCTTCGAAGCAAAATCTTTTTTTCTCCTGCCCAAATGCAGTCATGACCGGCTGAAGGAGAAAAGGTCACAAGCGATGACCCGAGTCTTACCTGGCATGGCGTGGATGAGGTCGCCGCACAGAACGAAGAATTTGGGTTTGGGGTTCAGCTTGTTGATGGCCTGGACGGCTTGCTCAGTTAGACGGATCTCCTGTTCCCATTCGTCACCGCCATTGTCACAGTCCCCAGTGGACCAGGCCTTGATCAGCCCAAACTGTGGGTCTGCGCCCAGGATGAAGTAGAATGGGCCTTTCCATTCGCTTTCCTTTTCTTAAAAAAAGAGAGAGGGAGAAAGAAGGAGAAATCTTGTAAAATCTGTCATAAAAGCAACCAGCTTCCCATGCAAAGTGGATACACTATTTTTCTTAAATTAAGTAGGTCATTTTAATAAGCTGTGGTTCAAACATACCATTTTCCTGTCATAGTCTAGAGGATTTTGATTTATACTAATTATGCCTGGGACCTGGTGATACCCAAAGGCCAGAACTGTCCACGTGGGCTTCTGCAGCCACACCACCAAGCTGTTTGCTGACAAGCTAGACAGCCAAAAGGAAGCACGGGCCACAAGAGAACCCAATGCAGAAGATATTCGTGCTCCATAATCGTCTTTAAATTAGAATAAAACTCCCCAAATTGAATGCTGCCAGAAGTATTATATTTAAATTACTAGGTGAAGTGCTTACACATCTTTTCTGTGAGGCTTCGTGGCACCATTTCCACCGTTTCGGGGGATGTGACAGAATTTTAATTATAAAACTTGGCGCTTGGAAGCTCTGGCTATCTGGTGGGAGGTGTGGTGCCAGAAATGAAATCTCGGAATGAGTAAGTCAATGTGGGAGAAAAAAAAAAGAAAAAAGAAAAATCGATGCTAACATTTCAAAGGCAGTAGGATGTGGGCATCCGTGAGGTGTGAGGCTGGGGGTGGGGACTCTTTTATGTTCTTGGAAAGGGATCTAGGCCACCTGAAATCATTCTGCTTGCTCTTCCGACTGACTCTCCTGGGCCAAAGCTTTGTGGGTCTTAGGGTTTCTACTCTTATCTGCCAGAACTGCCGCGCCAGTGCCTGCTTGGGCAGAGCTGGAATGGCCATTAATGGGCACAGAAGTGCTGTGGGTTTCACTTTTTAAAAAATTATTTGGCCACAGAATCCTTTCCATAATCAAAATCGTACATGACAGACCAATGTTGAAAAAACATTCCAAGCAAAGAAGCTTGCTCTTACAGAATAGCATCTGGAACTTCCAATGCCAGAGCCAGATCTGGGGCTGGACACGGCACAGTCTGAGGACCCCCGATCTACAGCCCCCTCATTTATCCTCTGAAGAAACTGAGGCCCGGAGAGGCAAGAGAACTTGCTAAATGGCCTGCTAGCGCTTAGTGGTGGGACAGAGCTGCTCCATCACCTTGAGGCTGTTTTTTTTTTTTTTTTCATAATTTAATGTATGGCCAGGTACAGTGGTTCATGCCTATAATCCCAACACTTTGGGAGGCCAACATGGACGAATCACCTGAGGTCAAGGGTCTGAGACCAGCCTGGGCAACATAGTGAAACCCCATCTCTATCAAAAATATAAAAATTAGCCAGGCGTGGTGGCTAATTACAGGTGGGCACCTGTAATCCCAGCTACTTGGGAGGCTGAGGCACAAGAATCGCTTGAACCCGGAAGGCGGAGGTTGCAGTGAGCCAAGATCACGTCACTGCACTCCAGCCTGGGTGACAGAATGAGACTCTATCTCAATAATAATAATAATAATTTAATGGACAATGCATGTTAACTGAATAAATGGCATTTCCTTTGGAAGTCATGATGATGCTGTAATTTCCAAAAAGCTCCTTGGAATCAGTTCACGTCCATGTGTTTGATTCATTTGTCTATTGAGTATCATACTGGGAGCCTTTGCTTTGCCAGGCCCTGTGAGAGGTGCTGGCAATATGAGGGTGACCAAGACAGATGAGTCCCTGCTGTCCTCGCACTCAGTGCTCGTTGGGGGAGATGAGCAAGTAAACAAGCAGGGAATAGAATCAGAGAGTATTAATGACTATGCAGATTAAGAGTGAGGCAACGGCTAGTTTAAATTAGACAGACAGGGCCAGGCGCCACGCCTGTGATTCCAGCAGTTTGGGAGGCCAAGGCGGGCAGATTACTTGAGGTCATGAATTTGAGAACATCCTGGCCAACATGGTGAAACCTCATCTCTACTAAAAATACAAAAAATTAGCTGGATGTGGTGGTGCATCCCTATAGTCTCAGCTACTTGGGAGGCTGAGGTGAGAGGAATACTTTAACCTGGGAGGCGGAAACTACAGTGAGCCGAAATCATGCCACTGCACTCCAGCCTGGGTGAGAGATTCTGTCTCAAAACTAAATAAATAAATTAAATAAATAAATAAATAAATAAATAAGATAGGAAAGGCCTCTCTGAAGTGGTGACATTTAAGCTGAGATCTAAATGGCAAGTAAGGGCCAGTGATAACCTTTTTAAATTCCATGGCCACTTTCCCACCCATCACACTGAGCTCACTATCACCTTAGAATGGACTCTGGTTTCAAGCCTCCTTTCCCTTCTTAATTCCTTTTTCAGAGTTAAAGAAAAAAAAAGTGAACAAAAATACCTCTGCACACGTTACAGAACAAATTGTACATGTACATAAACCCAACAGTCCTCAACTTACAGCACAGTGTTCAATTACAATGGGCCAGAAGTCAATCTGAACAAAGGCTGCATGAAACCCTGGTGTGTGCATCTCATGGAGAAAGACAGCAATATGGCACATCCAGCAGGGACTGAGGGAGTCCACTGTCATTCACTGAGCACTGACTGTGTTGGCAGAAAGACTCTAAGATGCCCCCCAAATCCCTGCCTCCTGATATTCACATCCCTGTGCAACACCCTCCCTTTGAGTGTGGGCTGCAACTTGCTTCTAATAAACAGAATATGATGATGGCAGTCCCTTCCAAGAGTGGGCTAAAAGAAGACCATGACTTTCATCTCTTTCTCTTTCTCAGAGCCCTTGCTCTGGAGATTAAAAACTGTCATGTTGTGAATATCCCTACAGAGAGGCCAATGTGCTGAGGAACAGAGGGAAACCTCTGGCCAAAAGCCCATGAGAAACCAATCCTGCCAACAACCATGTGAGTCAGCTTGGAAGAGGACACTCCTCTGTTGAGCTTTCAGATGACACCACAGCCCCAACAGATACCTTGACTGAAGCCTTATAAGACTCTGTGGCAGATGAACTCAACTAAGCTGTACCCAGATTCCTCACAAAATCCTGTGACATGATACATATTTGCTTTTTAAGCTGTGAAACTTCAGGGTAATTTGTTACACAGTAACAGATCCCTACAAATGAGGCATTAGGGATAAATGGTCAAGAAGTAGACAACAAGATTTCCTGAAGATCTGACCATTTTGTCATGAAAAAAAAAAAAAACTGAGACTCTGCTTTGTGTCTTTATGTTATTAATCATTTATTTTACTTGCATAATAACCTTTTTTACACCAATGAATGCTTCTAGCTGTGTTTCTACTTTTGAGGCTGTTTGCAGAGCCATTTAAGCTGGATGAATTAATCAGAACCAGATAAGGGAGGTGAACACAGGCACCCCAAAGTAGCAGCATAAATCAACCTTCTACAACAGAGTTTATGAACAGCTCCCTATAGCAAACATTTTAACAAATCGTTTCCTATGACGAATAGTCAGAATTTCAAAAAGTCAATAGTCCTTGAAGCTATTAAAACAAATCTTTCATTATTACTTGTTTACTTACTAAAAACTTAGAATCTCAATTTTATGTGACAAAGTACAAAATAAACAGATTTGACCTAAAATAAACGACAGCTCACATATCAGTATTCAATCTACCTTACTTATCTAATGAGGTAATTTGTTTACTCAGGAATCTTCATTCTCCAAAGGAACTGGATGCTCTTAAGGTTCCTGCTACAGAAGCTGGTGGTCTTTGGTCTCATCGTAATTTCTTTTTATCAAGACTGAATTAAAGATATTTGGAGCTTACAATGCTTAATTCTAGAAGGAGGAATCTCTTTTAAATGTATACCTCTCCATCCCTTAAAAGGGCAGCTTTTTACATTATGAAAGTGAATTGTGTTTTTTTAATTTATTTTTACAGATGGGGTCTGGCTTTGTCACCAAAGCTAGAGTACAGTGGCACAGTCATGGCTCCCTGCAGCCTTGTTCTCCCATGCTCAAGCGATCCTCCTGCCTCAGCCTCCCAAAGTGCTGGGATTACAGGCATGAGCCACCACACCCAGACAAACGTGAATTCTTTTTTTTTTTTTTTTTTTGAGACAAAGTTTCCCTCTGTCACCTAGGCTCCAGTGCAATGCTGCAATCTCTGCTTACTGCAATCTCTGCCTCCCAAGCTCAAGTGATTCTCATGCCTCAGCCTCCCGAGTAGCTGCGATTACAGGCATGCAGCACCACACCTGATTAATTTTTGTAGTTTTAGTAGAGACGGGGTTTCGCCATGTTGGCCAGGCTGGTCTCAAGCTCCTGGCCTCAAATGATCTGCCCGCCTTGGCCTTGGACTCCCAAAGTACTGGGATTATAGGCATGAGCCACCACACTCAGATGAAAGTGACCTCTTAACAATACTTGCATTAAAATTATTTCACCAAAGCCCAGAGTTACCCCCAGGGTACAGTCCCCAGGCACAGTCCAGCTTTTCTGGAAACCCTCTGGAAGCACTCTTTTAGCAACTTGAGCCATGGAAGTATGGATAAACTGAGGTCCACTCCTGAAGCACTCTGAGTATGACAGTATTTGTCATTACTGGAAAAAAAAAAAAAACCAAAAGACACTCAGGGGTCCAGTTTTTTCCCCCTACCTTTCCTAGCTTAAATATGAGATTACTCGGTCAAACAGTACATGCCTGACAATGCTAATTAACGAGGAGAACTAGCCTGGCAATGAGCCTGATGAAGAGGGACAAGGTGAGGGTTACCTGACAGCAGAAAGCAGCAGGTTGCTCATGGCACAGAGATGGCAGGGCTGGGCCACAGCCTTATTCCTCCAGGTGTGACATCAGCGTCGCCTGGGAGCACATTCACAATGCAGAATCTCTGGCCCCAGCCCAGATCCACTGGGTGAGGATCTGCATTTTACTGAACCCCGGGGTGACCTATGCGCACATCCAAATTTGGGAAGCACCAGCCTACATACAACTAACCAAGGAACTCGAGTGGCCTGCAACTTACATGGGTTGGAGGAGAAACAGAAGCACAGTGACTTTCGTTTCCTTAAACTAACACTTCAGAGGGGCTTTGTTCAGGTTGTTAGTGGTGGTATATTTTTTATTTTGTTTTGGTTTGGTTTTGCATACTTCTCTGGTCATTGTTAGGTCTCTGCCTATGTACAGGTCATGGATTTGGCCCTAAATATTTCTTATTTCTCTGTATTATTCATTACTATCTAGTCATCACCCTTTACATTGCCTTGCAAAACTAAGTGTCAAGATTCTTTGAAAAGTAAGAAGTTGGGTTGGGCATGGTGGCTCACACCTGTAATCCCAGCACTTTGGGAGGCCGAGGCGGGTGGATCACGAGGTCAAAAGATCAAGACCATCCTGGCCAACATGGTGAAACCTCGTCTCTACTAAAAACACAAAAATTAGTCAGGCATGGTGGCATGCGCCTGTAGTCCCAGCTACTCAGGAGGCCGGAGAATCTCTTGAACTGGGAGGTGGAGGTTGCAGTGAGCCGAGATCGTGCCACTGCACTCCAGCCTGGGTGACAGAGAGAGACTCCATCTCAAAAGTAAGAAGTTAATCAGGGAATCCATTACTAATTAGTATGTTCTAATTTATTACTACATGACTTCATGGAAAAAGCACCCATTACCAAGTATGAGTATATAGCACACATGTATGTGTACACCCATACGTACACACACACATACATACACGTTTTCCAGTGCACAACAGAGAAGTCTGTATTTTTCTTCCCAAATTGACTTAAAAAAATTAACCCAGTCAGGGGCCCTAACTGATGACTATGATGAAAACCAAGGTCAAATTTTGAGACAAATATGTGTGGAAGGAATAAAAGAAAAAAGAATTGATTAAGATCTCATTTCTGACCCAGATGATATCAAAACAAGACTATAAACTTTGGAAACAACTCATACAAAGCTCTGGATAATGCCTATAGGGTATTTAGTGTTCATACGTGGTAAAAACATACATTTATTTAATTAAAACACCTATATCTGTTATGAATAAGAATATCCAGAATGAATTTTTCTTTCTTTTTTTTTTTTTTTTTTGAGATGGAGTCTCACTCTGTCACTCAGACTGCAGTGCGGTGGCGTGGTCTCAGCTCACTGCAACCTCTGCGTCTCGGTTCAAGTGATTCTCCCACCTTAGCCTCCTGAGCAGCTGGGATTATACAGGCATGTGCCACCACACCTGGCTCATTTTTGTATTTTTAGTAGAGATGGGGTTTCACTATGTTGGCCAGGCTGGTTTTGAACTCCTGACCTCGTGATCTGCCCGTCTCAGCCTCCCAAAGTGCTGAGATTACAGGCATGAGCCACCACACCTGGCCAGCGAATTTAACTTTTTCAACGTTAATTTTTTGACAGATTCATAGAGAAGTTAATTTAGCTGTCTACTGCTGTGTAACAAACTACCACAAATGTATCAGCTTCAAACAACCCACATTTATTATCTTATAGCCTCTGTGGGAGTCTGGCATGGTTTAGCTGGTCCTCTGCAAGGTCTCTCACAAGCTGCAACAGAAGTGTTGGTCAATGCTGAGGTCTCATCTGAAGACTCACATGGGGCAGGATCCGTTTCCAAGCTCACTTACATAGTGGTTAGTAGGATTCAGCTCCTTGTAGGTTGTAGGACTGATGGCTTCAGTTCCTCACTGGCTGCTGCCTGGAGGATGCCTTCAGTTCCTTGCCATATGGGCCTCTCCAATATGGCAGCTTGCAATATGGAGACTTGCCTCATCGAACCACACAAGGCAGAGGGTCTGCTAGCAAATGGAAGCTACAATCTTATATAACATCATGATGGAATTAACACCCCATCACTTTTGCTGTGTTCTGCTCATTACAATCAAGTTACCAGGGCAGCCCACCTTAAGGGCAGGGGATCACACAAAGCATGAACACCTGGAGGTGAAATCACTGGGCTCAGCTGAGAGTCAGCCATGGATGGTAATATAAACCTGAGGGCTAGTCTCACATACTTAACTTATCTCAGTTAATGTCACATTTGTACCTGACCTTCCAGTACTGCACTCAATAAGGCCATTTATTGTAGCTCATCCTGGTGAGATCAGAAGGCTTAACTCACAGAAGCCCGCCTTTTCCTACCTAAGTACTAGAAATTGTCAGTGCTGGAAGGACTCTCAGAGTTACTGTAACCAGCCTTTCATTAAACCAAGGGGGAGATGCTGAGGTCTGGGTAGTGAGGGGGAAGGGAGATGGGGCTTAGGCATGCCTCAAGTTCAAGGTCACACAATAAAGACCCAGCAACTTCTACCCAAGAGCTATTCAGAACCTCAGTGCTGCTGGGCTGGATGGCCTGGAGTGGTGAGAGCCATGATGAAGACAGAACATGCTCTGGGCTTCCCTCAAGTTATCCACCTCAATACTGACATCTTCTCTCCAAAAAGTTTCCTTCAAATGGAACGTCTTGATAAATGGGCTGTACACAAAGACAATGATGGCAAGACCCAGAGCTTTTCCCTGGTCGGCCGTGATGTTCAGGGTCCCTGCCAATAGCACAGGGTTGATTTGAGGCACAGGCGGGGACCCAGACATCTGTCTCCTGTGAGTGCTCAGTGGTGATCTCTTCCAGAGATTACAAACTCGACGTCTGTGGATGAGGTCTGCTTAGCAGATGTGTGCTGTTGGGCCCAGGCAGCGTTTATAAACTTCTGAATTTGTTGCCAACCTTTTTAATTCATGAGTTTCATAAATATACCTGGCTTTCTGGATTCTCTTGGAAAATCTGGCCACATCAGACCCAAATGAAGCATGCTAGTGACTCTCTGGGTCTGTACAGTGGTTGTGCCTTCACATGGGGTTTGTGCTCTCAAATTTGCCACAGTCCCCACCTGGCCCAATTTACCACCTGGCTGCTGTTGGCATCTGCAATGACAAACCCTTATCTATGGTAATCTTTCCATTTTGCTTAGAGGTGAGGAAGAGGAGACCCAGCAAAGGAAAATACATTGACTGAAATCTACAAAGGCTAAGGGGCAAACCAGGCCCCCACCTTTGCAAATTCTGCCACAGACATCACTCGCCCACATTTCAGGACAGCTGAAATTACTATAGAGAAGACATATCCAAGCCAGGAATGCCTAGGTCTAGCCAAACAACAAGCCAGGAAAAAAGAAAAATAAGCTAATGAGTTACCATAATTTTTTTTAATGGGGTCTCACTCTGTCACCCAGGTTGGAGTGCAGTGGCATGACCTTGGTTCACTGCAACTTCCACTTCCCGGGCTCAAGTGATCCTCCCACGTCAGCCTCTGGAGTCGACGGGAGCACAGGTGCGCGACACCATGCCTGGTTAATTTTTTGTATTTTTGGTAGAGACGGGGTTTTACCATGTTGCCCAGGCTGGTCTAGAACTCCTGAGCTCGAGTGATCAGCTCACCTTGACCTCCCAAGGTGCTAGGATTACAGCCATGAGCCACTGCATCCAGCCTGGTTGCCATAATTTTCTAAATCGAATTATAAAATTAACTTTGAAACACTTTTAAATGAAAAATTGACCTTAGAAATCAGAGTCACCTGTTGTATAGAGAATAACAAGATCTGGCCACTTCCACATTTCGGCTAACTTATAAAAGACTGTCACAGAAACCATATTTCAAAACTGAGGGATAAATACACAGTGAATTTTGGGTAATATCAAGCTAAGGACAGAAAGGCCTGTAGGTTTTCTTTAAACATTATCAGGTGCAAAGCAATTGCACTCAGAGAAGAATCTTAAAAACCTGGAAGAATTCACGCAATGCTTTACCATTAATCTTTCCTATGAGCCTCTGTTTATGTGCCAATATCCTGCCTGAAAGACAGATATTCAAATTGCAATTGCTCTTTACCGCTGAACTTTTAAAATCACAAACTAAATGTTTTCTTGGATTTGTCTCTGCTAATACATTTCCTCTCTCATTTTTATTATCCCTTTTAGGCATATTTGTCAATGTTAATGAAAGCTGACTTTTTAATATATACCAAGAATTAGAAATTTTATTGATTTTTTCACTATTACCAGTTAAGCAATGACTAACTATAATGAAGGTGCCCCCAAAAGCAAATGAATCACTGTTTTCATCACTCAACTAGGAAAAGGCCTGGGGGCCAGCCACGTTATTAAGTAATACCTAACATTATAATAATTTCTGCTCTCATGATGTGCTAAACCTGTTACTTGTATGCAACCTCAAATAATTCACGGTAGAATACAATGATAAATAGCTTTCTTAACTTGATTTTCATAAGAAAAGTCACATTGGCCGGTCGCGGTGGCTCACGCCTGTAATCCTAGCACTTTGGGAGGCCGAGTGGCGGGGCGGGGGTTGGATCATGAGGTCAAGAGATCGAGACCATCCTGGCCAACATGGTGAAACCCCATCTCTACTAAAAATATAAAAATTAGCCAGGCATGGTGGCATGCACCTGTAGTCCCAGCAACTCGGGAGGCTGAGGCAGGAGAATTGCTTGAACCTTGGAGGCGGAGGCTGCAGATCACACCACTGCACTCCAGCCTGGTGATAGAGCAAGACTCTATCTCAAAAAAAAAAAAAAAAAAAAAAGAGTAGAACATAGTATTAGTATGTCTGTTTTTCTGGACATGTCCAAGCTCCCAGCTTGTCCCATCAGGATCTTAAATTCAACACTTCCACAGGCAAATCCATCATCTTTTTTTTTTTTTTAATTTTACTTTAAGTTCTGGGATACATGTGCAGAACACGCAGGTTTGTTACATAGGTATACATGTGCCATGGTGGTCTGCTGCCCCATCAACCCGTCCTCTAGGTTTTAAGCCCCGCATGCATTAGGTATTTGTCCTAATGCTCTCCCTCCCCTTGCCCCCGACCTCCCAACAGGCCCTGGTGTGTGATGTTCCCCTCCCTGTGTCCAAGTGTTCTCATTGTTCAACTCCTGCTTATGAGTGAGAACATGCGGTGTTTGGTTTTCTGTTCCTGTGTTAGTTTGCTGAGAATGATGGCTTCTAGCTTCATCTGTGTCCCTGCAAAGGACATGAGCTCATTCTTTTCTATGGCTGCACATCTTTCTTTAAGACTGGCTCCCTCCCTAGATCTTGCTAATTTTGCCACCATCATCCCTAGTCCCCCAGTCTACAGATCTTAAGATCATGTGTCATCCTGTGCATGTAGACAGCCAAGTTGCATCATTCCACGTCTACAACATCCCTGCAGCAGCCCCACCTTACCGTTCCCATCACCAACTACTCTTGGGCCAGGTATTCATGGTTCCCACCTGGGAGAAGGAGGCTGGCAGGATGGCTCCCTGCAGCTCTCCCTACTCCAGTCCATCTCAGGCAGTTGCTGCCATTATGTCTCTTCCCAACCCCTTAACCAGATCATCAAATTCCTGGCTACAGAGCCACCATCCTGAAAGCTCCAGGGCAGGCCCACGTTTGCATTCCCTTTCTGGCATATCAGCAGCTTTTATTATTGAGTCTGGCACGTGGCAGGCATCAGTCAATATTTGGTGAAGAAATGGATGAAGACATCAATGGATCCCCACTCATCCACTCATTCTAGCACTTGGGCCTAAAGGGGCCCAAAGTTCTTCCAGCGGTATCTTTTTTTTTTTTTGAGATGGAGTCTTGATCTGTCCCCCAGGCTGAAATGCAGTGGCACGATCTTGGCTCAAAGCAACCTCCGTCCCCCAGGTTCAAGCAATTCTCCTGCCTCAGCCTCCTGAACAACTGAGATTACAGGAGTGCGCCACCACACCCAGCTAATGTTTTGTATTTTTAGTAGAGATGAGGTTTCACCATGTTGGCCAGACTGGTCTCAAACTCCTGACTTCAAGTGATCCACTTGCCTCAGCCTCCCAAAGTGCTGGGATTACAGGCCTGAACCGCTATGCCTGGCCTCTTCCAGCTGTATCTCACTGGTCCTGATGGACCAGTGGCTGTAGTCCCATCAGACCAGGGATGATTCTGACACATAACAATGTCTACAGACATTTTGAGGTATCACACTGGGAAGTGGGTGGTGCTGCTGGAATCCAGTGGATAAAGGCTGGAGATGCTGCTAAACATCTCATAATGCACAGGACAGGAACCCACAACAAAATCCAGCCCATAAACATCAACAATGCTGGGGGGTTGAAAAACCCTGTTTAAGACATACCACAGGAATCCCCCCAGATAGACCACTATCTGCTTCTCCAACACACCCTATACTTCCTGATATGGTTTGGCTGTGTCCCCACCCAAATCTCATCTTGAATTGTAGCTCCCATAATTCCCACATGTCATGGGAAGGACCTGGTGGGAGGTAACTGAATCATGGGGGCTGGTCTTTCCCATGCTGTTCGCATGATAGTGAATAAGTCTCACGAGATCTGATGGTTTTATAAAGCGCAGTTCCCCTGCACACGCTCTCTTGCCTGCCACCATGTAAGACATGCCTTTGCTCTTCCTTTGTCTTCCCCCATGATTGTGAGGCCTCCCCAGCCATGTGAAGTGTCAGTCCATTAAACCTCTTTCCTTTATAAATTACCCAGTCTTGGGTCTGTCTTTATTAGCAGCATGAGAACGGATTAGTACACTTCCCCTCCTCTTTCTGGTATACGCTCTCCATTCCACCAACTCTTCCTGCTGAAATCCCTTCTACCCTTCCCTGCCAGCTCAAATGCTCCCTGCCCTGTAGGCAGATGCAGCTTGGCCTCCTTCACTCATTCAAGCAGGTATGTTCTGAGCACCTGCTCTATGGCACTGGCTGTCAGTGGTTGGACATTCAACAGTGAGCAATGCTGATGGATCCTGTTCCTTAAAACCTTACACGATAGCGGGGGAGATGCACAACAAACAAGCAAATAACTAAGTTAGTTACACAAGTCAATTACACACTTCGCTCTTTACAACTGCAGGGTCATCAGGCTGATTGCAAGACAGAGTGGCCAGTGGGTGGGGCTGTGGAGACGCGCTCCAGGGAGGGGGCACTGCAAGTACCCAGACCCTAAGTCACCAGAAGGCTGGAGCGGGAGGCGGGGATAGACCATGCTGACAACAGACTTTGGGCCTCTATCTCCTGAAACCCTTAACTGAGTTCCAGTGGAGCTCAGACTGAGGCCTGAGTGCCCAAGTTCAACTCCCATTTCTACCCTTTACCAGCTACGTGACATGATGCAAGTTCCTGAACCTCTCTGGGACTCAGTCTCCTTATCTGCACAGTAGGAATAACAGCTCCTACCTCAAAAGGGTTGTTGAGAAGAATTAATGACTTAAAACATGTAAAGCATTTGGACTAGACACAGAGCAAGTGGTCAAAAGTGAGTTACTCGTGCCATGACTACCATTCACAGTAACCCCTACCCTTATCTTAGCAGAGACAGGCTTTTTAAAGACTCACCTATCTCTTGGTTCCCACAGCACATGGTGGGGCTGAGAAAACATCTGATGAGAGACACATATATATTTACATGCTTTGGTCTTAACATCTTTTCCTTTATATACTGTGGATATTGCTTTGGTTATAAAGCAGGAAAGATGGGAAGCTTCACAGCCGCCTGCAGGCTTTCTAGCTAAAGAGCAAATGGCAACAAAATGCAATTTTTGCAGTTTCTCACAATAGCAATCTGCATAGTGAATCACAATCTAAATGTCTCCAGCAATACCCTTCAACTGCTCTGGGGACTAATCTTATTTCAGCAGTTTAAAAAAAAAAATCACACACCAAAGAGTAGCTAAACAATATTTACCACTTTGGGACTCTTTCTGACTTAACAATCGTAATGTCCCCACTGTGAAGCTGCCAGAATGGTATGCAGCAGATAAGAGTGTCCTTCATTAGTGGCTGTTTAGGGGTTGGGGGTCTTTGGGGGCAGTTTCAGCACGGGGTGCAGGGTTTCTTCTTGGATTAAGGAAAATGTTCTAAAATTGATTGTGATGGTTGTACACCTCTGTGAATACACTAAAAGCCACTGAATTGTACACATTTACACTGTTGAATCAGAAAGAAGCCCAAAGTGGTAAATATTATTTAATTAACAATTCACATGGTGAACTGTAGGGTATGCTAACAGTTGTTAAAGGAAAAAAAAAAAATAGTGTCCTTCAGGACCCTGTCCCTCCCCCCACCCCCAAAATAATTAACTGTGACAGCAATATCCTCAAGAGTCTCCAAATGACTTGTCCTAAGTACAGGTTGCATATCTCTTATCTGAAATGCTTGGGACCAGAAGAGTTTCAGATTCCAGACTTTTTTCAGATTTTGGAACATTTGCATATGCAAACTGGTAGTGCATTCCTAATCTGTAAAATCTGAAATCCGAAATGCTTTTGAGCATGACCTTTGATCATCAAGTCAGTGCTCAAAAAGTTTCGGTCGGATCTTAGAGCATTTTGCAATAGGGATGCTCAACCTGTACAAAGGTAAATTTACCCAACCTCTCTTTTCTTGGCCTAAATGCATCCAAAAGGCAGTTTTTGAGACACACAAAAGATTCTGAGTCATGGCTTGGCTGCCACAATGGCCGTCCTTCCAAAATCTTTATCTGCAACTCTTCAGAGAACTAAGAAAGCAGATGGGCTGGGACTTCGTGGCCAGGCGGCTTTTGGCATCACTGGCTTTGGCTGACGCCATTCGAGACAACGGTTAAAGAGGGGAAAAGACATTTCCAGAACCTCTCTCACTTTTCAAGAGCAGAACTCCACTTGGGGTTTGCCTGGTTTTGGTGGATATTTGCTGTTATTTTTTTTCCCATTTCCCTAACAAGACAGCAGGCAGCTGCTGTCCCAGGCAGCACTCTGGGAAGAACTGGTAGAAGGCGCCTTCTCTGGGCAGAAGCAGCTGTGTAGGCACATGGCCAGGCTAACAGAAGCCCCAGATGCAAAGAGAAGGTAACCCTTCCCCCGGGCAGATGTGCTCCATGTGAGGGCACCCACCTGGTAGGCAAAACCTCTGCCTCTAGATGCTCTGGAGTAGTGCACACAGTGCACAGCCACCTGGTGTAGTCATGCAACTTTTTTTTTTTTCAGAGTCTCGCTCTGTGGCCCAGCCTGGAGTACAGTGGCATGATCTTGGCTCACTGCAAACTCCGCCTCCCAGGCGCATGCAGTTCTCCTGCCTCAGCCTCCAGAGTAGCTAGGATTACAGGTGCCAGCCACCATGCTCAGCTAATCATTGTATTTTTAGTACAGATGGGGTTTCACCATGTTGGCCAGGCTGGTCTCAAACTCCTGACCTCAAGCGATCCACTCGCCTCAGCCTCCCAAAGTGTTAGGATTACAGGCGTGAGCCACTGTACCCAGCCAACAACTTCTATTGGTTTGATCAACACCTTGGTCTCAGCTTTGTTTAGTCCGGAGACTCCATGGTACATGAGAGCAGTGGGTTGGACAGATACACCCAGGTGACCCAGGTGGAGTGTATTCATTCATACTCATCCATTTACTCAATATTAAATGGTCACTGAGGCCAGGCGTGGTGGCTTAGGCCTGTAATCCCAGCACTTCAAGAGGCCAAGGTGGGCAGTTCACTTGAGGTCAGGAATTCAAGACCAGCCTGGCCAACATGGTAAAATCCCATCTCTACCAAAACACAAAAATTAGCCAGGTGCAGTGGCATGCACCTGTAGTCCCAGCTACTTGGGAGTCCGAGGCAGGAGAATCACTTGAACCCAGGAAGCAGAGGTTGCAGTGAGCCAAGATCACGCCACTGCACTCTAGCCTGGGCGATAGAGCAAGACTTTGTCTTAAAAAAAAAAAAGCCACTGAGTGTCTACTACTGCTAGACACCATCCTAGGTCTGGGCTTCTTGCTCCTCAAGAATTTATAGTGTACAGGTAGAAAAAGACAGCAAAGTCACAAGAAGAAACATACAACTGGCCAGGCACTGTGGCTCATGCCTGTAATCCCAGCACTTTGGGAGGCTGAGGCAAGTGGATTACCTGAGGTCAGGAGTTCCAGACCAGCCTGGCCAACACGGTGAAACCCCATCTCTACTAAAAAATACAAAAATTAGCCAGGTGTGGTTGTGTGCACCTGAAATCCCAGCTACTTGGGAGTCTGAGGCAGGAGAATCGCTTGAATCCAGGAGGCAAAGCTTGCAGTGAGCCGAGATCATGCCACTGCACTCCAGCCTGGGCGACAGAGTGAGACTCTGTCTCAAAAAAACAACAAAAAAAACTCACAATGAGATACTACTTCACACCGATTTGGATGGTTATAATAAAAAAGAGTGGCAATAAGAAATGTTGGCAAGGATATGGAGAAACTGGAACCCATATACACTGCTGGTGGGAATGTAAAATGGCGCATCTGCTTTGGAAAATAGTTTGGTGGTTCCTCAAAATATTAAACATAGTTACCGTATGACTCAGCAATTCCAATCCTAGGTATCTACCCAAAAGATATGAGAACAAATACCCTTAAGAAGATGTGTCTGTGACTGTTCATAGCAGCTTTATTCCCAATAGACAAGAGGTACCCAGATGCGTGAAATGTCCATCAGTGTCAAAAAAAAAATGTCCAAATGTTTATCAATAGGTGGTCGGATAAACAAAATGGGTTATCTATACAATGGAATATCATTTAGTAAAAAGGAACAAAGTATTGGTTCAAGCTACAAAATAAGTGAGCCTCAGAAACCTTATGCTACCACAAAGAGGCCAGTCACAAAAGACCACATATTTTTCCATTAACATGAAATGTCCGGAAAAGGCCCATCTATGGAGGTAAATTAGCAGTTGCCTGTGCTGGGAGTGGCAACATGAAGAGACTTGCAAGTGGGTATAAAACCACTTTTTTGGGAAGGTAGAGATGTGCTAAAGTTAGATTGTGACTACACCACTCTAAAGTTAATAAAATCCCTTGAGTTGTAAACTTAAAATGCATGTTATGGTACATAAATTATACCTCAAGAAAGTTATTAAAAAAATTTAGGCCAGGTGCGGTGGCTCATGCCTGTAATCCCAGCACTTTTGGAGGCTAAGGCAGGAGGATTGCTCGGGTCCAAGAGTTCAAGACTAACCTGAGTGACACAGCGAAACTGTCTCTACAAAAAATATAAAAATCAGCCAGGCGTGGTAGCACCTTCTCTGTTCCTAGCTACTCAGGAGGTGGAGGTGGGAGGATCGAGCATGGCTTGAGCCCAGGAGGGGGAGGCTGCAGTGGGCGGAGATCATGCCACTGCACTCCAGCATAGGTGACAGAGTAAGACCCTGTCTCCAAAAAAAATTTTAAAGCAGGCAAGGCCCAGTGGCTCACACCTGTAATCCTAGCACAGGGATTTCCAATCTTTTGGCTTTCCTGGGCCACAACGGAAGAACTGTCTTGGGCCACACATGAAATACACTAACATTAATGATAGCTGATGAGCTTGAAAAAAAAATGGCAAAAAATTCCGAACTTTTAAGAAAGTTTAGGAATTTGTGCTGGGACACATTCAAAGCCATCCTGGGCCACATGTGGCCAGCAGACCATGGGTTGGACAAGCTTGTCCTAACAGTTTGGGAGGCTGAGGTGGGAGGATAGCTTCAGTTCAGGAGTTCAAGACCAGCCTGGACAACACAGTAAGACCTTGTCTCTACAAAAAAATACTTAAAAATTAGCCAGGCATGGTGGTGCACGCCTGTAGTCTCAGCTACTCAGGAGGCTGAGGTGGGAGGATCACTTAAGCACCACAGGTTGAGGCTGCAAATCAGCCATGATCACACCACTGTACTCCAGCCTGGGTGACAGAGCAAGACCACCTCAAAAGAAATAAAATACAATAAATAAATAAATAAATTTTTGAAAATGAAAAACCCCGACATTCAAAAATAAAATTAATTGTGTTTTCTGGAAATGTTATAGTGCAAACTTTTTACATATGTGTGCTGGTCACTCTATCCCTTGACTGATGATTACAACAAAGAGTTGAGAAAGTAATCATAAGCCCTATTTACTCACAGGAACTCTCAAATAAGAGGACCTTCAAATATATCTCAAATAAGAGATAACTAGTTTGGCCTAAATGTATGGCACAATTTAAAGCATTTATTTCATCATCATCATCCTGTTAGAATTTTTAAAACCACAATATTTTCAACTTTGTTCAAACTTGGAGATACCTTTCCAGGTCTACTATTTCTAGAAAAGTTCTTAGGTGAGACCTGCAAGAGACAGAGTGAGTTATTTTTTTACTGACACTATTCTCTGCCAAGGGAGAAGTTTTCCAGAGAGTACAAGGAAAGATTCAGGATTAGCAAATTCCATCAGCTTCTTAGGAATGAAATGTCTGGGAAAATAATCTTTTTAAGAATACCACCCATTAGTCCAGTTCTCTGAAGGGAAAATATCAAACTGGAAAAACAGATTCAGACCTAAAAATAATTAAGTCACTTTAAAAGCATATTTTATCTTGATCTCTCTCCCTTTTAGGATTTCTTCAAAACAGAAGCCATAAACTTCTCAAAAGACAATTACTAGAAGAAAGTAGTCCTAATTAGGATATGTGTCAAGAAAACCTAATTATCAATTTGCCTAATTAAAATGAATATCTGAACATGCCTTAGGAATGTGAGCTTTCTCAGGTGAGACATGTACAATTTTTTTTAATCAACATCCGTCAACAGAGCCTAGCACATTATGTTAACAGGGAACGGATGACTGAAACCAAGTGTCACACATACCACTACTGGAAGGAGTTGATGGGAATACTGTTACTCACGTAAATCACCGGTGGGAGGAAATGGGTCTTAAAGCAAAGCGCTCTTTCATTTAATTGGCAGGCTACACTTGGAAAACAAACTGCTCAATGAGCTGATTCTGCAGCAAAGGTGAAGGGTTCAGAGCTGTGATTTTTAGGGACTGTTGCTTGAGTTAATCAAACCCCTTTGATGGTGTGTGTTTTGGCAAGAGAAGGGGAAAAGTCAGTTTTTTTTTTTTTTTTTTTTGAGACACAGTCATCACTCTGTCTCCTAGGCTAGAGTGCAGCGGGCAATCTTGGCTTACTGCAACCTCCGCCTCTCAGGTTCAAGTGATTCTCCTGCCTCAGCCTCCCAAGTAGCTGGGATTACAGGTGCCTGCCACCACACCCGGCTAATTTTTTTAATTTTAGTAGAGATGGGGTTTCGCCATGTTGGCCAGACTGGTCTTAAACTCCTGGCCTCAAGCAATCCACCTGCCTCGGCCTCCCAAAGTGCAGGAATTACAGGCGTAAGCCACTGCTCCCAGCCTCGAAAAGCTAGTTCTTTAACTTTCTCAGTCTGCCCAAGGGGCAAATCTACTGGCTTCCCAAGGAGTCTGGAGAGGCCTCTGATGCCTCTAAGGGCACCTCTCCAAGTTGCCAGCGATGCTAATAGAGTCAGGACCCCGGGGAATTGTCAATGAGTGCAATGGAAGCAGCAATGGTAGGCTAGGGTTCAGCACCTAGTAATGTGAACCCACAAACCTGGGGTTCTCAGCAGAACACTCTGAGGCTGGGCCTCTCTAGGCCCTCCGTTAAATGACCCATCCTGGGTGTGTCTATGGGACTGCATGGCTCACAGAGGAGATCAAGTGCTGGCCCCACTTCTAGATTTACTCGGGGCTAAGAAAAGTTCAGAGTCACTCTCTCCTCCTATCAGCAGGGTAGGTATCTTATAGATTTATCATCAAGTCTCTCTCCAGCATCCCCATTCTTATCCAGGGGAGCTGCTCTCTGATCCTCTGGTCCCAGTGGTGGCCCCCTGGCAGCTGCAATGGCCTAGGAAGCTACTATACCTCAGCACTCCCACCATCTCCACTGAAAGACACCCCGTGCCCAATAGGCACCTCCAGCTACAGCAAATAAACACATTCAAAGTAAACAATGGGGGCCAAGTGCGGTGGCTCATGCCTGTAAATCCCAGCACTTTGGGAGGCCGAGGTGCCTGAGGTCAGGAGTCCCAGACCAGCCTGGCCAACATGGCGAAACCCTGTCTCTACTAAAAACACAAAAATTAGCGGGCATGGTGGTACATGCCTGTAATCCCAGCTACTCGGGAGGCTGAAGCAGGAGAATCGTTTGAACGTGGGAGGTGGAGGTTGCAGTGAGTAGCATCACTGCACTGCAGTCTGGGTGACAGAGCTAGACTCTGTCTCAAAAAAAAAAAAAAAAAAGTAAACCATGGGGGACTACAGAAATGCAGCCTCTGGACAAATCCTTGAGCTCCAGCTTCCAACTGGATTGCATCCCAAGTTGCTCTAAAGTAGAAATGCTTTTGTTGCCATTGCTGCAATCAGACCACTCTTTTCAAAATAAAAATCTGATCATACATCCTTGCTTCCTCACACATCCAGCTTGAAACCTCTTGATGCTATTAGGACACGACAAAAATCCTTAGTTACCACCACCTCCCTCTCCAGCCTCAGCCCACACCATGTCCCAACCTCATCTTTCTGCTCCAGACTCAGAGACTTCCTTCAGCCCTCATCCTTCCCTTTCCCATCCTGCCATGTCCTAGGACTCTCACACTTGCTCTGCCCATGGTCCACATGGTCTTCCCTCCCTTCGTGGCCCAGTTAACTCATACTCCTCTTTTAGCAATCAGACGAAGCAACACTTCCTCAGGGAAACCCTGCGTGAATGACCTCAGAGCCCACCAGTAGCCAAGCATTATTTTTTGTGCCCTAGCTTTGTACCTGGATTATTACAAGCCTCTGAGAGCATGTAACTTGAACCACTCCCCCGCCCCCAACTTCCTATTCTCCACCATACTGGACAGTGCAATAGGAATATAAGAAATATTTATTTCCTTTCGGTTTTTTTGTTTGTTTGTTTTGAGCTGGAGTCTTGCTCTGTTGTCCAGGGTGGAGTGCAGTGGCACATTCTCGGCTCACTGCAACTTCTGCTTCCCAGGCTCAGGCAATTCTCCTGCCATAGCCTCCCAAGTAGCTAGGACTACAGGCATGTGCCACCACACCCAGCTAATTTTGTATTTTTAGTACAGATGGAGTTTCACCATGTTGACCATGCTGGTCTCGAACTCCTGACCTCAGGTGATCCACCCGCCTCAGTCTCCCAAAGTGCTGGGATTACAGGCGTGAGCCACCGCGGCCGGCCCTCAACAAATATATAGGCGTGAGCCACCGCAGCCAGCCCACAACAAATATTTCTTGAACTGAAAAAAAAAATAATACAGCAGAGTAACAGGGAACTCTCATATACTGCTGGTGGGAGTATAAATTGGCACTACCACTTTGGAAGGCAGTTTGACCACATCTAGTAATGCTGGGGATGATTATACCCTATAACCCAGAACATAGCTTGTAGGTATATGCCTCAGAGTAACTCTCCCATGTGTCCACAAAGAGATTTGTACAGAATGTTCATAACAGCACTGTTACCAAGGGCAAAAACCAGAAACAACTAAATGGCCATTGTATTAGTCAGGATCCTTGCAGGAAATAGTTGGCATTCTCAAATTAGGATGATTTTAAAAAGGGTTTAAAAAGGGATTACTTGGTGGGGGTTGGGTGGACGAAACCTACAAGGGAGTGTGGTAACCCAAGGTTAGAAAAGCAGAACCACTGCCACTCCCACGCCTCAAAGGAGGAAATGGTTACTCAAATCCAGAACTAGAGAGAATGAGGAGAAAAGCTGTCCTGAGAAAAGGAGCGACCTTGACCTTCAGGGGTGGGGAGGAAGACAGCCAGGCGAGGCAACCCCACAGAGTAAACTGCAAGAATAAATACAGCTGCCTTTTGCTTCTCTCCCTGCTCTGATTTCTTCTCAGGGCTCCCCACTGGCTGAGCCCAAAGGAAAACCAAAAGGCAAGGAGCCCACCGATGTAGCTCACGGAGGGCAAACCCCTGGGGCATGGTGGGGAAGGGAGAAAGGTTTGGAGAGGCAAAGGGAAGATATTCAGCATATACATCAACAGAATGTATAAGGTATATAATCATCCAATGGAATGTTGCCCAGCAAGAAAAGAGCAAAATCTTCATGTTGGACAAAAAAGACAAGGTCCATTAAAATACAGTCGTCCCAGGCCGGGCGCGGTGGCTCAGGTCTGTAATCCCAGCACTTTAGGAGGCTGAGGACGGCGGATCACCTGATGTTGTGAGTTCGAGACCAGCCTGGCCAACATGGAGAAACCCCATCTCTACTAAAAATACAAAATTAGCCGGGCGTGGTGGTGCGTGCCTATAGTTCCAGCTACTCCAGAGGCTGAGGCAGGAGAATCGCTTGAACCCGGGAGGCGGAGGTTACAGTGAGCCAAGATCGTGCCACTGCACTCCAGCCTGGGCAATAAAGCAAGACTCCGCCTTAAATGAATAAATAAGGTTTTACCATAGAATTACCGGAGAAACCTACTTTAGATAAGGTAGCAGGTAAAGTCTCTGAGGAAGTGAATGAACTTTAAAATGAGGTGTGACGGTTGAGAGAGCCAGGCTCACCAACCCTGCTAAAGAAGCAGAAAACAGCAAGCGCCAAGACCCTCAGGGAAAGAACGGCCTTGGCCCTTTTAAATGCAGTTCAAACAAGGGCAACAACAAAACCTGTTGCAGAACTGGGCAAGAGAGAGAATGACAACCCTGAAGGAAGTGGACACAAGCCTGATCATATAGGGCATTTAGGGTGACTTCCCTGGGGGTATAAAGCTGGTGAGAGCCTGGGAGGCGATCTGGCTGCAGGCAGCAAAAAGCCACAGAGGGGAATCAACAAACCAGAAACAAACCTCCCTCTTTACTTAGCACCTAGCATGCGTCCAACACCGGGTTACAAAAATACTTTTGATCTGTTTACGCTTCCAACAACCCTATGAGGCAGGTATTATCAAACCCATTTTTAAGGCAAAGCAGATAATCTAAATCCAAAATCCAAGCACTTCACTACGACTCTCGAATGCCCTCCCTCTCTACTGCTCTGATGGGGCAGTGTTACCATTTCGGTGAATGACTTAAATAAACGTCATTATGGAGTACAGAATACATAACGGTGAACAACCTTAATAAAACCGACACCCTCTAACATGCACCGAACGCTTATCCAGTAACACCCACAAGTATTCCCGTTTCACAGATGTGGAAGCTGAGGCCAAGATGCTAATGCACAGCTTGGAAACCAGGTCTCGCTGCAGAGTCCAAGCTGTCATTAACTATGCTTTGCTACCCTCCTCTTACTTCCCTTCTCTGGGGGAAGTTAGGTCAAGGCCAAGGAGGCTCCTAGACCAGATCGCTCTCTCGGCCTCGCCTCTCAACTGCGCCCCTGGAATCCCTAAGAGCAGGCTTTGATGCAGCTATGGCGGCTCCCAGGCCCCGGTGCAGCCCCGGATGGTGTCCGACTGGCGGAGCGCACACCTGAACAAAAGGTTCCCCCGGCGGAAGGTTCCGCAGCCCCAGAGTCCCCTCCCCGGGTGAGGGGCGGGCAGTACCTGCGGGAAACGCGGCCAGGGTCCTGCCCCTGGCTCTGTGGAAAACACCCCCCGCCTCTGCAGCCGACATGGCGAGCGAGTTTCTGGCCTTCACTTAGAACACTGCGTGGGTGGAAGCCGCGCGACTTCACACAGAACAACCGCTGGACCTGTCCCGCTTTGGGCGACGCCCTTTGATCTCGGGGCGGGACTGGGGCGGGACGGGGAGGGGCCCGGTGGCTCGGGGCGCCACTAGTGCTGCCTGGGCGGAGCGGAGGCGCCAGCGGCCCCTCTGGGATCGACCTGCGCGCCTGGCGAGTGGAGACTGTCTAGGGCACGCGTGGGCGGGGATAAGGCTTTGGGGTCAGTCCTTCCCTAAAGGCAGAGTTACTAGATTTAACAAGTAAAAATGCAGGACTCCCGGTTAAATTGGAATTTCAGATTTTTTTTTTTAAAGAATGACTGACTTGGTATAAATATGTCCTATGCAGTATTTGGGAGCTACTTACGTTAAATTTTTTTTTCATTATCTGAAATTCCAATTGAACTGGGCGTCCTAATTTTTTTAAATTTTTCTCTTTTTGCAGGTTTGAATGGAAGCGTCCTGATTTTTTTTTATCTGACAACTCTATCATAAAGTCAGAAGGAGCCACTGGGGTGGCTTACGCCTGTAACCCCAGCTCTTTGGGAGGCCAAGGAGGGAGGATCGCTTGAGTCCAGGTGTTGGAGACCAGCCTGGGCAACACGGCGAGAGACCTTGCCAATACAAAAAAAAAAAAAAAAAAGATGAAAAGGTGGACGTCTTGGAAGACTGTCTCAGCCTGAACTTCCCAGTGGCTGCCACCATCTTTCTGTTATTATCTTTGCTTGCTATGCACCAGGCAGGGCGCTAAGCACTTTGCACGCTGCTCACTTAATCCCCACTACAGCCCTAGGAGGTGGTGCTGTTATTAGCTGCATCCGTCATTTGGGGAAACTGACGCTCAGAGAGATGAACGAACTTGCACAAGGTGACACACATCTAGAGAGGTAGTAAAGCTGCGAGTAACCAAATTAGTGTCTCTTCAACTCAAGAGCCATTGTAGTGAACTACTTAGCCAGCATTTGTCAAACGTGTTGAAAATACAAATTCCAGAATGGACCTATTGAATCCAAATCTCTATGAAAATGATCTGTGTTTTGTTGTTGTTGTTGTTGTTTTGAGACAGGGTCTCACTCTGGTTGCCTAGGCTGGAGTGCAGTGGCACAATCTCTGCAGTCTCGATCTCCTGGGCTCAGGTGATTCTCCCACCTCAGCCTCCTAAGTGGCTGGCACTATTGGCGTGCGCCACCATGCCTGGCTAATACTTTGTATTTTTAGTAGAGACGAGTTTGACTATGTTGCCCAGGCTGATCTGGAACTCCTGAGCTCAAGCAATCCACCCACCCGGGCCTCCTAGAGTGCTAGGATTACAGGCATGAGCCACAGTGCCTGGCCTGAAAATGATCTGTTTTTAACAAGCACTGCAGGGGAGCTCTTATGATCTTACAAATTTGGGAAATTCTTTTCTAAACTAGCTGCCTACATCCAAAGCACTGTTTGAGTAGCTAATATGGCCATAACTACTGTTCTCTAATCCTTGACAAGAGTCACCCATGAATCATAGTGGTTAAGAGTATAAATGCCTATGAGTCCTGGAGTCAGTGGGCTTGGATTAATCCCGGTTCTACCCACTTACTGGTTGTATGCTCTTGAAAATTGCATAGTTTCTCTATGCCTCAGTTTCCCTATCTGTGAAATGGAAACAATAGTAGCATCTAGGTCATAGGGTTGCAGAAAGGCTTAAATGAGTTCATGTATCAAAGTGCTTAGAATAATAGTTCTAATAACAAATGGTAGGTACTCAATGAATATTAGCCATTGTTATTATTAATCAATCACTATAACCCTATTCCCTGAACATGGCCTGGCCCAGAGGAGGAGTCCCAAGAAATGTGAAGGAGGCCGGGCGCAATGGTTCAGGCCTGTAATGCCAGCACTTTGGGAGGTGGAGGTGGCGGATCATGAGGTCTACAGATCGGGACCACCCTCGCCAACATGGTGAAACCTCATCTCAACTAAAAATACAAAAATTAGCTGGGTGTGGTGGTGCACGCCTGTAGTCCCAGCTACTCGGGATGCTAAGGCAGGAGAATCACTTGAACCCGAGAGGCAGAGGTTGCAGTGAGCCGAGATCCCGCCGCTGCACTCCAGCCTGAGCGACAGAGTGAGACTGTGTCTTTAAAAAAAAAAAATGTGAAGGGGAAGCTGAGCACAATGGCTCATGCTTGTAATCCCAGCATTTTGGGAGGTTTAGGCAGGAGGATTACTTGAGCCCAGGAGTTCAAGACCAGCCTGAGCAACATAGTGAGAACTCATCTCTATTAAAAAATTTTTTTTAATTAAAAGAAATGTGAAGGAGAGAATGAATTATAGAAACAGACCCTGCCTCTTATTCACTAGCTTTGCAGTCATACTGGCCATTCAGTTCATTAAACATGCAAATTAATTTCCCTCTCTGCATATGCAGTTCTTTCTGCTTAAAATGCCTCTTCCCAGCTGGGCACCGTGGCTCATGCCTATAATCCCAGCATTTTGGGAGGCCAAGGCAGGTGGATCACGAGGTCAAGAGATCAAGACCATCCTGGCCAACATGGTAAAACCCTGTCTCTACTAAAAATACAAAAATTAGCCAGATGTGGTGGCGCGTGCCTTTAATCCCAGCTACTCGGGAGGCTGAGGCAGGAGAATTGCTTGAACCCGGGAGGCGGAGGTTGCAGTGAGCTGAGATCGCGCCACTGCACTCCAGCCTGGTGAAAGAGCAAGACTCTGTCTGAAAAACGAACAAACAAACAAAAAAGTATCTTCCCCTGCTGAGCTAAAGCCCATTTGAACATGAAGGCCTGCAGTTAAATAACACTTCTGTGGAGAGGCCATGCCCTACCCATTTGCACACTTTGCTGATCTAAACTAGGCCTCCCTCATTCTTTGTTAGAGCACTATGTTCTTGTCCCTTGTTGCACTTTGCACAGTTGATAATTATATGTTTTCAGGTGTAATTATTTATTTAATGTTGACTTTCCCGACTCAACTATAAGGTCTATTAAGTTGGTTACCTTTTTAAAAAATTTACTGTTTTGGCCGGGCACAGTGTCTCACGCCTGTAATCCCAGCACTTTGGGAGGCCAAGGCAGGCAGATCATTTGAGGTCAGGAGATCGAGACCAGTCTGGCCAACATGGTGAAACCCCATCTGTACTGAAAATATAAAAATTAGGTAGGCATGGGAGCACGCCTGTAATCCCAGCTACTTGGGAGGCTAAGGCAGGAGAATCACTTGAACCTGGGAGGCGGAGGTTGCAGTGGGCCAAGATCGTGCCACTGCACTCTAGCCTGAGTGACGAAGTGAGACTCTGTCTCAAAAAAAAAATTATTATTTATAAAGATGGTGTCTCACTGTTATCCAGGCTGGTCTTGAACTCCTGGCCTCAAGTGATCCTCCTGCCTCAGCCTCCCAAAGTGTTAGGATTACAAGCATGAGCCGCCACGCCCAGCTGAGGGCAGTTACCTTGACTGTCTAGCTCACCAAGCAGGATGCCTGAGGCATAGACACTAAATGTTTGTTGCATTAATAAATAAATGGATTATGAATATCTCAACAAGATAACCATATTTTGAACCTCAGCAGCAATTGGGAATAGATCTATAGGCCAATCTGGAGCAACTTCAAAACTGTACCAGTGCATTGGATGATAGCAATAGCTGCAATTGTGAAAGGAAAATAAATATTGAGACCCCAAAATCACTAAGCCAAGGGGAAAAGTCAGGCTGGGAGCTGCTTAGGGCAAACCTGCCTCCCACTCTATTGCTGAAACAGACAGCTACTAAGGCTGGGTACAGTGGCTTACACCTGTTATCCCAGCACTTTGGGAGGCCGAGGCAGGAGGATCACTTGAGGTCAGGAGTTTGAGACCAGCCTGGCCAACATGGTGAGACATCCATCTGTACTAAAAATACAAAAACTAGCCAGTTGTAGTGGTGCATGCCTATAATCCCAGCTACTCGGGAGGTTGAGGCAGGAGAATCGCTTCAAACCACAAGACGGAGGTTGCAGTGAGCTGAGATTGTGCCACTGCGCTCCAGCCTGGGTGACAGAAGGAAACTGTCTCAAAAAAAAAAAAAAAAAAACCTACTAAGATAAAAAAGCTACGTACGTCGCTCAGAAGGAATTTCCTTGTAGACAAAGGACAGACAGAACTCAAAGTTATCCCTCTGCTCACTGAGATAAATGCATTTCTGACTGCCTCCTCTGGAAAAGCTAATCAGAAACTGGAAAGAATGCAACCTTTTTTTTTTTTTATTCCCCCGAGACAGAGTCTTGCTGTGTTGCCCAGGCTGGAGTGCAGTGGCATGATCTCTGCTCACTGCAACCTCTGCCTCCCAGGTTCAAGCGATTCTCCTCCCTCAGTCTCCTAGGTAGCTGGGGTTACAGGCATCTGCCACCACGCCCAGCTAATTTTTGTATTTTTAGTAGAGACGGGGTTTTGCCGTGTTGGCCAGGCTGGTCTTGAACTCCTGACCTCAGGTGATCTGCCCGCCTCAGTCTCCCAAAGTCCTGGGATTACAGGCATGAGCCACCGTGCCCAGCCACCTTTTGTCTCTTATCTACCTGTGACCTGGAAGCCCCCTCCCCACTTCGGGTTGTCTCGCCTTTCCAGACGGAACCAATGTACATCTTACATATATTGATTGATGTCTCATGCCTCCCTAGAATGTATAAAACCAAGCTGTGCCCCGACCACCTTGGCACGTGTCATCAGGACCTCCCAAGGCTATGTCATGGGTGCACATCCTTAACTTTGGCAAAGTAAACTTCCTAAATTGTCTGAGAACTGTCTCAGACATTTGGGGTTCACACTTTTTTTCTTTTTTGAGACAGAGTTTTGCTCTTGTCGCCCAGGCTGGAGTGCAGTGGTGTGATCTTGGCTCACTGCAACCTTTGCCTCCGGGGTTCAAGTGATTCTCCTGCCTAAGCCTCCCAAGTAGCTGGGATTACAGGTGCATGCCACCATGCTAGGCTAATTTTGTAGTTTTAGTAGAGACAGAGTTTTACCATGTTGGTCAGGCCGGTCTTCAACTGCTGACCTCAAGTGGTCCACCTGCCTCGGCCTCCCAAAGTGCTGGGATTACAGGCGTGAGCCACCATGCCCAGCCTGGTCTTGCCAGAGGCATTTGAACCAGAGAGACTCCATCTTGAATAGGGGATGGGTAAAATAAGGCTGAGACCTGCTGTGCTGCATTCCCAAGAGGTTACGCATTCTAAGTCACAGGATGGACCTTAGGAGGTCGGCATAAGATACAGTCGTAAAGACCTTGCTAGGCTGGGCGCGGTGGGTCATGCCTATAATCCCAGCACTTTGGGAGGCCAAGGCAGGCGGATCACCTGAGATCAGGAGTTTGAGACTAGCCTGGCCAACGTGGAGAAACCCCATCTCTATGAAAAATATAAAAATTAGCCAGGTGTGGTAGCAGGTGCCTGTAATCCCAGCTACTTGAGAGGCTGAGGCAGGAGAAGCACTTGAACCCGGGAGGTGGAGGTTGCAGTGAGCCGAGATCATGCCACTGCACTCCAGCCTGGGTGACAGAGCAAGACTCCATCTCAAAAAAACAAAACAAAACAAAACAAAGACCTTGCTGATAAAACAGGTTACAGTAAAGAAGCCAGCCAAAATGAAGATGGCAATGACAGCAAACCTCTGGACATCCTCGCTGCTCATTATACACTAATTATAATGCATTAGCATGCTAAGAGATACCCCACAAGCACCGTGACAGTTTACAAATGTCATGGCAACATCAGGAAGTTATCCTATATGGTCTAAAAAGGGGAGCTCTCATTTCCAGGAATTCCCCACCTCTTTCCTGGAAAACTCATGAATAATCCACCCCTTGTTTAGCATACAATCAAGAAATAACCATAAAAATGTGCAACCAGCAACCCTCAGGGCTGCTCTGCCGATAGAGTAGCCATTCTTTTATTCCTTTACTTTCTTAATAAACTTGCTTTCACTTTACTGTATGGACTTGCCCCAAATTCTTCCTTGTGTGAGATCCAAGAACCCTCCCTTGGCGTCTGGATAGAGACCCCTTTCCAGTAACAGTCTTATGGCCCCCACCCAGGCACTGACTTTGTGCAAAGATGACAACTTCCCCATGATTTCATTTCTTCTATTTTTATTTTATTTTATTATTATTTTTCTGAGACGGAGTTTAGCTCCATCACCCGGGCTGTAGTGCAGCGGTGCGATCTCGGCTCACTGCAAGCTCTGCCTCCCGAGTTCACGCCATTCTCCTGCCTCAGCCTCCCGAGTAGCTGGGACTACAGGTGCCTGCCACCACGCCTGGCTAATTTTTTGTATTTTTAGTAGAGATGGGGTTTCACCATGTTAGCCAGGATGGTCTTGATCTCCTGACCTCATGATCTGCCTGCCTCTGCTTCCCAAAGTGCTGGGATTAGAGGCGTGAGCCACAGCGCCTGGCCTCCCCATGATTTCATTTCTGACCTAACCAATCAGCACTCCCGACTCACAGGTCCACTAACCACCAAATTATCCTTAAAAAACCTGATCCCCAAATTCACAAGGAGACTGATTTGAGTAATAAAATTCTGGTCTCCGGTACAGCCAGCTCTGAGGGAATTAAACTTTCTCTATTGCAATTCCCCTGTCTTGATAAATTGGCTCTGCCCAGGCAGCAGACAAGGAGAACTTGTTGGACAGTTACATCCTCTGCCCTTTATAATTTTGGCTTTATCATCACTCTCTACAGAGAAGACTTCCTCCCAATCACTTGGAAGCTCCAGGCTCCTCCTTCATGGGAGCGGAATGGCTACAGCAGTTCTAGACCACATTCTCATGAGACACCACCCAGTGAGGTGAGGAAGGAAGTGTCTTTTATTTCCTCTGAATCCTCCAGCAAACATCCCCTGCATCACTGCAATGCCAGTTTAAAACCAAAGTTAGAAGGATAGATGGCATATTTAAACTGGCTGCAGTCATGAGGCCCACCCTAAAGAAGGCATGGTGTCAATTTCACCCTAGTTACATGCCTAAGAGTGGGGAGCACAATTCTCTTAAAATGAAATCTTGACGCCATTGTCCTAAGAAAGGAAGAACCAATTGTTAAAAAGAGCCAATAGGTAATCCATTACATAACCCGTGCAGGAGTGAATGTTGAGGTGGGGGTGGGGGAGTCACAAAGGCCAATGACTACCATCCCCGCTCTCCACCCTTTAAAAAAACTGCCCTTTTTCTTCCCTCCCACTTCTTGTAACAGCTATACTTGTAAAAAGCCCTAATCTACGTGGTGGCTCACGCCTGTAATCCCAGCATTTTGGGAGGCCGAGGCAAGTGGATCACAAGGTCAAGAGATTGAGACCATCCTGGCCAACATGGTGAAACCCCATCTCTACTAAAAATACAAAAATTATCTGGGTGTGTTGGTACGTGCCTGTAGTCCCAGACACTTGGGAGGATGAGGCAGGAGAATCACTTGAACCTGGGAGGAGGAGGTTGCAGTGAGCTGACATTGTGCCATTGCACTCCAGCTCGGCAACAAAGCGAGACTCTGTCAAAAAAAAAAAAAAAAAAAAAAGCTCTAATCTAAATGTGCTGTTATTTAGAGTCCTAGATATAAGATTAAGAACATCATTTTCTGTACTGGGCTGTAGAATAGCCTCACTTCTTGAAGCAGGCAGAACAATTTGTCCTAACACTCAAGGACTCTGGGCTGCTGAGCTTTTATAGTTCTTCTGTCCACTTTTTATAGATCTTCTGTCTCCTTGCTCCCAGCCTGTGGGCAGTCACTCCTTGCTTTTTGTTGCATCTGTCTCTTGCAAGTCCTGTCTGTCTCCTTCCCTTGTTTCTCATCTGCCCCAGTTTGTGAAGCTGGATGACAAAGCTTGTTAAAACTATGAGCCAGGTTGGTTTATGGATTGGAGCCAGTAGGCTTGGCATAAGAGCGTAAGGCCGCATTTAGAGAGAAGCACTTGGGCCTTGCTTTGATGGGTATTGTCATTCCTGGTTAGGCTGTGTGATGGTTAATTTTATGTGTCGACTTGGCTGGGCCACAATGCTCAGATATTTGGTCAAACATTATTCTGAATGTTGCCATTGTTAATGGTGGAGGGTGTCCAGGTTCTTGGCATCTTGAACAAAGAATTGGACAAAATGCACAAACAAGGAAAGAATGAAGCAACAAAAGCAGAGATTTATTGAAAATGAAAGTACACTCCACAGGGTGGGAGTGGGCCTGAGCATACGGGCTCAAGAGCCCAGTTACAGAATTTTCTGGGGTTTAAATACCTTTTAGAGGTTTCCACTGATTACTTTGTGTATGCCCTATGTAAATGAAGAGGCTAAAGTGAAGTTACAAAGTTACTTACTTGGCATACACCCTATGTAAATGAAGAAGATGAAGTAAAGTTACAGAGTCATTTACTAGCTGTATGGTGTATGCCCTATGTAAATGAAGAGGATATTTCCTGTTATAGCTGAAGTGTTTCCATTTGATTTAGTTCTAGGAAGTCCTTAGATTCCCTGCCTCCAGGCCCTCTTCTCCTGCCTCACCATGGAAATGTTTTTTTGGGTTTTTTTTTTTTTTTTTTTGAGATGGAGTCTCGCTCTGTTGCCCAGGCTGGCGTGCAATGTCACGATCTCAGCTCACTGCAACCTCCGCCCTCCAGGTTCAAGTGATTCTTCTGCCTCAGCCTCCCAAGTAGCTGGGATTACAGGTGCCTGCCACCACACCTGGCTAATTTTTGTATTTTTAGTAGAGATGGGGTTTCAACATGTTGGCCAGGCTTGTCTCGAATTCCTGACCTCAAGTGATACGCCCACCTTGGCCTCCCAAAGCGCTGGGATTACAGGCGTGAGCCACCGCACCTGGCCTAGGGGTGTTTACATATTACATTACTACAGTTACATTTGGACTTGGAGTGCAACAGATTGCCCTCCATAATGTGGGTGGGCTGCATCCAGTCAGTTGAAGGTCTGGATGAACAAAACACTGACCTTCTCTAAGCAAGAGAAAATTCACCCAGCAGACCTCTTTGGACATGAACCACAGCATCAGCTCTTCCTGGTCCCAGCCGTCTGGACCACCTTGCAGATTTTGCACTTGCCAATCTCTCTCTCTAGACAATCTATACACAGTCATGCATCACTTAACGGCAGGAATAAGTTCTGAGAAACATGTCATTAGGCAATTTCATCATTGTGTGAATATCATAGAGTGTGCTTACACAGACTTAGATGATCTTGCCTACTATGCACCTAGGTGGTGTGGTATAGCCTATGGCTCCTAGGCTATGCACCTGCACACCATGCTTCTGTGCTGAATACTGTAGGCAGGTGTAACATAATGATAAGTATTTGTGTATCTAAACACATCAAAACATAGAAAAGGTAAAGTAAAAACACAGTGTTATAATATTATGGGACTACCATCATATGTGAATATATGTGTTAGGTTGTTGACCAAAATACCATGCAGCATGTGACTGTATATACAGTCTTGGGACCCCAAAATCACTAAGGCAAAGGGAAAAGTCAGGCTGGGAACAGCATCAGGCAAAACTGCCTCCCATTTTATTCCTAAATAAGATAGCTACAAAAATAAAAACATTACATACCTCCCTCACAATTTGCCCACAAGGAAATTCCTTGTGGACAAAGGACAGATATAACTCAGTCATCCCTCTGCTCATATGAGATAAATGCATATCTGACTGCTTCCTCTGCCGCTTTCTTCCTTCCTTCCTTTTTTTTTTTTTTGTTTTAGATGGAATCTCCCTCTGTTGCCCAGGCTGGAGTGCAATGGCGCAATCTCGGCTCACTGCAACCTCTGCCTCCCAGCTCCCAGGTTCAAGGGATTCTCCTGCCTCAGCCTCCCAAGTAGCTGAGATCACAGGCATGTCCCACCACGCCTGGCTAATTTTGTACTTTTAGTAGAGACGGGGTTTCACCATGTTGGTCAGGCTGGTTTTGAACTCCTGACCTGAAGTGATCCACCCAACTTGGCTTCCCAAAGTGTTGGGATTACAGGTGTGAGCCACCACGCTGGGCTTTTTCAAGTGATTCTCCTGCCTCAGCCTCCCAAGTGACAAGGGGGCTGGGCATGGTGGTTCACATCTGGGATCCCAGCATTTTGGGAGGCCAAGGGAGAGGATCATGTCAACCCAGGAGTTCGAGGCCAGCCTGGGCAACATAGCAAGACCCCATATCTACAAAAAATACAAAAATTAGCTGGGCATGGTGGCACATGCCTGTAGTTCCAGCTACTCTGGAGGCTGAGGGGAGGGCATCATCTGAGCCCAGAAAGTCAAGGCTGCAGTGAGTCGTGATGAGGCTACTGCCCTCCAGCCTGGGAGACAGAGTGAGGCTCTGTCTCAAAAAAAAAAAATTATTTTGTGTATCTGAAATACCAATTTAATTGAGCATTCATATTGTATCTGGCACCCGTAGGCTAGTATCTACCATATTGGACAGCACACATGTGGAACATTCCCATCGATGCAGAATTTCTATTGGACAATGCTGATTCAGAACATTCATGAATAACCTGTAGCCAGTGAATCTTTCCTGTTGCTTCGGTTCTTCTGTCCGATGGCCTACCTCTGGCATGTGGGACAGAACAGCCGTAAGTATGCTCACCTTCTCAAATGCAGTTCTCAGCCTTGGAAGCAGATAGTACTAATTGTTCCAACTATTTTTCATCCAGAAACTTGAGTTTAACTTACCATTTAGGCTTTCTTTTCTACCTCCCCTATATTGCTTAACACTCCCTTGTAAATTACTTTCTGGATGATAGTGGAGCTTACTGTTAACTTTTTTCTTCTTCTCCTTTTTTTTTTTTTTTTTTTTTTTTAAGACAGAGTTTCGCACTTGTTGCCCAGGCTGGATGCAGTGGCACGATCTCGGCTCACTGCAGCTTCCGCCTCCCAGGTTCAAACGATTCTCCTGCATCAGCATCCCAAGTAGCCAGGATTACAGGCACCCACCACCACGCCTGGCTAATTTTTTGTATTCTTAGTAAAGACGGGGTCTCATCATGTTGGCCAGGCTGCTCTCAAATTCCTGACCTCAGGTAATCCACCCGCCTCGGCCTCCCAAAGTGCTGGGATTATAGGCATGAGCCACCGTGCCAGGCCAACTTTCTAATCTTCATTTTTTTTTCATCTGAATAATGAACCCAGCCTCCTGAAGCATTTAAATATTTTGCAATTGTTCTCTTGGGTTGTGAAATGAACTTTTCCCCCTTTTTCAACAAGAATAAGAATATTCCTGAAAGCTCCACTCCACTGAACTCAATTGTGCATTGACCGTACAACTTAAGCTCTTTGCAGAGGTATGAGCTCCCCAAGGCTTATGTATCCATTAGAATACACCAAGTGTCCAGAACAGGACCTGACACATAGGAAGCCCTTAATGAATACAAAGCCCTTAATAAAAAGACCCTAATCAAAGTGGAATTTGCTTCTCGGTTAAACTTACTAATGTTGAGAATCCCAAGGGCAGATTCCAAATTCCATTTAGTTTCTCCATGAATCTTGGTATTGGATGAGTTTACAATGAATAACAACAACAGAATTTTACATACTTCAACCCCCACCTCTTGCCTTGCTGTTTGTCATATATTCTTGCAAAGTAACTGTAGTCTGTTCTGGCCCTCTCAGGATGACATTTTTGTCACTGGGGGCCAGGGCAAAATTGAAAGCCACCAGTTTTGTCGGAAAACACTGTTGATACATGCAACCCTTTCTGCGTTTCATTTTCTTTCTCTATCTTCCCCCTGCTGGGCACTGTTTGATTGAAACCAAATCCTGTGTTTGCTAACATCATAACTGTGCTTTGTTTCCTAAGAGAAGGAACACATGTCTGAATCTGTCAGCTCTTACTGGTTTTTATCTTCCCAAAGCACTAGCTTGGTTTTTTATTGAGCATTTAATATTCTGGACTATAAGGTCTGTACGCAGAGGCACTCCAACAACAGGATTCTGGATTTTCTCTCTTGGGACTCTGAACATATTAGTCTCAATTAGTGGTTCTCAACCCGGGCTGCACATTAGAACCGCTTGGGGAGCTTTTGAAGCATATTCGTTCCAAGACTTCACCCTGGGAATTTCTGATTGGATGAGTTTTGGATGAGACCTCAGCATTGCTCTTTCAATGTCCCAGGTGATCCTAATATGAAGCTAGGGTGAAGAACTGCTTGTCCACACTCTAAAATAAGCCAACTGGCTGGGCGCAGTGGCTCATGCCTGTAATCCCAGCACTTTGGGAGGCCGAGGCGGGTGGATCACTTGAGGTCAGGAGTTCGAGATTAACCTGGACAATATGCTGAAGCCCTGTCTCTACTAAAAATACAAAAAAAAAAAAAAAAAAAAAAAATTAGCCAGGCGTGGTGGCGCATACCTGTAATCCCAGGTATTTGGGAGGCTAAAGCAGGAGACTCACTTGAACCTGGGAGGTGGAGCTTCCAGTAAGCTGAGATCATGCCACTGCACTCCAGCCTGGGTGATAGAGTAAGACTCTGTCTCAAAAAAAAAAAAAAAAAAAAAAAGAATAAAATAAAATAAGCCAAGCACCTGAGTCAAGTGAATGGCAAGTGAACAATACAGCCTATTGCTGCTGGTGTGAGGAGACAAATGCAATACACTGCTGAGTCACTGGGCACTGGGATACATACCTTTTCATACAGAGTCCTATTTAAGCTTCACCACAGTCTTGAAATTTTATGCATAGGATTGAATGATTGAAGAGTGTCTTCAGAAAATTCATGTCCATCTAGAACCTGTGAATTTGATCTTAATTGTAAGACAGGTCTTTGCAGATGTAATCAAGTTAATACTCATACTGGATTGGAGTGGGCCCTAAATCCAATGACTGATATCTTCTAAAAAAAATTTTTGGCCAGGCACGGTGGCTCATGCCTGTAATCCCAGCACTTTGGGAGGCTGAGGTGGGTAGATCACTTGAGGTCAGGAGACCAGCCTGGCCAACATGGTGAAATTCCTTCCTTACTAAAAATACAAAAATTAGCCAGGCGTGGTGGCAGGTGCTTGTAATCTCAGCTACTCAGGAGGCTGAGGCTGGAGAATTGCTTGAACCCAGGAGGAAGTGGTTGCAGTGAGCCGAGATTGCATCATTGCACTCCAGCCTGGGCAACAAGAGTGAAATTCCATCTTAAAAAAACAAACAACAACAAAAAAATTATAGAGTGTTCCTTCTCTTGTTTCCTAAGAAAAGGAACACATGTCTGAATCTGTCAAGTCTTGCTGGTTTTTATCTTCCCAAAGCACTAGCTTGTTTTTTTTTAGATTTTGTTTGTTTGTTTGAGATGGAGTCTTGCTCTGTCACTCAGGCTGGAGTGTAATCTCAATGGTGTAATCTCAGCTCGCTGCAACCTCTACCTCCTGGGTTCAAGCAGTTCTCCCTGCCTCAGCCTTCCGAGTAGCTGGGATTACAGGCACCTGCCACCATGCTTAGCTAATTTTCTTTCTTTTTTTTTTTTTTGTATTTTTAGTAGAGATGGGGTTTTGCCATTTTGGCCAGGCTGGTCTCAAACTCCAGACCTCAAGTGATCCACCCACCTCGGCCTCCCAAAGTGCTGGGATTACAGACGTGAGCCACCAGGCTTGGCCTAGCCTGTTTTTTTTTTTTTTTTTTTTTTAATTGAGGATATAATATTCTGGAGAAATAAGGTCTGTAGCTAGAGGCACTCCAACATCAGGATTCTGGATTTTCTCTCTTCAGACTCTGAGCATATTAGTCTCAATTAGTGGTTCTTAATCCTGGCTGCACATTACAATTTCCTGGGGAGCTTTTCAAGCATATTCGTCCTAAGACTTCACTCTGGGAGTTTCTGATTGGATGTCATGTTGCCCAGCTGGTCTTTAACTCCTCGGCTCAAGTGATCCTCTTGCCTAGGCCTCCCAAAGTGCTGGGATTACAGGCATGAGCCACCGTGCCTGGGCTGATGTCTTTTAAGAAGAGAAGAGGACACACAGAGAAAGCAATGTGAAGACAACCACAGAGATTAGAGTGTGTGGCTAGGATGCATCTATAAGACAAGGAATATCAAGGATAACAGAAAACACCAGAATCTAGGGCCCAGCATGACGGCTCACGCCTGTAATCCCAGCACTTTGGGAAGCTGTGGTGGGAGAATTGCAGCCTGGGCAACATAACGAGAACCTGTCTCTGCAATAAAATTTTAAAAATTACCTGAGTGTGATGGTGTGCACTTGTGGTCCTAGCTACTCAGGAGGCTGAGGCGGGAGAATTGCTTGAGCTTAGGAGGCAGAGGTAGCAGTGAGCTGAGATCACACCACTGCACTCTAGCCTAGACAACAGAGCAAGACCATTAAAAAAACAAAACTGGTTGGGCGTCGTGGCTCACACCTTTAATCGCAGCACTTTGGGAGGCTGAGGTGGGTGGATCACCTGAGGTCAGGAGTCCAAGACCAGGCTGACCAACATGGAAAAGCCCTGTCTCTACTAAAAATACAAAATTAGCTGGGCATGGTGGTACAAGCCTGTAGACCCAGCTACTTGAGAGGCTGAGGCAGGAGAATTGCTTGAACCGGGGAGGCAGAGGTTGCAATGAGCCGAGATTACACCACTGCAATCCAGCCTGGGCAACAAGAGTGAAACTCCCATCTCAAAAACAAAACAAAACAAAACAAAACAAAACACCAGAAACTAGGAAGAGGCAAGACAAGGAAGGATTCTCCCCTGGAGCCTTTAGAGGAAGTATGGCACCACCAATACCTTGATCACAGACTCCTGGCCTCCAGATATGAGAGTGAGTCTATTTCTGCTATCTTAAGTCACCCAGTTTGTGGTACTGTATAATGGCAGCCATGGGAAACTAATACAGATTGTTATTGTTGCCATTTGATGGATGAGAAATCTGAGGCAGCGTGAAGGATGCAAAGAAGTTAGACGTGGGTCCCACCACCAGGGCTGTGGGAAGGCATCACACGTAGATTGAGAGCTTGGAGGCCACAGAACTGGGTAGCATCTCAGCCCCACCACTGGCCATATAACCTTGAATAAGTCCCCTAGTCTTTCTCAACCACAGTGTCTTCATCTTCAAAATGAAATACTTCATAGAGTTTTGGGGGAAATGAAATAAGAAACTGCAGGAAAACACACATTGACCTGCACGTGGTTAGCTCTCAAAAATGGTACCTGGGCCAGGCACAGTGGCTCACGCCTGCAATCCCAGCACTTTGGGAGGTGGAGGCAGGCAGATCACTTGAGGTCAGGAGTTTGAGACCAGCCTGGCCAACATGGTGAAACCCTGTCTCAACAAAAAATACAAAAATTAGCCAGGCATGGTGGTGCGTTCCTGTAATCCCAGCTGCTGCTAGGGAGGCTGATGCAGGAGAATTGCTTGAACCCTGGAGAGGGAGGCTGCAGTGAGCTAAGATCGCGCCACTGCACTCCAACCTGGGCAACAGAGCGAGACTCTGTCTCATAAAAAAAGTAACTGTTATTATTATCAGCATTAAACATTAATTTACATCAATAATTAATTTATTAATTAAATTAATTTATATTAATTAAAATAAGTTAATTTATATTAAATGTTAAATACATTATTTAACCTGTATGAAATAGATGAAACTGGCCAGGATGCTTTCAAGAGGGGGAGGAATCAGAATTTACTTCTGATCTTGTGCTCTGCCTTCATCCCCTTAATGTGGCTCAATTGCGATCTTTGGTCAACAAAGTCAACTGGCGGAAAGGGAGGAGGGTCTTGCGCGCCCCCTGGAGGTGAGAGTGGGTAACAGACTGTGCGAGGAGGGAAGGGAAGAGAATACATCCCTGGGTGGTTAATGGGGCCAGATGGTGGAGAACCTTGAGTACTAGTGTATTAGTCCATTTTCATGCGGCTAATAAAGACATACCCAAGACTGGGTAATTTACAAAGGGAAGAGGTTTAATGGACTCACAGTTCCACATGGCTGGGGAGGCCTCACAATCATGGTGGAAGGCAAAGGAAGAGCAAAGGGATATCTTACGTGGTGGCGGGCAAGAGAGCGTGTGCGGGGGAACTCCCATTTATAAAACCATCAGATCTCATGAGACTTATTCACTACCACGAGAACACTATGGGGGAAACCGCCTCTATGATTCAATTATCTCCACCTCTCCCTGCCCTTGACACGTGGGGACTGTTCCAATTCAAAATGAGATTTGGGTGGGGACACAGCAAAACCGTATCAGCTAGGTAGAGGAGCTGTTTTAAGACAGACAAACCATGGTTGTGGTTGAAAGGAACTGAGCATGAGGAGAGCAACTGAGCCCTGAAGTGGCTAAATGTAAGGGTCTGGAAGTCGGAATGAAGAAGAAATGAAGGGAGGGATGCAATGAGAAAGACAGCAAGACAGAAATCACAGGCTTGGGTTTCTAGCCTGAGAAAATCGAGAAAAAATGATTCTGCTCTTAGAAATGGGATACTGGGAAAAGTCAATTTTATCTTAAAAAAAAGAAGAGAAAGAAAGAAAAAGAGTCTGGGCGCCATGGCTTATGCCTGTAGTCCTAGCATTTTGGGAGGCCAAAGCAGGTGGATCACCTGAGGTCAGGAGTTTGAGACCAGTCTGGCCAACATGGAGAAACCCCATTTCTACTAAAAATACAAAAATTAGCCGGGTGTGGTGGTGTGCGCCTATAATCCCAGCTACTCAGGAGGCTGAGGCAGGAGAATTGCTTGAACCTGGGAGGCGGAGGTTGCAATGAGCCAAGGTCACTCCACTGCACTCTAGCCTGGGTGACAGAGCAAGACTATGTATCAAAAAAATAATAATAAAATAAAATAAAATAAAGAAATAATGAAAAATATTTAGTTTTCTTTTTTTCCTTTCTTTTCTTCATTTTTTGAGACAGGGTATTGCTCTGTCATCCAGGCTGGAGTCCAGTGGCACAATGTCAGCTCACTGCAGCTTTGAACACCTGGGCTCAAGCAATTCTCCCACCTCAGCCTCCCAAGTAGCTGAGACTAAGGTGGGTGCCACCACACCTGCTAATTATTTTCCGTAGATACGAAGTCTTGTTATGTTGCCCAGGGTGATTTCAGACTCCTGGGCTCAAGCGATCTTTCCACCTTGGCTTCCCAAAGTGCTGGGATCACAGGCATGAGCCACTGCATCTGGCCCATGATTTAATTTTTGAACAAGCAGATTTTGAGGGATTTTGAAGTGAGAAAAGCCGAATTCTGGTTATGGCTCTGCCAAATGTGAACAATGAACCCATCACATAACCCTTCTGAGCCCAAGCCACTTGATCTTTAAAAAAAGAGGGCACTGGCTGGGCATGATGGCTCACACTGGTAATCCCAGCACATTGGGAGGTCAAGGTGGGTGGATCACTTGAGGTCAGTAGTTTGAGACCAAACTGCCCAACATAGTGAAAGCCCGTTTCTACTAAAAATACAAAAATTAGCTGGGTGTGGTGGCGCATGCCATTAGTCCCAGCTATTCGGGAGACTGAGGCATGAGAATCGCTTAAACCTGGGAGGTGGAGGTTGCAGTGAGCTGAGATTGCACCACTGCACTCCAGCCTGGGTGACAGAGTGAGACTCTATCTCAAAAAATAAAAATAAATAAATAATGGAGGCACTGCGTTAGATCAGAAGAGCAAATGGGTAGCAGATATGGTTTGTTTATTCTACACAGGGTTTTACATTTTAATTTTCTAGCAACATTTGACAATTGGGAGATGATACACAAAAGCTCAGACTTGTGCCTCCAGAAACTGGCAGAAGCTGATCCCTGTAGATAGGACATGTGGTCCCCTGTTTTTCCACAGCCCCCACCATGCCCTATTGTATTCCTGATGGTGAGGTCCAGTATCAGTTGCCATTTGCCACCTACACCCAGCCTGCTTTATATTTATGTTACCTTCCTGGCCCCCTGAGCCATTCAGTTTGAGGTCTCTGGATTAAACACTCTCTAAAGTTCCTTTCAGCTCAGTGTGTCTATAGTTCACCTCTATATCCACTGGAAATACAAGTCCAGTGAGAAATCAGAGCTAGTGGTGCAGATTTGGAAATTACATGAGTAGAGATGATAGTAAGATCTTTGTATGAGTCCATTTTCACACTACTATAAAGAGCTACCTGAGATTGGATAATTTTATGAAGAAAAGTGGTTTAATTGACTCATAGTTCTGCAGCCTGTGCAGGAGGAATGGTTGGGGAGGCCTCAGGGAACTTACAGTCATGGCGGAAGGCAAAGGGGAAGCCGGCACGTCTTCCCGTGGCAGAGCAGAAGAGCGAGAGGGTGAAGGGGAAAGTGCTACACACTTTTGAATAAACAGATCTCATGAGAACTCACTATCACAAGAATAGCAAGTGAGAAATCCGCCCCCATGATCCAATCACCTCCCACAAGGTCCCTCCTCCAACACTGGAAATCACAATTCGATGGGAGATTTGGGTGAGGACACAGAGCCAAACCATATAACCCTTGAGCTACATCATGGGTGTAAGTGTAAAAAAAAAAAAAAAAAGAAAAAAAAAGAAGAACAGAGAACTGAGGACAGAGAATATTCACCTATGGCTAAGGATGGTTAAGGTTAAGAACATGAGAAGGATGAAAGGACACAGAAAAGAAGAGTTTAGATGGAATCGTGCTAGGTAATGGAAACAAGAGAAGTCTCAAGGAGGCTGTATTAGTCCATTTTCATGCTGCTGATAAAGACATACCTGAAACTGGGCAATTTACAAAAGAAAGAGGTTTAATGTTTTTACAGTTCCACATGGCTGGGGAGGCCTTGCAATTATTGCAGAAGGTGAAAGCCATGTCTCACATGGCGGCAGACAAGAGAAGAATGAGGTAGCTTGTGCAGGGAAACTCCCATTTTTAAAACCATCAGATCTGGTGAAACTTATTCACTATCATGAGAACAGCATGGGAAAGACCCGCCTCCCGATTAGCTGGGATTACAGGCACTCACCACCACGTCTGGCTAATTTTTGTATTTTTAGAAGAGACAGGGTTTCACCATGTTGGCCAGGCTGATGTCAAACTCCTGACCTCAGGTGATCCACCTGCCTTGGCCTCCCAAAGTGTTGAGATTACAGGCAAGAGCCACTGCGCCCGGCCCTCAGCTGTGTTCCTGAGCAGTGCTGGCCACTGTCCCCAGTGCTGTGCTGTGACAACCCACCATCCAGTTGTAAACATCTCTATCACAATGTGCACAACAGCCGCAAGCACAACACAGTATGACATTCAGCCATGCAGTTCTTGACACAGATTATTAGAGCAAAAGACATTCAAAAACAAGAGAGCAAGGAGATTTGCTTTCCTGTTTTGTCCCTGCCTTATGAGAAGAAGCTGTTCTTTGGAAACAGTATGTCCTGGGTCAAGTCCATGTTAAAAATTACATGAAGCTAACACTGGCTCAAGGCTTTTAGAGTCCCAAGAACTGCAATCGTAGTGCCCCTTTCTTCGTAATGGAAATAATACCAAAATCAGGATGAGAAAGCCCAATAAAATTCTGATGTTTTTCTATCATTGGCACTTAGATGCTTATATTTTTGAAATATTGTATATCGAATTCTTTCCAATTTTTTTTTTCTCCTTATCCAACCCTTTTTTGCTGGTGGACTGTTCATGTTTTCTTGGCCATCTGAGTGTTCTGACGTTACAGTTAATGCAAAGGGTAATGTGTGAAATTGAAGGAACTTCTTTAAACCTCCACGGAAGTTTTATTGCCTGATAAAATTATGGTCTTCATGAAATACTAAAGCAATAAAGGACAAATGAGTTTCTTTTATTTTCTTTTTTGTTGTTGTTGACATGGTTTTGTTCTGTCACCCAGGCTGGAGTGCAGTGGCGCAGTCACGGCTCCCTGCAGCTTTGATGTCCCAGGCCCGAGTGATCCTCTCACCTCAGTCTCCTGAGTAGTTGGGACTACAGGCACACACCACCATGCCTCGCTAAATTTTTTTTTTTTTGACACAAGTTCTTGCTCTGTCACGCAGGCTGGAGTGCAATGGTGTGATTATGGCTCACTGCAATCTTCACCTCCCAGGCTCAAGTGTTCCTCCCATTTCAGCCTCCTGAGTAGCTGGGACTACAGGTATGCATCACAATGCCTGGCTAATTTTTTTTTTTTTTTTAAGAGACGGGGTACAGGGTTTCACCATGTTACCCAGGCTGGTCTTGAACTACTGGACTCAAGTGATCCACCTCCTGTGACTCAAGTGATCCACTGGCCTTGACCTCCCAAAGTCATTGTTTTGCATGGCCTAGGAATGTTATTTTGTCAGCTGTTTTCTTTACTTAATACGCTGATGTCATATATACCAATATATATGTGTGTGTATGTAAATGTTGATATGCCATATATGTGTATGTATAAAATAGTCCACAGTTTTACAGTTGCACGTGGATTCTGAAGTTGTTTCAAATGCTGTTCTTTTAGGTAGAACTCTATGAAATTGCTGTGTTCATTGGTCAAAAATGGCCAAATACCAGTCATTTCATATGGTTCAACCTACTATCTATGAGGACTATTGCAATAAACAGCTTAAATATATTGGTGCTCTTTTTTGGAGAATTTCTTTAGGATAAGTTCCTAGAAATGGGATTATTGGGCTAAATAGCACATACACATAAATTGTTGATGGGTTTTGTCACCATGTTCTCTTTCCCATCAATAGTGTAAGGGGCTCCCCAATATCCCTCACACTTGGCAAACTAAACTATAAGTTATGGGTAAACCAGTTTACTCTTTTTTTTTTTTTTTTTTTTTTAAGATGGAGTCTTACTCTGTCACCCAGGCTGGAGTGCAGTGGTGCAATGTTGGCTCACTGCAACCTCTACCTCCCAGGTTCAAGCAATTCTCCTGCCTCAGCCTCCCAAGTAGCAGGGACTACAGGCGTGAGTCACCATACCCAGCTAAATTTGTATTTTTAGTAGAGACAGGGTTTCACCATGTTGGCCAGGCTGGTCTCGAACTCCTGGCCTCAGATGATCCGCCTGCCTTGGCCTCCCAAAGTGCTGGGATTACAGGCTTGAGCCACTGTGCCCAGCCCTAAACTGGTTTACTCTTATGAAGTATGTATGCACTCCTCTTTCTGTGGATCTTTGTTTCCCGTTGCCTCTCTTTGGGGTGATCTTTCCTCTGGCATGCAGATACTCAGGTGCCCCCCTCAACTTGCATTGCACAAGAATCAGGCAGTAGAAACTGTGAGCCCAAACAGATGTGCCAGACAGGTCTCAATCAATTTAGAAAGTTTATTTTGTCAAGGTTAAAGACATGCCTGTGACACAGCCTTAGAATTTCCTGATGACATGTGCCCAAGGTGGTTAGGATACAGCTCGCTTCTATACCTTTTAACTAGACATCAGTCAATCAATACATGTGAGATGTACATTGGTTCGAGCTGGAAAGGCAGGACAACTCGAGACGGGGGCTTCCAGGTTATAGGTTGATTTAAAGATTGTCTGGGCTGGGCGTGGTGGCTCCTATAATCCCAGCACTTTGGGAGGCTGAGGCGGATGGATCACGAAGTCAGGAGTTCAAGACCAGCTTGTCAACATGGTGAAACCCCGTGTCTACTAAAAATACAAAAAATTAGCCTGGCATGGTGGCGGGTACCTGTAATCCCAGCTACTCGGGAGGCTGAGGCAGGCGAATCGCTTGAACCCGGGAGGCGGAGGTTGTAGTGAGCTGAGATCACACCATTGCACTCCAGCCCAGGCAATAGTGTGAGACTCCATCTCAAAAAAAAAAAAAAAGAAAAAGAAAGAAAAAAAGAAAATGAAATTATGAAAAAAAAAAAAAGATTTTCTGATGGGCAATTGACTAAAAGAGTTAAGTTATTATCTAAAGACCTGGAATCAATATAAAGGAATATCTCGGCTATGATAATGGGTTGTAGAGACCAAAGTATTATCATGCAGAAGAAGCCTCCAGGTAGCAGGCTTTGGAGATAATAGATTGTAAATGGTTTTTTTTTTTTCTTTTCTTTTCTTTTTTTTTTTTTTTTGAGACAGAGTCTTGCTCTGTCTGTCGCCCAGGCTGGAGTGCAGTGATGTGATCTTGGCTCACTGCAACCTCTGCCTCCTGGGATCAAGCGATTTTCTGCCTCAGACTCCTGAGTAGCTGGGATTACAGGCATCCACTACCATGGCCAGCTAATTTTTCTATTTTTAGTAGAGATGGGTTTTCACCATGTTGCCCAGGCTGGTCTTGAACTCCTCCTGGCCTCAAGTGATCTGCCTGCCCTGGCCTCCCAAAATGTTGGGATTACAGGCATGAGCCACCGTGCCTGGCCTGTAAATGTTTCTTATCAACTTTAAGGTCTGTGTTGATGTTAATGCTGGTTGGCTTTTCCTGAATTTCAAAAGCAGGGAGAGTATAAGGAGGCATGTCCGACTCTCCCCCAACCATGGTCTGAACTAGTTAGGTTAACTTTGGAATGTCCTTGGCTAAGAGGAGGGGGTCCATTCACATGGGCCTTAGAATTTTATTTTTTGTTTACAAAACTGAAACTGTGCCTCCTTTTGTGACAACTGTAACATTGAATTTCCTGGTATGTGATTTCTAAAAAAACTGATTTATATATTTAAAATTCCTGTATATCACATTAATTATTTCCTGAGTTTGGTGTGCATCATGAGTACAGAATATTATCAATAAAATAAAAGTAAATTTAAAGTAAGCTGACAAGGTGCCAGCTCCAATGTTAAGCATTTGTTTTATTGAATCTTTACAGCCACGCTGAGAAGTAAGTATTGGCATCCACATTTTACATAGAAAAAACTTGGGCTCAGAGAGGTTAATTCTCTCATCCAAGGTGGCATAGCTACTGTATTGATGATCTATTGCTACTTGACATGGTTTGGCTGTGTCTGTACCCAAATCTCACTTGAATTGTAATAATCCCCACGTGTCAAGAGCAGGGCCAGGTGGAGATAATTGAATCATAGGGGTGGTTCCCCCATACTGTTCTTGTGGTAGTGAGTTTCACAATATCTGATGGTTTTATAAAGGGAGTTCCCCTGCACATGTTCTCTTGCCTGCTGCCAGGTAAGACGTGACTTTGCTCCTCCTTTGCCTTCTGCCATGATTGTGAGGCCTCCCTAGCCATGTTGGAACTGTGAGTCCAACACGTCCCTTCAACCTCTTTCCTTTATAAATTATCCAGTCTCTGCTATGTCTTTATCAGCAGCATGAGCACAGACTAATACACTACTTAACAAATTACCACAAACTTAGCAGCCTTAAATGACAAATATTTATTATTTGACAGTTGCTGGGAGCCAGGAGTTTGGGCAAAGCTTAGCTAAATACTCTGCTTATGGGTTCTCAAGAGGCTATAACTGAGGAGTCAGTCAGGGTGGGGGTCACCTCTGAAGACTCAGCTGGGGAAAGGTCTGCTTTGCAACTTCACTTACATGGCTGTTGGAAGGATTCAGTTCCTTCAGGTTTCTTGGCCCAAGGGCTTCAGTTTCCTGTTGGCTGGAGGCCACCTTCAGTTCCTTGGCACATGGCACTTTCTAACATGGTGGCTCACAACATGGAAACTTGCTTCATCAAAGCAGCAAGGGACAGAAACTTCTAGCAAGACAAAACTCACATCTTGTGTAGTTTCATCACAGAAGTAGCATCCAATTACTTTGACCATATTCTGTTGGTTAGAATCAAGCCACCAGGGCAATACACACTTAGGGGAGAGGATTACACAAGTGCACAAAGACCAGGAGGTGGGAATCACTGGGGCCATATCGAGTCTACCTGCCACAGCAATTGAAGAGCAAAGCTGGGATGTGAAGCCAGTTTCATCCAAGTCTGAAGCTCCCAACAGTTAACCATTAAGCTCCACTGCCTTCCACAGAAATTAATCTGATTACTTTTTAGAAATATTAATCTGGTTATTCCAACATGGACTGCAGTGTTTATCTCAATGGGTTACCCTTTTAAATCTGTTCTCTCAAGTGAGAACTGAAAGATCCATCCAAAGTGAATGAATTCACTAGTTTTATGAATTTTCTTAAGAGGTAACTTTAGAAAGGAAGACTAATGACCTTAAGACTTCCAATGCTAAATCTTGACCCTGAGCTATTAGACCTAGCCTTCCTATATGATTTTTAGAACATCTGACCAATTTGCATAAAGAAATATACAAATCGGGCAGATGATTAGATTCAAAGAAGATAAACAAAACTTCCCTGGGAGAAAGAATTTAGATTATTCCCTCAACCTTTTTTCCCTCCCCTTTTATGTCTTGAATCTGTAACTAAGTTCAGAATTAAAATGACTAGTCTTAACAAACATCTTCAGACTCAGCCATACATCTGTGTATAATTTGGTTTGTGGGAGAGCAGGAGGACTGGTTCATGGGGCATCTTTGTGGGCAGCAATATATCTTCATTTATTGAAATGTTCCTAGCAACAGAAGTTGTTTTCTTTATCGCCCCCAAATCCTCAAAGTAGAAACAGGCAAAAATGATGACAAGAAATCTAGAAAATTGTAGATGTATTTTCATTTTTTTAAAGTGTAACTTGTGTTGTAAGTATATTTCCTGGCATTTGCCAACATAAAGTCAAAAGCTTTTTTTAAAAAAATTTTAATGACAAACATGAGTTCATGTGCAATTTTTTTTTCCCCAAAAGCTAACATATGGGACAGCAGTTAAATGCTGTCCTGTCATACTGCTTAGAGATTGCTTTGGCATTTCAATTGTATTTCCCTGGCATGATGATTTTTCTTTGGCTATTTTCATATTATTCTACTTTGCATGCATTCAGAATGTACCAGCTCAATTCCTTCTGCAAAGTAACAACAACAAAATTTATTAAAAATTGTTAATGATCACTTACTGTGTAGTCATTCTAGGCTACACACTTTCCATGCATTATTTCATGCTGTTTTCATAATAATCCTAAAACCTAGGTAATTATCTGATTTTATAGATAAGGAAAATGAAGCTTGTGGCTCAGAGAACTTAAGTAATTTGCCCAAGGCCACACAGCAAGTAATTAGTAGAGCAGGATTGGAGAGCATGCTCTTTGGACTATGCAATACTGCATAGGCAATGAGTGATGAATGAATGAATGAGTGACTACTGAGCTCAATTAGAGCAGAACTTACCTGTGTTTTTTGTTTTTTTTTTTGAGATGGATTCTTGCTCTGTTGCCCAGGCTGGAGTGCAGTGGCATGATCTCAGCTCACTGCAACCTCTGCCTCCCAGGTTACAGCGATTCTCCTGCCTCAGCCTCCCAAGTAGCTGGGATTACAGGCATGCACTACGAGACCTGGCTAATTTTTTATTATTAGTAGAGATGGGGTTTCACCATGTTGGCCAGGAGGTCGAACTCCTGACCTCAGGTGATCCACCTGCCTCGGTCTCCCTAAGTGCCAGGATTACAAGTGTGAGCCACCGCCACGCCTGGCCCCTTACTTGTAATTGTATGAGTAAATCAGAGTTTCTCATTTTCTCCCATCCTCCATTGGCAAAGAGTGCAGGATAATGAGACCTCAGGCTTTGTGGGTATTTGTGTTGGCGAAGACCATAGGCTGTGGAGTCAGACAGAGCTATATTCCAATTCAGGCTTACAGCTTTTCAGCTGTACGACCTTGGCCAAGTTCTATAACCTTACTGAGCCTCAGTTTGCTCTTACAAAAAGAGCAGGAATAATGAGTTTTCATCAAGGCCATTTGCAAACAAGGATCTATTTAGTGAAATAAATATGAGTGTATCCATGTCATACAGTTGATGTGAGGATTCTATGAGGGTATACACATAAAGCACTTACTTAGCACAGTGCCTGAAGGTATGGATAAATGCTTACTCCTTGGTAGTTACCATAATTATAATATCACATGGAGTTATGAAAAGTTGGATTTGAGTTCTGATTCTTTCACTTATTAGCTCTGTGACTAGCAGTAAGATATCTCTCTGAGACTCAGTTTCCCTATCTGTAAAATGGGTATCACAATATCGCCCTTGCCGTGAACGATGCTGTGAAAAATTGTATGGAAGTGGTTCTCAAATGTCACCCAGAAATAGTTGGCAGTGTTTGAAGACATCCTGGCCGTCATACTGAGGGGAGGTGGTGGTGGTGCTACTGGCATCTAGGGGGTAGAGGACAGGGACGCTGCTGAACATCCTATAATGCCCATGGCAGCCCCTACAACTCAGCATTATCTGGCCCCAAATACCAATGGTTCCAAGGTGGAGAAATCCTTTGGAATGGGCATTTCACGCAGAGCTAGTGCACAGGAAATGCTAGCTATAATATTATTATGTTTTGTCATTTTGAGTTTCCATTTTTTTTTCTTTTTTCTTTTTTTTTTTTTTTGAGACAGAGTCTCAGTCTGTTGCCCAGGCTGGAGTGCAGTGGTGCATTCTCGGCTATCTGAAGACTCTACCTCCTGGGTTCAAGTGATTCTCCTGCTTCAGCCTCCCAAGTAGCTGGGATTATAGGCACCCATGACCACGCCTAGCTAATTTTTGTATTTTTAGTAGAGATGGGGTTTTGCCATGTTGGCCAGGCTGGTCTCGAACTCCTAACCTCAGGTGATCTGCCCACCTCAGCCTCCCAAAGTGCTGGGATTACAGGCGTGAGCCACTGCGCCCGGCTGAAATATCCAATTATTAATGATACATTTTCCTGAAAAGGTATGATTATTGACAAATTAGTCTACTCATGTTTTAAGAGTAAAGTTGACATATTAAGCCTTTTTTTCTTTCTTCAGATAGAGTCTTGCTCTGTCGCCCAGGCTGAAGTGCATTGGTGTGCTCTCAGCTCACTGCAACCTCCGCCTCCCGGGTTCAAGTGATTCTCCTGCCTCAGCCTCCTGAGTAGCTAGGATTACAGACATGTACCACCATGCCCAGCTAATTTTTTTTTTTCTGTATTTTTAGTAGAGACAGGGTTTCACCATGTTGGCCAGGCTGGTGTTGAACTCCTGACCTCATGTGATCCACCTGCTTCCGCCTCCCAAAATGCTGGGATTACAGGTGTGAGCCACTGCACCCAGCCTAGGCCATCTTTAATGTCAAAAAAGAAGGAGATTAGCCTTCTTTTTAGTTTAGATTTTTCTTTTTTTAGTAGCAACCCTTAATCATTGTGGAAGACTTGCAAAGTTTAAAGAAATATTGAGGAGAAGAAAGAAGAGATAAAGAAAACAGTCAGCTGGGCATGGTGGCTCATACCTGTAATCCCAGTACTTTGGGAGGCTGAGGTAGGAGGATCACTTGAGGCCAGGAGTTCAAGACCATTCTGGTCACCATAGGGAGAACTCCATGTCTAAGGAACTAGTAAAATTTTTTTAAACATTAGCCAAATGTAGTGGTGCACACATCTACTCCTAACTACTTGGGAGGCTGAGGGAGGAGGATTGCTTGAGCCCAGGACTTTGAAGCTGCAATGAGCTAGGATTATGCCACTGCACTCCAGCTTGAGTGATAGAGCAAGACCCTGTCTGTTCTACTCTCAAAGAAAATGGTTTTGTCTTCTTTATCTTCTCCCTTCATCTTCCTATGAACCCGCCTACCATCTGCCTGAATCTGTACCACATTTCCCCTCTCCTCTCTCCAATGACAACGTAGGGATAGACTGTGACACCCACAAAAAAGATCCTGCATTTTGTGCATTGCACCCTACTGTCTAAACTGCTTAGTAGATAGTAGTTTTCCCATCTGTACTCCGTCTTTCCCTTCAGCACAGAATGGTAGACAGACTTCTGTTATAGCAGAAGCGTAACCACTAAATTGTCTGGTCTTCCTCTTTGGAGAAGGAACTAAAAAATAAAAAAGATGCAAGGGGCAACATCTGGTCAGATTCTCTAACCCACTCAGAGTTCCCCTGAAATGATGTGGGCTGCAGCTGTCTTAACCTGCTGGAGAGTTTGCATGTGGGACAGAGCAGCTGCTGCCCACATCGCACAGTGCTCGAGACAAGCTGTGAATTTTATTTTATTTTGAGATGGAGTTTTCCTCTTGTTGCCCAGGCTGGAATGCAGTGACATGTTATTGGCTCATTGCAACCTCTGCCTCCCAGGTTCAAATGATGCTCCTGCCTCAGCCTCCTGAGTAGCTGGGATTACAGGTGCCCACAACCACATCTGGCTAATTATTTTTTTTTTTTGTATTTTTAGTAGAGACGGGGTTTTGCCATGTTGGCCAGGCTGGTCTTGAACTCCTAACCTCGGATGATCCCCCCCTACCTTGGCCTCCCAAAATGCCGGGATTACAGGCATGAGCCACTGCACATGGCCTCAGAAGTATATTAACCTTTTTTGGTCAATACTTCCATGTATCAATAACTAATAACAATTGATATTCAGAATGATGAACCCAAGATCTATAAGGTCCTCAAATACCTTCTAATTCATTAGTAAAATGATAAAGCTCGGTTAGGAGGACCTTTTGTTTTGGTTTATATTTGGCAACTGATGATCTTTTCACAGTATTGTACCTAGCTGTAACACCAAGGGTATTGAATTCACCATTTTCTTCTCCAATTCCATCTGTACAGAGAAGGGAGTGTGGCATGAGTGAAATCATTTCAGAACCAAACAGATCTGAGCTAGAATCTTGGTGCTGGCATTTTTCCACTGTGAAAAGTAATTTAAATTTTCCCAGTCCCTGGGAATAACAACACGTGCCTTGGAGGAATATTGGGGAAAATGTCACACCCGATCCTGTATAGTAATTATTATTGCTGTTTCTGTCTTGTCCATAAAGTGTGTGCTCACCAATTCTTTTGATTTCACCTGTTCCTTCTTCCCCACCAACAGAATGCCTAGTGCATAGTAGGTGTTCAATAAATGTTTACTGATTCATCACTTAGAGTATCGTCTGAATGAGAAGAGGGCTCTCATTTCTCTCCCCTACTCTTCTACTGTATATGTATATGTATATGTATATGTATATGTATATGTATATGTATTTGTTTGTTTCTATGGCACACATCACTATGTGGCATGACATATGTTTATCTGCTTATTTTCTGCCTCCTCCATGAAATGTAAGCTCCAAGAAGATAAGAAATTGTATTTACTCAATCCCTACAGATTTTTTTTTCTTTCTTTTTTTTTTTTTTTTTTTTTTTGACAGGGTCTTTTTCTGTAGCCCAGGCTGGAGGGCAATGGCGGGATCTTGGCTCACTGCAACCTCTACCTCCCAGGCTCAAGTGATTCTCATGCCTCAGCCTCCTGAGTAGCTGGGACCACAGATGTGCATCACCATGCCTGGCTAATTTTTGTATTTTTAGTAGAGACGGGATTTCACTATGTTGCCCAGGCTGGCCTCAAACTCCTGACCTGAAGTGATCCACCTGCCTTGGTCTCACAAAGTGCTGGGATTACAGGCATAAACCACTGCTCCTGACCTTTTTTTTTTCTTTTTTTTTTTTTGATACAGGGTCTCACTTTGTAGCCCAGGCTGGAGTGCAGTGGTGGGATCACAGCTCACTGCAGCCTCAATCTCCCAGGCTCAAGTGATCCTCCTGCCTCAGCCTCCTGAGTAGCCAGGACTATAGGTGTGGGCCACCACTCCTGGCTAACTTTTGTATTTTTATTAGAGACGGGATTTCCCCATGTTGGCCAGACTGGTCTCAAACTCCTGACCTCAGGTGATCTGCCCGCTTCAGCCTCCCAAAGTGCTGGGATTACAGGCATAAGCCACCATGCCCAGCCCCGGCTAGCTTTTTAAATTTATTTTTTTTTAACAACAGGGTCTCACTATGTTGAGACCAGCCTAGGCTGGTCTCAAACTCCTGGCCTCAAGCGATCTTTCTGCCTTAGCAGAAAGTGCTGGGATTACAGGCATGAGCCACTGTGCCTGGCCTAGTCCCTATATATCTCTAGTGCTCAGTACTTACTGTTTCTCATTATTGTAGAGGCTCAATAAATATTATTGAATAAATGAAGTGCATGAGTGATGTCAGCAAAAAAATGAACTCTATTATTTCACACACAAAGTGAAACTCCAAAGACCATAAGGCAAATCACCAAGGAAAAATTTGTTGCCTGGAAGACGGTGGACTTCATATTATTTCCAGCAATAAGGTTTTACAAATTAATTGATTTTTTGACTCACTTTGTGTGGGTTTAAACAATATATCCAAAAGCTCTATACTATATCCTTTGAATTACTGAAACAATTAGAGACCCGAAAGCTGAAATAATGAGTTAAACACTTAGTTGAGCCATCTCTATTAGCGCTTTGCATTTATTGCCTTTCAGCCTCATCTCTGCGGTGTGAGCTTCAGTGCACACTGGGTGCTTCTGGGGACCGATTCCATGAGTTCTCTCCTCATTTCCCTCCCTGCTCATTGGAGAAAACAGCAGACCTGCCCTTGGGTGACATCACCGCTTTGCAGCGCGGGAGCTGCCTGTCAGACCTTCTGAAGGGAGCTACTGCCTCGTCTGAGCCCTGGAGTGCCACCGCCCCTGCACCAGCAATGTTTAATAACATGAAGAATACAAAGGCTGGCGAGATGAGTCACTGGTGCGAGTGACCAGCCAAATTGAATCTCCTTTAATGGAAAGGCCTTAAAATAAAGAAATACAAATGCACTCTAATTTCCAGTTTTAGTGGGAAATGAAATGTATTTCCAGGGAGCATGCCCACATGTGCTTCTTTCTGGTGGATGCCATAAAACACCTCTGAACCTGAATTAGGGTCCAAATTCTTTCTTCACCCAGTGTTTGGCAAATTTCAGCATTTGCATGCCATCTTCCCTAATTTCTTTGCCCTACCTGCGTGCCTCCTGTGTTATTATTTACTTTCTAGTTTTCTGTGATTCACTTTTGTTACTCAAATACCTTGGCTTAAAAGTGAAAAACAGGCCGGGCGCGGTGGCTCACGCTTGTAATCCCAGCACCTTGGGAGGCCGAGGGGGGTGAATCATCTGAGGTCGGGAATTGGAGACCAGCCTGGCCAACATGGTGAAACCCCGTCTCTACTAAAGATACAAAAATTAGCTGGGCATGATGGTGAGTGCCTGTAATCCCAGCTACTTGGGAGGCTAAGGCAGGAGAATCACTTGAACCTGGGAGACAGAGGTTACAGTGAGCCGAGATCGCACCACTGCACTCCATCCTGGGCGACAAGAGTGAAACTCTGTCTCAATAAATAGATAAATAAATAAATAAATAAAAATAAAAAATAAAAAAATGTGAAAAATTCTCACTGCTCACAATTCTGGTAAACTAGTATTTCCTGCCACAAATAGACATGTGTAAAATTAGACGGGGAAGAAAACAGTATCAATACCTGTTAGGTAGCTTCTGGTCTCTGCTAAGGACCTTGAGACAGAGATTTGAGATCTCTTTGATCAAAAGGAGAGTGAAAGTGTTAGGTGGTAAAGAAACAGTAAATGCAAACCAAGACGTTCTCCTTAAAGCAATGAAGTACATTGAAAAGGGAATACTGCCAGGACCTCCTTTGTGGTGATGGGTTCTGTATCAGGATTATGCTGGTGGTTGTACAGAGGTATGCACAAAATAAAATTGCATAGAACTACACACACAAACACACACACACACACAAATACATGTAAAAACTGGTGAAATCTGAATGAAGTCTGTAGCCTAGTTAACAATATTGTACCAATGCCTATTTCTTGATTTTGATATAGCGCTAAAGTTATATAAGATGTCACCATGCAGGACTTTCCATGCTATTTTTGTGGGAACATCCTGTAGGTCTGCATTATTTCAAATTAAAAAAACAATTTCACTGGGCGTGGTGGCTCATGCCTGTAATCCCAGAGCTTTAGGAGTGTGAGGCGGGTGGATCACTTGAGGTCAGGAGTTCAAGACCAACCTGGACAACATGGTGAAACACCATCTCCACTAAAAATACAAAAACTAGCTGGGTGTGGTGGTGGGCGTCTGTAATCCCAGCTCCTCGGGAGGCTGAGGCAGGATAATTGCTTGAACCTGGGAGGCGGAGGTTGCAGTGAGCCAAGATAGTGCCACTGCACTCCAGCCTGGGCAAGAGAGCAAGACTCCTTCTAAATCAATCAATCAATCAATCAATCAATCAATCAATCAATCACGGAGGGGAGTATTATCTTCCCTGTGTGACCTGCATCTATGTACCACATAAAATCAACATATGTACTGCTCACTTTGGGCAAAAATTGGCATACTTTTTCTGCAGGTAAAAACCTAAGTATATTCATTTATCTGGCTTTGGGCCCCTAAAGAATAGGACATAGTATCATTAGAGGCAGGAGAGCATTGTGGTTGGGAGCCTAGGCTCAGGATTCCAACAGAAATGGAGGGAGTCTCAGATTTACTTTGCCGGTAGAGAGACCTTGAGTAATGGTCTTAACCCTCTCATAGTCTAAGTCTTTTTGATTGAAAAGTGAAGATAAGGTGATTATGGTATGTTTCTCATAGGGGTTTTAGGTAGATTTTATGAAATAATTCAGGTAAGGCACTTTGCATACTACATGGCACTTAATAAGTGCTCGATATTTATTTATCTTTATCATCTTCTTTCTCTTATTCTCCCTCTTTTTCCATTATATTCATCATTATCACCAACCAATCAATCATTATCGTTGTCATCATAATGGGTTGAATTGTGTCCCTTAAAGTGATATGTTCAAGTTCTAACCCCTAGTATCTGTGATTGTGACCAAATTTGTGAACAAGGTCTTTGCAGATGTAATCAATCAAATTAAGATGAAGTCATACATGCTTGCAGGGACCCTACTCCACTGACTGGTGTCTTTATAAAAGAAAGAAGAGGGTGATTTGGAGATAGAGACAAGGACAAGATACTCAGTAAAGGAGACATGTAAAGATGGAGGCAGAGGCCAGGCATGGTGGCTCGCGCCTGTAATCCCAGCACTTTGGGAGGCCAAGGTGGGCAGATCACATGAGGTCAGGAGTTTGAGACCAGCCTGGTCATCATGGCAAAACTCTGTCTCTACTAAAAATACAAACATTAGCTGAGCATGGTGGTGCATGCCTGTAATCCCAGCCACTAAGGAGGCTGAGGCACAAGAATCACTTGAACCTGGGAGGCAAAGGATGCAGCTCCAGTGAGCTGAGGTCATACCATTGCGCTCCAGTGAGCTGAAATCACACCATGGTACTCCAGTCTGGGTGACAGAGGACGACACTAAAAAAAAAAAAAAAATTGGAGGCAGAGATTGGAGTTATACTGCCACCAACCAAGTAATGCCAAGAATTGCCAGTTGCAACTAGAAGCTAGAAGAGGCAAGAAAGAATTATTTTCTAGAAACTTCAGAGGGAGCATAACCCTACTAACACCTTGATTTTAGACTTCTAGCCTCCAGAATTATAAGAGAACACATTTCTATTATTTTAAGGCAGCCAATCTGTGATATTTCCTTATGGGAATTCTAGGAATCTAATACAGATTTTGGTACTGGGAAGTGGAATGCTGCTATAAAAAATATCTACAAATTGGCTGGGCACAGTGTTTCATGCCTGTAATCCCAGCACTTTCGGCGGCCAAGGCGGGCAGATCACTTGAGATCAGGAGTTCAAGACCAGCCTGGCCAACATGGTGAAACCCTGTTCCTACTAAAAATACAAAAATTAGCCAGGCATGGTGGCATGTGCCTGTAGTTGTGGCTACTTGGAAGGCTGAGGCATGAGAATTGCTTGAACCTGGTAGGCAGAGGCTGTAGTGAGTTGAGATTGCACCACTGCACTCCAGTCTGGTTGAGAGAGGTTGACTCTGTCTCAAAAAAAAAAAAAAAAAAAAAAAGAAAAAAGAAAAACCTAAAAATGTGGAAGTGGTTTTGAAATTGGCTAGTGGGTAGAGGCTGAAAGAATTCTGACGCATTGACAGAAGAAGGCTAGATTGCCTTGAAGGGACTATTGGTAGAAATATGGACATTAAGGGAGATATACTGATGAGAACTCAAAAGGAAGGGAAGAGGCTGGTAATTAAAACTGCTATTGTTTTAGAGAATACATATATTGTCACAGTCTGTTGTACAGATATGATAATGAAAGGTGTTTCTGTTGAGGCCTCAGAAGGAAATGAGGAGACAAAAAAGCCAAAAAAAAAAAAGTAAAAATAAAAAAAGGAAATGAGGAAACCAAAAAAATTATTGCACACTGGAGGAAATGTGGTTCTTGTTATAAAGTGCCAGGAAACTTGGCTGAATTGTTTTCTGTTATTTTGTGGAAAGTAGAACTTGTAAGCAGTGAACTTGCATATTTAGCAGAGGAGATTTCCAAGCAAAGTGTTGAAGGTGTGGCCTGATTTCTCCTTGCATTTATAGTAAAATGAAAGAGGAAAGAGTTAAATCAAGGAAAGAACTATTAAGCAAGAAGGAGCCATAACTTGGTGATTTGAAATAATCCCAGTCTACCTGTATTTCAAAATATGCTAAAACATACTCTGGAGAGAATTCCCATATTCCCATAGAGTGGCTGGAAAACCATTTGCTAAAGAGGTTGAGTGTTTTTTTTTTTTGAGACAGGGTCTCTCTCTGTCACCCAGGCTGGAGTGCAGTGGTGGGATCTTGGCTGACCGCAACCTCTGCCTCCCAGGTTCAAGCAATTCTCGTGCCTCAGCCTCCAGAGTAGTTGGGACTATAGGCACATGCCAACACACCCAGTCAATTTTGGTATTTCTTAGTAGAGATGGGGTTTCACCACGTTGCCCAGGCTGGTCTTGTGCTCATGACCTCAATTGATCCACCCACCTCACCCTCCCAAAATGCTGGAATTACAGGTGTGAGCCACCATGCCTGGCCTAATCTTTTTGTTTCTGACTACTGTCTCTTGTTTCTAAAGAGATTGAATATTTGGCTAATGGAAACAATCAGCCATCCTAGCAGAAGCCAGGAATAGAGATGAGGTTATCCAGGAAAGAGCTGTGGAGAACCCTCTTACCTGATTGTGTGGACTCTGTGAGTTGCACAGGAGACACACAAAGTTTTGAGAATGTTATATCAGCAGAAGCACTGTCACCCTGAATTGAAAGGGACAGAAGCAGAATTAAATGAAGAGAAGCTGTTGGACTTCCAAAATGTCACAGGCAGGATATGAACTCATAGAGGTACTGAGCTTCAAACATGTGTTTCCTTTAAGAAAAAGGAAGAATGACTCTGAGGACATCCTTAAGACTGACAGGGCTTCTGTAGGCTCAGAAGACAGAGCATCAGCCTGTTGAGGATTATTTTCAGGCCTTGAGACCTAATGAAATTTGTCTTGCTGAGGTTTTTTATTTTTTTAGACAGAGTCTTGCTCTGTCTCCCAGGCTGGAGTGCAGGGGTGTGATCTTGGCTCACTGCAACCGCACTGCCTTCCAGGTTCAAGTGATTCTCCTGCTTCAGCCTCCCAAGTAGCTGGGATTACAGTCATCTACCACCGTGTCTGGCTAATTTTTGTATTTTTAGTGGAGACGGGGTTTTGCCATGTTGATCAGTCTTGTCTTGAACTCCTGACCTCAGGTGATCCACCCACCTCGGCCTCCCAAAGTGCTGGGATTACAGGAGTGAGCCACTGTGCCTGGCTTTGTCTTGCTGAGTTTTGAACTCACTTGGGACAAGTGACCCCCTTATTCTTTCCATTTTCTCTCTATGGGAATGGGAATGCCTGTCCTATATCTGTCCCATCATTGCATTTTGGAAGCAGATAACTTGTTTTATACTTTCACATTTCCACAGATGAGGAGAATTTTTGCCTCAGCATTCATGATACCCAGAGTTGCACCCAAGCCTGATTTACATGATTTACATGGTAAGATTTGGGACTTCTTGAGTTGATTTTTTTCTTCTTGTTGTTTGTTTGTTTTGAGACAGGGTCTTCCTCTGTTGCGCAGGCTGGAGTGCAGTGGCACAATCAGCTCACTCCATTCTCTGCCTCCCGGGTTGAAAAAATCCTCCTGCCTTAGCATCCTGAGTACCTGGGACTACAGGTGTGCACCACCACGCCTGAGCACACCATGCCTGACTAATTTTTGTATTTTTAGTAGAGATGGGGTTTCATCATATTGCCTGGGCTGGTCTTGAACTCCTGCGCTCAAGCAACCCACCTGCCTTGGCCTCCCAAAGTGCTGGGATTTATAGGCATGAGCCACCACATCCGGCCATTAAGTCTCTATTTCTGTTCTGATCTTTATTATTTCTTTCCTCGTATTAATTTTGGGTTTAATGTTTCTTCCCATCAATAGTGAACGATCTGAAAAAGAAATCAAGAAACCAATCCCATTTAAAATAGCAACAAAATAAAATGCCTAGGAATAAATCTAATCAAAGAGGTGAAACATAAAACATTGATGAAATAAATTGAAGAAGACACCAATAAATGGAAAGATATCCCATGTGCATGGCTTGGAAGAATTAATATTGTTAAAATGTTCGTACTACCCAAAGCAATTTACATATTCAATGCAATGCCTATCAAAATACCAATGACATTATTCACAGAAATAGAAAAAACAGTTCTAAAATCTGTATGGAACCACAGAAGGTCCTGTATAGCTAAAGGAGTCTTGAGCAAAAAGAACAGAGCTGGAGTCATCACACTACCTTCAAAATATATTACAAAGCTATAGTAACCTAAAACACATGGTACTGGCATATGAATAGACACACAGACCAATGGAACAGAATAGAGAACACAGAATAAATCTGCACACTTATAGCCAGCTGATTTTTGACAAATTTGCCAAGAACCTATACTGGGGAAAGGACAGTCTCTTTGGTAAATAATGCTGGGAAAACTGGATCTCCCTATACAGAAGAATGAAACTGGATCCCTATCTATCACCGTATACAAAAATAAACTCAAAATGAATTAAAGACTTACATTTAAGACTGAAATAATAAAATGACAAAACTACTAGAAGAAAACACAGGGAAATGCTTCTTGACATTGGTCCATGCAAGGATTTTTTTTTTTTTTTTTTTGCAAAAGACCTGAAAATCACAGGGAACAAAAGCAAAAATAGAAAAACATGTGAGTATTTAAAGCTAGAAAACTTCTTCATAGCAAAGGAAACAATCAACAGAGTGAAAAGACAACCTTCAGAATGGGAGAAAATATTTGCAAACTATATATCTGACCAGGGGTTAATATCCAGAATGTATAAGGAACTCAAAGAACTTAATAGCACAAAACCCCAAAAAATCCAATTACAAATAAGCAAAAGCCTTGAATAGACATTTCTCAAAGAAGACACAGAAATGACCAACAGATAAATGAAAAAATGCTCAACATCATTGCTAATCATGCTAATCATAGCTAAACATGCTAATCATCAGGGAAATGCAAATCAGAACTACAATGAGATATCATCTTACCCCAGGTAGAATGGTTACTATCAAAAAGACAAAAAATAACATATGCTGGCACAGAAGTGGAGAAAGGGGAACCCTTGCACACAGTTGGTGGGAATGTAAATAACTACAGCCTTTATGGACAACAGTATGCTGGTTCCTCAAAGAACTAAAAATGGAGCTACCGTATGATCTGGCGATCCCACTACTGGGATTGAAATAAATATGGGAAATGAAATCAATATGTCAAAGAGACATGTGCACTCCCATGTTTATTGCAGCATTATTCACAATAGGCAAGATATGAAATTAATCTAAGTATCCATTAACAGATGAATGGATAAATAATATGTAGGTATATATATATATACAATGGAGTACTATTTAGCCATTAAAAAGGAGGAAATTCTGTCATTGGCAGCAACCTGGATGAACCTGGAGGACATTAAGTTAAATGAAATAAGCCAGGCACAGAAAGACAAATACCGCACAATCCCCCTCCTATGTGGAATCTAAAGAAGTTGATCTCATAGAAATAGAGAGTAGAATAGTGGTTACCAGAGGCTGCGGAGGTTAGTGGAGAGGAGATAGGGAGAGATTGGTCAACAGGTACGAAGTTGCAGTTAGATAGGAGGAATAAGTTCTTGCATCCTACTGCACAATAGGGTGACTATGTTTAACTATATTTTTGTTGTTGTTGTTGTTGTTTTTTGAGATGGAGTCTCACTCTGTTGCCCAGGCTGGAGTGCAGTGGCATGATCTTGGCTCACTGCAACCTCTGTCTCCTGGGTTCCAGTGATTCTCCTGCCTCAGCCTCCCTGAGCTGGGATTACAGGTACGTACCACCACATCCAGCTAAGTTTTGTTAAAAATAGAAACTAAAAATGTAGAGCTGGGATTTTGCCAGTTGGCCAGGCTGGTTTCGAACTCCTGACCTTGGGTGGTCTGCCCAGCTTGGCCTCCCAAAGTGCTGGGATTACAGGTGTGAGCCACTGTGCCTGGCCAACAATATTGTATTATTTATTTTGAAATAGCTAGAAGAGAGAATTTTGAATGTACTCACCACAAAGAAATGATAAATGTATGAGGTGATCGACATGGTAAATACCCTGATTTAATTTTTACACAATGCATATATATATTGAAACATCAAACTATACCCCATAAATATATATCATTATTATGTGTCAACTAGTAACAAAATAATAACTAATAATAACTAACAAATAACAAAACATAATAATAAGGCACAGACCACAAAGCTTATTAGAGATAAAGTGAGATTAATTCTTAAAAGTATTAGATTTAGATTTATGATTCCTCTAACTTTGCTAAGGAACATTAATCATTCATAGCAAAATATTTCCTTTAGCTGATTATATATATATATTTTCTCAGTTAATTCAATATTATTCCACATTTAGAGTTAATAATTTTCTACCAGGCTTTTTTTTTCCTACTTCAATTTGTTTCCTCTGACGGGATACAAGACAAACACCGTTTGCCTGAGTTTTTAAAGCGTATTTCCTTTGCTCACTTGAATGATCAATAAAGACATAAGTCCAATTGGCAAAGTGAAAAGGGGGTTCTACCAGATTTTAATACACAGTAAAATATATGTAAGTAAACCAGAAGTAATGTTTTCCCTGACAAAACTATTTTGAAATCACTTTCAATTTATGTGCCATGAAAAATGTTTAGATTTTCCCCCAATGATGTAATTGTAGAATTGAGATACATCTTATATATCTGCCTAGCTTATGTGCTAACAAAGATGATAGTAACCCAGATAAATTGTGTGTTAGTTTTTCATATGTCTCAATGTCTCAATGGGGAATCTTTTTTTTTTTTTTTTTTTTTTTTCGAGACAGGGTCTCACTCCGTCTCCCAGGCTGGAGTGCAAGTGGGGTGATCCTGGGTCACCGCAACCCCCACCTCCCAGGTTCAAGTGATTTTCATGCCTCAGTCTCTTGAGTCGCTGGGACTACAGGAGCCCACTACTATGCCCAGTTAGTTTTTGTATTTTTAATAGAGATGGGGTTTCACCATGCTGGCCCAGCTGGTCTCAAACTCCTGACCTCAAGTGATCCTCCCGCCTTAGCCTCCCAAAGTGCTGGGATTACAGGGGTAAGCCACTGCACCAGCCTGTTTTTTTCTTTTAAATCATCTTGACCTCAACATCTTAGTCAACGCTTATATGAAATTTTAGCAAAACAGTGATTGAAAAGCGGAGAATGTAAAGTCCCAGAGTTGGAGGAGTAGTTCATCCGGAAGCATCCGCCAAGTGATCAATTTTTTGGGGACGGTAGGAATAGAACAGGTCCGAGGAGTTACTTTTCTGGAAAATCAGGAAGTACTCATTGCCTCTCGTTCTTCAACTGAAGTCAGGATTAACCAAGACAACATGATTACATACTTGGCAAAGAGATTCACACCTCACATCCTGTACAGACCTCACATCTTGCCTTACTCTCAGAAAGAGAATGAGGATGCTGTTGGACCAGAGGGAAGAAAAGAACCAGTTCATGCTGATGCTGCCACATTTACATCCCAGAAGAGGAAGGCTAAGGAAACCAAAATTTGTGTGCCAGGTAAGCACTTAAAATACTTCACCTTTTTTTTATTTTTTATTTTTTAGACAGAGTCTCACTCTGTCACCCAGGCTGGAGTGCAGTGGCATGATCTTGGCTCACTGCAACCTCCACCTCCCCATTTCAAGCGATTCTCCTGCCTCAGCCTCCTGAGTAGCTGGGATTACAGGCTCCTGCCACCACACCTGGCTAATTCTGTGTTTTTATTAGAGACAGGGTTTCGTCATGTTGACAAGGTTGGTCTCTAACTCCTGACCTCAGGTGATCCGCCCACCTCAGCCTCTCAAAATGCTGGGATTACAGGCATGAACCACTGCACCCAGCCAATACTTCATCTTTTTAAGTCCTACCAACATACATGAGAAAGATGTCAATGCTGTCTTATAAATAAGGAGCCCAAGGCTCAAAGAGGCTCATTTGTCCTTGCTTTTATTTTGTTAATTAGCATTTATTAAGTACTCTTGCTAGGTGCCAACACCTGTATAATTTATTTACGTATTTTATCTCATTCGGTTTTCAAAACTTGTGTGCCATCATCCACACCACAAGTGAGAAAAGTATGGATAAGAAATGTTCACACATTTCCATTCTTAGCGTCAGGGGGCAATAGATAAACACTCCTGGAACAAATCAAGGAACACGAGGCAGTAGTCAGAAACAAAGAGATCAGGATAGGTGCGGTGGCTCACGCTTGTAATTCCAGCACTTGAGATGGGAAGATCAGGTCAGGAGTTCAAGACCAGCCTGGCCAACATAGCAAAACCCCAACTATACTAAAAATACAAAAATTAGCTGGGTGTGGTGGTGCGCACCTGTAATCACAGCTACTCAGGAGGCTGAGGCGGGAGAATTGCTTGAACCCAGTAGACGGAAGTTGCATTGAGCTGAGATCGCACCACTGCACTCCGGCCTGGGCAACAGGATGAGACTCTGTCTTAAAAAAAAAAAAAAATGGAAAGAAAGGAACAAGGAGAACAAAACACCACATGGAAGACTGGTGGCCTTGTGAATGAAGGTTGCTTTCCAATATGCCACAGGTTGAAGGTCACACACATAGCTTGTAAGCAAGGAAGATGGGATTTGAACTCTGATCCGCATGACTCCAGAGCCCAGGCACTTACCTACCCTACTCTCCTGCTCTTACTCTCTTTTTCAGTGAAATAATGGTATAAGGAAATTTTATAAAAACAATTGACTACCCACAGGCACTTCTACTTATTAACTGGTTAGCTAAGAATTAATGAACACTACAGTTATTTCAGTCCTTGCAAATGAAACATCTATTGACAAATGGTCCTCTGCTTGATTTAGCAAATGAAATCAGGAATTTTTTTTTTTAATCTTTTTGAGACTGTGTCTCACTCGGTTGCCCAGGCTGGAGAACAGTGGCATGATCTTGGCTCACTGTAATCTCTGCCTCCCGGGTTCAGGTGATTTTCATGTCTCAACCTCCTTAGTATTTGGGATTACAGGCATGTGCCACCATGCCTGGCTAATTTTTGTATTTTTAGTAGAGATGGAGTTTCACCATGTTGGCCAGGCTGGTCTCAAACTCCTGCCCTCAAGTGACCTGCCCGCCTTGGCCTTCCAAAGTGCTGGGATTACAGGCGTGAGCCATCACGCCCCACTTGGAATCAGGACTCTTAATTGCAAGTGACAGGAGTCCAAATCCAACCAGCTATAACCAAAGGTTACTTTTATTAGAGGGATTCTTGAAAGTCATGCAAAGGAAGAAAAAGTTGAGTCAAACTGGGACAAGAGCAGTGCAGAGATGCTGCTGAGCTTCCATTTGACGGTGATAAGAGGCATGACCTGCCGGAAATCCCAGCCTGGCTTCTCCAGCAGCAGAAGCGACTATTTGTGTATCAGCTTCCTAATGCTGCTGTAACAAGTGACTAGAAATTACCTGGCTTAAAGCCACACAAATCTATTATTTTCTGATGCTGGAGGCCAGAAGTCTGACCCTGGGCTGAAATCAAAGTATTGGCCAGGATGTGTTCCCATCTGGAGGCTCTAGGAGAGAATTCATGTCTTTGCCTTTCTGTTTCTAGAGACTGCCTGCTTTCCTTGGCTCTGAAGTCTTTTCTTACATCTTCAGAGCTAACAATGAGAGTTGCATCCCTCTCTTACTCTCGCTCTTCCATTTCTCTCATCTCCCTGTGATTCTCATTTTTTGCCTCCCTCTTTTTTTTTTTTTTTTTTCTTTTTGAGATGGGGTCTCACTCTGTCACCCAGGCTGGAGTGCAGTGGTGTGATCTCAGCTCACTGCAACCTCCACCCTCTGGGCTCAAGCCGTCCTCCCACCTCAGCCTCCTGAGTAGCTTGGACTACAGCTGCATGTCACCACGCATGGCTAATTTTTTTTTTTTTTTGTATTTTTCGTAGAGACAGGGTTTCACCATGTTGCCCAGGCTGGTCTTGAACTCCTGAGCTCAAGTCCACCTGACTCAGCCTCCCAAAGTGCTGGGATTACAGGTGTGAGCCACTGTGCCGGGCCACCCTCTTCTATTTTTGAGAACCCTCATGATGACACTGCCCTAGTACCCACCAACCACAGATCCTGTTTTAAGGTGAGATGATTAGCAACCGTAGTTTCACTGGCAACCTTAATTCCCCTTTGCCATGTGTCATAACATAGTCATAGATTAGGACGTGAACATCTTTGGGGGAGAGAATCATTATTCTGTCTCCTATAGGGGCATACGCCTAGATTTACCAATCAGCAATTCTGGATGCAATAGATGAGGGGTAGATTTCCAAAAGGAAATTGAAGTGTTAGAAAGGAGGATGGGTGGCCATGTGCGGGGGCTCACACCTATAATCCCAGCACTTTGGAAGGCCGAGGCAGGTAGATCACTTTAGGTCAGGAGTTTAAGACCAGCCTGGCCAACATGGTGAAACTCTGTCTCTATTAAAAATACAATAATTAGCTGGGCGTGATGGTGTGCACCTGTAATTCCAGCTACTTGGGAGGCTTGAACCCAGGAGGCGAGGTTACAGTGAGCTGAGATCCTGCAACTACACTCCAGCCTGGGTGATGAAGTGAAACTCTGTATCAAAAAAAAAAAAAAAAAAGAAGAAAGAAAAAAGAAAGGAGGATGATGATCAGTAATTCTCAGTAATTCCAGAAGATGGAAGGCCTGCTGGGAAGACACAGCCATAGCTGCCCATTATAGATTGAAACAGATGTCAAATCTGTCAAATCTGTCTTTGATGATTTATGCTCTTTCAGTGTCTCCAGATCAATCTTATAACTGCTACCAATTAGTATTAAATAGGTAGAAATACATGTCACTGTGGATTTGTATTGGCTTATAAGATACCCTGAAGTTATTTATTTATTTATTTAGAGACAGGGTCTCACTCTATCCCCCAAGCTGGAGTGCAGTGGCGCGATCACTGCAGCCTCTGCCTTCCTGGTTCAAGCAATTCTTGTGCCTCAGCCTCCGAGTAGCTGGGATTACAGGTACTCACCACCACACCAAGCTCGTTTTGTATTTTCAGTAGAGATGGGGTTTCACCATGTTGGTCAGGCTGGTCTTGAACTCCTGACCTCAGGTGATCCACTTGCCTCAGCTTCCTAAAGTGCTGGAATTACAGGTGTGAGCCACTGCACCCAGCTATTCCCTGAAGTTTAAAAAATGTCCTGCTTATGTTGTTCTCTTGTCTGTCCTTTTCTTATGTGTAGAACTCATAAAAATGGTTATGTGAAGGCCCTAGTGAATTGAAATTTTATTCTGCTACATTTAAGAAAATCAACATCCTTAAAAATAAATGGTATAATAGTAAGACTTTTTCTCAATTTAAGACAATTAAGATTGTTCTCATCTCTATTAAGGTGGCATCCAAACTTGATGAGTTTTCCTGGCCAGATAATATACTTCGTTTAAATTTTGGGGTGCTGTGGAATCCCCCCAACTCACTTCATTCCCAATAGGTACCTATGATTTATAGTTTGGTGTATATATTCTTCTAGATCTTTTAAAATATGTTTATATGTACGAACAAACTATAAACATTTTTTATTTGATTTTTTTCTCATATTACAATTATCTTCAGGACAGGTGCAGTGGCTCATGCCTGTACTCCCAGCACTTGAGAGGCCAAGGTGGAAGGATCGATTGAGCCCAGGAGTTTGAGACCAGCCTGAGCAACAGAGTGAAACCCTGTCTCAAAATACAAACCCAACACCATCCCAGTACTCTTTAGGAAACATTGTAGATCAATCTGTATATTAATAGTTCCACCTTCTTCTTTGAAGTAGATCATTGCAAGATCTTCCAAATGTTTTGAGAGAAACCCTAGATCCTGGCTTTTATAGGAAATGTTCTGATATTTTAAATGTTGGCAACAAATTTAAAAATTTACAGTGTGTAGTCTTTACTGCATATGCCTGTGGGCTTGATTCATCAATCCTGTACAACGCTAGTCTGATACCTCGAATGAGTGTGTTTTTCAATCCAGCCCCCATATGCCTGGTATTGGGCAGAATCTGCCAAAATCTGGAAGTGAGGAGACAAAAGAGGAAAGAAGCGGTGGTTGAAGCTAATATCGTTCATGGTTATCCTTTTCCATTTTCCTATGCACACAAACGGATTGCACTTTTTACCTCCCTTATCATCAGGCAGGGCCATGGGGCTAGTTCTGGTCTTGGGTGCCAGCGAGCAGAAGGAATGTGTGTCCCACCCAGGCTTGCATATTTAATTGCTGGAGTAAAACCTTCTAGCTCTGCTTCCTCCAGAAATCATAGACGTGCATCCTAAAATCATACAAGCCTCCAGCATCACGGGTCCCTGAGTGGCTTTTTTTTTTTTTTTTTTTTTTTTTGAGATGGAGTCTCGCTCTGTCACCCAGGCTGGAGTGCCATGGTACGATCTCAGTTCACTGCAACCTCTGCCTCCCAGGTTCAAGTGATTCTCCTGTCTCAGCCTCCCGAGTAGCTGGGACTACAAGTATATGCCACCACGCCTGGCTACTTTTTGTATTTTTAGTAGAGACGGGGTTTCTCCATGATGGTCAGGCTGGTCTCGAACTCCTGACTTCAAATGATCTGCCTGCCTCAGCCTCCCAAAGTGCTGGGATTACAGGCGTGAGCCACCACACCCGGCCTTGAGTGACTATTTTAAGTGGAGCCCTTCTGATGACTCCCACTAGATGTTAGTACGAGTGAAAAATAAGCCTTTGTGATTTTATGATTCTGAGATTCTGCGGTTTCTAAAATACATTTATAAAACTATAACGGGATTTATCCTGGCAAATATGGGGTATATTAATTTTTGATTGCTGTCTACCAAATCACCTTAAACTTAGCAGCTGAAAGCAACACTCTTTACTTGCTCACAGTTCTGCAGGTCAGAAGCTGGCATAGTGAGGCTGGATTCTCTGCTAGTGATACGACAAGGCATCTGTTGGGCTGTACCCTAATCTGGAGATTCAGCTGGGGAAAGATGCGTTTCCAAGCTTCCATGAGTAGTTGGCAGAGTGCATTTGCTTATGGTTATAAAGCTGAGGTTCCTGTTGTTTGGCTAGTTGCTGGACAGGGACATTTTTTTTTTTTTTTGAGACAGGATTTTGCTTTGTTGCCCAGGCTGGAGTGCAGTGGCACAAACACGGCTCACTGTAGCCTCAACTTCCCAGATTCAAGCCATCCTTCTGCCTCAGCCCCCTAACAGGCTGGGACTACAGGTGCATGCCACCACCCTGGCTAATTTTTAAATTTTTTGTAGAGATGGGGTTTCACCATATTGCCCAGGCAGATCTCAAACTCCTGAGCTCAAGTGAGCTGCCTACCTTGGCCTCCCAAAGTGCTGGGATTACAGATGTGAGCCAGCATGTGCCGTGTCCAGCCCATGGACCATTCTTGACTTCTACAGTCTGCTCCTAGGTTCTGGCCATGTGGTTCCTCCACCTTAGCAACTGAGAAGTTTGTGTAAATGGAATCTCTCTCATGCTTTGGATCTCTCTGACTTTTTTTTTTTTTTTCTGCAACTGTCCAGAGAAAACTGTGCTTTAGAAAGACTCTTGTAATCAGTTTAGTAGCAATCTCTTTATCTCCCTATTTTAAGGTCAATTGTGCCACTTGACATAACTTAATCATGGGGTTAAAACCCATCATGTTCACAGTACCAAGGATTACACAGGCCATGTACACCAGAGGAACAGAAAATCTTGGTGGCCATATTAAGATTCTGCCTAACGCATGGCAAGGAAGTAACAGAGATTAAGTAAGAAAGAAAGACTAGGCCAGGCGCCGTGGCTCAGGTCTGTAATCCCAGCAATTTGGGAGTCCGAGGCGGGTGAATCATGAGGTCAAGAGATGGAGACCATCCTGGCCAACATGGTGAAACCCCATCTCTACTAAAAATATAAAAATTAGCTGGGTGTGGTGGTGTGCGCCTCTATTCCCAGCTATTCGGGAGGTTGGGGCAGGAGGATGGCTTGAACCTGGGAGGGAGAGATTGCAGTGAGCCGAGATGGCACCACTGCACTCCAGCCTGGTGACAGAGTGAGACTCCATCTCAAAAAAAAAAAAGGAAAGAAAAGAAATGAAAAGAAAAGAAAAGAAAGAAAGAAAGAAAAAGAAAGAAAGAAAGAAAGAAAGGAAAAAGACTACCTGTTGGCTTATTTCTGCATGGAGAATAATCTGTGTAACTATCTTTTGTTTAGTCACTTTCATTCATTCCCGAAAACCCTGCCGCTAAGTAAAAACCCATTAAATGAAAAAAAAAAAAATCCATTTATTTTAGTGGAAAAAATTATGATGTCATCCCTCTCAAGCCATAAATCTTCACAATGCTCAAAGATAAAAAATATATCAATTGCAAAATGAAAACACACTTACATAAGTAATAACTAAAAAATAGCAAGTAAAGAAATATAGTTTGTATCTAAGATATAGGAAGGTTTTATTGTCTTTGCCAAAAGAGGACAAGAAGACTTAATTGTGGGTGGTAGCTGGTGAAATAAGTGTGCAAGGAAATTATTCTTTGAAAGGTGAGGTTTTCTTTTTGTGTCATGTTCTTCATTCATTTCCAAGCCATTTGGGGGCTGGCAGGTTGGTTATCTTGCCCTCAAACTGCTCACAAAAAATAACAGTAGAGCTCGGAGAAATGCCTTTAGGATGAAGCAAACCTAGATATGAGTGTGTTTGTGGAAATAGCACATGTGTAAAACACGCTGGAAAGTTACAGAAGACATTACTTCTTCATCCCTTTGTCTTGGTGCACATATGTGAGGAAAATATTTTGGGTTCACCCAATTATGGCTCACAATTCAAATTTGTTCCATTTGATGCTTTGACTTGAAACTGTTGTGTCAGGTAAATTGGGGAGTATAACTTGATCTGAAACTACAGTGTCAAACTATTTCGTTTTTTCTTTTTCTTTTCTTTTCTTTGTTCTTTTTTTTTTTTTTTTTGAGATGGAGTCTTGCTCTGTCCCCCAGGCTGGAGTGCAGTGGTGCGATCTCGGCTCACTGCAACGTCCGCCTCTCGGGTTAAAGCGATTCTCCTGCCTCAGCCTTCCGAGTAGCTGGGATTACAAGCACCTGCCACCACGCCCGGCTAATTTTTGTATTTTTAGTAGAGATGGAGTTTTGCCATCTTGGCCAGGATGGTCTCCAACTCCTGACCTCAAGCGATCTGCCTGCCTTGGCCTCCCAAATTGCTGGGATTACAGGCGTGAGCCACTGCGCCCAGCACACTTCTTATTACATATTTATTTAATGCATTTTAGAACAAAAAATATACTCTATATACACCATGGAACAAAAAAAGAGATCGTGTCTTTTGTGGGAACATGGATGGAGCTGGAGGCTATCATCCTTAGCAAACTAACACAGGAACAGAAAAACCAAATACTGCACGTTCTCACTTATAAGTAGGAGCTAAATGATGAGAATTCATGAACACAAAGAAGCAAACAATGGACAGTGGGCTCTACTTGAGGGTGGAGGGTGGGAGGTGGGAGAGGAACAGAAAAAGTAACTATTGTGTCCTAGGCTTAATACCTGGGTGATGAAGTAATCTGTACAACATATCCTGGTGACATGAGTTTAACTATGTAAGAAACCTTCACAGGTATCCCTGAACCTAAAATGAAAGGTAAAAAACAACAACAACAACAACAAAGAACTGAGTGACAAGAAAGCAGGACACTCTGTGAACTTCAAAATGTCCTTCAAGAACCTCAATGATCCTGGCTGGACTCGGTGGCTCATGCCTGTAATCCTAGCACTTTGGGAGACCGAGGCAGGAGGATCACCTGAGGTCAGGAGTTCGAGACCAGCCTGGACAACATGGTGAAACCTTGTCTCTCATAAAATTACAAAACTTAGCCGGGTATGGTGACGGGCACCTGTAATCCCAGCTGCTCCGGAGACTGAGGTGGGATAATTGCTTGAACCTAGAATGCGGAGATTGTAGTGAGCCGAGATTTCCCCACTGCTCTCCAGCCTGGGCAACAGAGTGAGACTAAGTCTAAAAAAAAAAAAAAAAAAAAAAAAAAAAAAAGAAACCTCAGTGGTCCTAGTATAGAAGTATTTTCAGGATTTAAGACAACCATAGGGTTTGTAGAGCACTCTTTATGGTTTCTGTTGAGTTTCATAGGACATTGAGTTCTGTGCCAATTGCTCATTCATTCATTAGCTTATTTCTTCATTGTATTTATTATATTCTTTATTAAATAGCTATCATGTTCTGGGGATTGTGACAGGCATTAATGATATATAGTCCTGGCAATCAAGAGATTCAAAGTGTTGAAAAAAAGACACATGAATTATATATTTTTGTATTTTTGAGGTAGGTATAAACTACATGAAGTCCACCAATTTTAAATGTAAAAAAAGAATGGTTGTCTAAAAAGTAGCATAACTTCTCAAGAGTCATTATGTCAAAAATTGATTGAACAGCTACAAATGTGATTTTATATTTAGACTTAGCCCTAGGATACATGGCTTAGGAACCTCTTGAAATATATAGGCCCATCGATAGTTTCTACTTATTCTCTGCTGTTAAAAAAAATTACTTTTCTTTTCCAAACTTAAATTGAAAATGAACAAGCCAAGTATTATAAGAGAAACTATTTGAGAGTAAGTCAAAATGACCCATTTGAAGGTCATCACTAATTGGAAATTTCTGAAAGAACCATGCTTAAGAAACAAATATAGACCTTAAAGTGGATAGTTACTGACTTTTATGAATCTTTTAATTTTTAAAATGAGGAAATTTTAAAGTTAAATATTATTTTCATATTTTAGAGTGATGTTTTCTATATTACAAGAACATTATAATGTAAAAATAATTTTTAAAACTTAGCACAAGATAATAATAATGAAATTGGTACCTTCTTTCAAAACATTTCAGTAGGAACTGTTCATTTATGTTATAGCATTATATCTCCACTTTCAAAATGTCATGTAGGGTACTTTTTTAGGATTCTGAATGAGGTAGAAAGGCTGTAAGCCTCAGCTTTCCTCTTGTTGTTTTTCCAAGATAATCTTTAAAAATTCCCCAGTATAACTTTTTCTTTGCCTAAAATGGACATAAGAATATTTTTAGTGGCTGGGTGCGGTGGCTAACGCCTGTAATTCAAGCACTTTGGGAGGCCAAGGTGAGCGGATCATGAGGTCAGGAGATTGAGACCATCCTGGCTGACACGGTGAAACCCCGTCTCTACTAAAAATACAAAAAAATTAGCTGGGTGTGGTGGCGGGCGCCTGTAGTCCCAGCTACTCGGGAGGCTGAGGCAGGAGAATGGCATGAACCCGGGAGGCGGAGCTTGCAGTGAACCGAGATCACGCCACAGCACTCCAGCCCGGGCAACAGAGCGAGACTCCGTCTCAAAAAAAAATAGAATATTTTTAGTAAAGTCTCTTGAAAGTGCAAGAGGAGGAAATACAGTTTTAATTAAGTACCATGTAAATATATCACATGTAAAATAATGTTCAAGGATGTTATTTTGATTGCATCCTCAATACATTTATAATCTAAAACTACTTACTTGGCTACAATTCTGCTATATATATATATATATCTGATATGTATCTATTTGATTATATATATATTTTTTTAATTTTTTTTTTGAGATGGAGCCTTGCTCTGTCACCCAGGCTGGAGTACAGTGGGGCGATCTTGGCTCACTGCAGCCTCCGCTTCTCAGGCTCAAGCAATTCTCCTGCCTCAGCCTCCCGAGTAGCTGGGATTATAGCCACCGGCCACCACGCCCGGGTAATTTTTGTATTTTTAGTAGAGATGGGGTTTCACCATGTTGGCCAGGCTGGTCTTGAACTCCTGACTTCAAGTGATCTGCCCACCTCGGCCTCCCAAGGGATTACAGGCGTGAGCCACCGCGCCCGGCCCAATTCTAATATTTCTTAATGGTGTTATTGGGAGGTAATCCACATGCTATACTTCTGGAGAAGTTGGTAGGGCCTTTGTCTTGCCCTCTCTTCCCCACATTCCATCTTAGTTTATTGTTTTGGGCATGCATGTTGAGCAAGGTGAAGTCAACATTTGATTTTGGTGAGTATTGAATCTTAGTGTTTACCAAAATACAGACGTCAGCATTTTTTTCGGGAAGAATTCCATTATGTTTTCTCTTTGAACAAGCTATATATCTATGAGTATTATCCTCCGCAACCTGATTCCCCCAAGATGTTTTTTAGGTGAAATTATCATTGATACTAGTTTTAGGGCTTCTCTCTTCAAAATGATGACAGATTGGAAGGGCTGTGTTGTAATAGTATAATAGGATTGAGTTCAGCTGCAAAAGCATCCCAAAACATTGGCTCGAACAATAAAAGTGTTTTTGTCCCTCACATAAATGTAGTGTAGAGGCAGATATTTCAGGGCTAGTATGGCAGCTCCACAGTTTACAGGGGCTGAAGCATTTTCTGTACTCAATACATGGCTTTTATCTCATTGTCCAAAATGGCTACCATTGCTCCTGCCAGCAGGAGGAAGAAATGGAGAAAGAAGAGTCCATAGGTGCATGGCAACTGCCTATTAGAAAGGTTTCCTAGCAAGCACTATTGACGACCTCCTCTCACACCTGGAACTTCACTGCATGGCCATACCTAACTATAGGGGAGGCTGAGATATGTCACCTTTATTCTGAGTGGTTATATGCCTAGGTAAAATTTGGAATTTTATTATTATGACAAAAGAGGATAATTGATCTTGATCTCTGCCACAAATAGAAAGATCACGGTCTTTGAAATCAGACACATCTAGACTCAAATCTAGCCCTTATTAATTTTTTTTTTTGAGATAGAGTCTCCCTCTGTTGTCCAGGCTGGATTGCAGTGGCATGATCTTGGCCCAGTGCAACCTCTGATTCTCGGGTTCAAGCGATTCTCATGTCTCAGCCTCCCAAGTAGCTGGGATTACAGGGGTGTGCCACCACACCCAGCTAACTTTTGTATTTTTAGTAGAGATGGGGTTTCACCATGTTGGACAGGTTGGTCTTGAACTCCTCACCGCAAGTGATCTGCCCGCTTCGGCCTCCTAAATTGCTGGGATGTCAGGTGTGAGTCACTGTGCCCAGCCTTAGTTTTTTTTTTTAACCTTGTGAAAGTCGCTCCAGCCCTCCTGCTTTTAAAATTTGAAAGCAAGGATGATATCACATAGTTTTTCTGGTAGCTATGACCTGTCTTCCTAACTTCCATGAAGTATATCTATGAAATAATAAAACCGTAGGCTGGGCACAGTGGCTCACACCTGTAATCCCAGCACTTTGGGAGGCTGAGGTGGGCAGCTCACGAGGTCAGGAGATTGAGACCGGCCTGGCCAGCATGGTGAAACCCCGTTTCTACTAAAAATACAAAAAAAAAAAAAAAAAAAAAAAAAAAAAAAAGAAAAATTAGTTGGGCATGGTGGCATGTGCCTGTAATCCCAGCTATTTGGGAGGCTGAGGCAGGAGAATCACTTGAACCCAGGAGGTGGAGGTTGCAGTGAGCTGAAATCACACCACTGCACTCCAGCCTGGCGACAGAGCAAGACTCCGCCTCAAAAATAAAACAAAACAAAGCACAACACAACAAAAAAAAAACAAAAAAACCCCTCCTGAATCCTGATATATGCATCTTCAGAGAGGTTTCTAAGTTACACTATGACACCTATAACACATTTGAGTATCTTTGGAAACAGCTCTTTAATAAACTACCTTCAAAGTCGCATAAATGTCAGTAAATTAGAATCCAAACAACAGAGTGTTTGTATAGTAAATGTGGACTGAAAGACTATAGAAAGTTACAGAATGCCCCCACGATCTCTACCAAACAAACATAATCAATATTGAATGGATGAAAAAAAATTTAAAGAAAAAATAACCAGATTATGTCATTCTTCATTTCAAAAATTAAGTTTGAGTAAGTGCAGGGTCTGGGCATTTCCATCAAGAGACAGGGAGGAATGAGGAAGCAAGATCCCTGCATTCATGGATTTTACATTCTGTGAAAGGAGACCTGCTTTTTCCCATCTTAAGGGCACAATATCAGGATCATCTGGGAGAATTTGGAAAAAAATTTAGAAATTAAAAAAAGAAAAATGGGCTGGGCTCGGTGGCTCACGCCTGTTATCCCAGCACTTTGGGAGGCCGAGGTGGGTGGATCACGAGGTCAGGAGTTCGAGACCAGCCTGGCCAATATGGTGAAACCCAGTCTCTACTAAAAATACAAAAATTAGCCAGGTGTGGTGGTGCACGCCTGTAGTCTCAGCTACTTGGGAGGCTGAGGCAGGAGAATCGCTTGAACCCAGGAGGCAGAGGTTGCAGTGAGCTGAGATCATGCCACTGTACTCCAGCCTGGGCAACAGAGTGAGACTCTGTCTCAAAAAAAACAAGAAAAAAGAATAAAAAATGGCACTATATATTCACTATACAAAACTCTGAAAGAATCTTGGCCTGATTGAAAAATCAAATCAAATCCACCCTTAATGTTCCTGTGGATGCTTGCTACTCTGTTCTGCCTGGCAGTATGATTCTCTGTCAAAATATAGCACAACCATAGCATTTCCAGCTCAGTTACGCAGTTGCTGCCAGATCCATCCATTCGTTCATCCACCTGTCATCAAATGTCTTTTGCAATGATGAGCAAGATGTGGCTCCTGCCCTCAAGAAGCTCACAGTGTACTGGAGAAGATAGGCAAGCACCCTATTCCAATCTCACTGTCAGCTCTCATCAGAGCAAGTGACCAGCTTGCATGAAGAGGAGATTTATTGCAACAATAAAGAGGAATATTTCAGGATCCAAGATAGAAATTTTATCTACACCCTATGGGCACTGAACACGGCCATGAATTGAAGTATCCACTCCCTCTTTTTGTTTCCTTTGTTATCTAATTCATTATTTTCTTTTTTCCAGACTGGCCTCTTGGTGTTCTAGAAACCCAACTGAGGCTTACTCACACTTAGTGCTGGCATAATAAATGCTCAATAAAGCCTAGCTATTATTATACATTTAATATAAACTGATATACACTCATGCACTTGTATTTATCTAAGCCGATATATATTTATATACATAGGTGTTTTTTTAAACAAATTTCACATCATGTACAGTGGGTTCTGATATCAGTGGCCAATTATCCTTTGCAATGAAACTGAGAGCAACCTTTTGTCATGGTTGACAAAACAGCAATCCTTGTTCCAGCCCCATCTGGGTATCCCTTCTGTCAGATTTTGTAGATCCTCTTTTGTCTTCTATGGTTCTTGTCCTGTTGGCTGATTACCTCATGGTCTTGGGATCTAGATGCTCAGTCTCTGCCAGACTTTACTGAAGCACCAGCTTTATGAATTGTACCCACAGGAGGCTCCCCTTCCCTCCAGCACATGCTACACAGTGTCAGCAGCCCCCTCCCACCCTCATGCTTGGGTAAATGTGCTGTATTAGCCTGTAATCATGCTGCTAATCAGGTCATACCTAAGACTGGGTAATTTATGAGAGAAAGAAGTTTAATTGACTCACATTTCCACATGGCTGGGGAGGCCTCATGATCATGGTGGAAGGTGAAGGAGGAGCAAAGTCACGTCTTACATGGTGGCAGGCAAGACAGCATGTGCAGGGGAACTCCTATTTATATAATCATCAGATCTCGCAAGACTTATTCACTGTCACAAGAACAGCATGGGAAAGACCCTCCCCCATGATTCAATTACCTCCACTGGGTACCTTCTATGACATGTGGGGATTATGGGAGCTACAATTCAAGATGAGATTTGGGTGGAGACACAGCCAAACCATATCATGTGCTTTGGTATTATGGTCTTGCTCTTTGAATGCATGCTTCACTTGTTCTGTGTGTGTATTTTTTTTCTGGCAGGGGCTCTCTCTGTCAGCCAGGCTAAAGTGCAATGGTGCGATCACAGCTCACTGCATATATATATGATATATATAATATATATCATATGTAATATATAATAATATATATCATATAATTATACATGATATATATTATATATAATACATACACTATATATAATATATAGTGTATATATTGTATATATATATAAAATTCCTATTGGTTCTATTTATCTGGAGAACCCCAGCTTTTGTAATAAAAATTTCAATTTTGTGGCCAGGCACCTCCAAATATTTTTGCTTACAACTGTGAGAAAAATTTATAGAAATAAAATTACTTGGCCTAAGGAGATGCACATTTGATGTTTAAACGTATAACGACAAAGTGCTACAAAAAGGCACATTAACATCTTTTGTTGGCCATTGTCTGATGAATATTTGGATAGAAAAAAAAAATGCCCCATTGAGGAAAGATACAGATTCCTTCTTATTTTTAAATGTCTCACATCTCCTTACCATCTTTTTCACCCAGCAGCCCAGGGGGTTGTTTAACCATTTAATGACTGCAGGAAAGAGAAAAACATTCCTGTCTAAAGTTTCCCTAAAGTACCCATACCATTGTTTTGAAAGCAGAGATAATGCTTCGAGTACACTGCTTTCTTTTGGTCAGAGATCGGCAAACTACGACCTGTGGGCCACATCTAAATACCATTTCTTTCTGTGCTGCCCATCAGCTAGAAATGGTTTTTACATTTTTAAAGTGTTGAAAAAAATAAAAAGCCAAATATGTGTGCTACATGAAAACTATATTAAATTTGGCCGGGCGCGGTGGCTCACGGCTATAATCCCAGCACTTTAAAAGGCTAAGGCGGGCACATCACGAGGTCAAGAGATCGACACCATCCTGGCCAACATGGTGAAATGGCATCTCTACTAAAAATACAATAATTAGCTGGATGTGGTGGTGTACACCTGCAGTCCCAGTTACTCAGAAGGCTGAGGCAGGAGGATCAATTGAATCTGGGAGGTGGAGGTTGCAGTGAGCCAAGATCACGCCACTGCACTCCAGCCTGGCTACAGAGTGAAACTCCATCTCAAAAAAAAAGAAAACTGTATGAAATTCAAATTTCATGTCCATAAGTAAAGTTTTATTGGAACACAGCCACACACACTCATTTACATATTGTCTGTGGCTGCTTGCCCTCAACAATGGAAGAATTGATTTGTTACAAGAGGGAACACATATGGCCTGCAAAGCTGAAAACATATATTGTTAATTTGATGGAGATCTTTGTATATTCATATACAGTTGTCAGAAATAATACAGAGAGATTGTACTCTTTGCTCAGTTGCCCCCAATGGTAACATTTTGCAAAATTTAAGCACAACACTACAACCAGGATATTAATATTGGCATAATCCACTGGGCTTGAAACTGAAAGTATTTACTACTTGGCCTTTTACGAGGAAATATTTTACAACCATTCGTTTTGGCCTGCAGTATTATTTTTTCTTTTGTGTTAGTCTTATTTTTTTCTTCTCTGAATTTTTCTCTATAATTCTCTGTTTTGTTTCCCCTCAATACTCCGCTACAGATAATACTGCAAATTAGCAATGCTCACTTTTATAGTGAATTGCATTTTTCTACTTGCCAAGTTTCAAGGTAAAATATATTTTAAGGGAAACAAAGAATAATGGTTTTTCCTTTGGTCTAAAATTAATTTTGATCACAATATTAACACAAAGCTAATGAAATTCAGAACTAAGGGAATTAAAAATATATATGTAAAAAACCCAGCTCTTCATTTTTCTAATTCTACTTTTCCCTAGAAAGACTGATTTACTTTTAGGGTGAGAAGTGGAGATACTGTTACCCCCTCACAGGTGGAGTCTAACAAAACAAAACAATTATTAACCCTTTCCTAGACAGGGCTGGTCAGGGGCTGAATAGCTGCTTAAGTACCTCTGGAAAAGGTAACTTCTCAGCCCAAGGGTGCAGGGCCGGACTTGGTCTTTTTAGATTCATTCCCTGGCTGGCTGGTTGTTAGTTTTGTAAGGTAAGAAAGCAGCATTTAGCAACAGAGGAGAGAATGTGAGAGATAATTCTGGTGGTCCTTTTCCAGGTAGGTTGCTGCTATCGTTCGAATGTTTGTCCTCTCCAAAACTCATGTTGAAATCTAATTACAATTGTAACAGTATTAGGAGGTGGGACCTTTATTGAGTCTGGCCCCCTTGTGCCTCTTGGCCCTTCCACCTTCTGCCATGTGAGCATCCAGCCTTCCTCCCCTCCGGAGGACACAGTCTGTGAGGTGCCATGTTGGAAGAAGAGAATGGCCTCACCTCACCAGACACCAAACCTGCCAATGCCATGACTTTAGCCTTCCCAGCCTCCAGAGCTATGAGCCAATACATTTCTGTTCTTTATAAATTCCTAAGTCTTAGATGTTCTGTATTATTCTGCATTATTGAACAACTGTGTTGTTCAGCACAAATGGGACTATGGCAGCCGCCATCTTGAGAGGACAGTATAGAGCAGTGAGATGTGACAGAGGCCAATGAGGACAGACCGGACATAAGAGGGTTTTCTGAGAATTAACCTAAATCAAAGATTCAAAATGTGCTCCTAGGGCCGGATGCAGTGGGTCACGCCTATAATCCCAGCACTTTGGGAGGCCGAGTCGGGCAGATCACCTGAGGTCAGGAGTTCGAGACCAGCCTGGGCCTTGGCATGGCAAAACCCCATCTCTACTAAAAATACAAAAATTAGCCAAGCATGGTGGTGCACACCTGTAGTCCCAGCTACTCGGAAGGCTGAGGCAGGAGGATCACTTGAACCCACGAGGCAGAGGCTGCAGTGAGCTGAGATCTCGCCCCTGCACTCCAGCCTGGGCAATAGAGTGAGACTTAGTCTCAAAAAAAAAAGAGTAGTGTTTTCAGACAAACAGCACCAAGGACTCTTGACAAATGTGAGTTATCAGGCTCCTACCCTAAACCTACTAAGTCTGATACTTTGGGGGTGGAGCCCAGAAATCTGTTTTAACAAGACTGTGGGTGATGATGATGATTGATACAGGTTCAAGTTTAAGAACAGCTGCCTTCAATCCCAATCCATGCCTAGAGGCCCAGAGTGGAGCCAATCAAGGTCTCAAGAGAAAGCAGGTCTCCCAGGACTGCTAAGATGGGTTTCCTGTTGCTTGTTGTGTCTCCTGATGATAGCTAGTATTTATCTAGTGTAGACTATGTCTCAGACACTCTAGTACATGAAAATAATAGTGCTCAGCGCTTATTGATTACTTAATATATTCCAGATACTGTCCTTGATGCTTTGCTTTATTATCTCATTTAATTTTGAGAACATACTTATCAGTGGGAACTAAGTGATGAGAACACAGGAACACATAGAGGGGAACAACACACACTGAGGCCTACCAGAGGGTAGAGGGTGGGAGGAGGGAGAGAAGCAGGAGAAATAACTAATGCGTACTAGGCTTGATACCTGGGTGACGAGATGATCTGTACAACAAACCCCTGTGACACAAGTTTACCTATATAACAAACTTGCACATGCACCCCTGAACTTAAAAATTAAATTGAGGCTGGGTGCAGTGGCTCACCCCTGTAATCCCAGCACTTTGGGAGGTTGAGGTGGGTGGATCAACTGAGGTCAGGAGTTCGAGACCAGCCTAGCCAACATGATGAAACCCCATCTCTACCAAAAAATACAAAAATTAGCCAGGTATGGTAGCACACACCTGTAGTCCCAGCTACTCGGGAGGCTGAGGCAGGAGAATTGCTTAAACTTGGAGGTGGAGGTTACAGTGAGCTGAGATTGTGCCACTGCACTCCAGCCTGGGCGACAGAGCGAGACTCTGTCTCAAAATAAATAAATAAATAAATAAATAAACAAATAAAATGAAAATTAAAAAAAGACAGTAAATGTAATATAAAGTGTGCAAAGTTCTCACCAGTATACCTAATCAGAGTTGACCTTAGTACATACAAATGTAAAATTATGCTTAATAGTAATTTTGAGAATATAATGAGGTAGTCGCTTTCATTAACCCCGTAATACAAATGAGAAAACTGAGGTCCAGAGAAGTTATGTCATTGGTGATAAGTCATAAAGGCAGCAAAGAGAAGACCCCAGCCTGACCCCAAGAGTCCTGGCTTGTGACCCTGATGTCCTGTCACTGGTGTTCTGAGATGCATTAACTCCCTGGTTCCCAGCCTTTCTGACACCAGGGACCAGTTTCATGGAAGATAATTTTTCCATGGACCGGGGTTAGGGGCGGGGGATGTTTTCGGGATGAAACTGTTCCACATTACATTCCCATAAGGAGTGTGCAACCTAGGTTCCTCTCAGGCGCAGTTCACAATACGGTTTACGCTTCTATGAGAATCTAATGCCGCCTCTGATCTGACAGGAGGTGAAGCTCATGTGGTGATGCTGGTTTGCCCCCTGCTCATGTCCCGCTCCGGCTCGCTCACTGCTCACCTCCCGCTCACCCACTGCTCACCTCCCGCTCCCACTTGCCCACTGCTCACCTCCCGCTCACCCACCGCTCACCTCCCGGTCACCCACTGCTCACCTCCCGGTCACCCACTGCTCACCTCCCGCTCCCGCTTGCCCACCGCTCACCTCCCGCTCCCGCTTGCCCACCGCTCACCGCCTGCTCGCCCGCCGCTCACCTCCTGCTGACCCACTGCTCACCTCCTGCTGTGTGGCTCAGTTCCCAGCCCTCGGCCCGGGGTTTGGGGACCCCTGCATCAACTCATTTAATCCCCTCAACGTTACTAAGAAAGTTAAATTCATTAGTGAAATTTTACAGCTGAGGAGAGGGAGGCTCTGAGAGGTCCACTAGTTTGCCTCAAATCACATAGCTTGTTAAAAGCTCAGCTGGATTGAGAACCTGAGCCATTATTGCTTGTCTCTCCTTGCGCTTGTCCTATTGCCTGGCACATACTATGTCTTCAAACGCTGAGTGCCGCCAGCCGCTGACTCAGAGACCATCCCCTGGTCCTGTGAGGGGGCAGCCTGACCCCTTCTTTAGGGAGCACAAGGGAAGGGTCCTACATCCAACCCTAAACTGAGCGCTCCCAGAAAGAACATTCCCCAGGAGCCTCCTTGAAGCTTGCTGCAAAATGCTGTGAAGGCGGGACCTGAATCAAGTGCGATTCATTTGAACAGAGTTTTAATTAGTAAATAAATTAGTTGGGGGGCAGGGGGAAAGATATCAATTAGAACATGTGGTTAAATAGGCAGAAATATGCAGAGAATTTTTGTGCCTGGAGGAAATGCACGTGTTCCATTAGCACTAATTAAGAAACACAGAATATTCTTTCCAGGCTAAAAGAGGCTTGAGCGTCAGGAACAGAGAGGTAGTGTGGAAAGTCTGGCTGATTTAGGCTGGGTGCAGTGGCTCATACCTGTAATCCCAGCACTTTGGGAGGCCCAGGTGGGTGGATCACTTGAGGTCAGGAGTTCAAGAACAGCTTGGCCAACATGGTGAAACTCCATCTCTACTAAAAATACAAAAAAATAGCTGGGCGTGGTGGCAGGCACCTGTAATCCCAGCTGTTGGGGGAGGCTGAGGCACAAGAATCGCTTGAACCTGGGAGGCGGAAGTTGCAGTGAGCTGAGATCCCACCACTGGACTCCAGCCTGGGCGGCAAGAGCAAAACTCTATCTCACACACACACACACACACACACACACACAAAACAAGTCTGGCTACTTTCAAGCTGGGACAAGCTGGTCACTTTATGGCATCAAGCCTAAAGCTTACTACCTGTGTGAGCTCAGCCTCCAAAGCCTTAACTTCATTTTGCTAAAAATGGAGATAATGATACTGACCATATAGGATTATCAGAAGGATTTTTATGTTTGATATCAAGAAGGCAGTGATATTTGAGTAGGTCCACATTTTTGGTCTTGTTTTCTCCTCAACATAGCCCTATGATTACATAGAGCAGAAATTACAAACCCATTTTTTCAGGTGGAAAAACAGTGTAGTGGATCCAGTCACTTGTCTCTTCTAACATCTGTTCAACTGTTTTTCTAGGACGTCTCTCGTACTGCAGAGACTGGAAAGTGAAAATCTGTAACATGTTTTCCAGACTCCCTTGTAGCTAGCGCTCCTGGTCTGATTCAGAACCACCAATCATATGGACTCACCAAAGACTTGAGTTTAGAATGAAGTTTGGTGGGGAGATGAGGCATCCAACTTGGTGTTAGCTCACAGCAGATGAGATGTGGCTTGACAAAGAGCAGGAGGAGGGATTGTTTCCTGCATCTGGGCCATGGTTAAGGTGGTGTGATCCTGAAGCCAGACATCAGAAGGTGGCTTTCTTTTTTTCTTTTTCTTTTTCCTTTTTTTTTTTTGAGATGTAATCTCGCTCTGTCACGAGACTGGAGTGCAGTGGCGCGATCTCATCTCACTGCAACCTCCACCTCCCAGGTTTAATCGATTCTCCTGTCTCAGCCTCCTGAGAAGCTTGGACTACAGGTGAACACCACCACATCCGGGTAATTTTCATATTTTTAGTAGAGATGGGGTTTCACCATTTTGGCTAGGATGGTCTCGATCTCTTGACCTTGTGATCTGCCCACCTTGGCCTCCCAAAGTGATGGGATTACAGGCGTGAGCCACTGCGCCTGGCCCAGAAGGTGGCTTTCTGCTGGCCCTTCTTCCTCTTTCTCTGATGGGCAAGTTCTGAGATGCTGCTCTGGAAGTCGTTCCTAGAGGACAGCCTAGATCCTGCTCCTCCAGCCCTCATAACAATTTTGTTTGATCTAATTTTTCTTTTCTTTTTTTGAGATGGAGTCCCACTCTGTCACCCTGGCTGGAGAGCAGTGGTGTAAACTCAGCTCACTGCAGTCTCTGCCTCCCAGGTTCAAGTGACTTTCCTACCTCAGCCTCTTGAGTAGCTGGGATTATAGGCACCCGCCACCATGCCCAGCTAATTTTTGTATTTTTAGTAGAGACAGGGATTTCACCATGTTGGCCAGGCTGGTCTCGAATTCCTGACCTTCAGTGATCTGCCCGTCTTGGTCTCCCAAAGCTCTGGGATTACAGGAGTGAGCCCCCATGCCCAGCCTGAACTGAATTCTTTCTATTAAATTCTTTTTTGCCTTACGTAGTGGGAGAGATTTTGCAGCTGAATCCCAGATGATACAATGGGGCACAGAGAAGTTATGCCACTTGTCCTAATAAAAGTTAAGTGTTTGATATTGCTGGTACTTAAAAAACATCCCTACAGATATTAATTTCATTTCCTGTGGATTTTCCACTTTATTTTACTTCTTTGAGCCCCTGTTTCCTCATCTGTCAAATAGAAATAATAATATTTATCTTGCAGGAGATGTGAGAATTGAACAAGGTCATAGATAATAAATTATTAGAGTCATGTAGATAATCCACAAATGGCACCTATTAATAATAAAAACTGGCTTTATAAGAAAGTCTATCAGTTAGGATGTGCTGGTTTTTTTTTGTTGTTGTTGTTGTTTTTTGAGACGGAGTTTTGCTCTTGTTGCCCAGGTTGTAGTGCAGTGGTGCGATCTCAGGTCACTGCAACCTCTGCCTCCCAGGTTCAAGAGATTCTTCTGCCTCAGCCTCCTGAGTAGCTGGGATTACAGGCATGTGCCACCACACCCGGCTATTTTTTTTTTTTAGTGGAGACGGGGTTTCTCCATGTTGGCCAGGCTGATCTTGAACTCCCGACCTCAGGTGATCCACCCACCTCAGCGTCCCAAAGTGCTGGGATGACAGGCGTGAAGCACTGTGCCTGGCCCATTTCAATATCTTAAAACAGAAAAGGTTTATTTCTCGTTCACGCTCATTGATACGTCTAGAGTTGGCAAGGGGTGTTCTGCTCCTCTTGGTTACTCAGGGGTCCAGGCTAATGGAGCAGCCGCCGTCTCATATGCACACTCATGAAAGAAGACAGCATTGGAGGGTCTTCAGTGAGCAATACAATCCTTGGCTTGCAGCAATATGGGGTACGTGCACTCACAATTCATTCTCCAAAACTAGTCACAAGGTCCCACCCAATCACAGGGGAACCAGGAAATGTAGTGCTGTCATGGGATAAGCTGGACAAAATATTTGGTGACCACATAGAGAGTGGAAGTGGAGTGACAACAAGACAGGAAGCTGTGCAGTGCTTCCAACATTTCTAAACTTCAGAACTTGTTCCATCTCCTATTAGGAACTGCAAGACTGCAATTGGATGGTTGGAAAGAAATTAAAGGGCATTTTCAGACAGCTGGAAGGAAGTCTGGAATTAGGAATCCTTCCAACACTTCGGTTTCTCTTGCTTTGCTACATCCCATTCCCCTCCCAGAATCCGGAGTGCTCCATGTGAACATGAATCAGATCACATTATCTTCCCACTTAAAATCGTCAAATGATGCTAAAAAGAAAACCCAAGCTTCTCACGATAGTGCTTCATGACTGTATTAGTTATTGATGGCTGCACAACAAATATTTCCCCAAATATAGGGACTTAAGAGAACAATAAACCTTTATTATCTCATGCAGTTTCTTTATTCTGTTTTTTTTTCCTTCTTTTTGAGACAGGGTCTTGCTCTGTTGCCCAGGCTGTAGTGCGGTGGTGTGATCATAGCTCACTGCAGCCTCGATCTCCTGGGCTCAAGAGCTCCTTCTGTTTCAGTCGCCCAAGTAGTTGAAACTTCAGGCATGTGTCACCCCACCTGGCTAGTTTTTTAAATGTTTTGTAGAGACAGTGTCTTGCTATGTTGTCCAAGCTTGTCTTGAACTCCTAGCCTCAAGTGATCCTCCTCCTTCAGCCTCCTAAAGTTCTGGGATTACAGATGTGAGCCACTGTGCTCGGACTAATGCAGCTTTTCTTGGTCGGGCATTTGGGAGTGACTCAACTGGGTGTCCTGGCTTATGGTCTTTCAGAGGTTGCCATTATGACACAGGTTGGGATTGCAGTCGTCCGAAGGCTTTGTTGGGCTAAAGGATCCAAGATGCACTCACATGGCTAGAAGGTTGATGCTGGCTATTGGTAGGAGGCCTCAGTTCCTTATAACACGGACCTTCCCATGAGACTGCTGAACTGTCCTCATGATACGGTGGTTGGCTTTGTCCAGAGTGAGTTGTCTGAGAAAGAGAGGGCAAGGCAGAAGCTGCAATGTTCTTCTATAACCCAGTCTTAGAACCCACACCCTGTCACTTCCCCCAGGTCCCCTAGGTCAGCCATATTTATTGTTTACACAAGGGTGTAAATTCCAGGAGGCAGAGATCATGGGGGCATCCAGGAGGCTAGCAGGCAGTGACTTAGTGCTCTGATTTTATCTTCTGTTGATTCACTAAGCACTCCTCACATTGAACTTCTATCTGTTTGAAACATGCTAAGCTGAGCCAAACCGAAGGCTTTTGCTTGCTCTTCCCTCCACATGAGATTCTGTTTCTCCAATCTGCTTCATCATCACATTTGGGTTTTGGCTCAACTGTTGTTTTCTTAGAGAGGCTTTCCCTGACCACCCTGTCCAATATTGCTCTTCCCTGCAGTCCCCACTCCAGGCCAATTGCTAGCACATCATTCTATTTATTTCCTTCACTCTTTGAAATCACTTTATTTATTTATTTATTTAGAGACAGGGCCTCGTTCTGTTGCCCAGGCTGGAGTGCAGTGGCGTGATCTTGGCTCACTGCAGCCCTGACCTTCTGGGCTCAAGCCATTCTCCTGCCTCAGCTTCCTGAGTAGCTGGTACTACAGGTGCATGCCACCATGCCTGCCTACTTTTTTCATTTTTTGCAGAGATGGGGGGGGGTCTCACTATGCTGCCTAGGCTTGTCTTGAACTCCTGCACACAAGTGATCCTCCTGCCTTGGCCTCCCAAAATGCCTGGATTACAAGCATGAGCCACTGCACTCAGCTGTAGTCTGAAATCGCTGTAATTACTGATTAGTTTATTAGGCCTCCGTCTCCTCTCTTAAGACTTCGGCTCCCTGAGAGTGGGCTGGGCCCATTATGCTCATCCCAGCATCTCCAGCACCTGGTATAGCTCCTCGTCCATAGCAAGTGAACCATACCTATGTGCCTAGTAAAAGAACAGCCTCCAGCCTCCCACCTCCCATAGGGAAAGTTCCAGATCCCTCAAATTTTCTCATGCCCTCCTGCTATCCTGAACCTGATCTGAAATCGGACCCTGGGTTTGTCCTAAGCTCCCTGCTCCTGTATGATCATTATTCACAGTGCAACCCATGAGTCTGCAAAGCCCTACAATCTTCCTTAAGAGGAGAGGGTGAGAAAAACCTGGTTGGCAGGCTGAGAGGCTGCCTTGCTGCAGGCTTGGCTGGACCCACAGCCAGAGCTCACCCTCCCAGCCCAGAAGCCTTTCTGGTTCAGTTGGTGATTATCTGAATAAGGCACTTTTAACTGCACAATCTAAGGGCTTCTTGGCAGGTGACCCATTAATGCTGGCCTAAATGGGAGTCACCTAGAGGGAGGGATGCCCTGGGGACCACTCTGAAAGCTTTAGCAGAATGCGTGGTTTTCTCAGTCGCTGTGGCTTCCCCAGGCATTTAAATGGGCGGCAGACAAGATTGCTCACATAGCATCTCCAGCCTCTGGTCTCAGAGGCTGCAGGTGACTGAGAGGGGCCATTCAAGCAGATCAACCATCTGCCTGCTAAGCTTCGTTTCATCTTTTCTCCATCTTTCCTTCCTTCCTCCCTCCCTCTCTCCCTTCCTCTTTCCCTCCTTCCCTCCCTTTGTCCCTCCCTTCCTGCCTTACCTATTTAGGGAAGTTGCAAAGGTTTATGAATTCCCCAGCCATCAACCTCTCATCTCTGACTATTGGCTTCATCTACTCCATTCCTTTCTCCTGTATCTTGCCTGCCTCTAACATCTGAAATATTGAGGTGACCTACTTTCACTGTATAAGTAGAGGCACCGGAGCTGTGGGCTAGAGGTATGAGAGAAACGGGCAGAGGCATCCGGCTGGTGAGAATCGTGAGACCCCTCTGACTATCTGGCTGGACTACTGGTGGCTTCTTGCATGTCTAGATTTTCAAAACCTGGCACCTTGGACAGCATTTGTGCACCTGGAGTTTTTGATGTGGGGCATTTTGTCGCAGCTCTTTTAGTACATTTCTATAGCCAGAGTGCCACGTGGGGTCCAGCATTTGCTGAGTGTTACCGGACACCGTGCTAGGTGATGTGATCCCATTAGTAATACTTGTGAGCACTTTATAAAGCAAGCATTTGGCACATGCCATCTCATTTCATCCTCTCCCAAACCTTGTAAGATGGGGGTGATTTGTCCCTAGTTTTCAGATGAGGGAACTGATGTGTAGAGAGGTTACGCTGCTCAGGAAATTCTAAAACCTTCATGTTGTGTATAGATTCTCTTTTTTTTTTTTTTTTGTTTGAGATGGAATCTCACTCTTGTCGCCCAGGTTGGATTGCAATAGCTCAGTCTTGGCTCACTGCAGCCTCTGCCTCCCGGGTTCAAGTGATTCTCCTGCCTCAGCCTCCCGAGTAGCTGGGATTACAGGCGCCCACCACCACACCCAGCTAATTTTTGTATTATTATTATTATTATTATTATTATTATTATTATTATTTTAGTAGAGACAGGGTTTTACCATGTTGGCTGGGCTATTCTTGATCTCCTGACCTCAGGTGATCTGCCCACCTCAGCTTCCTCAAGTTCTGGGATTACAGGCGTGAGCCACCACGCCCAGCCTGGATTCTCAAATTTGATTCTTACCACAACTCTGTGAGATGAAAATTATCATCCTCATTTTATATGCGAAAGCCCCAAGGCTTGAGGGTGAAGATCACACAGCCATCAAGTGGGGACTCTACTATTCATCAGCAGTCCCCTGTGCACGTGAAACTAGGTTGTCATGTGCAAGTGATTCGCCATCATTTGCAAAATTTGAAAGTTCAGTTGTTAGGAGAATCACTTACTCATTCCACAAGTATTTCTTGTGTGCCAATTAGGTATTAGGATCAACAGTGATGTGGTAGATTGCACACATGGACACAGACTGTTCCCTTCTCTTTAACCACACCCCTGTGTAAAGTGGCTTTGCATCTTCTCCCATCAAGAGGTAGAGTCTGTGTCCCCACCTCTTAATTCTGGACTGGCCTTGTGCCAAGCTTTGAACACTAGAATGTGACAAAAGTGACAGTGTGCCAGTCTAGACCTCTAGCTGTTTCTGCTCTCTCTTGAAACCCTATGAGCTCCATGTGAACAATCCTTATCTGATCAGCCAAGCGCCAAGAGACAAATGTCCCAGTCACACATGCTATCTTAGTCAGCATTCAGCCAACTCCTAGAAACAGCTGTGGGGTGGACTGGCAGCTGACCACAGATGCATGAGTGAGCCCAGCCAAGACCAGAAGAACAGCCCAGCTGAGCACAGCCCACGTTGCCAGACCACATGGTCAGGAGCTGAATCGGTGATTCTCAAAATGTATTCCCTAGTCTAGTAACAGCAGACTCACCAGGGAACCTATCAGAAAGGCACATTTTCAAGCTCACTTTAGCACTACAGAATCATACACTCCAGGAGTGGGCCCAAGTGATTGACTGATGGATTTTGAGATGGAGTCTTGCTCTTTCGCTCAGGCTGGAGAGCAGTGGCACAATCTTGGCTTACTGCAACCTCCTCCTCCTGGGTTCAACCGATTCTCCCACCTCAGCATCCTGAGCAGCTGGGATTACAGGCGCCCACCACCATGCCCAGCTAATTTGTATTTTTAGTAGAGATGGGGTTTCACCATGTTGGTCAGGCTGGTCTCAAACTCCTGAGCTCAGGTGATCCACCTGCCTCGGCCTCTCAAAGTGCTGGGATTACAGGCGTTAGCCGCCATGCCTGGCCTGGTTCCACATTTTTGCACTTGAGAATTGTGCAGCTGTAAACATGTGTGTGTAAGTATTTGTTTTGTAAAATGACTCATTTTCCTCTGGGTAGATACCCAGTAGTGGGATTGCCAGATCAAATGACAGTTCTACTTTTAGTTCTTTAAGGAATCTCCACACTGTTTTCCATAGGGGTTGCACTACTTTACATACTGTGGGTTCTATTTTTATGTCCATTTTACAGATGTGGAAACTAAGGCCTAAAGAAGATAAGATCTTTGCTTGAGGTCACTTAACCAGCCAGGATTTTGACTAAGGTGTCTGGTAGGCTCTCAAGTTTATGCTTTTACATGTTGTAGGATCCAAACTCCTAGTGTGAGACAGAAAATGTGTGGTGGACACCCAGAGTGGCCAGAATGGGAGCGTTACAGTTCCACGAGTCAAAAGAGGTTGTATGGGAGAGAGAGTCCCACAGTTGACTGAGTGGGCCAGGCAAGATTGGAACAGGTAGAGAGAGAAGAGAAAAATGAATTTCAGATGGAGAAAGCCGCTTGAGCAAAGATGAGTGAACCCGCAAACCTTACTAAAAGCAAGTGTTTTTATTGGCAGAAGTGAGTGTTCCGGGGTAAGACGGTAGCAGAATTTTAAATTCAGAGCATCATAAAGATTCAGCATTAATGAGTTTGTTGGAAGATGAGGTGTGGAAAGTTTCCTTGAAATATTAAATTAGTAACCCCAGCAAATGTTTTTTGACTTTTGAGTAGTGTGGTCTCTAAATTGACTTCCCTCCACCATTGGACTATAAATGGTTTGAAGATGTTAGACTTGAAAGGGTAGGGAGAATATTTTGCTGTTGCTATAGTTTATTGTCTCAACTAAACTTTTTCTTTCCACATTTTTTCCCTAAAGTGTATTCAGAAGGTGACATACCTCTCTTTCTAATGTCTTCTTTTTCTATATCACTAATAAAAAGAGGGAATACTTCGGTGAGCATCTGTTATGTGCTCAGCATCTGCCATGTTCACCACAAGTTAAGACTCTGCCCCTACTATCAAGAAACCTAGCAATCTAACTGGACACGAACCCATCTAGCATGCAAGCCAAAGACCATTAACAATCAGAGAAGAGAAAAGTCAGTGTAGGCTGGAGAAACCAGGAAGATCTTCAAGGGAAACTCAGTCCTGACATGGGAGGAAAACATTTCAGTTTCTTTTCTGCTTCTTCTCCTTCCTTCCTCCTTCTTCCTCCTCCCTTCTTCCTCCTTTCCTCCTCCTCCCCCTCCTCCCCCCTCCTCCTTCTTCTTCCTCTTCTTCTTCTTTTTCTTCTTCTTCTTCTTTTCTTCTTCTCCTCCTTCTCCTTCTTTTTTCTTCCTCTTTCTCTTCCTCCTCCTCTCTCTCTCTTTTTTTTTAAACCAGTGAACAGAAACATTTCAGTTTCATATTGACATTCAGTACATTAGGACCAGCTTTAGTACCACCTAGAATATATTCTTGTCCAATTTAGGAAAATAAGAGATGATCCTTTGCCTAAAAACTTCTTGGCAGATTTTCAATCTGAAATGGCAAATGTGCTTTACCTCTAGGATCAGTAGTGCTTGGAGTGCTATCTTGAATTTTGAGAATTTGGAGGGTCTCCAGCTTCAGAGGAAATGAATACTGGAAGCAATGGATGATGATGTCTGCTATGGTATGGGAGGTATGGGAGGAGTGGGGGAGAATATCCTATGTATATGACTTCCCTCTCCCATACTTTTCTCTGCAAATTGTTATAAAATCTCTATTTTCGTGTACCCAAGTAGCTAAAATCTTTAACTAATTGTACTTCATGCCCTGCTTTTGACTTTATTTTATTTTATGTTATTATTTATTTATTTTGAGATGGAGTCTCACTCTGTTGCCCAGGTGGGAGTGCAGTGGCACATTCTAGGCTCACTGCAACCTCCGCCTCCTGAGTTCAACTGATCCTCCTGCCTCAGCCTCCGAGATAGTACGGATGCCCACCACCATGCCTGGCTAAGCTTTTTATGTTTTTAGTAGAGACAAAGTTTCACCACGTTGGCCAGGCTGGTTTTGAACTCCTGACTGCAAGTGATCCACCCACTTCGGCCTCCCAAAGTGCTGGGACTACAGGTGTGAGCACTGCACCTGGCCCTTGCTTTTGACTTTTAAGACAGAGGCACACAAAAACAAAATTAAACATATCAAATATATGAAAAGGGAATGACCTGGTACATTTCTGTTCAGCTAGTTAAATTGTAACCTAATATTCTATACTTTATTTGGAGTACTACAAGTTGTTTCCTTTATATCCTGAAAGATGACAGTGAGTTACAGAAAATACTAAATGATTAATGATAAACTATATATTCATATAAATACCAAGCTGTATTCTGTTGAAAATGTATGTTATCAGCCAATGGTCTATCTGAATTAAGAAGGAAATAGTCATTTGAGGATATAGTGACTTACCTGAGTGATATTAGGAGGTTCTAAAATGCTTGATTCTAATCAACTTTAGATAGCAACTCTAGGTTTCAGAGGACAGAGATTAGGAGAAGAAGTGGGCCACATGGAGAGCAATTTTTCTTTTCTTTTCTTTTCTTTTCTTTTTTTTTTTTTTGAGATGGATTCTCACTCTGTCTCCCAGGCTGGAGTGCAGTGGCGCAATCTTGGCTCACTGCAACCTCCACCTCTTGGGTTCAAGCGATTCTCCTGCCTCAGCCTCCTGAGTAGCTGGGATTACAGGCACCCGCCACCAAGCCCAGCTAATTTTTTGTATTTTTAGTAGAGACGGGCTTTCACCATGTTAGCCAGAATGGTCTCGATCTCCTAACCTCGTGATCCACCCGCCTAGGCCTCCCAAAGTGCTGGGATTACAGGCGTGAGCCACCGCACCCGGCCAAAGGAGATAGTTTTTGAGATGACCCTTGAAGGATGGATGGGAGTTTATGCGGAAAACAAGATTTGGGAAGAGGCAGAGAGCACAGCAAGGTAGAAGGCATGGGGTATGAAGAACTGTGGGGCCAGGTGCAGTGGCTCACGCCTGTAATCACAGCACTTTGGGAGCCTGAGGTGGGCGGATCATGAGGTCAAGAGATTGAGCCCATACTGGCCAACATGGTGAAACCTGTCTCTACTAAAAATACCTAAATTAGCTGGGCATGGTGGCCCTTGCCTGTAGTCCCAGCTACTCAGGAGGCCGAGGCAGGAGAATCGCTTTAACCCTAGAGGCGGAGGTTGCGGTGAGCTGAGCTGAGATTGCGCCACTGCACTCCAGCCTGGCAACAGAGCAAGACTCCGACTCAAAAAAAAAAAATAAATAAAATAAAATAAAATAAAGAAAGAAAAAAGAAAAACCATGGAGTATAGCGGGGACTCTAAGCCCTTTGGTATTGCCAAAAAAAAGGTGAAGTGTAGGGCTGTGTGCTGTGTGTGGCTGGCAAGCAGACTGGGGAGATGACAGAATCTCTGATGCTATATTAAGGATTTGGGACTTTATCCTGAAGGCAATGGGGATCCCAAGAAGGGTTGCAAACGTGGGTCAGATTTCCTTTTAGCTAAATCACTCTGGTGAGCAATGCAAAGGCAATGCAAGGATATGCATGAATCAGAGTCTCCTTCCTCCTTTATGCAATGAGATCGGGAAGAATGAAAATAGTTAAGGAGATAGTCTCTAGGGCTTTGATCTCAAATAGCACTAAATGCTAAAAGCTTGGAGTGAGAATGGAGTTTTAAGTGCATTCTGGAAGCTTTATGACTGTAATAAGAGATTCAGATGAGTTGATTTTATTCAATCTCAGACACAGATGCATAGATTCTATAGATATTTTTGAATTAAAATTTGGTGAGGACCAACCCTAGAGAAACCTGTGCCCATGAGCTCAACATTCATGTCCTAGAATGTTCATAGGAACATTGTTAAAGACAGCCCTAAAATGGAAACAGCCTAAATGTGCCTCTGCTCTAGACCTGATAAATGCATTGCATACTCACAGGATAAAACACTATACAGCAGTGAGAATAAAGGTAGTAGAGCTACATGCATTTATGAGAGTGAAACTAAATACATAATACGGAGCAGAAGAAGCAAAAATAGAAAGAATATATACAGTATAATTAAATTTATACAGGGTTCAATAATAGTCAAAATGATACTCTATTGTTAAGGGGCACAGCTGTAGGTTGTAAAATTAAAAAGGAAGTCAAGAAAAAGTTATCTCAAAAGCCTGAGGGGAGGTAGAGAGTTATGATGGGGAAATGACCCTGGGGCTCCTTGGGATATTGAGAATGCTCTGTTCATGACCTAGGTGGCAGGTGCCCGGATATTTGCTTACTATTTAGTAAGTAGTATATTTACATTTTTGCTCTTTTCTTCTGTATTGATATTTCATAATAAAGTATTTTTAAAGTTAGAAAAAGCCTTTGATCATAATAAATGAAAAAAGGTGTCATGGGGAAAAGCTTAAGGGAGGGAAATTCCACAATATGCCAAGGCTTTTTTTTTGAGATGGAGTCTCACACTGTCCCCCAGGCTGGAGTGCAATGGCACAGTCTTGGCTCACTGCAACCTCCGCCTCCTGGGTTCAAGCGATTCTCCTGTCTCAGCCTCCCAAGTAGCTGGGATTATAGGCATGTACCACCATGCCCGGCTAATTTTTGTATTTTTACAAAATTACAACATGGCTTTGCCATGTTGGCCAGGCTCGTCTCGAACTCCTGACCTCAGAGGATCCGCCCTCCTCGGCCTCCCAAAGTGCTGGGATTACAGGTGTGAGCCACTGTGCCCAGGCGCCAAGGCAGTTTAATATGTTTAAATCTTGCTCAAAATTATGTATCACATTTGTTTATCATTAGTGACTTATTTTGCTGCTACATGTTCTCTCTTAAGAAGATTTGTTCAAAACACGCACACACACCCCCCCCCCACACACACACCCCAAGCAGAACCGTGGGCTCCCTAAAATGACCCACGCACAAAGAAGTCTAGACATCCCCTGAGGGCAGCTCTGTGAATTCCAGGCACGGTGTCTAGGAACCTCTCAAAGATTAGTCCTAGAAGTTTGAGTTTCCAGAGATGATAGATGTCAAGGCTACCAAAAAAAAAAAAAAAAAAGTTTATGTTTGTCCACTGTCCTCCCAGGAGGAAGGGCAAAATTACCCCCACCTGATAACTGCTGTTCTAGAACAATGCTGTTTACTTGAAGTAAAATGTAAGACACATACGTAATTTTTAATTTTCTAGGGGCTATATTGAAAAAAGTAAAAAGAAACAGGTGAAATTAACTTTATTTTTATTTCTTTATTTATTTGAGATGGAGTCTCACTTTGTTGCCCAGGCTGGAGTGCAGTGGCACGATCTTGGCCCACTGCAACCTCCACGTCCTGGGTTCAAGCAATTCTTCTGCCAGCCTCAGCCTTTTGAGTAGATGGGACTACAGGCGCCCACCACCATGCCTGGCTAATTTTTGTATTTTTAGTAGAGATGAGGTTTCATCATGTTGGCGAGGCTGGTCTCAAACTCCTGACCTCAAGTGATCCTCCTGCCTGGGCCTCCCAAAGTGTTGGGATTACAGGCGTGAGCCACCGCTCCCAGCTGAAATTAAATTTAATAACATATTTTACTTGACTCAGTACTATCCAACATATTATCTTTTCAATATGTAATCAATCTTAAAACATTGGCATGCTTTGCCATTCTTTTTCCAGTAATAGGCCTTTGAAATGCTGTGTGTTTCTCACACTGACAGCACATTTCAACTTAGACCAGCCACTTCTCAAGTTCTCAGTGGCTCATGGGACTCATGGGTACCATCTTGGGCAGTTGAGTTCTAGAACATAAGCTCTGTGAGAATAGGATTTTTTGCCTTTTTTTTTCATTGCTGTATTTTTAGTGTCCAGTACAGTGCATAGTACATAGCAGACTCCCTGATGGATACTTTAAAAATAAATGATTTAATGAATATCTAATTCTATTCCTAAGAGAGAAGAACATTCTTATATGGAGTGGGGCACTTTAAAAGCATTAAGGGAAAAACAAAGTGAGTCAGAAAAATAATCCCATCTGGTGAATATTACACAAGATGAAATGCACAAAAGCACCTCTAAATAGTCCAGTTTGCTGCCAGGTGGATGAAGTGTGTGGGGAGGAGCACTTTTCAATAAATTGCTGAGTTGTTCTCCTTCAAATGCCTTCCTCTGTCACACTCCCGCCACAAAATGTGGTTTCGATATCCACATCATTGTGTTTTGTTTGTTTGTTTGCTTTTTGGGATAGGCTCTTCCTCTCTCACCCAGGCTGGAGTAGAGTGGCGTGATCACGGTTCACTGCAACCTCCGCCTCCTGGGTTCAAGCAATCCTCCCACCTTAGTCTTTCAAGTAGCTGGGACTACAGGCATGAGCCACCACACCTGATGAAGTTTTGTATTTTTTGTAGAGACGGGGTTTTGCCATATTTCCCAGGCTGGTCTCAAACTCCTGGACTCGAGCAGTCCTCCTGCCTTGTCCTCCCAAAGTGCTGGGATTACAGGCATGAGCCACTGCACCTGGCCCATTGTGATCTTTATTGCAACACTTTTTTTTTTTTTTTTTTTTTAGGTGGAGTCTCACTCCATTGCCCAGGCTGGAGTGCAGTGGCTCGATTTCGGCTCACCACAACCTCTGCCTCCAGGGTTCAAGCAAGTCTTCTGTCTCAGCCTCCTGAGTAGCTGGGACTATAGGCGCATGTCATCATGCCCACCTAAATTTTGTGTTTTTAGTAGAGTCGGGGTTTCACTATGTTGGCCAGGCTGGTCTTGAACTCCTGACCTTGTGATCTGCCCACCTCAGCCTCCCAAAGTGCTGGGATTACAGGTGTGAGCTACCGTGCCCGGCCTCAACACTCTTTTAATGCTCCAGATACTGTTTTAAGAACCACAGATTTCTGCTAGTTGTCTGGTCTAAAAAAAAACTGGCTTGCTCTACCTGCACTTGAGATTCAATTTTTTAATTGGCAAGCATCATGATCTCCTGTGTATACATAGACAGTTAAGTGTGTTATTAAAATGAGATGATGTTTTGCCCTTTACATATGACATGCTGATACAAGCAAACTGGTGACAAAAGACACAACCAGGACCTTCTGTCAGCAACTTTTCCCACATCTTCTCTCAATATCTTGACGTACTTTTAAAATTAGACTCCACGTCCTTTTGGGTCTTGCCTCAGTTTTTTTTTTTCCAGCAGTAGGAGCGTTACCATTCTGGGCAAACTAGTTGTTCAGGAAGACACTGGACTCATTTCATGAACTTTTCTTCTTCCTCGCGCTTCTAGCGTTGATATAAATAAGCACTTATAGAAGGACTCGATTTCTCTTTTTTTCAGTTCAAGGAAAAGTTTCTCTTCTACTGACAAATATCAAGGGGAAAATCCAACTGTAGTAACTGAAGTACAATACGTTTTCATCAGAAATCATCTGTGGCTGGGCGCGGTGGCTCACGCCTGTAATCCCAGCACTTTGGGAGGCTGAGGCGGGCAGATCACCTGAGGTCAGGAGTTCGAGACCAGCCTGGCTGACATGGTGAAACCTTGTCTCTACCGAAAATACAAAAATTATCCTGTCACTGTGGCACGCGCCTGTAATCCCAGCTACCCGGGAGGCTGAGGCAGGAGAACCGCTTGAACCCGGGAGGCAGAGGTTGCAGTGAGCTGAGATCGCGCCATTGCACTCCAGACTGAACAACAGAGAGCGACTCAGTCTGAAAAAAAAAAAAAAAAAAAAAGGAATCATCTGTATTACAATTGGTTTTTCCCTTTTCAACAAGTCTGCCATTTGGCCCCTGTCCCTGTCAGCACATCTGCTTGGTGGATGTCACGCTAACCTGATGTCTCTCTGTAGGATAAGCAGACACAATTTTCCGAAGCTCCTTCTAATGCCAGCCTTTTTGCTCTCTGTTAAGTGGTGGCAATCTAGGCTTGCATTCTCTGGCTAACATGGTTTGCAGAAGACTAACCCTCAGCTGAACCAAAGGTACCCAGCCACTCATCCTGGTCTGGCATTTTTACTTCTGCCTAGACAGAAGAGGTGAGACTTGAACTCTCCAGTGTGGACAAATCAGTCGTTTTGAGACTTTCTGAGTCAGTTTAGGATAAATGCATCCCTGGGGCTTACCACAACCACTCTTGTTCACTGCCAGAGAAAAAAGGGCTCCTACCACCTTAAAATTAGACACTCACACAGGCGCGTATTCACAGGCTTGGCTATCTTAGCACTGAACTGCAAAACAGACATACACGACATTTCCTCTCTATGGGTAAGACTTCCTTCCTTCCTTCCTTCCTCCCTCCCTTCCTCCCTTCCTTCTTCTCTCCCTCCTTCCCTCCCTCCCTCCCTTCCTCCTTCTCTCCCTCCATTCCTCCCTCTTTTCCTCCCTTCCTCCCTGTCTTCCTCCCTTCCTCCATCTCTTCCTCTCTTCCTCCCTTCCTCCCTCTCTTCCTCCTTTCCTCCCTCTCTTCCTCCCTTCCTCCCTCCCTCCCTTCCTTTTTTTCTTTCTTTCTTCCCTTTTTTGAGAAGGAGTCTCACTTTGTTGCTCAGGCTGGAGCGCAGTGGTGCAATCTTGGCTCACTGCAACCTCCGCCTCCCAGGTTTAAGCGATTCTCCTGCCTTAGCCTGCCAAGTAGCTGAGACTACAGGCACCCACAACCACACCTGGCTAATTTTTGTATTTTTAGTAGAGACGGGGTTTCACCATATTGGCCAGGCTGGTTTCGAACTCCTGACCTCAGGTGATCTGCCTGCCTTGGCCTCCCAAAGTGCTGGGATTACAGGTGTGAGCCACTGTGCCCAGTCAGTTTTTCGTAATTTTGGTAGAGATGGGGTTTCACCCTCTTGGCCAGGCTCTGGTCTCGAGCTCCTGGCCTCAGATGATCCACCTGCCTCGGCCTCCCAAAATGCTGGGATTACAGAGAGGTACTTTCTTGCTGACCCTGGAGACCCACCAGAATCTGGTCCTCCCAATGCGATGATCAGCAGAATCACTTATAGGGCTTTTAAAAAAGAGCATTCTGGTTCTAGTGAACATGATGTTCTCTTGTCTACTTGGCATCTGTTTAAAAACAGTTCTCCCTTCTTCTGCTGGCAACAGGATACTTATTTCTTGGGGAAACTCATTTTGTCTGATTTAGGTGGAGTCGGTACCGATATCTCTACCACAGCCATGTACACATGGCTCAGGTCTTACCTATCAGAGAGCTATATTCTTCTGCCTACTGATTGGCTCAAAGATGGGCATGTGACCCAAGCTGGACCAATCATATATCTCTCAGAGACTTCTGCTGAAACTACCAGGAAAAAGATATGTCCAATCTTTGAAGATAATGAATGTAAAGACAAGGCAATAATGGAGCTGCTGTGGACAATTATTTCATCATGTCCAGAGCCCATGAATGGAGTCAACTGGGCTTATCATGATAAGAGAGCCAGGAGAGGGAGGGGAGAGATGGAATCCTGAAGGCAGCATTTGAGTCCCTGAATCTAGCCAGGTCTACCTTGAGCCTTCAGTTTTGTGAACTAGTAAGTCCTCCTTCCTTTTTTATTTTTTCTTTTTTTAGCTTAAGTTAATTTCATTTGAATTTTTGTCATCTTAGAACAAAACAGTTTGTATTAACACACTATTCTCATGAACACCCTGGGTCACTGGATCAGATATGATGACTTTTAAACTTTAGAATACATACAATTTAAACAGAGGACAGAGTGCGGTGACTCACACCTGTAATCCCGGTACTTTGAGAGGCGGAGGTGGGCAGATCACTTGAGGCCAGGAGTTCAAGACCAGCTTGGCCAACATGGTGAAAACCCTTCTCTACTAAAAATACAAAAAAAATTAGCCGGACATGGTGGAGCACAACTGTAGTCCCAGCTACTGGGGAGGGTGAGGCAGGAGAATCACTTGAATCCGGGAGGTGGAGGTTGCAGTGAGCCGAGATCGCACCACTGCACTCCACCCCACCCTGGGTGACAGAGCAAGACTCTGTTTCCAAAAAAAAAAAAAAGTTAAAAACATAAACAGAGGGCATTTTAAAATGCTGATTTCTGGGTCTTTCCCAGAAATTCTGATTTAGAAGGATAGAGTCCAGGAATCTTCATTTAGCAAGCATTCCAGATGATTCTGTTGTAAGATCACACTTTGAAAATCACAGAATTAGAGCATCCTCCTAGGCCACAACTTCATAATGAAGAAAGGTGGCTAATTGTTGTGTGCCTTCTATGAGCCACACCCCTTGGCTATGTTATCTACTTACCTCATTTAATCCCCAGAACAAGAGGTCCCCAAAAAGAATTAGATATCTCCTTTTAGAGGAGTGAAGCACCTGCTGCTGAAATTTGGGGGCAAATAACTGGAGTAGGCCTGCTGGGAACAGGACTTGTTAAAAGAACTATGTCTGGAAGGCTGTGGTCCAAGGCCATTTTTGCCGGCTATAAGTGGGGTCTCCGGGACTAAAGGGAGCACACAGCTCTTCTTAAAACTGAAGGTGTTTATGCCCTAGATGAAACAGAATTCTATTTGGGCAAGAGATGCACTTATGTATACAAAGCAAAGAACAACACAGTGACTCCTGGAGGCAAACCAAACAAAACCAGAGTAATCTGGGGAAAGGTAACTTGGGCCCATGGAAACAGTGGCATGGTTCATGCCAAATTCTGATGCAATCTTCCTGCTAAGGCGATTGGACACAGAATCTGAGTGATGCTGTACCCCTCAATAAACTAATGAAAAGTCAATAAATAAATGTGGATTTGTGCTCTTGTTAAAAAAAAATATATCTCCCTTTAGATTTGCACAATGATTTTAGATCAAAGTACAGCAGCAATTCTATTCTTAACATGGACAGAAAGAGGCAAGAAATAAAAGAATCCACCACGTCTTCATTGATTTTTCATTTCCAGATGTTAATAATTCCAAGGGTAAATGTAGCTAGGAGAACTTAATTAATTTCTTAAATAAAACCTACTTGTCTTATACATGTGAGCAAGAGAAGGTAATGTATGTTTCAGTAAAAAGAATCATTAGTAGGTTACAGAGTCTGAGTAGTAAATACTATAGTTCAAGTTGTGAGAAACTGTCATTACATCACCCTGATTGGAATCATCCTGTTTTGTGAAAATGTGGAGCTAGACCTTTCCACAGCTGGTCTTGGATCAACAGTCTTTGTGCTTTTTGTTTCTGGTTTCAGTTTATGAGAATAATTGCCTGTGGCTGGGTGCAGTGGCTCAAGCCTGTAATCCCAGCACATTGGCAGGCTGAGGTGGACAGATCACGTGAGTCCAGCCTGGCCAACATGGTGAAACCCTGTCTCAACAAAAAATACAAGAATTAGCTGGGTGTGGTGGTGTGTGCCTGTAGTCCCAGCTACTCAGGAGGCTGTGGCAGGAGGATTGCTTTGGCCTGGGAGGCAGAGGTTGCAGTGAGCTGAGATTGAGCCACTGCATTCCAGCCTGGGCAATAGAGCCAGACCCCATCCCAAAATGGAGTTCTTCAGAAGAAGGCCCTGAGATGAGGATTTACCTGCAGTTGATTTTTTTTTTTTTTTGAGACAGAGTTTTGTTCTTGTTGCCCAGGCTGGAGTGCAATGGCACAGCCTCGGCTCACTGCAACCTCCGCCTCCTGGGTTCAAGTGATTCTCCTGCTTCAGCCTTCCAAGTAGCTGGGATTACAGGCACATGCCACCATGCCTGGCTAATTTTTTTGTATTTTCAGTAGAGACAGGGTTTCACCATGTTGGCCAGGCTGGTCTCAAACTTCTGACCTCAGGTGATATGCCTGCCTCGGCCTCCCAAAGTGTTGGGATTACAGGCATGAGCCACTGTGCCTGGCCACAGTTGATTTATTAAGGCAGGATTTATCGGAGAAATCCATAAGGGAAAGACAAGAAGCCAAGTGTCTTAGTTTGCATTGCTATAAAGGAATACCCAAGGCTGGATAATTTATAAAGAAAACAAGTTTATTTGGCTCATGGTTCTGCAGGCTGTACAAGAAGCACGGTGCCAGCATCTGCTTCTGAAGAGGGCTTCAGGGAGCTTCTTCTCATGGGGAAAAGTGAAGGGGAGCAGGCATCACATGGTGACAGGAAGGAGGGAAGAGAGAGAGGAGGCAGGTGCCGGGCTCTTTTAACAATCAGATCTTGCAGGAACTAACAGAGCAAGAAGTCACTCCTTACTGTGAAGATGGCATCAAGCCATTTATGAGCAATCTGCCCCCATGACCCAAACACCCCCCATCAGGCCCCATCTCCAACTCTGGGGATCACATTTCTTTTTTCTTTTTCTTTCTTTTTTTTTTTTTTTTTTTTGAGATGATTTCTCACTCTGTTGCCCAGGCTGGAGTGCAGTGGCATGATCTCAGCCTCCCAAGTAGCTGGGATTACAGGTACCCACCACTTCTCCCAGCTAATTTTTTATATCTTTAATAGAGACGGGGTTTCACTATGTTGGCCAGGCTGGTCTCCATCTCCTGACCTCAGGCGATCCACCCACCTTGGCCTCCCAAAGTGCTGGGATTACAGGCATGAGCCACCACGCCCAGCCCAGTTTTAGCCCATTTTCTACTGCTATAACAGAATACTACAGACTAGGTAATTTATAAACAGAAGTTTATTTGGCTCAGCGTTTTAGAGGCTGGGAAGTCCAAGAGCATGGTGCTAGCATTGGCGAGGGTTATCCCTTAGCAGAAGGGCAAGAAAGATGAACTCATCCTTTTTATCAGAAACTCACTCCTGTGATAACTAAGTTACTCTCTCAATAACAACATTCACCCCTTTATGAGGGCAGAGACCTTATGGCCTAATCATTTCTTAAAGGTCTCACCTCTTAACACTGTTAGAGTGGCAATTAAATTTCAACATGAGATTTAGAGGGAAATTTCAAACCATAGCAAAACCTTACCAGATGTATGGTTTGCAAATATTTTCTCTCATTTTGTAGATTTTCTCTTTATTCTGTTAATTATTTCCTTAGCTGTGCAGAAGCTTCCTAGTTTGATGTAATTTCATTTGTCTACTTTTACTTTTGTTGCCTGTGCTTTTGGATTTATCTCCAAAGGACCATTACCCAGACCAATGTCATGGAGTTTTCCCCTATGTTTTCTTCCAATGGATATAAAATTTTAAGTCTCCCTTTCAAGTCTTTAATCCATTTTGAGTTGATTTTAGTATATGGTATTAAATAAGAGTCTAATTCATTCTTCTGCATGCAAATATCCCATTTCCCCAACAGCATTTGTTGAAAAGACTGTTCTTTCCCTCATTTGTGTTCTTGGCACCTTTGTCAGAAAACAATTGACTGTGTAAAAACATGGAACCAACTCAAATGACCATCAATCAACAAGTGGATAAAGAAACTGTGGTGTGTGTGTGTGTGTGTGTGTATACATACATACATATATATATATATGTATATATATATATATATATATATATATATATATATATATATAGGCTTTGGGGACTCAGGGGGAAAGGGTGGGAAGGGTGGGAAGGGGGTGAGGGATAAAAGACCACAAATTGGGTTCAGTGTATACTACTTGGGTGATAGGTGGACCAAAATCTCACAAATCATCACAAAAGAACTTACTCATGTAACCAAATGCCACCTGTTCCTCAATAACCTACAGAAATAAAAAATAAAAAAATCGGTTGGCTGTAAATTTGTGAATTTATTTCTGGGCTCTCTATTCTGTTTCACTGATCTATGTGTCTGTTTTTATCCTAGTACTATGATGGGTTTTTTTAAAAATCCATGCTGTTTGATTACTATAACTTTGTAGTATATTTTGAAGTCAGGTAGTGCGATGCCTCCAGTTTTGTTCCTTTTGCTCAAGCTTGGTTTGGCTATTCAGGATCTTTTGTAGTTCCATACAAATTTTAGAATTGTTTTTTCTATCTCTGTGAAAAATATCACTGATATTTTGATAGAGATTGCACTGAATCTGCAGATCACTTTGTGTAGTATAGACATTTCAACAACATTAATTATTCCAATCCATGCACATAGGGCATCTTTCCATTTATTTGTGCCTTCCTTAATTTGTTTCATCAATGTTTTATATTGTTCAGCATATAACAGGCCTTTTTTCTCTTTGGTTAAATTTATCCCTAAGTATGACATTTTATTTTTTGTAGCTATCATAAATGGTATTGTTTTCTTGATTTCTTTTTTGTACAGTTTATTGTTAGTATATGGAAGTGCTATTTATTTTTGTATGTTGGTTTTATATCCTGCAACTTTACTATATTTATTAGTTACATCAGTTTTTTTTTTTTTTGGTGGCGTCTTTAAAGGTTTCTATGTATAAGGTCATCTTGTCCACAAACAAGGACAGTTTAAATTCTTCTTAAATTTAGGTGTCATTTATTTATTTCCCTTGCCTAATTGCTATGGCTAGGACTTAAAGGACTATGCTGATTAGAAGTAGTGACAGTGGCCATCCTTGTTTTGTTCCTGATGTTGGAAGAATATCTTTCAGCTTTTAACCATTGATGTGAAAATTTTCACCAGTGATGTTAGCTATGGGTTGTCATATATGGCCTTTTTTGTCTTGAGGTACATTTATTCTCTACCTAATATGTTGAGGACTTTCTATCATGAAAGGATGTTGAATTTTGTAAAGTACTTTTTCTGCATCTGTTAAGACAATCCTATGGGTTTTGTCCTTTGTTTTGTTAACAAGCTCAGTAATTTTAAAGTGCATAATTTATTGGCTTGTAGCACATTCACAGTGGTGCACAACCAACATCACTATCTCATTCCAAAACTTTAAAAATCCCACCCCAAAAGCCAGTCATTCATTCATCTTTAGCCGCCTTAGCGTAGTGATGCATGAGCATTCAGTGTTTATTAGGTGCCTCGAGGAGGAACAACATCCGTTTTCAATAAAACAAGTGTCCAGCATTGAGAGCAGACGTCTGGTAATCATTCTCTGTGTTGCAGTGTTTCTAAGACTTCAGGTGTCCCTTTCAGCACTCGGAGACTTGCCAAATGCCACTCTTTTTAAAAAATCCCTATTGGCCTGGATAATTTAAAACTGAGTTGGCATCGTGGTAAAAGACAATGTGATTCACTGTTACAGTCTAATCTCACCCTTCTAACTGATTCTTTCACTAAATTCCACCATGTAGCCCATTGTTCATCTACATGAACCATCAACATTCCTTAGCTTCATAGCTTTATTCAAAACGTTCTCTCTTCCTAGAACACCCTTCCCTGGGACATTCTACTCATTTTTCAAGCCCATCGTCAGGGTCACTTCCTCTATGAAATCTTCCCTAATGCTGATCTCTTCTTCCCACGTAACACCCATCATGCATTGTCTAAACCTCTTTTCTCAGATGATATGCTGTGTTATCAGAATGATTTCCCTGTTTCTGTCTTTCTCTATCTGAATGTGAGCTTCCTGATGGCAGGGACAGTCTTGTTCATCTTTCAACTTTCCCATAGCGCAATAAGTATTTCCTGAATTGAATTGAATCATAGAATGTGTTAAAATGAATTTTGATAATATTTAATTAAAATAGCTCCAGTAGTCTCAGGGGAAAAAATTTGATTAGTATTTCTAGAAAAATATACGTGTCTTAGGGCTTTTTTGGGTGAAAGAAATGAAAATCTATTCAAATCATCTTAGGTATAAATTGGTTTCTTAAGAAAGATAAAAATCTCAAAAAATCCAAAGCCAAGCTGGAGATCTGGTTCTTTAAAAGGAAAGGAGCTGAGATCATCCCAGGAATTGGCAGCAGTAGGAGTCCATGGACCTTCCCTCGAGTTATTATTTTTTCTTTCAGCTAATATTCATTGTGCACCTACCATGTGCCAGCAATGGTGGCAGGCACTGGGCATACAGCAGTCACGCAAGGATACTACAATCTCTGCTCTCATATGACTTTCATTCTGGTTCCTAATGTTCATGTAAATTGATTCTTCACCTCCGTGCTCCCTCAGACTCAGTCTTTCCTACTTCAAGTTCCTGAGGGCAATCTTTTTTATTTATTTTTAATTTTTTATTTCCATAGGTTTTTGGGGAACAGGTAGTATTTGGCTACATGAGTAACCAAATCTCACTTTAGTGGTGATTTGTGAGATTTTGGTGCACCCATCAACTGAGTAGTATGCAGTAAACCCAATTTATAGTCTTTTTTTTTTTTTTAAGATGGAGCTTTGCTCTTATTGCCCAGGCTGCGTTGCAGTGCAGTGGTGCGATCTTGTCTCACTGCAACTTCCGCCTCCTGGGTTCAAGCGATTCTCCCTGCCTAAGCTTCCCGAGTAGCTGGGATTACAGGTGCCTGCCACCATGCCTGGCTAATTTTTGTATTTTTAGTAGAGACGAGGTTTTGTCATGTTGGCCAGGCTGGTCTCAAACTCCTGACCTCAGGTGATCTGCCTGCCTCGGCCTCCCAAAGTGTTGGGATTACAGGCGTGAGCCACCACACCTGGCCAATTGGTAGTCTTTTATCCTTCATCCCCTTCCCGTCCTTTCCTCCTGAGTCCCCAGAGTCCATTGTGTCATTCTTATGCCTTTGTAACCTCATAGCTTAGCTCCCATGTATGAGTGGGAACATATGATATTTGGTTTTCCATTGCTGAGTTACTTCACTTAGAATAATCCAGTTCCATCCAGATTGCTGTGAATGCCATTAACTCATTCCTTTTATGTCTGCATACTATTCATATATATATATATATATATATATATATATATATATATATATATGTATATATATCAGTTTCTTTTTGTTTTATTTTAAGTTCTGGGATACATATGCAGGATGTGCAGGTTTGTTACATAGGTAAATGTGTGCCATGGTGGTTTGCTGCACCTATCAACCCATTACCTACGTATTAAGCCCAGCATGCATTAGCTATTCTTCTTAATGCTCTCCCCACCCCTAACCCCGCTTCCTTCCCTTGATCCCCCAGTGTGTGTTGTTCATATACCACAGTTTCATTATCCACTAGTTGATTTATGGGCATTTGGGCTGGTTCCATATTTTTGCAATTGCAAATTGTGCTGCTATAAACATGCGTGTGCAAGTATCTTTTTTGAATAACGACTTCTTGTCCTCTGGGCAGATAGCCAGTAGTGGGATTACTGGATCAAATGGTAGTTCTACCTGAGGGGAATCTAATTGGCTGTTGGGCAGCATTGTGATCAATTGTCTCCTTCTGGGTCAGCTGTTTGTTATCTCTGGTCATGGGGGCTACAGGAGATGAGAGCTGGGCGAGGGGAGGGCAAAGACTTTTCTTAGAGAGATCAAGAGCTGGGTCAAGCACTCAAGTGTGCCTCATTAAAAAATCATCTTTATTATACATGATTTGTAAATATTTATGATTCATTTTATGTCCTATAAGGCACCAGATTCCAAAGGCGATGCTAATAAAAGAAAAGCCATTTCATATTATGATAGTAACAGCATATGCTTCTGTGGGAAGCCAGGACAATTGCTGCTTTAATTTGAAAGAAAGTTCTGCCCAAGCAATTAGCTCTGTCAGTGAATATTGTAGATCGCTTTTGGAGTTGGGACCTTAAAGATCATCTGTTCTGCTGACCTGTTTTCTTTTTTCTTTCTTTCTTCCTTTTTTTTTTTTTTTGAGCTGGAGTCTTGCTCTGTCACCCAGGCTGGAGTGCAGTGGCACAATCTCAGCTCACTGCAACCTCCACCTCCCAGGCTCAAGCAATCCTCCCACCTCAGCCTCCCAAGTAGCTGGGACTATAGGCGCCTGCCACCACACCTGGTTAATTTTTGTATTTTTAGTAGAGAGGAGGTTTTGCCATGTTGGCCAGGCTGGTTCTGAACTCCTGACCTCAAATGATCTACCCGACTTGACCTCCCCAAGTGTTGGGGTTACAGGTGTGAGCCACTGTGACAGGCCTTTGACCTGTTTTCCAGGTGAAAAAATCTGAGGGCCAGGTGGTGGTGGCTCACGGTTGTAATACTGGCACTTTAAGAGGCTGAGGCAGGAGGATGGCTTGAGCCTAGGGGTTCGAGACCAGCCTGGGCAACATAATGAAACCCTGTCCCTACCAAAAATACAAAAAATTAGCCAGGTATGGTAATGTATGCCTGTGGTCCCAGCTACTTGCGAGGCTGAGGTGGGAGGATTGCTTGAGCCTGGGAGGTGGAGGTTGTAGTGAGCTGAGATTGCGCCACCACACTCCAGCTTGGGTGACACAGCCAGACTCTGTCTCCAAAAAAAAAAAAAAGAAAAGAAAAGAAAAGGCTTTTCTTTGGTCAAGGTCAAGGTCAAGGATCTGTCAAAGGTGGAGCTGGAAATGGAACTCAGGTTGTTGCTGTCGTTATTAATCCATGCTAATAGAAACTTGCTTTTTTCTTTTCATTTACCCTTCGTCCATTCCTCCTTCTCTTTTTCTTTCCTTTTAAAAACTCTTTAATCAGTTTCTTTCCTTAAATCGTTAAAGCATACAGATGGTTTTAAAAAGTAGTATATAAAAGTATACAGGGAAAAGTATTTCTCCCTCCCACTCCAGTTCCTATCCTTAGAGGCTACCACTGCTTCTAGCATATCTTTACAAAGATAGTCTATAGAGTCTAAGCATGTGTGTGTGTGTGTGTGTGTGTGTGTTATTATTTTTGCATTTTAAAACTATATCTTGAAGATCATATATATAATATATGTAACATCCTGGGGATCTGGGGCAGTCATACCTAAACTGAGTTTCAGTTTTTTAAAAATTCCTTCTTTTTTTAACCACTGTATGGTATTCCATTACTCCGTGATATGAAAACACTGTAATTTATTTAGCCAAGTTCTCACTGATGGACATTTAGGTTGCTTTCAATCCTCTGCTATTACAAACAATGCCTTAAAGAGCACGTTTCATGCCCATCAATGATAGACTGGATAAAGAAAATGTGGTACCTATACACCATGGAATACTATGCAGCCATAAAAGGGAACGAGATCGTGTCCTTTGCAGGGACACGGATGGAGCTGGAAGCCATTATCCTCAGCAAACTAACGCAGGAACAGAGAAACAAACATTGTATGTTCTCACTTATAATTGGGAGCTGAACAATGAGAACACATGGACACAGGGAGGGGAACAATACACACCGGGGTCCTGTAGGGGAGTGGGGTTGGGGGAGGAAGAGCATCAGGAAAAATAGCTAATTCATGCTGGGCTTAATACCTAGCTGATGGGTTGACAGGTGCAGCAAACCACCATGGCACATGTTTACCTATGTAACAAACCATCCTACACATTTACCCCGGAACTTAAAATAAAAATAAAAATCAATTAAAAAAGCACTCTTCTACATATGTCTTTGTGTATGTGTGAGTAATCCCTGCCCCTTCTTCTGTCTTTTCCATCAAGTTAATTAATGGAATCAGGAAAGACAGAAACAAAAAGGAACATTTGGTGGTGAGGTGATAGAGGCCTGAGTAGAGAAACTGGAGACAGAGTATCTTGGTCAAGATCCTTCTAGTTGTGAGTAATAGGAATCAGCCTGAACTTGAAAAATGGGAAGAAGGTAAGAGGAATTTATTGGCAGGTCCAGGAGTATCACACAGAAGCCCCAAATCTCAGGAACGAGAAAGCCATCAGTGATGTAGTCAAGTCTCTTTTTGCCTTATTTCTGCTTCTCTCTGAAATAGAACTCATCTTCTCTTTCTGCCTCCCAACTCTTTCTGCTCCTCTTTGTACATAGAGGAAGACGGTGATACCCGGTGGTACTCCAGTATGTGGATCCTCAGCACAGACTGGTTGGCTTTTCCTTAGTCTAAGATGGATGAGGAGGACCTGATTAGCCACAAAAGTGACCTGATTATTGGTTAAATAATCAGCAAACCTGAACTTGTTCTTCTTTTCTTAACATTTTGTTTGTTTGTTTGTTTGTTTTTGAGATGGAGTCTTGCTGTATCACCCAGGCTGGAGTGCAGTGGCATGATCTTGGCTTACTGCAACCTCCACCTCCTGGGTTCAAGAGATTCTCCTCCCTCAGCCTCCTGAGTAGCTGGGACTACAGGTGTGTGCCGCCATACCCAGCTAATTTTTGTATTTTTTTTGTAGAGATGGGTTTTGCCATGTTGGCCAGACTGGTCTCGAACTCCTGACCTCAGGTGATCTACCTGCCTGGGCCTCCCAAAGTGCTGGGATTACAATCATGAGCCTCTGTGCCTGGCCTCTTTACTTAACATTTTTTGATGAGGTACCATCTATTATGGGAAAACTCTGAGCTTCTTAACAAGACATTTACATTTTTTAATCTGACCCTCTACTTGACCTTGCTGTCCAGTCTGTTCTGTTCAAATGCCCAGGCCATGCCAAACATTGAATCATTTTCTCACATACCCCAAGGATGCATGACTTGGCTGGCAGAGTATAAGGTAGATTTCAGCCCCACCTCATCCTTGGTTGGTGCCTCTCTGGAGTGCACGTCTCCATAACATGTGAGCAGAAGTAGGAAATTAGAGCCAGAAAAGATTAGGAAAAAACCCTTGATCATGGGATGGGGGGTTAATGCTGGGTTTTCCATTATATGGATATGGCGTTTGAATTATTTTTACCCAAGTTACAAAGGTCCTGGTGGTCCTGGTAATACAATGTCCATGGACAATGAAATCTGGGGTTAGCACCTGGGTTTCACAGATACCTTCCCCATACTTTCAGATCTCCCTATTTTGCCCCTGTCCTGGCTAAGCTGGCTATGGCCTCTGAAGACACCATGACTATCAGAGTTGGCACAGCTGATGTTGTTGATGGAGTGGATGTCCCTATGCACATTTGGAGGCCAGGAAGTCCATCACCAAGTCCTGTTGGGTCTGCTGACCTATGGGATTGGTCCTCTGTTGTAACCTTGAATTACTGACTTTTTTCCCCCCGAGACGGAATCTCGCACTCTCACCCAGGTTAGAGTTTAGTGGCGTGAAGGCTCACTGCAACCTCTACCTCCCAGGTTCAAGCAATTCTTGTGCCTTAGCCTCCCAAATAGCTGGGATTACAGGCACCTGCCACTACACCTGGATAATTTTTGTATTTTTAATAGAGATGGGGGTTTCGTTATGTTGCCCAGGCTGGTCTTGAACTCCTGACCTCAAGTGATCTGCCTGCCTCGGCCTCCCAAAGTGTTGGGATTAAAGGTGTGAGCCACCATGCCTGGCCAATTATTGCCTTCTTACTTTTATCCTGGAATAAAGCGACTGACAGTGTTCCACTTCTAACATTGAGTTCCCTGGTCTGTTCTCCATGAAGAAGCCACTCATCCTTTAAAAATGCAAATCTTGGGCAGGTCACGTCTGCTTCAGTGCTACTTCCGTGCCCTAAGGTTAAAATTCAAACCTCCTACAAAACTCTGTTTGATCTGGACCTTGGCTACCTCTCAGCCTTAATCCCCATCTCCTCCCGACCCTCCTAGCTCATTGAGAGTTTTACCTAGCTCATGAACAGTCATTCTTATTGGTAACTTAGTTTAATCATTATTTGCTATACTAGTTTTCTCTTGCTTTTGTAGCAAGTTACCACAAAAGTGTCTTAAAACAGGCAAAATTTATTCTCTTTACAGTGCCGGAAATTAGAAGTCTCAACTGAGTCTTAAGGGATTAAAATCAAAGTGTCAGCAGAGTTGGCCGATTCCTTCTGGAGGCTCCAAGGGAGCATCTATTCCTTGCCCTGTTTTTTAGCTTTTCACGTCCTTTTCCAGCTTTTGTGACTTCTGGACCCCTCCTCCCTCTTCAAGAAACATCACTCCAATCTGTTCCTATCATCACGTTTCCTTTTCCTCTTCTGTCATCAAATCTCCCTCAATCTCCTTTTTTTTTTTTTTTTTTGAGACAGAGTCTCACTCTGTCGCCCAATCTGGAGTGCAGCGGTGTGATCTTGGCTCACTGCAACTTCTGCCTCCCATGTTCAAGCAATTCTCCTGCCTCAGCCTCCCCATTAGCTGGGATTACAGGCATGTGCCACCACGCCTGGCTAATTTTTGCATTTTTAGTAGAGATGGGGTTTCACCATGTTGGCCAGGCTGGTCTCTAACTCCTGACCTCAGGTAATCCACCCGCCTTGGCCTCCCAAAGTGCTGGGATTACAGGCATGAGCCACTGCGACCCGGCCTCAATCTCTTTTTGATAAGAACATTTGTGATTAAATTTAGGGCCAACTTGGATGATCCAGGATATTTTCCTCATCTCCAGATCTCTAGTATAATCACATCTGCAAAGTCCTTTTTGCTAGGTAATAGGTTTTAGGTTCCAGGGATTAGGACCTGGATATCTTGGGGGACCATTATGACTGCTCCAGCCCACCATTCTACCTTCCTGATGTCCAGGTTGTATTACATGTATTAAACTCTCTGCCTGGTTCCAACAGGATGCTATCCTCCGATCATAGCATTTATTACATATCTTATAATTGTCTCAAGGCAAGGGCTGGTTATAGACACACCAGTCCTCTATCCTTACCTGAGCACATAGGAAAACTACATGTCCCAGCTGCCTTGGTTCTTCCATTTGGCTCATGTGACTGAGTTCAAGTAATGGAATATGGTGGGAATGATATATGCCACTTCCAGGCTAGGCCAGATATTGCCCCACTTGATCCTTTCTCACCTCCATCCACATGGCTGGAAGTAAATGATTTCAGGATGATGCTGGATTTCTACGTCATCATTTATTCTGTTAAGGCACTGAGATTTTGGGCTTGTTTATCACAGCAGATGACCTAACCTGACTAATCAATCTGTTTTCTTTATCGGATTGTAAGCTTTTTCTTATTTATTGTTGACTCCAGCCCCTAACGTAGTGTTTGGCACAAAGCGAACATCTAATAAGGGCTCGTTAAGTGAATGAGAGGCAGTTGGATTTGGGATGAGACATGGGTGTAGGAGTGGCTGGAGTGAGACTAGACGGACTTGCAATTGTCATTGTGAGAAGTGATAAGGGCCTGAACTAAAGCAGTGACAATGGAGACGAAAGGAAAGGAAGGATTCAATATTCACTTAGAAGGGAGAATTGACAGAACTTAGTGACTGTTGGGATATGAAAGTTGAGAAGCAGAGTGATGTCAAAGACTTCCCAGTTCATTGGCTTGGACATGTGTCTTCATACTGGTACACCAAACTTTCAAATTTCCGAGGGTTATTCTGAATATGTAGGCGAAAACACAGCTTATTCAGCTCTCTATGACTGTTAGTTCTTTGGTTGCAGTAGAATTCATGTGTACCAGCTTCTGAATCTGCAAAGCCCCTTTTGCCAGGTAATAGGTTTCAGGTTCTAGGGATTAGGACCCGGATATCTTGGGGAGGGGGGCCATTATCCAGCCCACCACTCTACCTTCCTGACCCCCAGGTTGTATTAAATGTATTAAACTCTCCCCTGAGTCCAATAGGATGCTATTTTACAGTCATAGCTTCTATTACATGTATTACACTTGTCTCTTGAGGCAAAGGCTGGTTGTATACTCGCCAATCCTCTGAATATTGTTGGTTGGGCAGCCTTGGTGATATGGAGATTTTCATTTGATTGTGATTGGTAGTAATGAGATTTAAGCTATATGGTAAATTGATACAAAAAATAGGCTGCATTTATTCATGCGTCACACATATGCATGCCTCGGTTTTCAGTGTAACTTTGGCTCTTTCTATCAAGAGAAGTCTCTCTACCCCCTGAATCTAGACTGGCTTTATGGCTTGATTTGGCAAATAAAATGTAGCAGAAGTGATGGGGCGCATGTTCTGACATCGGGTCTCAATAGGATTTGTGTGTTTCTTCTTTCTTTCTTTCTTTCTTTCTTTCTTTCTTTCTTTCTTTCTTTCTTTCTTTCTTTTCTTTTCTTTCTTTTTTTTTTTGACAAAGTCTTGCTCTGTTGCCAAGCTGGAGTGCAATGCGCAATCTTGGCTCACTGAAACCTCCACATCCCGAGTAGCTGTGACTACAGGCACCACGCCCAGCTAATTTTTGTATTTTTAGTAGAAACAGGGTTTCACCATGTTGGCCAGGATGCTCTCCATCCCTTGACCTCGTGATCCACCTGCCTCGGCCTCCCAAAGTGCTGGGATTACAGGCATGAGCCATTGCGCTTGGCCTCTTCTTGCTTTCTTAGGACCTGCCATGCCTCTATGCAAAAAAAGCTGGGCTAGCCTGAGGGAGTATGAGACCTCATGGAGTGGGGAAGAGCTGTCCCAGCTGAAGTGTATTCCAGGTGAACCTGGACACAGCTGGCCTGCAAGACAGCAAATGCATGAGTGAGCCCATCCAAGATCAGGATCGTGCAACTGAGACTAACCTTAGTTGCCAGCCCACAGAACTGTTAATTAAATAAAAATGGTTGTTGTAAGCCGGTAAGCTTTGGGGTGATTTGTTACATGGCAAAAACTAACTGATACATTCTGTATTTACAGGAGTCTGAGCAGAGAGACAGGGGTCTGCAGAGTAAACAACTGTGGGGTTTTCATCTAGTCTCCATTGATTCCTGGGGATACACTAAGTTATTTTAATCAATGTAGTTAGCTGGAAAATGCATGATCCCAAAACCTATTTTGGTTTCATAGCATAGTTGAAAGGAATTAAATTATTTAGATAATTGCTTAAACTTACTACTTCATTTGTAAACAAAAGCTACTGCGAAGCTCTTAAATTAGTGACCACAGACTTGAATTTCACCTTTAATAAAATGACTAAAAATTGGTGTCATTTAACCCCAATTAACAGGTTTGATCATTTTTCCCTGATAAGAATTTTTTTTTAAATACCACACACACATCCCTCATAAACACAAAACTAACATTTACTAACTCCAACGTTATTTGAGAAAGTAAATTGTGACACTAATACAATGTCCAACAAATGTGAAAGGTGTTTACTCAACACATTTTATCAGCCTTATTTTTCTCAATTTCCTATGAACCATTGAAACCTTCAACACATATTGGTATTGTTCTAGCATTTGAGAACTGTTTTTTTTTTTTTTTTTTTTTTTGAGACAGAGTTTCACTCTTGTCGACCGGGCTGGAGTGCAATGGCATGATCTCAGCTCACTGAGCTCACTGCAACTTCCGCCTCCTGGGTTCAAGCAACTCTCCTGCCTCAGCCTCCTGAGCAGCTGAGATTACACAAGCCCACCACCATGCACGACTAATTTTGGTATTTTTAGTAGAGATAGGGTTTCACCATGTTGGCCAGGCTGGTCTCGTACTCCTGACCTCAGGTGATCTGCCCGCCTCAGCCTCCCAAAGTGCTGAGATTACAGGCGTGAGCCACCCCGCCTGGCCTAAGAACTGCTTTTGAAGAATGTCTACCAAAATTCTTCCTGCTGCTTCTGAAAATGCTTACATGCGTTTAACTATGACTTCTCAAATGCTGCCATCCCTGAGAAGCCATCCTTTCCTCTGTAAATGGAGCTAAACATCCTCTTTTAAGTTCCTGTAACCTTAACCCCTATTTCTGCTAGAGGTGCATCACCTGTTTACGGGACCAGCTACAATATTGGTGGTGCTCAGTGCAAAAGTCAAAATGATTTTTCCCAGTGCCGAGCACTGAACCAAGCATGGGGCCCTTTAGAACATGGAGAACTGTGGGACTGCACAAGTCCCATACCCATAAGGCCTTCTCTGTCTCTATATTTCATCTTCCCCTGAAGATTTTGAGATCATGGAGGGCAAAGCCCTTGTCTCAGTCATCTATCTTCCTGGACATCAGCTCATTGCCTGGCATCTTGTCATCCTTCAGGTTTACTATAGTAAGAGTGACCATTTATTAAGCACTGCTGAGGTTCTACTCGCTGGCCACCCACTTTATGCAAAGTATCAATCATCTGTAACATCCCTGGGTATAGGCACCCTTCTTATTCCCGTTTTCCAGATGAGAAAACTAAGCTTGGAGAGATTAAGTGATTTATTCAAAGTCATAGATATCCTATGAGAAAGAGCCAGAACTTAAACACAGCCATGACTCTGGGTTTCAGTCAATTTTGCCCCTCAGGGGACATTTGGCAACGTCTAGCAGCATTTTTGTTTGTCACAACCAGGGGGTGCTATTGGCATCTAATGGGTAGAGTACAGGGATGCTGTTAAATGTCCTACAATGAACAAGACAGCACAAGACTTTCTCACCCACATGTTCCATACAGGGGCAGATTCCCAAAAAGTACCCACCTATGGTAGTGACTGTATTTACTGACTTGATGTGTTCGGAGGAAATCGACTTTTTTTCTTTGCAGAGCAAAATGAACCCGGATGATTCTTTTCTCCTTTTAATATTTTTCAAAGGCTCAGGAAACAGGCTGGGGCAATTTTCCAGGGAGTAGCGCTTCACCTCCCGCCCACCCCAACACAGAATTATCCACTCCAAAATGTCTATAGTGCTGAGATTGAGAAACCCTGGATTGAGGGAAAACCAAAGCCTGTGCTTCCTAAACTTCAGTTTTTAGTACCAGACACTTCACATTGTTTTCTTTATTTTTATTTCTTTATTTGTAAATACTATAATGTCTTTTTTCCATAATTGACTTTACATTGATAGACTTAAAATTATTAACTATACACCTTAAACATTTATTCCAGTGAATCCATGTTTGATGCATTATTATTTTCTTTCGAATACACATTGAAATATCTGTAAAACCATTGATATAAAAAAGATCTTTGTTGGGGTACCACCAAAAATCATCTTCCCTACCACCACCAGTCCCGGGGAACCAAACTTCATACCTAGTTCACTTTTTTTTTTGAGATGGAGTATCCTTCTGTTGCCCAGGCTGGAGTGCAGGGGTGTGATCTTGGCTCGCTGCAACCTCTGCCTCCCAGGTTCAAGGAATTCTTCTTCCTCAGCCTCTCTAATAGCTGGGATTACAGGCATGCACCACCACGCCTGGCTAACTTTTGTATTTTTAGTAGAGATGGGGTTTCACAATATTGGCCAGGCTGGTCTTGAACTCCTGACCTCATGATCCGCCCACCTCAGCCTCCCAAAGTGTTGGGATTACAGGTGTGAGCCACCGCATCTGGCTCAGACCTAGCTCACTTCTCTAAGGCTTCCCTCATCTCTTCAGGAGAGAATCAAATACATCAAATCAGCTTATTGCTTGAAACTGGCAAGGTGCTAGCTACATTTCACTTATGTTTTTTTCTCTTTTTTTTTTTTTCTCCTCAAGGCTAACAGCTGCTTAAAAACCTCTTTGAAACCCTAAAAGCCACTTGAGGAGGACAATTAACAAACCACTCATTTTGGTGAGGGCCAGAGCACATATAATTCAATTTGTTGAGTTGCTTATGAACAGTGGTTGCAATGTCCTGGTAACCAAACATCCTTTGTTATTAAGACATGGTTCCCTTCTCTAATTGTTAGGGAGTACAATTGCATTCTTTTTGCTGTGTGTACTGCAGTCTGACATAATTAAGGCTAGAGCAAATGAGATTCTTCTTTAGATATTAAAAGTGCCTGTGTTGTAAATAATAATGTCACCCTCTCTTTCATAGAAAGCACTTTCATTAAGAGCTGCATTTTAATATCAATGCGTTTGCATGAATTCATTTGGGTCATGGTGGGGGGACATTGCTGATGATTTTTAATCTTCCATGAGCTCACCAGGTGTTCCAATTAGGTCATTTATAATGCCTACCCCTCCCTGCCAGGAGCCCTGAAATAAATACTTTCTCACTCACATTTTCCATACAGGTGTTTGTTCCCAGTAAGTACCCACCCATGGTAGTAACTGTATTTACTGACTTGATATGCTCAGAGGAAATTGACTTTTTTCTTTGCAGAGTAAAATGAACCCAGAGGATTCTTCTCTCTTTTTAATATTTTTCAAAGGCTTGGGAAACAGGCTGGGGCAATATACCAGGGAGTGGTGGCCACTACAGCAGACAGGAACAGGAAGGGAATCTGGTTTGGGGAAAGCTCATGATGGGATAGGAGTTTTAAGGTTTAGAATCATTGGCACATAAGCCACACAGGGTGGCTTTCTGCTTCCTTCCCCAGCACAAGCTCTGCGCTCTTCTTGACACAAACAGGGGGCAGTCTCTGTTAATTAAAGCGAGGAGCAGCAGTCACAGTGAGCCTCCTCTGAGGACCGGAGTCAAATGTCCAGGTGACATGCAATATTTTACAGAGATTGGAAGCAGATTCTGAAATGGACTTTTCTGTCCAGATTTTGTCTCTTTTCTCTGAAGTATTTTTTTAATCAAATTTACAAGTACCTTAAAACTCCCAACCCTTGCAGAAAGAACCCTGTGACCTACTGTTCTCCCATGTCCCTGGTTAAACTCTGCCCTAATACCTGCTGAAGTGGAGTCGGACACAGAGTGGAGGAAGAGGCCGGGGTTAGGAGTTGGGCGTCTAAATCCAGCCCTGGTGGGGTCATTGCTGTCCATGTGATCTCCCACAAAGGTCTTAACCTCTGAGCCACAGCTTCCTGGAACATAGGAAGCCCGCTGGAGGGTCCCTTTCCATTTCCAATGTAGTATATAGAAAACTCCCACCCTTTATATACATAATGACAGCAGATACTCCATCATCCATGCCCTAAGTGTTCCTTTCCTCTTTTGGTTTAAGACAGAGTCTTGCATAAATTAATTAATACAACCCATGCATTTTTTTGAGTGTTTACCATGCTTAGAACTGTACCCCGGGGCTGCACCCTGCAGCCCCGCACAACCCCAAAGGCTCAAATCCCTGGAGTTGCGCACAGGGCTGGAGGGCGCAGCCATGGACCCGCAAGGCAGCTCCGTATGCCTGGGTTCTAGGGGCTGGGGACATGGTATGGGAGTCGAGGCCCTCTCCATTACACAGTTCACATCTCAGTGCAGGCAAACAGACGAAAACGCAAATACATAATATAGTAGGAGGTAGACAGAAAGTTTGGAGGCCTATTTCATGTAGTGGCTGGAGGGCAGTTTCTGGACTCAAATTTCTTGGGTCAAATGTCAATTCTGGCACTCATTTGGCAGAGCTACTTGGGCAACTGGTTTAACTGCTTTGGGGCTCATTCTCTCCCTCTGTTGTGTGGGCCTGGTACTATTACCTAAGGGAGAGAGAGTTACATGAAACCAGTCACTCGGTGGTTCAGCAAATATTTCCAGACTGTCTGCTATACGCTGGGCACTGCTCTAAGCTTTCTTGAGGAGCTGCTTTTAGAAAAAGCAAGCTTAGTGAGTATGTTGCAGGCACTGAATAAATGTCAGCTCTCATTAGCTCTCACACACCAGTGCTTGTGTTTGTAGGACTCACAAGGTGGTGGTGGGCGTGGGTTGCCAGTCATGACAGACTTTCCATACTCTCCTATTTTGGGGATTCTATTATAATGAATCTGGTGAATCTGGATTAAACGTGTTCATACCTTCCCCAGATGGGTTTGGAATATAATACTCCTGGGTATGCCCTGTCAATGTCTTGCTGTGTGTTTGCAAATCTTTTTTGAAACATCAAAATGTGACTTTTTTTTTCAAAGAGAAGGGGCGATTAGCCAAACTTCTCATTTGGAGAAAACTTGCAACAGAGTCCCAATAAATCCTCCCACCCTTTCTCAATTCAGGGGACCCTAGTAAACCATTTTACATGTCGCCCAACTTTTCGTTCTCTGAAGATGCCCTGAGAAGCCCTTGACTGCAGCCAAGTGGAGAGGAGGGTTGTGGAAACATTATCTCCTTGCAAATCGCCTAGCAGCCTGCAAAGTGTATACTTAGTTAATGCAATTAAAAAACAAAACGCCGGGGCGTGGGGAGATCTAAATTTGGTGTAGCAGCTTTGGTGCAAATCCTGTTTTGGGGCTACTGGAGTCAAATTCAAGCAGAGGAGAGAAAGAGGTGGGAGAAATGAGAGAGGGCCTCCGGGGAGCTGGAATTCGCTAGGAGAGAGAGGGCAGATTTGGAAACACAGAGGAGACGGGAGGCTGGAAGCTGAGGAAGCAAGGCAGAGCTCTGCAGCCCCCGGTGAGGATTTCCGGGGGGATCCGTGGGGACAGGGGCCAGCCAGCTCCAGAGACCGATGCGCGGGCTCCAGGTCCGGGAGGGTGGCTGAGGCTGGGTGCCCAGGCCTTGCGCTGCGCCAGATCCGGGAGCGCAGAGGCGGCGCCGCGGTGTTCCCTCCTGTGGAGCGCAGAAAACGCTGCGGGGGCGAAGAGGGACAGAAAGCGGCAGGTTCGAGAGGCTGGGGGACTTCCAAGGAAAGACCTTCCAGGACACGCCATAGCCTCGGCCTTGTTCGGCTGTCCCCTCTTACCCCCGACCTTCTTTGATTCGTTCATCCCGAGCCCCTCTCCCCCGGAGGGTGCTTATCCCTGGCTCAGGGGCTTGCCACCTGTCCTTCCCAGCTCCGCCTGGGTCCTTGCTTGGGCCCAGAGAGTTGAGCCATGCGGGTTGCGCTCAGGGCTGGAGGGCGCAGCCGGGAAGGGCAAGGAGGCCCCGCACGCCTGGGAGGGGCGATCCTGACCAGACTGCACCCAGTCTGTCTTGGAGTGAAAGCCATTTAGTCTGTCCCCATCCTCTCCGAGTCATCCTTCCCCTGATGCACAGATTTCGGCCGCCGCTCCTGCACACGCACCGGTGAAAAAGCTACGAGCTGAGCCGCCTCTGCGCTCTGGACAGGGCTGAGCCGCGCCTCCTACCCAGAGAGGGCGCGGGAGGTCCTGCCGCGGTTTTCCACCTGCCTGGAAATCCGAGCGGCTCCTCTAGCCTCGGCTGCTGCCGAGCTCGCTCCTCCCCGTCCGCTCGCCTGGCTCAGCTCTGCACGCCCCCCAGCTAGCTCCCGCTCTAGTCACCTCTTCCCCGCGCCCCCGCCCCTCTAGAGCTCGCGCCCGCCCCCCCCCACCCGCGCCTCCTCTGCCCGCCCTCCTCCCCCTCCCCCTTCCCTCCTGCCCTCCCTTCATTCCACAAGTGTCGCTTCGCTCTCTTCAGCGCACTTGGCGAGCTGGTGAGGTGAGAGGGATACTGCGAGAGGGCTAGGGGCGGCCAGTCCGGGGCTGCCGGCCAAGGCTAGGCGCTGCCAGCCCGATTCTCCTCTGCTCTCCACCCCCGCCTCACCCAGTGGCCGGCCGGACCTGCACCCCGCGCTTGACCCCGCTCATCCTCCCCCCGCCCGGCCGGGCGCGCTCCTCCCCGGCCGGCCCCTCGGCGCGCGGCGCGCTGGAGGCGAACGCGGGCTGAGGCGAACGCGGGCTGAGCCGAGCGCAGTGGCCGCCGACCACCGAGCGCCCCGCGCCGCTCCCTGCATGTGCGGCCCGCGGCGGCTCGCAGCTCCCGGCAGCAGCCTCGGCAGCTTCGGCCGCGCCTCGAGAGGCGGCCGCAGAGGCTCCAGCGGCGGCCGAGCGGCCGAGCCCGGGCTGGGAGACACCATGCGCCGCGTCCTTCGGCTGCTCCTCGGTTGCTTCCTCACCGAGCTGTGCGCCCGCGTGTGCCGGGCGCAGGAGCGAGCGGGACACGGGCAGCTGGCGCAACTGGGCGGCGTGTTGCTGCTGGCGGGGGGCAACCGCTCCGGGGCCGCCTCCGGAGAGGCCAGCGAGGGCGCTGAGGCATCGGACGCGCCCCCGACCCGGGCGCCCACGCCGGACTTCTGCCGGGGCTACTTCGATGTCATGGGCCAGTGGGACCCGCCGTTCAACTGCAGCTCGGGCGACTTCATCTTCTGCTGCGGGACTTGTGGCTTCCGGTTCTGCTGCACGTTTAAGAAGCGGCGACTGAACCAAAGCACCTGCACCAACTACGACACGCCGCTCTGGCTCAACACCGGCAAGCCCCCCGCCCGCAAGGACGACCCCTTGCACGACCCCACCAAGGACAAGACCAACCTGATCGTCTACATCATCTGCGGGGTGGTGGCCGTCATGGTGCTCGTGGGCATCTTCACCAAGCTGGGGCTGGAGAAAGCGCACCGGCCCCAAAGGGAGCACATGTCCAGGTGGGCTGCCTCCCCTTCGCCCTCCCCTCGGGGCTTCGCTCTCCCTGCTCTCTCCTCCCCACCTTCCCCCAGGCAATGGCGCTCCCCACGGTCCCCGCTCCCCGCATCCCAGCCTCTCCGCTGGGGGATGTCACCGGGAAGCCAACTTCGGCTTGGAACACGGAGAAGGGGCGCTGGGCTCAGCACAGGTGTGGGTCTGAGCGTGTTCGTGTGTGTGTGAGCGTGTGTGTGTGTGTGTGTGACTCTGCTCCCTCACCCTCTGGCCGCCTCCTCCCGCTGGTGACTGAGGCGGACTTGAGACACGTAGCCTGGGAGCCCGTGGCCCCGAAATCTTCGGGTTTGGGGAGAGGGTCCATGGCACCCCTCGGATTCCAGGTGCTAGCTTTTTGGTAAACAGGGGCAGGCGAGCCCGAAAGGGGAGGGGGGCGTGTGTGAGCCCGAGCGCGCGTGTGTGAAGGAGGGAGGGTCAGAGTGAGTGCCGCCTGCAACTCGTACGACTCGCGAAAAGGAGACGAGGGAGGTGGAGTGAGGGGAGGGCGAGAACAAAAGCCTTGCTTGGAGCGGCCGCCTCGCTTTCCCAGAGCTTCGCCGTCCCTGGATTTGGGACCTCAGCTGCCCCCGCCCCTTTACCCACCTCATCCCTTTCTCTGGCCACCACTTCTCCCTGCCCGGGGCCGTGGCCATCGCTGCAGATTGAGCCCCTTGCCCTGGCTGGCGTGGACTCCGGGGGCCCGAGCCCCCTCCTCGCGCGCCCTCACTTCCAAGCACCCTGATTTCGTCAACTTTCGGGTTTGCCTTGTTCATTATGCAAGCCCCAGCACCAGCTAGTTCCAGCAGATGGGAGAAGGCTTTGGGGGATTAATGGAGCTATTTGCCTTTTGCTTTTTTTAAATTTTTTTTATTTTAAGTGTCTAAATCGATTCGCAAACTCCGTAACTTTGGAGGCGGAGGACGCAGCCACTAGGAGCACTAAGCCCCCGGCCGCGGGAGAGGCTGGGGGTTGGCGTGAGGTCCGGGCGGGCGGGGTGGAAGGAGTGACTAGCGGCCTGCGAACAGCTGGATGGTTGGGGCATAAGCTTTAACTGTCCCCTTTCAGAGTCTGGGCAACGAAGTCGCTGTATTTTTCTCTACCCTCTCCCCACCCCTTCTTCCGCGCCCCCTCTGCCGGGGGCCTGTGTGTGTGCGCGCGTGTGTGCACGCGCTCCGTGTGATGCCTAAAAAATCTGAACAAAGAGACCCACCAAAAATAGGCAAAGGAACATCACCACCTCACTAGTAATTATTTTCTATTTATACGCAGAGTATCCGATGAGATTTTTTTTTTTCCCCCAGAGAGAAGAGATTTTGGGGGAAGAGGTGAGGAAGTTCTCGGTTTGGGTCAGCAGGGAGCTGTGGGTGGATGGTGGGGTCTTGCTGCACAGAAGTAAGCTCCGAGGGGCTTCAAAGAAACCCTGACCTACTAAAGGAGTAAAGCTCTGGCCCCGCCCACCTTCCGCAACCACAGGGTGGCCTGTCCCCAGCCCCACCGGCCAGGCCAGTCCCTGTTAATTCCCCGGGTCTGTGTTAAGATGAGGGGAGAAGTGGTCTCAGGACTGAGGCAGCGGGTGTCGCCTTGGTAGGGAAAGATTGACTCCGAGACAGGTAGGCTGCCTTGCAGATTTGGTTAACTACTGCTGAAATCTCCATCAAGCCCTGCCCTCGCGAACCAGCTCTTAAAAGAGTCCTCCTTGATGGTTGGCCTGACGGGAGGTGAGCAGGTGGGGAGAGGAGCTAACCTTTGGGCATCTGTGGGAGAAAGTGATGCTAGATCAGCCCTCTTTGATCTGGGCGTTCTGGTGACAGCTCTCTACCGGTTACCCAAGGGCCCAACTTCCTGGTCCTGCCCCCGTGCAGCTCTGCTGGGGGAAAAATGAACACAGCTGAGCGGGTTGCAGCTACTTTCTTCTGCAGGTATAGGGAGGGTCGGCCTGGTGGCAGAATCTAGGGGACCCAGTCCTAGGGTACCAGAGCCTCAACACAGGTCCTCCCAGTATACATTTTTGAGAATTCCAGAATGGAGTGGAAGTGCATACTCCCGAAAAGAGAGTTGTTGATTTTTACTGGCAGCTTCTAAGGTATGATTTTCAACTGTAACTGCTGTGTAGTATTACCTAGAATGTTTTATAAAAAAAATCCTGTCACCAGGGGTCCCACCCTAGGCTACTTAGATCCAAATCTCTAGGGTGGGACCTGAGCATCTGTATTATTATTTATTTATTTTTTGTATTTTTAGTAGAGACGGGTTTTCACCATGTTGGCCAGGCAGGTTTTGAACTCCTGACCTCCAGTGATCCTCCCACCTCAGCCTCCCAAAGTGCTAGGACTACAGGCATGAGCCACTGTGCCCGATTGCATCTGCACCTTGAAAAGCTCTCCAGGTGATGCTAATGTGCAGCCAATCGCTGTTAAGGAAAAGGAACTAATGCCTGCTGAGCACTGTGCAGGGAGCCAGGCACTGTACTGGGGTGTGTGTGTGTGTGCAAGTAAACACTCTCTCATTTAGTTCTCACAACTATCTTATGAGACAGGTACTATTTTAATATTCACATACATGCAAGAAAATCATGGCTCAGGTGAGGTGCTGTGTCCAAGATCACACAGTTAGGAAATTATGCATTACCAGTCTCCTGGTTTTAATTGTGTCTGGGACAGATGTTTTCAGATTGAATAAACATCAGGATCTGGGGCAGTGTCCTAAAATGCAGATTCTTGAGTTCTATCCACAGAGATTGTGAATCAATAGGTTCTGGGTGGGCCCGAGAAATCTTCATTTAACAACCCCCACTCCCCTAATGGCTTTGAGATAAAGTGGTCCACACTTGGGGAAACATTGGTCTTGGGTTTGGGGATATTTCACAGGGCTGATGGAGGGATAAATTAATCCAGGAGAAAGGAGAGGAGCCACTGTGAATCTCTTATTTTATTTGCATTTTTTTTTTTTTTGAGGCAGAGTCTCGCTCTGTCACCCAGGCTGGAGTGCAGTGGCAGGATCTCCGCTCACTGCAACCTCCGCCTCCCAGGTTCAAGTGATTCTCCTGCCTCAGCCTCCTGACTGGCTGGGACTACAGGCATGCACCACCACACCTGGCTAATTTTTTTGAATTTTTAGTAGAGACAGGGTTCCACCTGGCCTGGGGTTGGCCAGGCTGGTCTCGAACTCCTGACCTCATGCGATCCTTTCACCTCTGCCTCCCAAAGTGCTGGAATTACAGGCATGAGCCACTGTGCCTGACCGTATTTGTATTCTGTTGCTTGTTTCTCAACGTATGTAACTTTTCTGTGGTGCTGGGGCTACCCCAGGTACCTGCCAAATGCATCCTGGGCTGCTTACGCAGTTAATCACTTGGAGTCCCAGCTATGGCAACTGACCCAGTAGCCTTTGCCGGATTGTGCCAAGGGTTGCTCCAGTGGGTGTCAACTTGCCAAGCTTGGCATCAGAGAGGCTGCTATGACACAAAGCAGCTTCCAGGTGAAATTAACCTGCCAGTCACAGGCAGCTTCCAGGTGAAATTAACCTGCCAGTCACAGCCTCTTAATTTTTGTCTGGAGCTGCAAGGGACCCTGAATGGGGGTTTGTTCTCATCCAGACTGAAAGCATATTCTCTTGAAAGACATAAAGTATGTTGTCGCACCCCCATTATAAACTTTGCCCCTAGTGACCAGTAAACTTGGGTTTTGCTGCAGAGGCCTCCAAGATACCAGTTTGCAGGTTCAGAGTCCTGGGCCTGTGGCCTGCTTGCTTCTGGGCTAATTAGGGCTGAGAAAAGGAGAAAGACAGCAATTCCAGGAAGCGGTGGGGGGAGGCTCGCATGGGATCTCGTAAGAACCGAACAAATGCCCATTGAGCAGCTGCAAGAGCAGCCACAGTCAGTCACTATTTATTAGAATAAATGACTGCACATGGCAGCCAGCTATGGATACCAAACCATGTAGTCATGCTTTGCTTGATCTGCAAGGTATTTCTACTTAGGTGTTTTTATTTTTAAGTTTTCCTCAATTTTGTGTTGTGAGAAGTTTTAAACATACAAAAAAACCTTGAAAAATCATAACATAACTTCACTATATCCTTTATCTAGATGAGGATTTCTCAACCTTGGCACTATTGACTGGAGAATCCTGCGTTGTACGGGGCTGTCCTGTGCATGGCAAGATATTTGGCGGCGTCTCTGGTCTCTGCCCACTGATGCTGGTAGCACACACTCCACACCCCAGTTTTGACAGTGAAAAATGTCATCTAAGGGCAAAGGGCAAAACTGGCCCCAGTTGAGAACCACTAACTTAGATTGAACAATTATTAGTATTTTGTCATAGTTGCTTTATTGCTCACACACTCTTTCCATATTTTTTTCTTTCCCTTCTCCTTCCCTCCATCCCCCTTCCCCCTTCCCTCCTTCCCTCCCTCCCTTCCTCCTTTGTTTTTTCCTTCCTTCCTTATTTCCTTCCTTCCTCTCTTCCTTTCTTCTTTTCTTCCTTTCCCTCCCTCCCTCCCTCCTTCCCTCCATCCCCCTTCCACCCTTCCCTCCCTCCGTCCCTCCCTCCCTCCCTTCCTTGCTTCCTTCCTCCTTTCTTTCCTCTCTTCCCTTCCTACCCTTCTTCCTTCTGTCTTCTTCCCTTCCTCCCTTCTTTGCTTCTTTTTTCCTTCCTCCCTTCCCTTTTCTCCCTTCTCTTTCCTTCCTTCCCCTCCCCTCTTCTCATCTTCTTCCCTTCCTCATTTTCTTCCTTCCCTCTTCCCCTCCCTCCCTTTCTTCTTTCTTTCTTGGCTGAAACATGTGAAAATAAGTTGCAGACATGACACTTAGTCCCTAATATCTCAGCAGGGGGCTTTCCTGAGAGCAAGGACATTTTCCTACACAGCACAATTCCATTATCACACCCAGGAAAAAGAGCAAAAATCCCGTAATATCATCAGACATCCAGTCATTTAAAAATTTCTCACTCGCACAAAAACAGGTCTTTCAGAGCTTGGTTTTGCACATCGGGACCCAGCTCATTGTATTTGGCTGTGAAATCTCTTTAGTCTCTATTATGCGTGGTGTTTTAAAACCAGCTGAGACTCAGTTGCCAACATTTACAAACTGGGAGATTTCACGCAGGAATCCAGATTCCTGATTTCTCATGAGAACTCAGTGGGTCTGGTGACATTGGATCTGCATTTTCACGCAGCAGCTATTGGTTGCCACTAAGTGATGACTGCCCCCTTCAGGAAGCTCTTGGGTTCATCTCAGTCACCACCTCCACCCAATTCACTCTGTTATGTTAACTGCAGCCTCTAGAGAGTCAGTCAAGTTGCTCTGCATAGCGCAGACTCCAGTCAGATGGCCTGAGATTCAATCTCAGCTCAGCCACTTAATAGCTGTGTGACCTTGGGAAGGTTGCTTCACCTCTCTGAGTCTCAGGCTGTTGTCTGCAGGTGGAGGATTCACTGAGACAGGGCTTGGAAAACAATGAGCTCAGGACCTGTCACAACTATTACCCTTTTATCATCATCCTTATTATTGACATTTTTTACCTCTTGTCTACTGAAGAGAATTATGTTGTCATCTGGATCTCGGTTACTAACCCTTGCTCTGCTATATTTATTTAACTGTGTGACATTGACCAAGTCTCCTAACCTCTCTGGACTTGCATTTGAATCTGAGTGGGAGGGGCTGGCAGGTGCAGAATAGGAGGGAGGGTCTATATGTGACTACGTTAAATACATTGCAAAGTGTTGGCCTAAGTGGTGTTGAAAAATCCTTGTTGGTTTTGCAATTTTGCCATAAGCTTATGTGTAAATTCTCGTTTAATTTCATACCCTTCCCCCATGAGGTAGGCTCTATGACAATCTGCTGTTTATGGAGGCACAGATTTCTTTCCAAGAGGACGAACCTGCCCCTGGAGAGTGGAGTGTCGGACTTCAAACCTGGACAGTCTGAGTGCACGGATCCTTGGCCGCTAGGCTGCACTGCGTTTGAGTGCAAACCTGCAGGAATTCCAGACTTCTCAGATCACAGAGAAGTACGCGATGCCCTGCAAACAACAGCTCATGCATCGGGGCCAGTTCAAGAAGCTACCGTAAGATGAAGTCTAGGAATGCTTTCTATATCGGCCCCGGCAGGCCCAGACGTCTTGGTGGAGGCGTTGGTGAGAAATGACCTTGGGGACAGAAGCACATATGTGAAGCTCTCTACACTTGAAGCCAGTAGGGAACACATGTCATTATTTTGTCCACCTTCAAACAGAATTGGAAATCCAAGTGGCAAATGGCAGATAAGGGTCCTGTGTGTTTTTAAAACATGCTTCAGAAGAACTGGCACCCCTTGGAAAGAAATAGCAACAAATAATGATAAATGCACCTCCTCCTCTTGCCTTTTGCCTTCCAGTTTCTCTCCTGCCTCTCATCTTTCTATGCATTTGTGGTTATCCTAAGGCTTTGACCAGCTTCCCAGGCTGGAGAAGTCCATGTGTGCATGCATCTACTGTTGGCCACAGAAAAGTCTTAATTTATTTTTCTTTGCAGGGTATGTTGACTTCTCTTTGGGCACTGAGTCCTTGCATTTTAAAAATCAACTTCATTGAAGTATAATTTACACAATAAAATGCACACATTGTAAGTGTGTAGTTTGATGAGCTTGGACAAATGTCTATACCTGTGTAATCATTACTCTAGAAAGCTCACTCATGCCCATTGCCCTTGCATTTTTGAAAAATAATTGATGCTTCTTGTGCAAGAAGAAGTGCTCAGGAACTCTATTCAAGTGTTTAAAAGTCAACACATAGATTGGACATTGGGATACCTGGAGGCTTTGAAGCAAGATACCGGGACTCTGAGTTCTGTTTGGAAATATTGGTGTCATATATTTGTCATTGTAATTGGAAAGAAAAGAGATGCACCATTTTCTTCTTGTTCTTTGGATAAGCTAAGCTCATTCCCATCTTGGAGCTGTTGCACTGGCCCTTGTGTGGCTGGTCCCTCCTCATCACCAGGGTCCCAGCTCCAATGTCATCTTCTCTGAGAAGCCGTCCCTGACCAGGCTTAGTTGCTTCCCACCCCAGCCTGACACACTCCAGCCCATCACCCAGTCAGTGTTATTTGCTTCATTTTTACATTATGGTCTAAAATTAACTTGCTAGTTTACTGGTTTACTAGTTTATTATCTGTCTCCTTCCATTATCCCTCTCCTTCCCTCCTTCCCTTCCCCTTCCTTCCTTCCTTCCTTCCTTCCTTCGAGACACAGTCGTACTCTGTCACCCCGGCTGGAGTGCAGTGGTGTGATCTTGCCTCACTACAACCCCTGCCTCCTGGGTTTTAGCGATTCTTCTGCCTCAGCCTCCCGAGTAGCTGGGACTACAGGCACCCACCATGATGCCAGGCTAATTTTTGTATTTTTATTGGAGACAGGGTTTCACCATGTTGGCCAGGCTGGTCTCGAACTCTTGACCTCAAGTGATCCACCTGTCTCGGCCTCCCAAAGTGCTGGGATTACAGGCATGAGCCACTGCACCTGGCCCTTTTATTATTCATAGTAAGACACACAGGGACCACAATTGTCTCTTCTACTCAGTAGTTGGATTCTGAGTGCCTAGTTCAGTATTTGGCAAGTAAGAGTTCTGCATTTGATATCCTGGTTTACCTGGCACAACAAAGTATCTCCAAATTCATTCATTCATTCTTTCATTCATTCGATAGGTATTTACTGAACATCTAACTTATGCCCAACACTGTGCTGAGAGATATGAGATAACCATGAATAGTACAAAAGCAATCCCTGCCCTTGAAGAGCAAACAGCCAAATATCAGGAGACAGGTAACACACAAGGAAATGTACAAGAAAGTTGAGCCAGCACTTTTATAAGTACTGGTTCTAGTACTAGCTTTCATAAGAAAGTACTGGTTCTAGTACTAGCTTTCAGTACTCTCTTGTGAAATTTTCAATATTCAGTCATTTCAACCTCAAAAATGGCAACATAATTATGTTTCAACATAATTGTTGTTTTAAACAAACAATTTTGTTTCAACATAATTCTCCTGAACTGGGTGGAAGGCTATCAAGAAAAAGCTTAGCTTCTTCTTCAGGTAACTGCAAGAGACAGGGTTCTCTAGAGAAACAGAACAAATATACAAAGAGATTCATTATAAGGAATTGGAAGTCCAAAATCTCCAGAGCCTCTGTACTTGTACAAGTCTGAAGGCCGACAGGCAGGAGAATTCTCTCTTTTTGGGGCAAAGGTCAGTGTTTTGTTCTATCCAGGCTTTCAGATGATTGGTTGAGGCTCACTCACATTAGAAGGGCAATCTGTCTTACTGCCATTAGAATGCAACCTGTTTTACTTAGCTTACTGATTTCAATGTTAATCTATTTCAAGAGCACCCTCACAGAAACACCCAGAATAATGTTTGATGAAATATCTGGGCACCCTGTGACCCAGTCAAGTTGACACATGACACTAACCATCACAGTACGCTTAGGGTCTTGTCACTCGGAGTGTGGCCTGTGAACCAGCAGCATTTTTATCTTCTGGGAGCTTGGGCACGATCTCAGGCCCCACCTCCTGCTTATTGATTCAGAATCTGCATTTTAACAAGATCCCCAGGTGATCTGGATGCACCGTAACATCTGAGAAGCACTCAAACTATGTGCCGCAAACAAACGCCAAATTCTTAGGCATTTGTGTGGCTTGGAGCACATAGTTGGTTCTTTCTACTGTCTAATTCATTACATTTTTTCAGCACATTCCTGTCTATAAAATGTTTTTTTGTATGCACCCCAATATATGCACATTTATAAGCATATGCATGAACCCACGAACAATGATTAGGTACATTATGAAGCATACGTAAGGACAGAAATTTCAAACCAAGCTTGAGGGTGAAATAAATATTATTTGAAAACCTGTTGCTAATTGTGATGACTTCATACTATCATTAGTTACTATCTCAATGCATAATGTACAGTGACGGGTGAAGTTTATCATTAATAAAAAAAATCTGGATTTTAACCATTCCTCCTGAGCATTTTCATTATTTTTATCTGACTTTGTTTTGATCTCAATAGACTGTAATTGTTTTACCCTTGTGAGAAGCTTTTGAAGAGAAGGGAGGGGAGTCCAGTTTAGTGTTTTCTTGTGCTTGCATGATCAGTGCTATCTTCAGGCTGTAGTTTTGTTAAGAAGGGGGGCATTTTTAAACCACATGTCTGCTTTGTGATGGTTAGCCAAGTCAAAAGTATTAGGTCGGTGCAAGAGTAATTGCAGTTTTTGCCATTACTTTCAATGTCAAAAACCACAATTACTTTTACCCCAAGCTAATAAATAATTTAATCTGTGCATCCCCTTTGGGGGCACATATAATTGCCATACAGGCAGCACATCCCAGCGACGGGACTGCTGGTGGTCATCTTCCTTGGTCCAAGGTTCCTGATTCCTGCCATCTTACATGGGCCTTCTGGGAGTGGGTGCCAGCATCAATACACGTAAGACCATACAAAAAAGTTCTGACATTTCCTTCCCCATACCAAATCGGTTTATGCAGTCCCTGGAGTGAGCGAGCCCCACTTCAAAGACTCTTTGTCCAGGAAATGAAGGTCCCTAAAGACTCTTCATTTCTGCCGCACACTCTAGGAAGGGCTGCCCTGGGGAAAAGTGTCCTTGGACTTTGGGGCTGAAATTTCACAAATTTTGGTACTCAAGAGAAGCCCAGGGGATCTGCGGATGGCAGAACCGACCAAGTTCACAGTAGCCATTCTGATTACGTACTTTGTTATCCTTTCAAAAGCCTGAATAGTTCGGAGTTTTGGGGCGCGGGAGAGTGGGGGACTTCTTAGAAAATCCGATAAAAGTGATGGCTTCTTGCTCGAGAAACATGCACAAACACAATTTCTATGCAGTTTCAGAGGATTCAGCGATCCCCTGAAGCTCAGCATGAAGAGCCTGTTTACAAGTGAAAAAGGCAAGTTAGGTTTGGAAGGCCTCTGTCTTTTGTCTCAAAACTTTCTTTCCCTGTAGCCCCTTTGAGTTTCAGACCCTGCTTATTGCACGGAGGTTGCAAGGAGCCCAAACTTTGATTTCAAAGACGTTCAGGATTGCATCTCCTCCCAATCCCCGCACTGCTTAGTGAGTTCACGTGGGCAGTATTTCACTCTGTGAAACAGGTGATGCTGATGGACACCTTGTCACGTGCCCCTGCTCGTTGGCCCTCTTCCAGTTCCATTGGCCTTCTTGCTTGTTCTCCGAATATCTCAGCTCTTTTCTGTCTCAGGGCCTTTGCACTTGCTGTTCTTTCAGCCTGGAATGCTCTTCCCATCATCTTCACGTGTCCAACTCCTCGCTGTTCAAGGCCCATCTCCAGTGTCACCCCCTCACAAAGGCATTTCCTGATTTACACCGAATCTCTCCCTCCTTTCTATTTGTAACTTAAAAAAAAAGTATACAGTTCAGTGGTTTTTGGTATATTTAAAAAGTGTACTTTAAAAAAGTATAGTGTGCGATTCAATGGTTTTTAATATATAGGTTGGTGCAAAAGTAATTGTGGTTTTTGTCATTACTTCTTTTTTTTGGCGGGGAGGAGGGGGACTGAGTTTCACTCTTGTTGCCCAGCCTGGAGTGCAGCAGTGTGATCTCAGCTCACTGCAATCTCCACCTCCTGGGTTCAAGCAATTCTCCTGCCCCAGCCTCCTGAGTAGCCGGGATTACAGGTGCCCACCACCACGCCCAGCTAATTATTGTATTTTTAGTAGAGATGGGGTTTCACCATGTTGGCCAGGCTGGTCTTGAAATCCTGATCTCAGGTGATCCACCCGTCTTGGCCTCCCAAAGTGCTGGGATTACAGGTGTGAACCACTGCAACCAGCCCATTTTTGTCATTACTTCTAATGGCAAAAGTTGCAATTCTTTTTGCACTAATCTAATACTTACAAAGTTGTGCCACCATCATCACTACTTACTCCAAGTCCAGTATCTAATTCTAATAAGGTTTTAATCACCCTTACAAAAAAAATCCATATCCATTAGCAGCCACTTTCCTCTCCCCTCACTGTGTCCCCTGGCAACCATGAATCTACTTTCCATCTTTATGGATTTGCCTGTTCTGGACATTGGATATCAATGGAATCATACAATGTGTGGCCTTTTGTATCTGGCCTCTTTCACGGGGAATAATATTTTCAAGATTCATTTACGTTGTAGCAGGTACTAGTGCTTCATTTCTTTGTACGGCTGGAGAATATTCCATTTCCTGTAACACATCTCGTGTGTCCATTCATCAGCTGACGGCCATTCAGGTTGTTTCCGCTTGTTGGCTATTGTGAAAATTGCTGCTGTGTCCCAGGCTCTCTTGATCACATTACTCTTATTTATTTGATTTGCAGCCCTCGTTTATTTATTTCTTTTTTGTTTGTTTTTCTTTTTTTTTTTTTTTTTGAGATGGAGTCTTGCTCTGTCGCCCAGGCTGGAGTGCAATGGCGCGATCTCGGCTCACTGCAACCCCTGCCTCCCGGGTTCAAGCAATTGTCCTGCCTCAGCCTCCCGAGTAGCTGGGACTAGGGGCATGCTCCACCACGCCCGGCTAATTTTTGTATTTTTAGTAGAGATGGGGTTTCACCATGTTGGTCGGGCTGGTCTCGAACTCCTGACCTCGTGATCTGCCCACCTCGGCCTCCCAAAGTGCTGGGATTACAGGCGTGAGCCACCGTGCCCGGTAGTTTATCTACTTAACATGTTTGTTTATTTTTTTTTTAAATCTTCTCCCATAGAATATAAGCTCCAGGAAGGCAGCAACCTTGTTCATCTTGGGCACTGCTGTATCTTCAGGGCCTTATATAGTGCATGGCACATAGTAGACGATAAATATTTGTTGAAACAATGAAAGAATGATAGCTGTTGTTATTCTCTTGTCTCTTAGCAGACTCAGTCTTTTCCTCTCATTCATATGGGGCTCTTGCTGTTGTGGCTTCTCACAACGCAGCTGTTGTGAGAAGCATGTGCACTAGTCCACGTAAAGTCCCTATGTAATCTCTGTCTCACAGCCGAGATGTCTCCTCACCAGCTCTAGTTCTTACCCTATCATTCCATTGCCCCGTGATCGACAGTTCCCCATGCTTGGGGCCTGTGTGGCCTTAGCACGGTCTCAAATTTGAATGTGTAGCAGATTCTTGCAGGTTGCTGGGTGAACTCCACCCCTGTAGTTTCTGACTCAGGAGGGCTAGATGGATCTGAAAATTTGCATCTTAACAAGTTCCCAGGCGACACTGCTAGGACACTGACACCGTTGATAGGTGGACTGTTGTTTGAGAATCGCTGCTGTAGTACGGTAAGTTCCAGCAGACAGGCTGGGCCTGCTGAATTCATGGGTGGTCTGCGTGGGTTGCCCCCAAACAGCTCCTCTTCCGACTCTGTCTCCCAGTGTGTGGGCTTAGAGGGCTCTGGCCAGCTAAGGGCATGGGGGTATATCCCCAAACACGGCAATTCTACTTGTGGGTTTGCACCCTGGAGAACTTCTCTGTGGTACAGAGGAGGCCGGTATGAAGATGTTTATTGGCCAGCTGCGGTGGCTCGTGCTTGTAATCCCAACACTTTGAGAGGTGGAGGTGGGAGAATCTCTTGAGGCCAGGAGTTTGAAACCAGCCTGGTCAACATAGTAAGACCCTGAGACCACGTCTCTACAAAATAAAACAAAGTAGCTGGGGGTGGTGGCATGTGCCTGTGGTCCCAGCTATTCAGGAGGCTGAGGAGTTCGAGGCTGCTGTGAGCCATGATCACACCACTGCACTCCAGCCTGGGTGACAGAGCAAGACCCTATCTGAAGAAAGAAAAAGATGTTTATTGCAGTGTTGTTTATCGGGGCTGGGGAGTTGGTGACCATCTAGATGGCCATAATTATGGAAATAACAAATGGGGCTGATAGTCTGCTGGTTTGCAATGATGGCAGCTGTTTGTAGCTGCCATCCATTCTGATGGGTTTCTGATGGGCCAGTTCCTCCACCATACTAATTATTGCATATGAAGGCTCATTCCTGAAGGTAAGTGAAATGTGGGGATTGCTTATGACGGAATACTATGCAGCGGCTGCAAGGGATGGAAGGGTTTCACATTCAGCAATATGGCTAACACTCACGTGTGAACAAAGGAAGAAACGGAATGAGGTTTAGGGTAAAAACACTGTTTATGTAAAAGACACACACATATACAACAATACCTACAAAAATATATATCTTTCAAGGATATTCATATGATCTAAATAAACACATGATGGAGTGTAAAGAGAAAAAATGCATTGGTAGGTCTGATCTTGGGTGTGGTATCTGTTTGACAGCTCTCTGGTCTGTTCTACGTATGAACACTGAGTTTTTTTTTTGTGTGTGTGTGTGTGTTTTTTTTTTTTTTTTTTTGCTAAGTTTACATCTAATCATGAAGGTCACTGTCACAGGTTGAATTGTGTCTCCATCCCCCTGCACACTCCAAAAATACTCAGGCTCAAATTCTTGTGCCACAACTTACTGGCTCTGTGACCTTGAGCAGGTCGATTCACCTCTCTGAGCCTTTGTTTACTTATCTGCAAGGAGTAATAATCCTCATAATGTGTTTTGTGCTGTTTTGTTTAGTTAAGACGTAATGCGATTAGCGTGGTGCCTGGCTTATGGCAAATACTCAATAAATGTTATCTACTGTTACTAATACTGGGCCATTGCTGTACATGAAGAGTTTGTATCTAGTGTTAGATATAAAGAGAGAACTAAATCTATGGAGTGCAGACACATTATATGTATTCATCATTTAATCCTCTTAAAAACTCCGTGGGGTAGATAGTCCTGTTATTACATGGCTGCTGTGAGAAGCATATGCAGTAGCCTGCGTAAAGTCCCTATGTAACCTCTAATTACAGTGATTTTATTTACTTACGTTTTTCTCTACTCCACCCCTAACTAGAATGGTGGCTCCATGGAGTAATCCGCCTTGCCATTTGTTCGCGACTGCAGTACTCGGCGCATAGCAGCTGCCAGTCATTGTGTTTTGAATGAACAGATTTAAATTCTTTCTTCTTTCAGGGCCCTTGCGGATGTCATGAGACCACAGGGCCACTGCAACACTGATCACATGGAGAGAGACCTAAACATCGTTGTCCACGTCCAGCATTATGAGAACATGGACACGAGAACCCCCATAAATAATCTTCGTAAGTACAGCTGCATGAACCATTTCCAGTCCCATGGGGTGACCTGAGCAGTGGTCACATTGCCAGATTTCGTGGAGTGTGCTTGGGTTAGTTAAGAGCTCTTTGTGGGCAAGTTAGAAGCTTTCTTTCATGTCTTTTGGATGAAGCTGAATTTAGCATCATCCGATGTCCGTTGGTTGCTTTCTTTGTTAAATGGCGATCCACTTGGTTGGTTTCACATGATTGATACTTTTAGCTAGCAGACTGCTCGACTGGTTCATCTTGATTGATTTATTAACTAGATTAGTGGCCCTCTTGGTTGTTTCATCATGGTTGGATACTTAGTTAACCAATGGATTATTGGGTTAGTTCATTTTAGCTAGTCAATCTGTTAGCCAATGGTCTGCTAGCTTATACGTCTGCCTCCTGAGGTAGACCAGTTGTGACTTCTAGGTTTCATGCTGTTTTCAATTATGAAATACTAGTTCAGAAGAATTATGTCTATTCTTTGTAACGCTAGAGTTTCATAAAAATAATCCACAGAATATTCCGTGTGTAGGGGGTGCAGGGAGTGGTTATTGAATTTCGGTCCTGTTGATTTGAGGTTCCTCTGTATGATTCAACAGCAGCAAATTCGTTTCCATTGTTCTGCCAGGGGAAAAAAAAAACTGTGTTTGCTATTGTGTTTCAATAGGTATTTTTCACAGAGCATGACTGGGGATCTTGGTATACTCCCAAAGATTTTCTTTCCTTTCAAAGGTCTGTATATACAATATACATCGTGGAGCTGATGCTCTGACCTATGAGACTGGAGAAAAAATAAGATTGTTTAGTTTTTGACAATAATGTAATACTGTGGTTACCCCAGTAATTATGTTTTCAAGTAACCCCCACATTAAAGTAATGTGGAGGGTTTGGTTTAAAATAACAAAAGCCAGACAATTTAAAGAATGCATTTAGTTGTGGCTGGAGGTTCCTGAAAACAGAAACAATTCTAATGATGCACATTTTTACAGACTGGGTCGTCTTTGCTGAGGCTCCACTAGGAGTTGCCTGGGTGTTTTATTTGCTGAATCATAGTTTTGGACTGTTTGGTTGCAAATTCTTATGCTCAGTGGGTAGAGGAAGAAGCCTGTGGAATTTGACCTAGGCAATGTGAATTCTCTGATTCTGCCTAGTGATGATTTTTCATGGTTTGGAAATTGTTGCAGTGTGTTAGTAAAGTCAATGTTTGCATGGTTTGAAAAATAGGCCACCAAATAGGATGTGTTAGGTTTAAATATATTAAATAATTTAACATTATTAGTGAACTGGATCACAAAAGGGTATGAGAAATAGCAACATTTTAGAACAAAATACACCAGCAAATGGAAGTTTTATGACCAAATCCCATAGCCCCCCGAAGATATGGTAAATGGCATCAATTCTGACACGGCAGTTGCTGTGTCCGATTCTGGCTTTAATGGAAATGAGCACATTTTCTTTCAGTTCGCACTGGGAAATAAGTTGAACCTAGTCGTGTGCTTCAGTCCCAGACATCGTATACAAATGAACATGATCACAGAGCAGAGAAATTGAAAGGGTGTCAAGTCCTTGGCTGTAAAAGGTGATTGCTAACAGGATTTTCCCTTGAAGTTCCAATCTCTAGGATGATTTTTGAATCAGCACTCAAATGAAATAACAAACTCATTGAAGTCACCTAAGTTTCATCATTCCATCAGGTGGGCGGGAAACCTTAATGAATGTTGCTTACATAAGGCGTTTTCATTGAAAGTTGTACTGAAAATGGATTACTGCTCAGAGATGGGTGTCCAGGGACAGAAGTCTCTTGCGCCAGGCTGCTTTGGTTTATTTATGATTCTTGCGTTTGGTCTATATTTGTGCCTAAGTAATCAGTGATCTTTTACATCAAGGGAGAAAGTGTCTCATAATAGTGTACTGGGTAGCACTAGACTAGAGAATTCCTGGGAAGCTACAGGGGAGAATTCTAGAAGTCATTCTACAAACACTACATTCTTACAAGAATTGCCCAGATATTAATTTTATATAATCCTTCCAGGTTGATCCAATTCTTCTTTCCTAGCATTGTTGGGAATATCTGAATAACAAAAATAAGAAGAATGTGACCTTTTCACCGGTTTATATTAATAAGCTTAATATATGTAACACATTAATTCAGCAGCCGACAGTAATAACAGATTTCCTTGTTTATCTTTTTATTGATTTACAGGAGCTACTTACATATTATAGATACAGAAAAACATTTGTATGTTCAGATGAACAGATGATTTGAGGAGTGCATTGAGAGAATAGGATGAGATAACTGATATTAATCAGTTAAGGGTTTAAGAAGCCAAGCAGTCATCAGAGAACATTTTGATTGATAGCAAAGTAGAAGGGAAGGTATCCAGTCTGATAAATGGAAAATTAGACCAGCCCTTTGTGCCAGAACCAGAAGGCACCCATTTAATATAAAACCCTTCCCTGGACATTATGAGATGTACAAGGATTTACCATTACACAAATTGGAAAGAATGATGCATCTATTTGTGAAACACCAAGAAGGGCACGTCATGCTATTTTCAGTTTGTTCTTCACTGAACATCCAAGTTGTTAGATTTGACTGAGGATTCACTAGTCTCAAGTTAAATGTCATTTTCATGTCTATTCAATCACCCACTCAACATTGCTTTAAGAGAATACTAATCTCCATCTATTTCTCTCTTCTTATCTTAATATTAACCTTAGGTCTCTTTCTATTCTTTCTCTTAAGTTTTAGTCAAATGGTAAGATAATAGCCAGTGTAGAGATCTGGATATTTGGGAAGAGGGCCATGGAGAGAGACTTGGGTGAAGGTGAACTGGGAGGAAAGAGAACATTTTTGTCAACGTTTCTACATTAATTTTCTGGGGTTGATTTTTCCTGTGATATATTGGACTTGCCTTTTTATCTAAAGACGGATTTTTCTTCAGCGGATGCTGTTCATGTTCTTTCCAGGCATTCAGTGATATTGCCTAAAAATATTTAGTCTGATAATCAAAAGGGCCTCAACCTCTTTGATTAACAGGATGTAGTTTCCTGTGAGATGGTGATTTTCTGCAAATGCTCCTCAGCTTCTGTATAATTATCGTTTGTTTTTGAAGGCACATTTTGTCCTTAAGTGCTATGAACATACCCTACCTCCTGCACCCCGACTTCCCTGACTGCCAGTGACACCCCTCTCCCCCTTTCGGGGTTCAGGCTGCATGTAGGTTCCCTTTGGTCTTCTTAAGGATGGAAGACGTGAGTGAGGGGCTGTGGCTACAGCCTGGATCAACGTTTCTCACTCATTTGTGTTCACAGCACACTTCTTGAAATACAGTTTTTGTTTCAAGTCGTGGGTACGGGGAGGGGGGAGGGATAGCATCAGGAGATATACCTAATGTAAATGAACAGTTAATGGGTGCAGCACACCAACATGGCACATGTATACATATGTAACAAACCTGCACGTTGTGCACATGTACCCTAGAACTTAAAGTATATATATATATAAAAGAAATACAGTTTTTGTTTCTGAGTACTTTTAAAAATATTTACAGCAGAAAGGTTGCAAAGATAGTACCCAGAAAAATGAATAAGACCTACTGTTTGATAGCACAACAGGGTGACTATAGTCAATAGTAACTTACTTAACTGTAAGTTTTAAAATAACTTAAAGAGTGTCATTGGATTGTTTGTAACTGAAAGGATAGATGCTTGAGGGGATGGATGCCCCATTCTCCATGATGTGCTTATTTCACATTGCATGCCTGTATGGAAACATCTCATGTACCCTACAAATATATACACCTACTATGTACCAGCAAACATAAAACAACAACAACAACAAAAGATAGTACACAGAGTTCTGTATACTCCTCACCCACTCTCCCCAATATCAACATTTGACATCACCAAGGTACCTTTGTCAAAACTAAGAAATCAACGTGAGTACTTTCCTTTTAGCTAAACTGTAGACATGTTTGGATTTTGCTAGTTTCTTCACTAATATTCCTTTTCTGTTCTAGAGTCCCATCCAGGATACCACGTTGTCTTTAATAGAGCACACTTTGATCATAGAATTTTGGTTGTGCAGTATTGCATAATGATGTGGTAAAGACAGGAAACAACACTAAACAAGCCAGAAGCGATTACAAAGACTTTACTGCCACAGTGTAAAACGTGTTTCCTAGTGTCTATAAAAACAACTACATAAAATTACTCTCTTTGGGTCAGTGTTGGAATGGAACCAGTTGTTGGTCTGACTGTGCTCTTGTATATGTTCATAGGACAAAGACTTTCATATTCCATATACCCTTACAACCACTCTTTGAAACCGGGTTATGCGATAACATAAATCATGATGTTACGTGATTTAGTTTGCAGCATAACCTGAGCAAGTAAGGAGAAATGATGACTTGATGTTTTAGAACATAAAATCCATCAGAAAGAGCAGGATGCTATTCCAGCCGGTCACACCCTGACTCTCCTAGGACAGTTCCCAAACGGACTTACAAGGAATCCCAAAGCAGACCTGCGGCTTAGTTTCTGAGGACGCTGTATAGCTCATATCTAGGACCATTTATGAGTCCATATTTACCGAGGCACCTGGGATGTCCTACACTTAACTTTTGAAAATATTCCCAAGTATTTTAACATATTTGGGAGATTGAGCATGGCTCAGACCTGTAGTCTCAGTGCTTTAGGAGGCAAAGGCGGGAGGATCGTTTGAGGTCAGGAGTTCGAGACCAGCCTGGGCAATAAGATGAGACCCTGTCTCTAAAAAAAGTAAAAATAATTTGAAAAGTAATTGGGCATGGTAGTTCACACCAGTAGTGACAGCTAGTTGGGAGGCTGAGGTGGGAGACTGAACCCAGGAGGTCCAGGCTGCAGTGAGCTATGATCACACCACTGCACTCTAGCCTAGGTGACAGAATGAAACTCTGTCTCTATTAAAAAAAATTAAAAATTTTGAGGGAATTTCCTAGCCAAGGCAGACAAAATGATAAGTATAGATCGAGGCATATATAACAGTAAAAAATATGTAAGATAGTGTAATATCAGCAGTGACTTACACAGATAACATTATAAAACTCCAAAACATGGATTCCTCAAAACCTTATTAGGCTGATACTATTGTTTTTGCCATCATAAGGATGGGGAAACTGAGGCTCAGAGTGGTTAGGTGGCTTGTCTAAAGTTTGTATAGCTACTTAGTGGTGACACTGGGATTTGAACTGAGCCAGTCAGGGCCCCAAGGTCTGTGATTATAACCACTACATTCTATTGCCTTTTCTTGTGATACAGGTGTTTGCAGTGTGAGTGGGTCTTCCTCTGGGAGTAGAAACTATTGAAAGATATGCTAAGTAAATGGAAATATCCATTGGCATTTTAGGAAAGAGAGCTGTTTCCAAAATATACATCCAATTTACAGCCTTACTAACAACTAACATTTATTGAGCAAGTTACTACATGGTTTGAATATATTAGCTCATTTAGTTCTCAATCAACCCTCAAAGAGCCAGGCTCTATTCTGCCCCAGGGGCTTTGCACCTGTTGTGCTTCATGCCTACAGCACACTGCTCCAGCCCTCTGTGCATCTGATCTTTCCTCTTTCACCTCATACCCCAGTGGCTATCTCATTAGAGAGGACTTCACTGTCTACATCTGCCCCTCAAGTCATCCATTATTTCCCATTTCCCCAACCTTTTCTTTTCTTTTTGAGATGGAGTCTCGCTCTGTTACCCAGGTTGGAGTGCAGGGGCACGATCTTGGCTCATTGCGACCCCTGCCTCCCAGATTCAAGCGATTCTCCTGCCTCAGCCTCCTGAGTAGCTGGGATTACAGGCAGATGCCACCACACCCGGTTGATTTTTGTATTTTTAATAGAGATGGAATGTCACCATGTTGGCCAGGCTGGTCTTGAACTCCTGACCTCAGGTGATCCACGTGCCTTAGCCTCCCAAAGTGCTGGGATTACAGGTGTGAGCCACCACACCTGGCCCCCATTTTCTTTATAGCATTTTGTTCTCTTGGAAGTTGTCTCACTCATTATTTTATTTATGCCTCTTCTACTACAATGTAAGCTGCAGGGGAGAAAATGCTTTCTATTGTCACAACTGTACCGCCCCTGCCCCACCAGGAACTGGGCTGACTCATGGCAGCAGCTCTATACATTTTATTTTTTATTTTTGTAGAAATGGGTCTCACCAAGTTGCCCAGGCTGGTCTTGAGCTCCTGACCGCAGGTGATCCTGCTGCCTCAGCCTTCCGAGTAGCTCTATACATTTCTGTCCAATGAATAAAAAAGCCCATGGAAGATACTCTCATTTGATGAATGAGAAAATTGAGATTGGTGGAAATTAAAGAACTAATCTACCATGATGACTGAGGTTTGCTTCAAACATACTCCATATAAAATTGTGGGAGATGGGGCCAGGTGCAGTGGCTCACACGTGTAATCCCAGCACTTTGGGAGGCCAAAGCAGCAGATCCCTTGAGGCCATGAGTTTGAGACCAGTCTGGCCAATGTGGCGAAACCGTGTCCCTACAAAAACACAAAAATTAGCTTGGTGTGGTGGTGCATGCCTGTAATCCCAGCTACTTGAGAGGCTGAGGCATGAGAATCACTTGAACCTGGGAGGCAGAGGCTGCAGTGAGCTGAGATCATGCCACTGCACTCCAGCCTGCATGACAGAGCAAAACTCTGTCTCAAAAAAAAAGAAGAAGAAATTTTGGGAGACGGTAATGAAACAGTCGGAAAAATATTGAGATTTATTGTAGCTGGTTAACCAAATACATGGGAGTTCATTATTCTATTCCATGTTTGTGCCTATTTGAAAATATATATAATAACATATTAAAAAATAGAGGAAAATTAGCTGGGCGTGGTGGTGGGCGCCTGTAGTTCCAGCTACTTGGGAGGCTGAGGCAGGAGAATGGCATGAATCTGGGAGGCGGAGCTTGCAGTGAGCCGAGATCACGTCACTGCACCCCAGCCTGGGCAACAGAGCAAGACTCCATCTCCAAAAAAAAAAAATTAGAGGAGTTATCAGTGACATCATAGTTAATAAATAGAGGATCCAGGATTCAAACCCAGGTCTGTCCGACTCCACAGCTTGCACATGCTTTGTCTCACAGTGAATATTTGAGTCTCAGGAGGGGTAGGGATCAGGACCATCTCAAGAACTTCAGGAGGTAGACTGAGAAAAGCATCTTTTCTTAGTCCAAATTATCCAGAGAGAGAGAGAATATGAGTGGTTTCCAGCCAGTCAGTGGTCTGGCTTCAGTCAATGGATCAGTGGTCTGACCCTGCTTCCATCAGTTGAGTGGGGTGGCGTGCATTTTAGGATTATTCCTTAGCACTGTAGTGGAGCAGGTTCTCCAAGAAAGGTGTGCATGAGGAGGGAAAGGCGAGGTAGACGGCTGTTTGAATCTTCCTTGGGGGTGGGCAGGGATGCATTTGCTTTATTCATCCCTGTATTGCCAATGTCTAGACAATATGCTGTATTCAATAAATAGTTATTGAATGAATGAATATATGAATGACTCTTTAGCACAAACTTGATTAAAAGCCCAGTGAAACTCTAGGACTCTTAGGATTTTGAGTTTTGAGAGAACTTGACTAATTTCAACTCATGTGAAGGTTTGATTCTTTTCTAGGAAGTCACAGCCACCAACATTCTTATTCCTGAAACTTAGTTCTTTTTCATAGTTGGGCAGACTAGTTGTTCTATCTGAAGATCTATGATTCTAAGGGTTTTGGCATATGGGTTAGTAAATTAAGTAGTTACTAAGAGTGAGGGGATGCTCTACACTAGATTAGCTAAAATATGTTTGTAGGTTCAGCACAGTAGCCTGAAATGAGTTTGATTGTTTTAGATCAAGAAATTGGTTTTTCTCTTGAGGTATGGTATTAAGTGGTATAGATGGATCTCTGACATTGAACATGGCTTTGAGGGAGTGCAATGAAGAAGTGGGGGACACAGACTTGAGGGGTAGACAACCAAGATTGGGTATTTGCTGTGTACTTGTTCACTGTGCAGTCTTGGAAACATTAATCAAATTCTCTGAACCTCAGTTTCCCATTCTATAAAAGGAGTAAAACTATGTCTACCTTACAAGGTTGTTGTGAGGATTAATTAACACATGTAAAGAACTTAGCATAGTGCCTGGTAACATAAATATTAGTTGTTACTAATATTGTTTGTAGAATGAGTGACTATTGGTGCGAAAGTTGGCTGTTCATTAGGGGACAATGATACAAATCGGCATGAATTCATTGTGCAGTTGTCTTCACAGTGAAAATGTTTTCACTCTGCGTGCCAGTTGATAACACCGTGTGTGTGTGTGCATGGGAGTGTTTGTTATTACTAATGTTTCAATGCAGATGAGAAATGAAGAAACCGTCAATTCCTTCCCAAGGAAATAGCTTGGATGGAGCAGCTGTCCTGTTCTTTGCCATTTGTTCCTGTCTTACGGTTTTCTTCTCTTTCCACTTAAAACACATGAGCTTTTGTTCTGTTAGGAATTACTGATTATTTTGTCTTACTGGCAGACCAGGTCAGTAAGAATCTGTATGGTCCCCAGCATGTCTTATATTTGCACCCAGAAAATGAGATTGTGTGTGTGTATGTGTGTGTGTGTGTGTGTGTGTGTGCAAGCAACAGAGAAAGACAACCCTTAAAGGGAAAAAAATCACTTTCTGTAAGTTGTCTCCTGGGCTCTTTTCAAAAATTGCTACTAATGCTGGCCACATGGCATAGCCTAATTAGATTTGCATTGCCTTTCCCAAGTGCTTCCAACCAGCTGTAGGACTATTTGTAAAGAAAGCCTAAGTGCTCAACACAGTGTCTGGTTTAGTTTAAAAGATGCCAAGTTCTGTTCCTTCCATACCAGGGAAAGCTTATCCTTGGACACGTTTCTTTTCATAGAGCATTTCTATTGGAATATCTGGATTAAGTGATAGGAAATGCCTACTATAGCATTGATACTTAGTGTGGATTGAAAGGAGTAATAAATAAAACAATTGCTTTTTTTCTGTACTTATCACATGCATGCTCTTTTTGGTATTATTATTATTATTCTTTTTAGTAGAGATGGGGTCTCGCTATGTTGGCCAGGCTGGTCTTGAACTCCTGACCTCAGATGATCCACCTGCCTCGGCCTCCCAAAGTGCTGGGATTACAGGCGTGAGCCACCGTGCCTGGACTGCATTTTGCTTCTCACAACATCTTCATAAAATAATTGAAATGTGTATTGCACTCACATATTGTAGATGAAGAAACTGTGACTCAGAGAGTTTAAGTAACCTGCCCAAGGTCACAGAGATATTTGCTGAGTAATTCAAACCACAGACATGAACTATGTCTACCTGGCTTTAAACCTTATACTCTAGTTATGACCTTTCTCATGCCTTTCTAAAGGACCTATACTGGGCGATATACCAGATTATGCCTCTTTTTCTATTTGTTTTCCTTACTGATTGATCCCTGCTGAGAATTGCAGTATTAGACTACATTCACCTTTGAAAATGGACCAACCGAGATAAAGTCACCATTTCTGTCCTGGAGGACTCAGATTTTAGCTAATTGTTTGCTTTCCTATAATTAATATTTCTATTCAATCAACATTCCGCTGATATTTATTAAAATACTGCTATGTGCCAGTCAATGTGCCAGGAATTGGAGGTACAAGGATGAATTAGACATAAATAGGACATATCCTCTTGGAGCTTATGTTACAGTGGGAGAAATGGAAAAGTAATCACGTAATTGCAAAGTAGCATGGTGGGAGTAAGTTCAGGGTGCCATGGAGCCAGAAGGAGGCCTCCACAAAACATCTGCCTAGTAACATAAATAGTGCCTGGTAACATTGGGGCTAGAAGGGAGGGAAGAGATACTAGGATGGCCTTTCCTGAGAAACAGATATTTTGCTCTGAAAGAAAAATACTTCCCATCAACTTGCTACGAATCAGAGTGAAGAAAAGCAGAACATTTTCATGGACTGACTTTGCCCACCGCTGACTGAGGGGAGGACTATTTGTCTTACACTATAGATCTTTCTTGCAGGTCTGATTAATTTTGTACAAATTGCATACAGGGAGAAGAGGATTTTGTTCTACAAGGACCACACTGCTTTTGGTTGGAAAATAAGAATGCCAGGTCGGCCATGGGAGGACCGAAATTTCAGGATCAGCTGTTAGGAGCTGAATACAGATTTTTTTTCAGTCAGCCTGCTGTTCCTTTAATAGATTAGTGTTGAATTTTTTCTTCTTTTAATAATAACAGCCAATATAAAATTAAGTAACATTACTAATATCGTAATACATATATTAAAATAATTTATAATAAGGTTTTAGGAAACTGCCAAAAAGAAAAATCCCAATAAGCATTCTCAATAAAGTTAATTACAAGGTGAAAAGGAAATCCTGTTACATTAGTCTGAGAATGCAGTTAATGAAACTAAGTATAATCATAATCTGAATATTTCATTAAATGGAGACTTAAACTCATTACTTTAGGTATTAGGTCTGGAGTTGTGTGCTCATACCAAGACTGCCAATCTCAAAGCATAGCTGTTTTTTACTTACTTATTTATCTGGTGACAGGGTCTTGCTCTGCCGCCTAGGCTGGAGTGCAGTGGTGAGATCACAGCTCACTGCAGTGTTACCCTCCTGGGTTCACGTGATCTGCCCACCTCAACCTCTCAAGTAGCTGGGGCCACAGGCATGTGCAATCATGTCAGCTAATTTTTTTTGATTTTTTTTTTTTTTTGTAGAGACAGGGTCTTGCTATGTTGCCCAGACTGAGCTCGAGCTCCTGGACTCAAGCAATCCTCTTGCATTGGCCTCCCAAAGTGTTGGGATTACAGGTGTGAACCACCATGACTGCCTGTTTTTTACTTATGTAGATCCAAATCTTTGGCCACAAAAGGACATGGGCTCCCACCCCCCATAGATCTGTCCCCGGTGCTGAACCACACCATGGAGGGAGTTATCCAGTTCAAACCACCCAGCCAGAAAAGTCTATCTCATCACATTTTGGAGGTGGAGGGAGCTTTAGGTACCATCTTGCCTTTGGTATACCACACTTCTGGTTTCAAAGATGATTAAAAGTTAAAACAATTAGAAGAATTGGAGACCAGCATAGTGTGCTGACTTTTCGATTTTGCCAAAAAAGAAAATTAAGTAAAAAGAAACTACTTAAAAACAATTGCTTTCATTTCACAAAAGATAAGGGCATTTTAACATCAAACAATTTAGGTTAGAAGTAGTTCTCAAAATAAAAGACAAAGCCTAAGTTAAATGAAGTTAGCCTCATGAAAAACTAATTCCACTGTCCTTACTTTTTCTTATCTTATATTTTTTTTTTGCCCCTAATCAGTTGGAAATGAGAACATAGATTTGCATTTTTGGTTCTTTTCTTAATGAATGAGTATTTATTGAGTACCTACTAAATACTAGGCACTGGGGCTTGTCATTAGGGGTGCAGAGGTTGGTTGTGTGTGTGTGTGTGTATGTGTGTGTGCATGACTTTATAGGCTTTATAATCAGACCATCCATTGTCTGCATTTTACAAATAATGACACTGAGGTCTAGGAAGAAGCATGAGCTTCCCTTAAGGTACACAACCATGAAACTTGTCTGGTTAATACTGTTTTAAAAATAGTCATTGAATATTTAGGACACAATTACTGATCACAAATACATGTTAACTTTTCAGTTCTCCAAGACGGACATAAGGATGTGAACAAAAGGGATGGACTTCATTGTTATTGGTGTAGAACTTCTCTAGTTTTGATGCCTCACCTACTATCCAAAGGAAGCCCTTTGAAATATTCAGATATTCTTGACATTTTAACAAAATATTGAATTGCCTACAACCCTTGAATTGGAAGTTGTGCAAGGGCAGCATGTGGTATTTACTTTCCTTTATTGAATAGCAACAAGGAATGGAAGAAGCTCCTCATTCTGCAGAGGCATTATTTTTAAAAATTTAGTGCATATATCAAGTCAAAGAATGTCATCAAACAATTCTTTGATAATAACTGACAAAGACGTTGCATAAGCATATTAAACAAACTGTTTCTTGTGAACATTTTGGTTCTGCTAATCAGCTTAGAAGTGGCTAATTTCAGATACTGGTACTATTCTTTAAAAACATGTTTTAATGAACAGATACTTCTGAAAAGAAGACATACATGTGGCCAAAAAACATAGAAAAAGTGCAACATTACTGATCATTAGAGAAATGCAAATGAAAGCCACAATGAGATACCATCTCATGTCAGTCAGGATGGCTATTATTAAAAAGTCAAAGAATAACAGATGCTGGCGAGGTTGAGGAGAAAAAGGAATGATTTTACACTGTTGGTGGGAGTGTAAATTAGTTCAACCATTGTGGGAGACAGTGTGGTGAGTCCTCAAAGATCTAGAAGCAGAAATACCATTTGACCCAGCAATTTTATTACTGGGTATACACCCAAAGGAATATAAATCATTCTATTATAAAGATACATGCACCTGTATGTTCATCGCAGCAATATTCACAATAGTAAAGACTTGGAATCAATCTAAATGCCCATCAATGATAGACTGGATAAAGAAAATGTGGTACAGATACACCATGGAATACTATGCAGCCATAAAAAGGAACGAGATCTTGTCCTTTGCAGGGACATGGATGGAGCTGGAAGCCATTATCCTCAGCAAACCAATGCAGAAACAGAAAAGCAAACACTGCATGTTCTTACTTATAAGTGGGAGCTGAATGATGAGAACACATGGACACAGGGAGGGGAACAACACATACTGGGGCCTCTCGGGGGTTGGGAGGAGGGAGAGCATCAGGAAGAAAAGCTGATGGATGCTGGGCTTAATACCCAGGTGATGGGATAATCTGTGTAGCAAACCACCACTGCACACGTTTATATATGTAAAAAAGCCCTGCACATCCTGCACACGTAGCCCTGCACTTAAAATAAAAGTTGAAGGGAAAAAAACATGTTTTAAATGTCCCAGAATTGCTTCCACTTCAGGGGTTTTACATACGCTCTTCCCTCTGCCTGCAACAAGCTTCCTCCAGATCTTTGCAATGCTGGCTCCTTCTCATTGTTTAGGTCTTGGGTAAACTGTTATCTTTTTGGGGGGCCTTACCTACAGAAAATATCCCAGCCCATGTAAAGATCTCACCATCATCCTTCTCTATTAGGTCACTGTTTTATTTTCATCATAGTTCATATACTACCTAAAGTCATCTTGTCTACTTGCTCCTTTCACATTTTCCCCACAACATGTTAGCTCCAGGAGGCCAGGAATCTTCCTCCCACTCCCTACTGTATTCCCAGTGCCTAGAACTGTGCCTGGCACACAGAAAGTGCTCTATAAAAATTTTTCAGATGGAATAAATGCTGTCAACATACAATACTGAGCACATTTTATCAAGTAAATGCTGCTATTACTTTTTCTTTGTCAATTCATTGGGATCTTATTTCTTGTGGACTAAACCTTCAGTGCTGTTATCAGAGTCTAGCAAATGCCAAGTTGAGTATCAAGAGTTGTTGCATACATTTAAAAGCTCATGAATACATATTCCAGCATTACCTGGCGATTATGAAATGTCACACAAAGGCAGTGTTTTCAAAGTTCGGCCCACCAATTCAATCACAATTGATTTTTGTCAAAAGCATTTTCCTCCTTTTCATTTCTTTCGGCTTCTCTGTATCATAGTTTGCCTCCTAATGTCCTGATCCATGCTGACCCTCAATTTCACTAGCATGAAAGCAAACTAAGGAGGGAATTGGGTGTGTTTAATATTTATGACATGACTATGTCGTGTTGATGTGAATAATAATGAAAAAAACCTTAACACTGGTGATGCAAAGTAACCTTAATAATCTCCTGCTTAGGGTCACAATATTGATTTTAGTGCATTGCCAAACAGACTATTAAATCTCTAACAGTTATGTTTCACATTTAACTATTATTTTTAAAAGAAAGTCTTAAAACACAGAGAGAGGAAGTGATAGGTACAAAGGGAAAAAAACCCATAACAACTCCACAGATCAATTTCATATCCTATAATAAGGCAATCATCCAATGGCAAGCCCCAAGCCCTGGCTTATTTGTGGTTAAAATCAAGCACTTACCTACTCTTTGACTTTGAATCCAAAAATACCCCAAATGTGTTACCAGATCTTATAATCCCCACCCCTGGAGCAAAATCAGGTCAAGCTAAGAAAAGCACTTAAGAACAAAAGATGCAGTCTCTGGATGTTCCGTCACGAATGCTGGGAGCATCCCCTGTGCTCCCAGGATAACTTTTAGTAAAAGTACGGGAGGAAAGTGGGATGTATTATGTAGTGGATACAGGGGATGGAGGGAGGAGGTTCTTCTTGCTTACCTTTTCCTGGTTTTCGATCTTTGTGTGTTATTGAAGTTGCCCATTTTATTTCACTTTTTAAAACAATTTCAGCTTTCATTTTAGATTCAGGGGGACCATGCACAGGTTTGTTACATGGGTATATTGTGTGGTGCTAAGGTCCGGGGTGCAAATGATCCTGTCACCCAGGTGGTGAGCATAGTGCCCAGTAGATAGTTTTCCAGCCCTTGTATCCCATCTCTCCCTTTCTCGCCCTCTAGCATTCCCAGTGTCTGTTATTCCCATCTTTATGTCCATGTCTACCCAGTATTTAGATCCCACTTATAAGTGAGAACATGTGGTATTTGGCTTTCTGTTCCTGTGTTAACTTGCTTAGGATAATGGCCTCCAGCTGCATCCATGTTGCCACAAAGGACATGATTTCATTCTCTTTTTATGGCTCTGTAGTATTCCATGGTGTATATGTACCACATTTTCTTTATCCAGTCCATGTTTATTGGGCACCTAGGTTGATTACATGTCTTTGCTATTGTGAATAGTGCTGTGATGAACATACAGGTGGGTATTTACCCAGTCATGGGATTGCTAGGTCAGATGAAGTTGCCCATTTTATTAAGCAAGTACTGTATGTGAAACACCATATGAGGCATACTCAGGGTAAAAGTAATGATATCGTTTGGCTGTGTCCCCACCCAAATCTCATCTTGAATTGTGCTTCCCATAATTCCTACATGTCATGGGAGAGACCTGGTGGGAGGTGATTTAATCATGGAGGGCAAGTTTTTCTCATGCTGTTCTTGTGACAGTGAATAAGTCTCATGAGACCTGATGGGTTTTTTAATAAAGTGCAGTCCCCCTGCACATGCTTTCTTGCCTGCCACCATGTAAGATGTACCTTTGCTCCTCCTTCGCCTTCTGCCATGGTTGTGAGGCTTCCCCAGCCATGTGGAGCTGTGAGTCCATTAAGCCTTTTTTTCTTTATAAATTACCCAGTCTCAGGTATGTCTTTATTAGCAGCATGAGAACAGACTAATACAAGTAATAACACTCATAGTTAGCATTTATGGGATATTTGCTGTATGATAGGTGTTTCAAATATATCTTATTTAATTTACTTCACAACTCTGCAAAGTGGGTAGGATTATCTAGATTTTTTTCTTTTTTGAGATGGAGTCTTACTCTGTCACCCAGGCTGGAGTGCAGTGGTGCGATCTGGACTCACTGCAACCTCTGCCTCCCAGGTTCAAGAGATTCTCCTGCCTTAGCCTCCTGAGTAGCTGGGATTACAGGTGAGCGCCACCATGCCTCGCTAATTTAGTATTTTTAGTAGAGATGGGGTTTCACCATGTTGGCCAGGCTGGTCTCGAGAACTCCTGACCTCAGGTGATCTGCCCATCTTGGCCTCCCAAAGTGCTGGGATTGCAGGTGTGAGCCACTGTGCCTGCCTGGGTTATCTAGATCTTAAAGAGTAAAAGACACAGACTCTCCATCAAGTATATAGCAGGGTCAGGGTTATAATACAGTTTGGTCTGACTCTGAAGCCTGGGCTGTTTCTTCCATCCAGAGTAGGCAAGTAGGTTTCATTTTGGGTGTTGTCACTGATGACATGTCGTGGCTCCCTGCAGTGGAGTGTTGAAGATGATTTGGAGGCCATATTCCAGCTCAGTGGGCATGAGTGCTGTGATTGATTAGCCATGTCTGCTGTGAGAAAAGAACAGAAGGATGGTGCTCGTGTGCCATCTATTTACTCTCTTATTTCTGCTACAGATATAATAAAAGTCCCTCAAAGGACTTATGATTTTGCAAATGAGGGGAGGTAAATATATAAAATGAGGGAATATAGACCAAATTGATGGATTGGGAAGGCCTCAAATACGTAGTGCCTAACATATGGTGTTTGGATGTATAGTAGGTGATTAGCATATCTTTGTTTAATGAATGAATGAATATATGAATGAATAATTTGAAACATATAATAAACTTTTATTCTTTTATATTCTCTAAGCTATTTCCCTGCATCGAGTCAGACCACCATAAAACCACATATCAGAACTGCATTCCTTTAGTTTTCTATAGGAATGCCAATTCAGAGTTGTCTTTGTTGTCTTTTTTTTTTTGAGATGGAGTCTTGCTCTGCCACCCAGGCTGGAGTGCAGTGGCTCGATCTTGGCTCACTGCAACCTCCGCCTCCTGGTTTCAAGCAATTCTGCTTCAGCCTCAGTCCCTGTAGCTAGAACTGCAGGTGCATGCCACTGTGCCTGGCTAATTTTTGTACTTTTAGTAGGATGGGGTTTCTCTGTGTTGGCCAGGCTGGTCTGGATTCCTGACCTCAGGCGATCTGCCCTCCTTGGCCTCCCAAAGTGCTGGGATTACAGGTGTGAGCCACCATGACCAGCCCAGAATTGTCTTTTAATAGTATATCCTTGATTTAAAAAACATAGTTGATATAACAAAGGGAAACATAAAGAATGGTTCTGTCTTCTTGCAAATCTGCTGTTGAAAATGGGGCACATTATGTTGTGCCATATCCTTTATCTAGAGAATGACTTCCATAGTACACATTCATTCAACAAATCTTTTTCTTGTGTTATCTAGTTAGGCACTGTGTTAATGAACCAAAAAACAAGCCAGGGTTCTGACCACGGGAGCCTATGTTATAGTGGGGGAAGACTGTTCACACAGCCAGTAAATAAAACATTTAAGAGGGTGATAAGTATGGAGGAAAATGAGGAAGGTGATGGGAGAAAAAATAACAAGGCTGGTGTCACTGAGAAAGTGATCATTAAGATGAGACCCAAGGATGGGAAGAACCAATCTAGTGAAGAGTGGGGGGAAAGGGCATTCTAGCCAAAACAAAAAACAAAAAACTCCGCAGGATGTGCAAAGGCCCTGAGACAGGAAAGAAATTCATCATGCTTGTGGAAGTCCAGTGGGGCTGAAGTCTGGCAAGGGAGGGGATGAGATTATATAAATAAATGTAGGGAAATGCTATTCAGAAAAAGGAACAAAGTAAGATACTGATTATAGACTATAGCTAGAATTCTGGAGCAACTGCTATGCGCTAGACAGTATGTTAGGTGTTTTATACATGTCCTATTGTGTGTCAATGCTTGACCTGACCATCCAATAATGCTTCCCAGTGGATGCTCCATTGAACACTAGTCCTTTGAAATGTTCTTCAAAATTAGAGTTCCTTGGCCAAATAAATTAAAGACTCCTAGAATATATGCAATAAAGCCATTTACATTTATGTTCATCCCAGTGTTTTTCAAACTGATATATCCATTAAACACCTTTTTATGTAACAACTATTGATATATAGGGGAAATAATGTTCTGGAGAGAAGACTTTGAAGAAAGCTATTGGATTAATGTTTAGCTGGCCCTCCTTAATCACTTTCTATGGTGGCAAATTCGTTATGTCTCAAGGCAATACATTTTGTTTTCAGGCAGGCTTCATTCACAGTGAGTTTGCCCTATGGACATTTCAAAGTTATCAGCCAAGCCCCTTTAAAATCGCTTACCAAAGGAAGTGAAAGCCAAAGCCATCAATAATTTTCTTTCCTCTCCTCTCTGTACCCTCATCTCTCTCATCCTTCAAGGCTTAGGGTAAATAGTTTGTGTCAGGAAATTTTGGTTACAAGCAACAAAAGTCAATTCTTCTTCAGACTTAAGCAAAAAAGGGAAATCTTTTGAAGAATATGGGTTGGCTCATAGAACTGAAGGAACGTCTGATGGTCCAAGTTTGGGATGTCAGGAACCAGGGCAGCTCCAACCATGGTCTTATTGGAGCTCTCCTGCTGATATGAATTATTCCAACAATTTTGTCTCTCTTTGTGTCCATTCAAGTGTAAGATTCTTAAACTTGACGGTCTGATTGGTCCATATTGAGTCACATGCTCACCCCTTGGCTGGGAAGGACAGGGGCTTTGAGTGACAGTCTCACCAAAACTGCACATAGTGAGGAATAGGAAAGTCTCCACCATAAAATTGAGATGCTGGTCAGAAGAAGTAGGAAATGGATCATGAGTATTCAAAAAGGGAAACAAACAAACCTCTAAAGACCCAAACAAATTCCATCTCCTCTCTGATCTCTTCTCTGCATTTATGTATATCTTGGTATCTGTCCAAGTCATTTCCATCCCTTAGAATTCTACCAACATCTAGATGCTGCTGATGATATTTCCTGCGTTATTTTCTTGCCCTGTGGCTTAGCTCCTGTGGTGCTCCTTATCTGTGGGCGTGTGTTTGCTTTTTGTCTCTAACTAGGCATAATAATGAAGCCTATGGAATGTCTCCAGCAAAAATGGGCATATGTGATCATGGGAAGCTCATTCATGGGGAAGGAAAATCGAATAATTAGAAGGGACAGGCCGGGCCCAGGGGCTCACGCTGGTAATCCCAGCACTTTGGGAGGCTGAGGCAGGTGGATCACTTGAGCTCAGGGGTTCAAGATCAGCCTGGGCAACACAGTGAAACCCCATCTGTACAAAAAATACAAAAAGTAGCTGGGCATGGTGGCACGTGCCTGTGGTCCCAGCTACTTGGGAGGCTGAGATGGGAAGATTACTTGAACCTGGGGAGGTTGAGGCTGCAGTAAGCAGAGATTGTGCCACTGTACTCCAGCCTGGGAAACAGAACAAGAGCCTGTCTCAAAAAGAAAAAAAAAAAAAAGAAGGGACATATGAGATGGAGGATATATTGAGGGGAAGGAGATGTGAGTGGACATGAGGGCCAGGAGGGAACGTGTTCTCAGAAGGCTACTGAGGCAGGTGGAAAGGAACTAGCCTTACTTGAAGAGAGGGGCTGCCTTCCAGAGTGAGGAGTGATGAAGCCGACTGACAAATGGAAGGCTTAGAAGTCCAGGTAAGGGAATTTAGAACGGAGTCTCTGGGAGTTCTTGAGTAGATGCATCGTCTGATGTCCCTTCGCTAGCAGGTGCTTCGTTGGGTTCTTGGGATGACGGGTGAGAAAGGCCTTTAAGACAATTTGGGGAAGCTCTCCAGCAATCTCAAACAGCTGCCACCACCTTACCCAGGAAGTCCTTGTTCCCACCCTTCTCCAAAGCCTTTTGAGGGTTGCTAGGAAACTGGGGATACTTGAGCAGTTGGGATCTGATTATAATAATTTTCTAGGTTTCCATGGCTGGAGTAGGAGCCAGGTTGGTCCAATGTCATATTCTCTTACCTTACTGTGGAGCACAGTGAGGCATAAGTGTCTTTAAGTTATGTGAACTCAACTCTGTGATCTCAGTTCAGGGATGGGAGAAGGGATGGAGGAGGGGAAGAAAGAGAGAGAGTGTAACATAAATAATGTGAGTATTTCTGTTTCCCATTCCACACAATGAGCATATGCTCAAAGTGAGATGGGAGACATGAGTCTGCTTTTGCTTCAGACAGACTCACTTCCCACGAGCTTCTCCAGAGTGTGATTCTAGCATTTAAAGATATGCATTTTTCATATAACTTGGCCCCTAAACACAAGCCAGTTACTTCATCTGGTGCTGAACCAGAGAAACAGCCATCATGGGTAATTTTGGCTGAATATGATTTTAGCTGCTCCCTCTGGCCTCAGATCTCTACACGAGACAAGACTCTACTGTTATTTTGTAAAACCCCTACTCGGTGCCTATGAATGATGCCATATGGCTCCTGCTTGTTTACAGATTTGTCTAAGCCCTTGAGGTAAACGGAATCCAACCATTGACACCCTTGACACACAGCACGGGTTGGCTAGAGGGCGGTGGGGTTTGTGTATTTGTTCCTTACTCCAACACTGTCTTTTAAGATCACTATTGTAACCTGGAACACAGGATATCCCCCAAGTAATTTCACATACTTAGCTGGTCCTCTTGTGAACCACAGCTCCTTCCCCTGTGTTGTACAAGCCCACCTATGTGCATATTTTTTGAAATTTTAAGAATTGAGTTTTAGATGATTTGTGGAGCTTGGAATTTCCCAGAAGGATGACTTGCTCAGGTCTCTAGGCAGTGTCTTATGTCTAGCAGTCTGTCCATGTACATATAGTACATTTAAAAAAATTAACGTATTTATCTATTTGAATAGGTCAATATGTACATGGTAGAAAAGAAAGTAAAGCAATATTCAAGGACGTGAAGCAAACACTAAGTGCCCTCTCTCCTCAAGCACTCTAATTCTCCTCTCCAGAGTCAACCACTGTAATAAGTTTATTGTCTGTTCTCACAAAGATATTCTATGCATTTACTAACATTTCTGAACACTTCTGCACCTTGCTGATTTCATTTAATAGTGGGCATATTAGTCTGCTTGGGTTGGCCTAACAAAATAACACAGACTGGGTGGCTTAAACAACAGGAATTTATTTTCTCACAATTCTGGAGGGTAGACATACCAGACCAAGTCCATCAGGGACAGTTTTGGAGAGGGCTCCCTTCCTGGCTTGCAGACAGCCACCTTCTTGCTGTGTCCTCACATGGTGGAAAGAGAGAGAGCACTCTGGTGTTTCTTCCTCTTCTGATAAGGGGACCCACCCTGTGAGATTAGGGCCCCATCCTTATGACTTCATTTGATCTTTGTCATCTTCTCACAGACCCCATCTTCAAATACAGAACCATTGGGGGTTAGGGTTTCAACATATGAATTTTGAGGGCACACAAACATTCAGTCCATAACAGTGGATACTGGAGACTTTTTTTTGCTTTTGGTCTATTTAGACCTAGATATATCTTTTGCCCTTTTGCTGTGAGCTGAGCCTGGAGGATTGGTACCAGCTGTGATTTTATAAGGTGAGGCAGCTGGAATCCAGAGAGGTAAATGGAATCCAACTATTGAAACCCTTGAGGAGCATACAGAGATCTTGGCCAGTGGCCACCAGTCTCTCCTTGATGAACTGTTGCTGGACTTGTAGAATGGATTGTGATTCTTATGAGGCCATGGCTGTCCTCAAAGCTTAGTGTAAGAGGGAAAGCCTTGGTTAGGTGTTGGGGTCCATCCCGAGAAGGGGAAGAATAAAGCTATGCTTGTTCCAATCTGTATATTTTCCGATGGGTCAGTTCTTCATCTTCCAGAAGCTCAGCAGCCTGGGGGAATTGAGACCATAGTGGGGCTATCAATGACTTACTGCAACTCTCCCTGGAATACCTCTCTCTTTTCTTGCTAGACAAGTCTTACACATTTTGAGAACTCAAGGCAAAGCTCAGCTCCTTATAATCGATCTATCTGTTTCTTCCACTCCCATGACTCTTTCTTAGTGATGTGCTCAATTCTGTTCTCTCCAAGTCAGCTTACATTTATTGACTCCTAGGGGCTAATTCTCTCTCTCTCTCTCTCTTTTTTTTTTGAGATGGAGTTTCACTCTTGTTGCCCAGGTTGGAGTGCAATGGCATGATCTTGGCTTCCTGCAACCTTTGCCTCCCAGGTTCAAGTGATTCTCCTGTCTCGGCCTCCTGAGTAGCTGGGATTACCGGCACCTGCCACCACGCCCAGCTAATTTTTTTTTTGTATTTTTAGTAGAGAGGGGGTTTCACCATGTTGGCCAGGATGCTCTTGAACTCCTGACCTCAGGTGATCTACCCACCTCAGCCTCCCAAAGTGTTGGAATTACAGGCGTGAGCCATTCTGCCTTTTGACTTTCCATGCCATGTTGCCTTTGACTTTGATTTTTGTGGTGTATCTTAATTTTCCTAGGAGTCTGTAGTTTTCTCTCTAACTAGATTGAAAACACATTGAGGGCAGCAAATACTTCTAAGTTCTCCCTCCCATGTTGAGTATGTGCCATGTTCCAAGTAAGCATTGAGGGTGGATATTCATTGAGTTAGTACATTCAGATGATGTTTTGGGGGAAAAACTCCATCAGGAAGTAGTTTCATCTCTTCTCTCCTCTCCCCTCCTCTCCTTTCCTCTTCTCTCCTCTCCTTTTCTTTCCTTCTGATGGAGTCTCCCTCTGTCACCCAGGCTGGAGTGCAGTGGCACAATCTTGGCTCACTGCAGCTTCTGTCTTCCAAGTTCAAGCGATTCTCCTGCCTTAGCCTCCTGAGTAGCTGGGATCACAGGTGCTCACCACCACGCCTGGCTAATTTTTGTGTTTTTAGTAGAGACGGGGTTTCACCATGTTGGCCAAGCTGGTCTCAAACTCCTGACCTCAGGCAATCCACCCATCTTGGCCTCCCAAAGTGCTGGGATTATAGGAGTGAGTCACTGCGCCTGGCCAGGAAGTAGTTTCTTTTGAATATCCCTGATTGGCCCATACTTTTCCTCCCAGAGGTTTGTTGTTGGTGAAATACAACCCTTGTGTGCACTGGTCACAAGCCCTTTTCATTGTACTTTGAATGGAATCCTGCAGTTGACTATGAGAATGAGCGTGGACCATAGTTCTCATTTATGATTTAAGTCAACCCCATGGGAAATTTATACTCACGGAGGTTGTCACTTGTCCAAGTGGCTATGTTGGGATTTGAATCCCTAGATCTGTCTGACTTGTGCTTTTTTTCCACTCCATCAACTTTTCCCAACCTTCCTCTTTCCCCATCACCTGCCTCTCCCTGTCTATTGTGCTATTCAATGAAACATCATAGAGAGGATAGATGTGATTCAGCATCTGGCATATACCTGCTGTAGATGCTGTAGAACAGATTCTCTGCAAGTGCTTGTTAATGTAAGTTCTCTCCGCAGAACCTCATTCTCTTGAGACAGCAATGCTGAGAAAGCAAATCTGGGACTGGGGCTGTGATATATTCAAATTTGACAGCCTCATCCTCCTCCTAGGTGATTCTGATGTCAGTGGTCCTGAGGCCATATTTTCAGGAATACTGCCTTAAAAGTCATTATTATCCAACCAACGAATTCTTACTCTGTAGGCAACTAAAGGTTGACCCTTCCCAAGGGTCACATTTTAATGGTGTGTTTCACTTTTAACCCTGCTGGGGAGGAGAGAATTTTTGATTGGATGATCTTGAGGGGCAGAGTGTTCTTCTGCCTGCTTGTGGTTCCATCATGGTCACTTTCCAAGGTCTGAGGCAGAGGCCAGAGCTTGGGCTTGGGGGCCCATCTTGCCATTGTTAGATACAGTTAGTTTCCCTCTTCTAACAGCTTATCCAGTTTCCCTGTTCTCTATACTATAATTCCAAATACCCCCTTGCCTTTGCTGCACCCCAGCTTGTCTGAATATGCCTAGGCATGCCTGAACTTGCTACAACCCCAGTCCACATTCCTTTCCTTATTCGGGAATAGGTTACCTTCCTAGTCCCCCCATAAATGACCCCCCATCTCTCTCTTCTCACCTCACTATGTGCCTGCCTTATCTAAGAAAGTTTAAATGTCAAGCCAATCAGGACTAGTTTAGACTGTGCGGTCCAACCCTAGCCAATAGGGGAAAGACACAGAGGCAGAAGCTGCATTAGAGAAAATAAAAACCCCTGCTTTCCTTTGTTCTGTGTGCTCTCACCATTGCTCCATATGCAAGATGCACCCTTCTACAGAAGTAAATTTGCCTTGCTGAGAGATGCTTTGTCCTTTGTCTCAGTGCTAGTGTCTTTGCGGCACTGAGCATTTGTTTCCAACATATGCATTCAAATCCATGGGTTCTGTCTCTTTCTAATGGTGTAACCTCGGGGGAGGTGCATTACTCCTCCTTCCTCTCTTAAAAAATGGTGGTGTTACTATCCAGTTACTTAGATCACTGTGTAGATGAAATGGAATAATGCATGTAAAACCCTTGGCACAGTTCCTAAGACAGGCAAAAGAAAGAAACAAAACAAGAAGAAACAAACAAAGCCAAACCCTGTCTTCCCTACCGTCACCAGTTATCATGTTTTGCTACCAACCTGGTTTCATCTGTGGCACTTGAGTGAGGCACACAGTTGGAATGTACCTTTAGAAAAATGTTTAAAACTTTTTGGCCAGGTGCAATGGCTTATTCCTGTAATCCCAGCACTTGGGGAGGCTGAGGTGTGTGGATCACTTGAGGTCAGGAGTTAGAGACCAGCCTGGCCAACATGGTGAAATGCTGTCTCCACTAAAAATACAAGAAAATTATCCAGGTGTGGTGTGTGCCTGTAATCCTAGCTACCTGGGAACCTAAGGCAGGAGAATTGCTTGAACCCAGGAGGCGGAGGCTACAGTAAGCCAAGATCATGCCACTGCTCTCCAGCCTGGGCAACAGAGTGAGATTCCATCTAAAAAAAATAATTTAATTGTTATATTTTAATGTTTTTGATACATAATAGTTGCATATATTTGTGGGGTACATGATATATTTTGATACAGTTTGATACAGGCATGCAATGCATAATAATCACATCGTGGAAAATGGGGGTATCCATCCCATCAAGCATTTATCATTTGTGTTACAAACAATCCAATTATACTCCTTCAGTTATTTTAAAATATAAAATTAAAACTGTACAATTAAATTATTTTGTCATGCCTATAATCCTAGCACTCTGGGAGGCTGAGGCAGGCTCACCTGAGGTCAGTTCGAGACCAGCCTGACCAGCATGGTGAAACCCCATCTCTACTAAAAATACAAATTAGCTGGGCCTGGTGGCACATGCCTGTAATCGCAGCTACTTGGGAGGCTGAGGCAGAAGAGTCGCTTGAACCCGGGAGGTGGAGGTTGCAGTGAGCTGAGATCGTGCCACTGGACTCCAGTCTTGGTGACAGAGCAAGACTCTGTCTCAAAAAAATTAAATAAACAAATAAGTCATTTTGATTATAGTCACCCTGTTGTGCTATCAAATACTAGGTCTTATTTAAACCTTATCAAAGCATCACCACTCCAATGCAGGTTTGGGGGCACAGTGGCGGGTTTTGTTTTTGTTTCTGTTTGGCTTTGTAAGGATAGGTTACCTGGATTAATTTGTTGCTTGGGCTGGAGCCATTTGGGACCCTCAGTGCAGTGACAGCCTGATGGTAATGTGAGATCCCAACAGCTTGAATTAATCATGGAGACAGGAGGTAAAGAACAGGGATGCTGTGGAGGACAGTTCTTGACATCTGCAGGCACCTCTGTGCAACCCTTCTCAGGGATGAAGGGCAGGAGGTTTCAATTCTCTTGTATTTCCCTCCTCGGGACGGGAGAGTGGAACCTTCAGAAGTTGGTACAAATGAGCTTGCACTGAGAGGGAAAGGGCAGAAATGGGCTGAGAGTCAGTTGTGGCTAAAATGTTTGGGGACCAGTTCCTGGAACACTGACACTTGCAGAGAGCCTCTGGATGCTGGCATACTCAGACCACATTGCCTTTCTTCCAACTGCACAGAATCAAGTTGACCAACCATGGAAGCATGAGTCCCTCAGTGTTCATAACAGATGCTCTGAACAGCAGCCTTATACATCCCATTATTGAATTCGCTGCAAAGTGTCAGTTAATGAAGACAGCATCCTCCATATCTCCCAGTAGTTCCTTGTATAATGCCTATTGTGCTTTGAGAAATAAGTGCTAGAAAAAAGCTTTGCTGGTCCTAAGGAACTTGAGCATTCTCACTTCATGCTTAATGAGAACAATGTAGTTGACCGAATTTCCCTTTTCACTTTGTTTACCCAGAAGCGCACAGCCACATTTGAAACTGCATCCACCTCATCTGCTTTCTGTTTTCCATTTTGCTCTCATCTTGGCATATGCCCTGTAGTATGCCGTAGTCTTTTAGGCTCAAGGGTCAGAAACCTAAAGCAAAGAAAAAGAGGAGTTTATTGGGACGTGTCTCTCACCTTTAGGCACACGTAGGTCTCAACAGATGTTCTCGGGGCTCTGACTTTATGGCTCTATCTCTAGATTTTGTGTGCCTCTCTTGGCTTAGTTTTCAGACAGGCTCTTTCCCTGTGGTGGCAGGATGGTCACCAGCAGCTGCAAACCAGAATTGTCCTTACAGCTCCAGGCTCCAGAGAAGGAGAGAGCACATTTCCCTACAGCTGTTGAAAACCCTTGGAAAGTCCATGATTGGGCTATGATAGGTCGCATGCCCATTCCTGCACCAGTCACTGTGACGAGGGGAGGTGGTGCTCTGATTGGTTGGTCAGGGTTCAGGTATCCACTGTTGGAGTGGGTGGGGTCAACTCCACCCAAATCTCACAGGTTGAAGAGAATTATAATGGAACAGAGTATGGTGTGTGTGTGTGTGTGTGTGTGTGTGTGTGTGTGTGTGTGTGTGTGTGTGTGTGTGAGAGAGAGAGAGAGAGAGAGAGAGAGAGAGAGAGAGAGAGAGAGAGAGAGAGAGAGAGAGATCCTCAGGGGAGATCTTCAGAGAACAGAATAGAAAACAATGACGAAACCTCTACCTACCCCTTATTCTAATTTATATTTCCCTGTTTTGAATGTATGATTGTTTATTTATATTTTACTTTGCTGTCTTAAATCCTTTGTGAAATGAGGTGGAATAAATAAATGATAAGATGTGTAAACTGCCTTAATAAACAAGTGAATGCATCTCTCCTTACAGAAGGAGGGTAGGGTTGATTAGAGGTAACAGTCAGGAAACTGAGCATCAGATTGAGCTCTGGAATGTGCTGGAGGTAGAAAGTTTGTCTCCTGTTGGCCATGGTGCACAGCTGACCTCCATTCTGTTCTGGGCATGCCTGTTAGAAAACACCCTGCCTCCATTTGTAGATATTGATGAGGGGCTCATCTAATATAGATCCTATTTTACAGATTAATAACAAAAGCTAAGATAAAGACACTAGCTCAGGGTTCACATCTTGAAATTCTTGACTTACTTGTTTATTGTCATTCTGCCTTTCCCCTCCATTTTTACATTATTTTACATTTTTAATAATTTATTTATTTCTCAACCCCAACACTATTGATATCTTGGGTCAGACAATTCTTTGTTGTGGGGCTGCTGGTGCATTGCAAGATGTTTAGTAGGGTTCCTGGCCTCTACCCACTAGATGCCAATAGTCCTCGCTTCCCACCCAGTTATGATAACCAAATATGTCTCTAGTCATTGTTGAGGGGTGAAATTGTCTTGGTTGAAAACCACTGTTGTATTAGAATATGACTTCCAAGAGAAGAGGAATCTTGTGTGACTTGGTCACTGTTTAATTTCTCAGCCTAGTACAATGTCTGGCACCTAGGAGATGCTCAATAAATCTTTATTGACTAAGGGAATTAATTTGCTTTGAACTCTTATTTCTAGGCTGTCTTGACCTCCAAGCAGCAACATTTCTTTCTAGAAGAAACCTAAAATTCAAAGTTTATGTCATCACCCTCTCTCAGGTACTTGACAGTCAGTCAATACATGCTAGCATCTGGCATTGTTACGATGATGATTGTTTCTTCCTGGAAGATTGCTGAGCCCAAAGCCATGGATTATTCTGCTTTTTTTGTTGACCTTGCACGTTTGAACTAAAAGTCACTGGTGAATCTTGAACCTGCAGGGAGAGACTGGATTGAAATAGCTGGAGAATGGGATGTTGGCAGCAGGCATAGAGGTTTGAAGGACTTTGGGAAGGTAGCGTTCCATGAAATGACCCTGGCATTGGGTTCTTGGAGCCTAAGTTCTCTAGCTAGAAAGCAGCTGTGGAACTTAAATGTTCCTTATGCAGGAATAGTACTGTACCCTCCACACCTCCCTAAGACTGTTTGGAAAAACGTAGGAATTTTTTTCAGTATCAGTATCCTGTGGAGCTGCCTTGGTTTGACTTTCCTACAAGCAGATGCTGAGACAAGGATATGAGGACAAATAATTTATTTGAGAGTTGATCCCAGGAAACACTGTTAGGTGAGCATAAGTGAGATAGGGAAACCCATCAAGGGTGTGTCATCCAGTTACAACCATGGGCAACTGGAGCTCAGTCCTGCTGGAGAACTCTGGGGGAGCAAGAAGAACGTGCCCCAGAGTCATTGCAATTGAAGAGCAAGGAAGCTGGGGGGCTTATCCACCAAATTCTAGCTCAACATTGCTTGAGGGCTGCTTCCAGGGGCATTGACACTCTAGTACTTCTGGTTGTTTTGGGTGAGAACCACGTGTGTTTTTTAGCCAGAGCAAAGTTACCAGGCAGAGAGCCCCAGGTGTTTGCAGCTGGCACTCTTGAGTGTGGAGGTGAGTGTTGAAGGATCGCTATAGGGAACTGACAGTGTCTGATACAGGACATCTGGTGGGCAGGGGCTGAATATCTCACAGCACATACGGCAGCCCCTCACAGGTAAGAATTATCCACTCTGAATGCCAATAGACATGCCTTTGAGAAACATGATGAATGGGAATGGATATTTCGTTTGGATTCCTGGAAGAGAGAACTCTGTTTTATTTTTATTTATAAAATCAATAAGTGTTATTTTTCCTGGTTATAAATGTAATAGGTACTCCTTGAAGAAAATGTGAAAAGTACAGGGAAAAAATCCTTAAAGGAGACACATTTTAATGCATTTCTTTCTTGTTCTATGTAAAGTCTGTAGAAATAATTGTTACAAGAACAAGTTCTGGGTTCAAATTCAGACTCCACCACTTACTAGTTATGTGGCCTTGAATAAGTTAGTTCACCTCCCTGGGCCTTAGTTTTCCCAACTGAAAAATTGGAATGATAATATCTTATAGGGTTGTTTTGAGACTTAAATGAGATGATATATGTAGAGTACTTGGCTTATAATAAGAACTCATTAAATGTGGTATATACATACACATCTCCTTTTAAGAATGAGAATATGGCCAGGTGTGGTGGCTCACACATCCTGGCTCCCCCAGAGCAACGAGATGAGCACTTTGGGAGGCTCAGACAGGTGGATCACTTGAGGACAGGAGTTTGAGACTAGCCTGGCCAACATGGCGAAACCCTACTAAAAATACAAAAATTAGCCGGATGTGGTGGTGCACACCTGTAATCCTAGCTACTTGAGAGGCTAAAGCATGAGAACTGCTTGAACCTGGGAGGGGGAGGTTGTTACATGAGTTGGCTAACCTGTTTTCCCAGCACCATTTATTGAATAGTACATCCTTTCCCCATTGATTGTTTTTGTCAGCTTTGTCAAAGACCAGATGGTTGTAGATGTGTGGTGTTATTTCTGAGGTCTCTGTTGTTTTCCATTGGTCTATATATCTGTTTTGGTACCAGTACCATGCTGTTTTGGTTACTGTAGCCCTGTAGTATAGTTTGCAGTCAGGTAGTGTGATGCCTCCAGCTTTGTTCTTTTTGCTTAGGATTTTCTTGGCTATAGAATCTCATAGTCTTATTGGGAAAGATACAACTTGAAAGCATAAGGGAACCAAGTAAAAAGACAATACCAGCATGGAGCTAGATTGTGTTTCCTAGAAGCAAAGCCTGAGTCAAGGATTTGGGGGCATTTAATTTATCGAGGAGATTCTCTTAGAAGGAGGAGAGCAAGGAAGGAAGGTAGGGCAGGGGAACAGAGCCAAGCAAGGAGATAGTCTTGGTTGGAGACAAGCTGCAGCTTGATAACAGAGAAAGTTCTGGAACATGGATTGTAACACCAAGTTGGTCCTGATTTGAGGCAAGTGGCTGGTGTTTTGAACTTTTGTGTCAGTCAGTCCCCGGCTCTGGCTGTCCCTCTGGCTGGAGGTTGGGGGCCGAGTAATTTCCTAGAAGAGACATTCTCAATAGCCATGGCGGAGAAGGGGGCAGCTGTGAGCCATTAGCAACCAACATTCTCAACAGCTGGTGAAGGGCATTTGAGCAGGGCACTGCATGGCCATTGCAGTTCTCTAGGGCAGGAGGCAGCAACTACAGCCCATGGGGGAATTCCTGCTTGCCCCCTGTTATTGTAAATTAAGTTTTACTAGAACACAGACACGCTCATTTTTTCACGTATTGTCCATGGCTTTTTCTGCTGCAATAGCAGAGTTGAGTCGTTGTGACAGTGACTGTATGGCCTTCAAAGCCTAACACATTCACTCTCTGGCCTTTTAACAAAAGGTTTCCCAGCATTTGGTCGAGGGGAATAAGAGAAATAAGAGGGGTTCACTGTAATCTGGGTGGTCCCAAGGTGGGTGTTACTCTTACTCTGGGATGTGGGGAAATGGCGAGGTTTGGGTTAGAGGTGAGAAAGCTGGAAGACCTTCAAGGACTAGTGGGTTAATGCAGGTACAGGAGAAGCAAGTATACCTGGAAAAAGGTATATGACTGTAGCAAACAAGCGTGATAAGGTACAGATCCTTCTCTCCAAGGACCATGTGGCTATCTGGGACAGTAGCTTGTTTAAGTGAAGAAATCCACTTAAGGCTCATTTCCAGGGAAGAATTCCATTTAGAAACCCTTAATCAGGGGAGTGCATGGTCTGGGGCATGTTAAACGCAAATGCATTCAAACGTAATTATTTGGAGCAGCTATAAACAAGTCTGGTCACTTAAGATAAAGATGTAAAGCACACGCTTTGCCTTCATCAGAGCAGCAAAAGGAGAAAAGGATATCTCAGTCCTCGATGTTGGTGAATAGTTAGCAGGAATTCATTCAGCTTGGGGAGACATCACGTGGTGGCTAACAGGGACATCGGGACAGCAGCTCTTGAAATCCACGGGCTATTTTTGTCAAAGGAGAATTCAGTTTTAAATATTCGATGCTTTTAGGATAACTCATCTATCACTGGGCCAATTTAAGTCTCATTAATCACACGAAGGAAAGAACTCCCTGCCCCTTGAAGGTATCAGTGTATAGCTGCGAAATGGAGGCCTGGTTCCTCTGAGAAATAGAACACAAATGGTATAATTTTGCAAAGATGGGAGCAAGAGTGATCCCCCAAGTAGTGACCGTTCCTTGACTCAAAATTGCCGGTTGTGGGTTCTGTTGCCAAACCTGGGGCCACCTGAATCGACAGGGTTTAGAAGATCATGATGGGAATCTGTGGATCACATTTGAGAAAGCATAGGGTTGGATAAACACCATAGCCTTTGGGGCTAGGTAGCCTCCATTTATTGTTTTCCCTAGTAAGAAAAGACTGTGTACTAGACAATGTGTGCCAAACCAATTGTGTGCCAGGATTTGTGTTTAAGGTGCTTAGTTTAATCTTTATAATGCGTCTATGATATCTATGCCATTAGCCCTTTTACATATCTGAAAATTGAAGTTTAGAGATGTCTACTCATTTGCTCAGGGTCATAGAACTTGAAAGTGGCAGAGCCGGGATTTGAACCCTGGTTTGACTATTTCTAAACAAAACCAAGCTCTTGAACTATTATATGATACTGCACTCAAGGAGAGCCACTCTCATCAGTAAAGGAGGACTTACTCACCCTGGAAAAACTGGAAAATACAGAATGGTAGAAAGTAGAAGAAAAACCAACAACCATTAATTCTAATTGCCCCAAGTAAGTTATTGACAACATTGTGGTGTATTTCTGTCTTTGTTTGAGCTGCTATAACAAAATACCATGATTGAGTAGCTCACACACAAAAGAAGTTTATTTCTCAGAGTTTGGAGACTGGGAAGTCCAAGATCAAGGTGCTGGCAGATTCAGTGTCTGGTAAGGGCCTGTTTCTCATACACGGTGACTTCTTGTGTCCTCACATGGTGGAAGGGAGAAACAAGCTCCCTAGGATCTGTCTCATACAGGCATTAATCCTGTTCACAAGGGCTCTACCCTCATGAGCTAATCACGTCTGAAGGCCCCACTTCTTAATATCATCACTATGGGGCCTAGAATTTCAATGTATGAAGCTGGGGTGGGACACAGATATTCAGACCATAGCAATATCCTTCTAGGATTTAAAAAATGTTCATATCTGAAAAAACACATATTTGCACCATGCATTTTTGTCTTATTTTTCCCAATAAACCAACATTATGCCATAAGCATTTAAATATTATATACCTTTGTAATATAATTTCAAATAACCTCATAATATTTCACCATGTGGCTGGATATACTCATCTGTGTTAGTTTCCTTATCTTTAAAATATTAGTAATATTTCCCACTGCATGGCTGTGTGGTAGGATGAGATAATGGCAATTAAGTGTCTGATGCATGATAGGTACTCAGTAGATATTTGTACCCTTCTCTCCCTGTATTAAGAAAGTTCCCTAGGAGCAGAGCCTGAGATAGGAATTCTTATGCAAAGCATGTATTATGGGAGTACTAGCAGGAAAAGTCTGGAAGGGAGTGATGGCTGCGAGAGTGGGCAAGGAAGCAAGTGAGTCAAGAACGAGGTCTCCACTGGAGCCCAGCCACAGCCTGATTCCACGGGCAGCTCTGGAGCGTGAACTGCACCACAGTCAGCCCCACTTTGAGGCAATGGGGTTGGCCTTTTATTTTTCCATGTCAGTAGTCACTGGCTGTGGACTGCTCCTTGAGGAGAGGGAGGTAAAATGTTTGGGTGAGGCACCTCCTATTCAACCAAGGGGTACAGTTTAGAGCAGGCCTTTCCAAAATGTCAGCCCCTAGCCACATGTGGCTACAAAGCATGTGACATGTGGCTAGTCTGAATCAAGGTGCATTGTAAGTGGAAAATACACACTGGATTTTGAAGGCTTAGTTGAAAAAATAGATGTCAACATCATTAATAATTTTAAAAAATTGCTTACATGTCTAATGTGATAATATTTTGAATATACTGGGTTAAATAAAACATATGACATATTAAAATTAAGTTCACTTATTTTTTATATTATCTTTTTAATTGAGGCATAATAATTGTACATATTTGTGGGGTACTTATGATATTTCAGTACATGCATACAATGTGTAATAATCAAATAATAGTAATTAGGACATCCATCACCTCAAACATTTATTATTTCTTTGTGTTGGGACCATTCCAAATTTTCTCTTCTAACTATTTTGATATATGTAATAAATTGTTATTAATTATAGTTACCCTACTGTGCTACTGAACAGTAGAATTTACTGCTTCTATCTAGCTGCAGTTTTGTACCCATTAACCAACTTTTCCCCATTTCCACCTCCCCACTACTTGTCACAGCCTATGGTAAACACCGTTCTATTCTCTAGCTCCTTGAGATAAACTTTTTTCGTTCCTACATACAGGTGAGAACGTGCAATAATTTGTCTTTCTGTGCCTGACTTATTTCACTTAACATAATGTCTTCGGATTCCATCTATGTTGCTGCAAATGACAGGATTTCATTCTTTTTAATGGCTGAGTAATATTCCTCTGTGTATATATACCACATTTTCTCTATCCATTCTTTGGTGGACATTTACGTTGATTCCATATCTTGGCTATTGTGAATAATGCCACTATAAACAAGGGAGTGCATATATCTCTTTGATATACTAGTATCTTTTCTTTTGCATATATACCCAGCAGTGGGATTCCCCCGGGAAATGCATCTCAAAATCACAATGAGAAATCATTTCACCCCAGTTAAAAGGCTGTTATCAAAAGGGCAAAAAATAGCAGATGCTGGTGAGGATGTGGAGAAAAAGGAACTCTAGTGCACTGTTAGTGGTAATGTAAATTAGTACAGCCGCTGTGGAAAACAGCATGGAGGTTCCTCAAAAAACGAAAAATAGATCTACCATATGACCTTTTAATTTGTTTTTTTTTTTTGAGATGGAGTGTCACTGTTGCCAGGCTGGAGTGCAGTGGCATGATCTCGGCTCACTGCAACCTCCACCTCCCGGGTTCAAGCTATTCTCCTGCCTCAGCCTCCTGAGTAGCTGGGATTATTAGCTACCACGGCTGGCTAAATTTTTTTTTTTGTATTTTTAGTAGAGATGGGGTTTTGCCATGTTGGCCAGGATGATCTTGATCTCCTGACCTTGTGATCCACCCACCTCAGCCTCCAAAAGTGCTGGGATTACAGGCGAGAGCCACTGCGCCCGGCCCTTTTAATTTTTTTTTTTTTTTAAATGTGGCTACTTGAAAAGTTGAACTCACACCTGTAATCTCAGCACTTTGTGGGGACGAGGCGGGTGGATCACTTGAGATCAGGAGTTCAAGACCAGCCTGGCCTACATGGTGAAACCCCATCTCTACTAAAATACAAAAATTAGCCAGGCGTGGTGGCAGGCACCTGTAATCCCAGCTACTTGGGAGACTGAGGCAGGAGAATTGCTTGAACCCAGGAGGTGGAGGTTGCAGTGAGCCAAGATCGCACCACGGCACTCCAACCTGGGTGACAGAGCAAGACTCCTTCTCCAAAAAAAAAAAAAAAAAAAAAAAAAAAAGGCAAAAAAGCAAAAAAAAAGAAAAGTTGAACTTACACACCTGGCTCACGCTTGTGGCTCTCGTTACGTTTCCCTTGGGCAACATCACTGGGGGGTAGAAGTCGACACACTTTTTCTATAAAAGACCAGACTGTAAATATTGTCAACTTTGCAGGGTGCACAGTCTCTGTTGTAGTGACTCCACTCTGCAGTTGCAGAGGTGAAGCTGCCACACATAAAATATATACAAATAGGCATGGCTGTGTTCCAAGAAAACATTATTTGCAAAAACAGGTGTTGGGCTGGATTTGGCCCATGGACTGTATTTCACTGACCTCTGCTGTAGAAAAAAAATCAGCTGTGAACTGTTAGCAGCCAGTACTCATATTGGCTGGGGATGGCGGTGGGGGAGGGGTGCACCTGCCTGGTAAAAGGATCTGGGGGAGGAACCACCAGTGTGTCCTCTATAGTTCAATTTCTCTCCTGGTTAGAGAAGAATTCTTTTTCCAGTGATTCTTCCCTGCCTTCACCACTGACCTCTAGATACTTTGTCTTTAAAGGAAGAAGCTTTGTTAGGGGTTGCGGTGGAGCAGGGAACTTCACTTCAGGGAGCTTGGAGTATGAAACACTCCTGCCTCAGAGGCTGAAGATGGAGAAATATGCAGGAGGACAAACAAAACCAAACATTTATTTTCTTCTTACAATTGGAGGAAAGGAACATATGCATGTCAATATGGCATTTGAAGATGCTACTTGGTATTCTGCAGGTCTGTGCAACTGGTCTACCCTGGAAGGCGGAGGCAGTGTCTAGGGACTTAAATGATTTTTTTTTGTTTTAAATAACACATTCCCCCAGCTTTTGCTAATGCAGACGTAAACATGGAATTTTTCAATTGAGAGCAATTAACATATAATGCCCTAGGCCAGGAGCTAATTAATACAAAATCCTGGGGAAACAGCAGCACTGCAGCTCATGCTTTCCCAAGGTGGAATTGCTTCATCAAAATGATTCTTGGTCTCCAGAGAACTTTCTGTGACCTGTTTAGGCTGGAATTGGATGTCTCCACTGGGCCTGTGCATCTCCTCTGGCAGCCCCGTGGCACGGTCCCTCCTCACAAATGTGGAGGATCTCCCAGAGGGCCCTTCAGCTGACGTGTGGTTGAGTCTTCCCCAGTTTTTATCCATTGATATATTGGGATAATCTCCTCTGTCTTCAGTGTCCTCCTGTTAGAATCCTTTTGTTCCTTAAAGTCAGAATTGACATCATCTGATGTGGTTTAGCTCTGTGTCCCCATCCAAATCTCATGTTGAATTGTAATCCGAACTGTAATCCCCATGTGTCAAGGGAGGGACCTGGTGGGAGGTGATTGGATCATGGGGGTGGTTTCCTCTATGCTGTTTTAGTGATATGAGTGAGTTCTCACGGGATCTGATGGTTTTAAAAGTGGCACTTCCTCCTTCACTCTTTCTCCCTTCTTCTGCCATCGAATACATGCCTGGCTTCTCCTTCACCTTCCACCATGATTGTAAGTTTCCTGCAGCTTCCCCAGCCATGCAGAACTGTGAGTCAATTGACCCTCTTTTCTTCATAAATTACCCAGTCTCAGGGAGTAGCTTTATAGCACTGTGAGAACAACTAATACATTGTCCTCCTTTCTGCCCCCTCTTCCTTTCACAAATGTTTATTGAACACCTACTATGTACTGAGTGTGTTTTAGGCACTGTGTATGAGGCAGGCACAGCTCCTGACTTACATGCTAATGGGGAAGACTAATAACTAATATGTAAATAAATAGTAAAGTATGCAACTTCAGGAAGATAAGGGCTGTGAAAAAATAAAGAAGGACAAAGGAATAGAAGGTGATGTGTGTGGGATGTCTCTTTTAGATAGAGTGGTCAGGGGACATCTCTTTGAGGAAGTGGCCCTTGAGAGGAACCTTAAAAAAAAGTAAAAAAAAAAAGAAAAACAAAAAAACCCCTCAACAACAACAACAACAACAACAACAACAACAAAAAACAGCCAAAGCTTATAAAGGCCAAAGCTCAAATAGTGCCTACTCTGTGCTAGGCATTGTTTGGAGTGCTTTGCAGACATTGACTGATTATTCTTCATGACAATGCAATGTGGAACTATGATGAGCCCATTTGGTAGATGAGAACCTGAGGCACAGAAAGATGAAGCTGTTGGCCAAAGGATGCCTTGTTCATCAGTGCTAGGATGGACTTTGAAGCCAGACACCTAACACCAAGCACTCTTAACCAACAGAAAGCATAAGGACATTGATTGATTGAATATTTGATTCATTGATTTATTGTAATCTCTCATTCCTAGAGCACCCAATGAGCATCAAGTAGGCATAAATAAGACCTATTACTCTTTTACTGCCTACAAGTAGAGACAGCCTTGGGGCTCAGGCTTGCTGAGAAATATTAGATAAGATATTGTGTCAGTCTGAGACAGTGGGGGAATATATTAATTCATTCTCACACTGCTATAAAATTCTACCTGAGAGTGGGTAATTTATAAAGAAAGGAGGTTTAATTGACTCAGTTTTACATGGCTTGGGAGGCCTCAGGAAACTTACAATCGTGGTGGAAGGCAAAGGGGAAACAAGCAGCTTCTTCATAAGGTGGTAGGAGAGAAAGAGTGAGCTAGGAAGTGCCACACTTTAAAACCATCAGCTCTTGTGAGAACTCACTCACTGTCATGAGAACAGCATGGGGGAAACTGCCCCTAAGATCCAGTCACCTCCAACCAGGTCCCTGCCTCAACCTGTGGGGATTACAATTTGAGATGAGATTTGGGTGGAGACACAGAGTCAAACCATAACAAGGAATTAACAGCCAAGTCCACTCAGCAGAAGTGGCGAGATGATTTAAGACTTGAAGGACGAGTTTGCAGGAAGACAATGTTGGACTGAAGATGTGGAAAATGAGGAAATAGGCCTCAGGAAGGGCATGGCTGAGCAGCAGGAATAGCCTGTGCAAAGGCGTAGAGATGTGGTGTGCCCAGGGAAGTAGAAGTGTCTAAACATGGCATAGGGAGCATGTGGGCAAATAACAACTTATGAAACAGCAAATGTGGGCAGAATTTAGACAGAAACATGGGCATACAGAACTCAGATTTTATCTTGAGGGCCATGGGGAACCACTGAATGACTTTAAATAAAGGGTGATATGTTTGGATTTGTGTGGTTGGAGGATTACATGGGGAATCATGTGCATGTGGTTGGAAGATTACATGGGGAACAGTGTGTGTGTGGAGGGTTTGATGGAGGACAGGTTATTCCCTCAGTGCCTCTTGACACCTTCCATGTGGCCTAGTAGAAATAGAACTTTTTCCTTGGTTCTTAGACATTTTAATGAATAATAATGGCAGCTAATTCTTAGGAACATATTAAGGGCTAAATAGATTTTATGCTATTTTATATTTTTACCTTATTTAATCCTAAAATATATTCTGTGGAATAAATACTACTATCATTTTTATTTTACAGATTAGGAAACAGTTGTAGAGGGTACATGGCACATCTTGAGTTACACAGCCATTAACCAGTGAAACGGGGATTACAGCCTGGGGATCTGAATTCCAAAGGCCAGAGTATTAAGCAGTATGCTATTATCACTCATCTTTCTATGTGCACATGTGTTATTTCCATATCCAGAGGGCACAGCATGCATAAATGCATTTATTGGGCATCTACTATGCACTCGGTATGTGATGGACAGTTCCACACAATATTATTTGTGTTATTCCCTCACAATAGCCTGGTACAGGGTTATCTCCTTTTAATAGATGACAAAACTGAAGCCAGGAGGTGTGCATTGCTGTTTTTTTTTTATTCTTGCCTAGTGTTTCCATTGATTTCTCCCTGAGAGTTTTGTAAGCCTCCTTCTACATCTTTAACTACTTTTATTTCCTGTGGGATTGTCTCTGCTGTCCCTGACAAAGGCTCTAGACAATGGGCATGTCAGGACTGGCTGGATTCCACCAATTCCCAGACACAAGTATTTTTTCTCCTCCATAGTTTGGTTCACTTAATGGCCATTGCTTCCTCATTTTCTTGCCAAGTGACCCCTCCAACCAATGGCCTCCTCTCTAGGCTGGTTGGTGATCAACACACCCTAGAGAATAACCAGCACATTCAGTCTCTGGGCAGATGTGCCTCTGAGTGTGTTTCCCACTGGGGTAGAGTGGAAGGTTGTATTCCTAGAGACAAACTCATGTCCCAAAGACCTTGAGTTTGCTTTTTCTCAAGGTGCCATGAGTTATTTATTTATTATAGGCCAAAAAAAAAAATGTGAGCATGGTACTGGTACAAAAATAGATACACAGATCAATAGAACAAATAGAGAACCCAGAAATAAAGCCACATACCTACAGTCAACTTATCTTCAACAAAGTAAAAAAAAAAAAAACAATGGGGAAAGGACAGCCTTTTAAATAAATGGTACTGGGAGAATTGGCTAGCCATATGCAGAAAAATAAAACTGACATCTAAACTCTCACCATATGCAAAAATTAACTCAAGATGAATTAAGGGCTTAAATCTAAGACCTGGACCTATAAAAATCCTAGAAGAAAACCTAGGGAAAACTCTTCTGGACATTAGCCTAAGTGAATAATTTATGATGAAGACCCAAAAAGCCAATGCAACAAAACAAAAAATAGAGAAATGAGACTTACTTTAATTAAAAAGTTTTTGCAGAGCAAAATAAATAATCAACAGAGTACACAGACAACCTACAGAATGGGAGAAAATATTTGTAAATTGTGCCTCCGACAAAAGAGTAATATCAAGAATCTAGAAGTAACTAAAACAACTCAACAAGAAACAAACAACCCCGTTAAAAACTGGGCAAAGGGCGTGACAGACATTTCTCAAAAGAAGAAATACAAGTAGCCAATAAGCACTAATCATTAGAGAAATGTGAATTAAAGCCACACTGAGCTACGCCTTACACCTGTCAGAATGGCTATTACTAAAAATCAGAAAACAACAGATGTTGGCATGGATGTGGAGAAAAGGGAATGTTTATACACTGTTGGTGAGAATGTAAATTAGTTTAACCCTTATGAGAAACAGTATAGAGATATCTCAAAGAATTAAAAATAGAACTACCATTTGACCCAGCAATAACACCATTTTTATTTGCCTGAAAGGAAAGAAATAATTATATAAAAAATACATCTGCATTCATGTTTATTTCAGCACTACTCATAATAGCAATCATGGAACCAACCTAAGTGTCCCTTAATGGTTGATTGGATAAAGAAAATGTGGTATGTATACACTGTGGACTGCTATGCAGCCATAAAAAGAATGAAATCATGTCCTTTGCAGCAACATGTATGCAGCTGGAGGCCATTTGTCCCAAGTGAATTAACTCAGAAACGGAAAATCAAATATCATGTTCTCACTTGTAAGTGGGAGGTAAACAATGGGTAGACATGGTCATAAAGATGGCAATAATAGACACTGGGGACTCCAAAAGAGGGGAGAATGGGAGGGAGCTGAGCTTTGAAAAATTACCTATTGGGTAAAGTGTGCAGTATTTGGGTGATGGGTACACTAGAAGCCCAATCTCCACCATTACACAAAATACCTATATACCCCCCAAATCTAAAGTTAAAAAAATGTGTATTTGTGCATTATTTTTCAGTTTTAGATATATATGAAACCTAGATAAAGTTATAGATATATGTTTATTAACAATAATGTATATATATTCATCACCAAATATTTAATGTTTAGATAAACTGAAAGAATAAATGAAAAATAACCTTTACTCTTATCACCTACAGATAAACACAGGTATCATTTTGGAGAGTATTCATCTACTCTCTTCTCCCTCCTTCCCTCCTTCCCTCTCCCTTACAAAATGAAATCATATTGTATTAATAAATGCTGCTTTGTCATTGGTGACTCCCTTTCACAGCTCAGCAGAGGCACCTTGACATTCTTCTCTAGCAATGTCTTTCAAACTTCTTTTAGCCTCTTTTGAACCCTTTCTACAAGCATAGGGCTTGGAAACATAATTTATAACTGATTTTCTTAGTCTGCTTGGGCTGTGTCTTCATCAGTTCAGGCTGCCATAATAAAATACCATAGAGTGGGTGGCTTATAAACAACAGACATTTGTTTCTCACGATTCCGGAGGCTGGAAGTCTGAGATCAGGGTGCCAGCGTGGTTGGGTTCTGGTGAGTGTCCTCTTCTGGGCTGCAGACTGCTAACTTCTCTGTGTCCTCACATGGCAGGGAGCAGAGAGGGAAGTAACCTTTACCAGAACTCTTATAAGGACACTAATCCCATTCACAAATGCTTCACACCTTTATGACATCATCTAATCCTAATTACCTCCCAAAGGCACCATGTTCTAATAGGATCACATTGAGGGGTAGGATTTCAACATATGAATTTGGGGGGAGGTACATAAACATTCAGTCTATGACAGGCTTCTATAACAAAATACTATAAACTAAGAGGGTTAAACAACAAGCGTATTTTTTTGTTTTCTTCTCACAGTTCTTGAGGCTGGAAGTCCAAGATCAAGGTGCTGGGTTTGAATTTCCTAGTGAGGGCTCTCTTCCTGGCTTGCAGATGGCCACCTTCTCGCTGTGTCCTTACATGATCCAGAGACAGAGAGAGCTCTGGTCTTTTTCTATTCTTGTAAAGACACTGATACCAGCAAGGGGGCTCGACTTTCAAGACCTTATTTAAGCCTAATGACCTCCCCAAGATTCCACCTCCAAATACCATCGCAATGGGGATGAGGGCTTCAATATATGAATTTGGTGGTGCACATTCAGTTCATAACACAGATAAAAGCAGTTTAATTGGTTGAAGCAGAGGTAGAGGAAACAAAATGCTGTCTAGTTGCTACACTCTTTTGCCCAAATGGGCCCCGACATCACTTCTGTGAATCTCCTGTAGGCTTCCAAGGAGCATTGTTTGCAAAACCGTTATCATCTGACAATATCTTAAAGGTAGTGCGGTATTCCATTGCATGGATGTACACCATGGATTTATCTAGTTTCTATTGTTGGACATCTAGGTTGCTTTCCATTTTTCATCATTATAAACAAAATTCTAATGGACATCCTTGTACTTCCAACCTTGTGTGCACCTGTGATTGTTTCTCTCAGATAAAGTCTTAGAAGTAAAAATCTCTTTTGATTCCTGGCTTGTGGAAATTTCCCCCTGAAGCCCAAATCTCTGCTTTGGCATGCCAGGAGGAAATTTGCCCAGAGTGTGGGCCTCAGTTCAGAGTGGGTATGTGCTGGACACAATATGTCTTCATAATAGATGGCCTGGTGTTGGACTGCTGAGTCATGCTCTGTTGTCAGGACAGCAACAGACTTTCCCCTGGGTCTGGGCTGGCAAGACTGGTGCTTATGATGCTGTCTTATATTTGCAATAGGCTTTTACAGTTTTCAAAGCCCTTTTCATCTGTTGTTCCACAGTCACTACATGAGGTCAGCTGGGAAGATATGAATGTATCTTTAAAAGCATACTGAAGTTCAAAGAGGTTAGAAGACTTTCCTGAAATTATGTATCTAGTAAATGGCAGTACTCTGTACTAGTCAGCTATTATGGCAATAATGCTGCATAACAAATACTCCCCCCACCCCCAGGTCTCAGCACGTTACATCAACAAACAGTATTTTTCTTTCTCCCATGAGAGTTGGGTCTGAGGGTTGGCCATGATTTAGCTGATCCCAGCTGGGCCAGTGTGGCTGGTATAGGGGGCAATGGGTATGATGACACAAGACAATGTCAGAAAGGAAGCCTTGGGCAAAACCTTAAAGGCCATGGTACAGAGCTGGAATCTTATATTGCAATGGGAAACCATTGGAGGATTTTCCATAGAGGAGTGACATGACCTGATTTGTGTTTTAAGAGCCTGTTTGGATTTGTTTGTTCAATGCTGTATTTTCTGTGCCTGGTTAATCATAGATGCTCCATAAATATTTTACTGGATTAATAATGAACCTGATTCCAAAAAAAGGAATGGAATGCAAGACTAGAGGCATTGGATATATGTCCAGCCTCTGCAGGGTGCTGGTTAAGCTGGTTAGCTTCAGTAGGAAAGATCCATTAGCTAATTTATTTATTCATTTCACTCACTGAGAAAACATTTGCTAGGTGCTTCCTCTGGGGTATCCACATCAGCAGAGGAAAAGCTAGGGAAGGCTATGACTTTGCAAACTCTGTAGAAACCTCTGATGGAATCACCCCTCTACTGTCCACTGTAGTCCTCTTTCGAGGAAAAGAAAAAACTCAGGGCAGCTGGAGAAAAAACAGAGCTCAGACTCGAGAAAAAACAGAGCTCAGACTTGAGACACGGGCTTCCCTCTATAGGGGTCAAAAACCAGGGCGGAGAGAGATAACCATTGTTAGAACTTGAACCTCCTTAACTCATCATTTCATTCAGCTCCATTGTGTAGAAGGGGAAACTGAGGCCCCTAGGGTGGGGGTTGAACTGCCATGCTCGAGATGACCCAGCAAATGAGTGGCAGAGCCAAGTAGAGCCCAGACCTTCAACCTTCTATTCCTGGGGCTCTTTGCACAGCTCTGCCCTGCTGCCCTCGCCTTTCAGCCAACAGTTTCCGCACTCTACATATGAGTTTGGGGGAGGAACATAATACTGTTTATTTTGAATTGAAATGCTTTTTAAAAAATTAATAACCAGCCACACAAAGATAGTTTACATTTAAAATTAGATGTTAAAGTGCAAAGGTTTCCTTCAGGAATAGGAATTATGTCTTCTAATTATATAGTATTTGGAACTACGCATTTCCTTTGAAGAAATGCCTTATAAATAGGTCAAAACAGCCTTCACGTTTCTTATGTGTTTACTTGCGTGGTGTGCTCATTTGGCGTTTGGCCCTGATATCATGCAGCCTTGAACCCTGGTTACATTTTCTTGTGTAAAGGAATTATCTCCACTTAGACTGCAAACAAGATTTTCCTACTTGTCATTCTTTTTCCCTCCGTCACAATGTCTAGCGTAGTGCCAGGTACAGGCAATTTGCAAATATCCATTTAAAAAATTATTTTATTATTTTTTTTAAGTTCCAGGGTACATGTGCAGGATGTGCAGGTTTGTTATGTGGGTAAATGTGTGCCATTGTCAAAGATTTAGAACTGGAAATACCATTTGACCCAGCAATCCCGTTAGTGGATATTTACTCAAAGGAATAGAAATCACCCTATTCTAAAGATACGTGCACACATATGTTCATTGCAGCAATATTCACAATAGCAAAGACATGGAATCAACCCAAATGCCCATCAATGATAGACTAGATAAAGAAAATGTGGTACATATACACCATGGAATACTATGCAGCCATAAAAGGGAATGAGATCATGTCCTTTGCAGGGACATGGACGGAGCTGGAAGTCATTATCCTCAGCAAACTAACTCAGGAACAGAAAACCGCACATCATGTGTTCTCACTTTTAAGTGGGAGCTAATATCCATTCTAATTTCCTTTTCATCTCCTCCCCTCACCTGTCCTCCCTTTTCTTCCAGTTCCGTCCTCTTCCCTCCTCTCCAACCCTCTCTCTCCCTCTCATCCTTCTTCCCTATCTCAGCCCTGTTTTCCTTTCCTTCCAGGAACATTTTGGTAATGTGCCAAGCGCTTTATAGGCTTTGGGGACTCAGTGATGAATTAAAGTGAACACGTTTCCTGCTCTCACAAGGCTTTGAGTCTATTTTGGGAGTGGTGGGGGGCAGACACTAAACAGCTAGCAGTGCAATCATTTGTGTAATTATATCTGTAACATGTGGGGGGGATGATGAAAGGAGAGTGTGGAATGAGGGAATTTGGTCAGGGGTCAGGGGTCAGGGGACGTTTTCCTGGGGAATCCAGGCTTTAGCTGAGACCCGGAGGATGAGTGGGAATGACCAGCTGAAGGAAGGGAGACAGTGGAATAGCAACCCAGGCAGAGGGAACTGCATGGTGCAGGGACAACCTTGAGTGGGGAGTGGCCTAGGGCTTTGGAGGGATGGACAGGAGGCCAGAATGGTGGGAGCAGAGGTAGCGGAGTGGAACATGGAGAGGTGAACATAAACATCACACAAGGTCTCAGATGCCACGAGGAAGAGTCTGGTGTTTTTCTTGACGGCAATGGAGATCCATGGAAGGAATTTGAGCCAGAGAATAACACAGTCAGAATTCCATTTCTGGAAGGCCACTTGAGGCCAGAAGTGGAGGCGGTTCCATCAACACGGAGTGGATTAAATAAACCATATTACCTCCTCACAATGGCACGCTCTGCAGATGTAACAGAAAAAGGATGTGTCTGTATCCTGATGTGGAAAGGTCCCCAGAGCACCCCGGCCAAAACTGAGGAAGAGAACAGAGTTTTTCAGCTGAAGAAAGAAGGGGGAAGAAGGAGAAAGAAGGAGAACAGTGACCGCATCATATATTACAAAATGTTAGTGAACACAGAGCCCATTCCCCTGCCAAAAGCAACCCATAAATCAGCCCCAGAAGGCACAGGAGTTCAGTGCACTAGAAATTTCCCTCCAATCAGCTCTCTCCTGTGAACAGCGAGTTCCTTGCGACAAGTCAGGTTTCAGCTGAGCCCTGCAGATTGGGTGGCTGTCAGGTGTGATCACACACACCTGCTACAGCTGGCCTTTCTCTGCCAGGGAGTCACACCTTCCAGTCTTCCAGCATGACTGAGACTGAGAACCAAGTGGCCAGAACCTCGGGCCTGGTAAGAATAATTAAAATGGGATCAGTGTCTGTCCCTGTGGCGACGTCAACATCAGAGCTCCCAGCATGGAGGTCTCTGGCATGGCTGGACTTACTTGCTGAGGACTGGTGCTTGGCCCGTCTTGCCTGCACTGGCCTGGCTTACTCCAGTCGATGCGAAGGCACTGCTGTCCACTGCCTGGCCATCATGTGCTGGTGCTGTCTGTTGTCATTTCATACACATGATCTCAAATTCTCAAGACAACAGCCCTAGGAGGCAGGAAGGGGAAACTGAGACTCAGAGTGGTTCAAGGACTTGCACACAGACAGTGAGAGAGCCAGAGTCAGGGTTGACCCCAGGCCTTCAGGCTGCTGTCATTCTGGGTTTTCTGAGCTTCCTCACCATTATTTCCCAGTTCCCCAGTTGCATGAATGATAGTTGCCAGGTTCACTTGTGTTATGGACTGAATGTTTGGGTCTTCCTGCAAATTCATATGTGGAACTCTAACCCCCAATATGCTGATATTTAGAGGGCCCCTGGGAGATAATTAGAGTTAGATTAGAATATCATGAGGGTGGAGCTCCCATGAGGGAATTAGTGCCCCTATAAGAAGAAAGAGAAAGAGCAGAGTTTTCTCCCTGTCTGCCCCATTGGGACATAGTAAGAAGGTGTCATCTGCAAAACAGGAGGGGAGCCCTCACCAGGAACCAAATGTGCTGCTGCCTTGATTTGGACTTCCCAGCCTCCAGAATTGTGAGAAATAAATGTCTGTTGTTTAAGCCAACTGGTCTATGGTATTGTGTTATGGTGGCCCAAATGGACTAAGACAGCATACATTTCCCCTCGCCACTTTGAATCACCCTGATTTTCATTTGGAAAGTTACATCCCCCTTCCTAGGTGTATCTTGTTGGGCCTGACCAGGGGTAGCTGTGTGACCACTCAGAGCTCTTCTTTCAGGGCCTGGCCTCTTGAGTAGATTCTTTTAGTCCAGTACCCTCCTTCCACTGGGGTGCTCAGGAAATACAGGGAGGGAGCACAATTTCTGTTGCCCCATCCTGATCCTACTGCCAAGCCCAGTCCTCCAGCCTTCAGGTCCACTCTGTTAGCAACCTTGGGTCCACACAATCACACCCCTTTCTGCTTAGGTTCGCCACAGTTGTTTCTGTTGCTTGCAGTCAGAGGTGCCTGAGGGAAGCAGGAGCCTGGGTGTAGGCACTTTAAGTGCCATTTGTTCTTAGTTGTCAGCTGACAGTTTGTTGTGAGATAATGTGTGCCTGTTGTGATGAGATGAGTGGGAATGGTGAGGACATGGAGTGCATCTCTGCAGGACCCAGTATTGGGGGTGGAAGGAGATGTAAACAAGGTCATAGTCTCTGTCTTTTCCTCCAAGAAAAGCTGGGGGCTGGAGACCAAATGTGTATGCAACATGGCCTTTGTCTTCAGGAGCTCCTAGTGTAGCAAGAGATGTGACACAGACGTAAATAACCATAACATCAGGGTGGATGTCATAAAAGTATGAGGGAGACCATATGGCTGGCAGGGAGTTGGAGAGAAAGATTGTTCAGTGTGTGGGATAATTAATAATAGTTGACATTCATCAAATCCTTATTATGTGCCAAGTGCCTTCCTAAATGTTTTATATACTTGTGTCATTTAATTTTCATCATAACACTTGGAGGTAGCTACTATTAGTTCTCCCATTTTGTAAATGTGGAGACTGAGGCACAAAGGGATTATATAACTGGCTTATGATTATAAGGCTAGGAAGGTGCCAGGTGGGATTTAAATACTTCCATTTCTGGCTCTCCAGTCTAGGTTTCACAAAGTATCATACAGGTGGAAGCTTTTGAGTTGAGTTGTGAACGGCAGAAAATTTAGCCCCGAGTTAGCTTATGCTCACCTCAGGCAGAAGGCATTAAAGCAAGCATTTTTACATGTTTTGGATGTCATAGCCGAGGGAAGAACCATTTATGTAATCCCTTCCCTCTGGTCCTCACCAAGGGGGCTTCAGAAGCCCTTCAAGTCATAGCCTCATAATTAAGTAAATGAAAACCTTCCTGTGAACAAGGAATCTTCAAAGTGCTACTGCTTACAGACTAATAACACTGACAGATCATGGTTTTCATTAGAACAAATTGCTGCTGAAGTTGGGCCAGGCCCTAGGTCTGTTCTGAATATGTTAAGAATCAGTGCATTGCCAGATCTGGTCTAAGGTGCTAAATTTGAAAAGGATTTAGAACCAAGATACAGATGGAGCTGATCTTGAAGGAAACAAGAATGTGTCCACTGTTTTCACACCTAGGGCTTTAGCACACAGCAGGCATTCAATAAATTATCCATTGCCTGACCAAATGAAAAAGGTCCCAAATTAATTCCATGGAGCACCAGAGGTGTACAAACCACAGGGGTGATGGTGTATCAATCAAAACATTGGACTTTCTGTTTTTTTTTTTTTCAACAGAAACTCAAACTGACTTAAATAATAGAATTTATTAGCTACCTAACTAAAAAGTTCAAAGGTACAGTGGCCATCAGGAAAGGTTTGATCCAGCAATGTTAATGTCAGCAAGTTTTTCTTGGTTTTGTCTTGAGAGCTCAGCCCCTAGGAAGTTTAAGACAGGATGTGTTTATACTACAGCCCTGTCTGAAGTCTGATGTTGTGGCTTGGTCAAGGGTAATATTTTACAGACACACAATCTGGCCCGAGACAGAAAGAATTCACCAGATTGCCAAGACTTTTGTAGAGTACAGAGGAGCAGATCAACACAATTCAAGATCGTGACAGGGAATGTAGGGAATTCCTAGCTGTGTTAAACCTCAAAGAAGTTACTTAACCCCTGAGATTCTTGTTTCCCTCCACAGTAAGCATGAGGGAAACATAATTTCTGTCCTGTTTATTTCTTGGGGTTGTCAAAAGGCTCAATTGAGAACATACTTCTATTATAATTCTGCATAAAAGAGCAATATAATTAGTGATCATGGGAATTAACTGATTATCAATGATGGTGATTTCTCCTAGTAGATGTTTAGGCTGATTCATTAGTTTATCCTTATATATATCTCCATGCACATACGAATAAATGAATATCTATCTATATATACACACACATACATATATATATGTATATACCTTTCCTTCAGGAAAGGTTTGGTCTAGCAATGTCACCAAGTTATTGGTTTTGTGTTGACATCTCAGCCTCCAGGAAATTTCAGAGATTGTGTGTTACATCATATTACATCAATATTACAGCCCTATTTGAAGTCTGAAACATGTATTTATGCATGTGTGTTTGAAATATATGAGGTATAATTAATATACCATAAAATTTCAGCCTTTTAAGGTGTACAATTCAGTGGTTGTCCTTATATTCACAAAATTGTTCCACTATCACCACTGCCTAATTCCAGAGCACTTTCACCTCCTCAGAAAGAAACACTGTATTTGTTGGCAGTCATTCCTCCTTACTCCTTTCTCCAGCCCTTGGCAACTACCGATCTCCTTTCTGTCTCTTTTATTGGGCACCTATCGTGTGGGAGGCACTCTACCAGTTCTGGAGATACAACTGTGAGACAATTCTCCCAAGTGATTTGGAATCAGATGAACAAACCCTGAATTACTCAGGCAAAAAATTAATGGGTCTGGCTAGCTTCCAACGTCACTTAGGAGGTGGCTGCTTTTTCAGGGAGAGACAATATAGAATGGAGTGTGCAGGGTCTGGGGTTTACTCCCCCTCCCACATCGTGGCAGCCACGTGGCCTTGGTGTTTTCGAGTTTGAGTACTGTCCTCTATAAAACGGCACCTCCCCTCTAGGGTTTTATCCTCATGAATATAAAATGAGATGATATATGTAAAACATCAGTACCCAGCACATAGTCAGTGCTCAGTAAATAAGAACACTATTGTAATTGAAATGAATGACAAAAAGTGTTTTTCATTGAAGAAATAGCAAAGGGCGATAAGTGCTTATCTTAGGAATAGAAGAACAGGGGACATTTTCTTAACCTCATACTTCACTGCATTGAAACTGAGGTTTCCTGACCTTGGCTGTAGCATCATCTTGGACTGGATAATTCTCTGTTGTAGAAGGCTTCTTGTCTATTGCAGGATGTTTACTGGCATCTCTGGGCTGTATCCCTTGGATGCCATTAGCATTTCCCAAGTTGTAACAACCAAAATTGTCTCTAAACATTGCCAGATGTCCCCTAGAGGGCAAAATATTCCCTGGTTGGGCACCACTGGCTGAAACTGAATGTGTTCTGTGCTGGATACTTCACTTTCCTACATCTATGATTTTGCTCACCTAGGGGACATCTGCTTCCCTAATCCTACCCTTGGCCTTTAAGACCAAGCTCCAGTGCTATCTCCTTCCTGGATCTTCCCTGATGAAAGAGTTTCCTCCCTTCTCAAATCCTAAAGCGCTTTATCTCTGCATCTTGTATGACAAGAAGGAGTGCCAACTATGTACCAGATATGTGCGTTCTTTCTTTTTTTGTAGAGACAGGGTCTCACCATGTTGCCCAGGCTGGTCTCGAACTCCTGGGATCAAGCAATCTTCCTGCCTCAGCCTCCCAAAGTGTTGTGATTACAGGTGTGAGCCACTGTGCCCAGCAGTGCTTTATAATCTTTATAACAATTCCACAAGGAAGGCATTCGTTATCCCCACTTGCAGATTAGGAAGCCAAGGTACAAAATATCCCTTTCTCTGGAATAATCTGTATGCAAAACTTAGCCCCTTGGAAGACTGAGAAGGCCCTGTCTCATTCATTTCCAGCACAGTGCCTGGCACAGAGTAAGTGCTAAGAAAATTTACTGAGTAAATGAATGAAAAGAAAAAGAAGCCTTGGAGGAAGATGTTCAGCATAGTTATCAAGCCTTTGAACATGGGAAAGACTCAGATCTGTCCTGGGTGGTTAAATATTCATCTTCCTGTAGGATAATTAGCTGTCCAGACAATCTCTTGAAATCTTGCCTGATTCTAGCCATTCAACAGGTTTCCTGGGTGCCTCCTGGGTGCCAGGACTTGTGATGATCTCTGGGGAGGTCCAGAAATGAATAAGACATGGTCCTGTTCTAGAACTAGGAATACCATTTGACCCAGCCATCCCATTACTGGGATTATTACCCAAAGGATTATAAATCATGCTGCTATAAAGACACATGCACACGTATGTTTATTGCCGCACTATTCACAATAGCAAAGACTTGGAACCAACCCAAATGTCCATCAATGATAGACTGGATTAAGAAAATGTGGCACATATACGCCATGGAATACTATGCAGCCATAAAAAATGATGAGTTCATGTCGTTTGTAGGGACATAGATGAAGCTGGAAACCATCATTCTCAGCAAACTATGGCAAGGACAAAAAACCAAACACCGCATGTTCTCACTCATAGGTGGGAACTGAACAATGAGAACACATGGACACAGGAAGGGGAACATCACATACCAGGGACTGTTGTGGGGTTGGGGGAGCGGGGAGGGATAGCATTAGGAGATATACCTAATGCTAAATGACGAGTTAATGGGTGCAGCACACCAATATGGCACATGTATACATATGTAACAAACCTGCACGTTGTGCACATGTACCCTAAAACTTAAAGTATAATAATAATAATAAAAATAAAAAATAAATAAATATTATTATCCCTGTTTTATAACCAGTGTTATGGACATCCAAGGACAATGTTGATTTTGTTAATAAACAGTGCATCAAATAAAAAAAAAAAGAAATACTCTGGAGATTGAAGATGCCTATGAGCTCCAAAGCATCGATTCCTCTCCTAAGTGTAGCTCCTAAAGATATTGTTGATCCTGGGCACAGAGAGACATGCAAATAACAGTTATTGCAATGTTGCTGGTAATAGTGGAAAAATTGGAAACAACCTAAATCAGTGATTCTCAAACTTGTCTGCATGTTAGAATTACCAGGAGATCTTTAAAAAATTCCAGAGCTAAGCCAGGCATGGTGGCTCATGCCTGTAATCCCAGCACTTTGGGAGGCTGAGGCAGGTAGATCACCTTAGGTCAGGAGTTCAAGACCAGCCTGGCCAACATGGTGAAACCTCATCTCTACTAAAAATACAAAAATTAGCCGGATGTGGTGGCACATGCTTGTAATCCCAGTTACTTGGGAGGCTGAGGCGGGAGGATCAGTTGAATCCCAGAGGCAAAGTTCACAGTGACCTGAGGTGGCACCACTGCACTCCAGCCTGGGTGACAGAGGAAGGCTCCATCTCAAAAAAAAAAAAAAAAAAAAAAAAAAAAAAAAAAAAATCCAGAGCTCAGGCTACATATATCCCATATCATATAAATCACAGTCTCAAGGCTGGGACACATTTGTCACTATGTTTTGAAGATCCTGGGTAATTCCAATGTGTAGACTAGTATGAGAACCACTGACCTAAATATCCATTATAAGGTGGGTGAATAAATAAATTATGGTCTACGTATATGATGGATTACCTTGCAGTAATTACAATGAATGAACTATACCAAAAGACATGGACAAGAATGTTTATAGCAGCACTATTCATAATAGCCCCAAACTGGAAACAACTAAAATATCCATCAATGGCTGAATGAATAAATAAATTGCTTTGTAATCGTAAAATGAAATATCATACATTTTTGAGAATGAACAGCTACAACTGTATGTGTGAACCTTGCAAATATGCTGTTGAGTGAGAGAAGCCAGGCACAAAGGTGTACAGACTGTGTGTGGTTCTGTTTATGGAAAGTTCTGGAAAAGGTCATCTGCAAACTTTCCTGGAAAGAGCTCAGTAGTAAATATTTTAGGCTTGTGAGTGATGTGGGGTGTCTGTTGCTACCCAACTCTGCCACTGTGGTGCAAAACCAGCCATAGATGATATATGTAAATGAGTGAGTGTGGCTGTGTTCCAATAGAATTTTATTTATAAAAATGGGAGGTGCAGGCTGGGCATGGTGGCTCACACCTGTAATCCCAACAATTTGGGAGGCCGAGGCTGAGGTCAGGAGTTCGAGACCAGCCTGGCCAACATGGTGAAACCCCGTCTCTACTAAAAATACAAAACAATTAGCTGAACGTGGTGGTGCGCACCTGTAGTCCCAGCTACTTGGAAGGCTGAGGCTGGAGAATCGCTTGAACCTAGGGGGCAAAGGTTACAGTGAGCTGAGATCCTGCCACTGCTCTCTGTCCTGGGTGACAGAGCAAGACTCCATCTCAAAAGAAAAAAAAAAAAAGAAAAAAAAACGGAGGTGCACACGATTCAGCCCACAGTTTGTAGTTTGCTAATCTCTATTCTGGAGCAAACACCATTCACCTACAGTGAACCTGCCATGGAATTTGTCACCCTGGGTGGAGGGTGGTTAATGTAAAAAAAAGCACAAGAGAGCTCCTGGGATTTGGGAGATGATTTTTTTTTTTTTTTTCTGTCTGGGTGCTGATTATGCTATAGTGCTCACTTGGTGGAAATTCATCACTCCTTGCACTTATAAAGTGTACACTCTTCTGTAAGTGTTGTTCTCCAGGCGGGGTGCAGTGGCTCACACCTGTAATCCCAGGACTTTGAGAGGCCTAGGCAGGTGGATCCCCTGAGGCCAGGAGTTCGAGACCAGCCCTGGGTAACATGGTGAAACTCTGTCTCTACTAAAAAAACAGAAAAATTAGCTGGGAGTAGTGGAGCATGCCTGTAGTCCCAGCTACTCAGGAGGCTGAGGCGGGAGAATTGCTTGAACCCGGGAGGCGGAGGCTGCAGTGAGCTGAGAGCGTGCCATTGCACTCTAGCCTGGGAGACAGAGCCAGACTCTATCCCCACGCCCTCCCCACCAAAAAAAATGTTCTTCAGTGTGAAGTGTACACTGGAAACAGAAAACAAATAAATGAATGAGCTGAAACTGTATTCATTAAATCAGCACGCAAAAAAGTAAGTTTTGGAAGCTATATTCAAAATGTAGAACGTGCAAAACAATATAGTAAACTGTTTAGGGACCATGTCACAGATCTAAAAGATATGCAGGGAAAAAATAATCACTACATTCAGAATGGCGAATACCTTGAGAAAAATGAGATGGGGAGAGGCACACAGGGGCTTCATGGATAGCCCTAATTTTTTTATTTCTTGAACTGAACTGTGAATAAATGGGCTTTATTATGTTATCCTTTATTTCCCTTTATGTATTTAAATATTAAATAATAATAGTAAAAAGAATAATAGATACTATCCTTATTTTTAAGGAATATATATATTTTTTCAATGACAGATTTAGGGGGTACAAGTGCTGATTTGTTACATGGATGTATTGTGTAGTGGTAAAGTATGGGCTGGAAAAACTGGATTGCCATATGCAGAAGAATGAAAGTGGACCCCTATCTCTCACTAGGGGTATATATACATATATATATATATATACATATATGTGTATATATATATATATACATATATATATACATATATGTATATATATATATACATATATATATATACACATATATGTATATATATATACACACATATATATATACATATATGTGTGTGTATATATATATATATATATATATATATATTTTTTTTTTTTTTTTTTTTTTTTTTTTTTTGAGACCAAGTCTCACTCTGTTGCCCAGGCTGGACTGCAATGGTGCAATCTCAGCTCACTGCAACCTCTGCCTCCCAGGTTCAAATGATTCTCCTGCCTCAGCCTCCCAAGTAGCTGGAACTATAGGCACACACCACCACACCGGCTATTTTTGTTGTTGTTGTTGTTGTATTTTTAGTACAGACGGGGTTTCACCGTGTTGGCCAGGCTGGTCTCAAACTCCTGACCTCAGGTGATCTGCCCACCTCAGCCTCCCAGAGTGCTGGGATTACAGGTGTGAGCCACCGCGCCTGGCCGGGGCATATGTTTTAAAGTGGGTTCAGAAGAATGTAAGCCCATGAGGCAGGGATTTTTATCTATTTCATTCACTTACTGTATTTGTCTGCAGTGCCTCGAACAGTGTCTGATACATGGGAGGCACTCGCAAAGTATTTGTTGAATGAATGAATGAAACAGCACGTGGACAGTTAGAGATTGACTGAAGAATACACTTTGGTAGTGCTGAGGGAATTTGGACAGGAGAAGAACCAGGAAATCTCGAAAGACACCCACCTGGGATCCTGGCAGGAAGCTAGGCATTGCTAAGTCTCTCTTTTAGCTGTCTGCACAGGTACTAATTTTCCAGCCTAAACTTCAAGACTAAAACTTCGGGGCAAATATTTAAAAGGTGACACCTGCTGCCCTTATCCCCCCTCCAAATCAGGACTCTGTGTAGCTAAGGCTGTTGAGGACTTCTCAGCTTGCCTGTTTCCTAGGGCTGTCTAGTAAATCCTGAAGCCTTTGCCAGTAGCCAGGAAGCTGAGATCACCTCGGAGCACAGATGGGGAAGGAGGTTATGGGGGAGACAGAGACTGTGCCCAGCTGGGTTGGAGAGGCAGGCAGAAACCCTCTTGTCTCTTGGCTGGCTGCCCAGTCTTGAATGGGAGAGAGGTCTTCCCACGAAGGATGAGTCAGCCACTGAAGCTTGGGAGAGGATGGGGTGGGGAACTGTGACCTAATTTGCTGCATAACTGGGGAGGCAAGCCTCCTCCCTGTGCTCTGGGGATGCTGTTTTTTAAACACTTTATAAATCTCCCTACTCACCCCATGCTGTTGTGTGGATCATCTCTCTTTAGGAGCAGGGGCTGTAGGAACGACATATCGTACCAGATTAATTTTATGACTGCCATTATTATGAATGCCATCATCATTGTTGTAGGGGTGGATCTTTGGTGCAATTCATCAAAGCAGCCAAAGTAAGGAAAATCCTGCAGAAATAAGGAAAGCTAATATAATAAAGACCTTCTTAGCTCCTTTCCAGATCAGTGTTTAGCTCAATTTTAGTGGTACCCAGGTTTATTCCTTTTAGCTTTCTCTTTAGAGAACTGTCCTATAGATTCCGGTCTGTCTTTGCATTGTAGTCTAATTAGTCCACAAAAATTTCTCTTGCATGCTTAATCTATGCCAGACACAATTCTAGACATTGGGGATATGGTTATAAGTAAATTAGGCAAAATCTCTGCTCTCTTGGAGTTTGTGTGTGTGTGTGTGTGTGTGTGTGTGTGTGTGTGTGTGTTGAGAGGGGCAAGTGGAGGAAAAATGTAAATAAAAATAAATAATGATAAATAAAGGTAAATAAAAATAAATTATGATCATTTCCAATGGTTGTAAGCACTCACATTTAAAGGGTAGTGTCATATATTAGCAAGAGTGATCAGGGAAGGCTCTCTGGAAAGAATATTTTAATTAAAAACAGAAAGATAAGAGGAAACAGAAGAGCAGAATGAAAGAGTATTCCAGCCAAGAAGCACCACAGGTGCAGAGGTCCCAAGGTAGAAACAAAGTCTGGCAAGTCCTAAAACCAAATGAGTGGCCACTGTGGGTTGGGTCATCTTCCTCACCCACACCTCCGTATATCACTAAGTGAGCAAGGATGAGAGTGATATATAATGAGGTGAGGGATGTTGGAAGGATGAATCATACAGAATCTTTTAGACTCCAGCAAGGAGTTTAGACTTTCTTCTAAGTCAGCACTGTCCAAATCAACTTCTCATGAAGGTGGAAATACTCCGTGTCTGTTCTATTCAATATAGCAGGCACTAATCTTATGTGACTGTTGGACCATTGACATGCGGGTAATGCAACTGAGAAACTGAATTCTTAATTTTATTTAATTTTAACTAATTCAGAGTTAAATTTGAATAATTGCATGTAGCTATCGGCTACCATATTGGATAATGCAATTATAAGTGACCCAGGAAATAGTGAGGGTGTTGGTGCAGTGGATGGTAAGATTGGGTAATGCTTTTTTAAAGAATGGATTTTGTGGCTGGGTGCAGTGGTTCACTCCTGTAATCTCAGCATTTTGGGAGGCCGAGGTGGGAGGATCACTTGAGGTCATGAGTTCAAGACCAGCCTGGCCAACATGGTGAAACCCTGTAGCTACTAAAAATGCAAAAATTAGCCAGGCGTGGTGGTGGGTGCCTGTAATCCCAGCTACTTGGGAGGCTGAGGCAGGAGAATCGCTTGAACCTGGGAGGCGGAGGTTGCAGTGAGCTGAGATTGTGCCGCTGTACTCCAGCCTGGGCAACAGAGCAAGATTCCATTTCACCCCTCCGCTCCCCCCACACAAAAAATAATAGATTTTGTTAGCAAGAATAAAAGCAGGGACTCATGAAGGATCCTATTCACTTTCCCTGAGGAGCCTGGCAGCTGAATCCCATATTCACAGAAAGTTTTCCTTTTGCCCTTCTTTTCCTTTTCAAATGCTAACAGGTTTCCTGGAATGATATGGGATCAGGAGGGCCCTCTGGACTGAACTGATTCTTCAGGGAAATAGAAAGTCAAGAAACATGTGCCTGTTGTTTCGCTGGAGAGTTCAATTCTAGTGCTGCTTGGGAAGTGATTCTTAACTTCCATAAAGATATAGGCTACAGACTACGCTAGTTAATTCCATTTGGGCAGTCACTGGATGAGTGAAACATTTCGACTTCAGAGCAGAGATTTGGCAGACAACTGGGAGGCATCAGACTAATTCATCCCATCACTCTCCTTCCTCCTGCAGACAAAAATGAACTTAATAAAATCTGCAGATGCTAGTGATAGTTGCTTTTTTTTAGTGCCTATGAGCTAAGCAACTTGTGTATATGTAACACATTGAACTTTTCCAACCACTCTACCTACTAGTGAATGATTCTTAAGAAATTTTAAACTATAAATATTTACATTAAGACTCCTAGAGGTGGGGATAGTAGCACTGATTTGGGCACAGTGGAAAGAGCACTGAATTGGGACTTCAGAAGGCTATGTTCTGGTCTAAGTTTTGCCACTAATTGTCTGTATAGCCTCGAAAAAGGCTCTTCTCTTGTGTGGATATTATCTGGAGGGGATTAGTAACGTATTCTTCAAGCACCCTTCTGGATTTTGTTGCCTGTGGCATAAAAGTATGCTTGCTTTCCTTATTATGCATAAGTGGCATCAAAGTATTATTGGAAGTGAGGCCCAGAGTGGGCTGAAGACACAAGTCAAGGGTCTCCAGCACTGCCTGCCAGGATTCTTTGGTGGTAAGCCAAAGAGACCAATTAGAAAGTGGAAGGCCTAGGAAGAAAAGGGACCAGGGAGTTCCAAGGTCCCTAGAGAACGGCAATGAAGTCCTATCTAGCGTCCGTCCTTGTATTCACTGCTCATGACTCAAATTATGGGGAGAAAGCGTATATCTGGACAAGCTTGGGCCACTCCTTGGCCAGGAGAGGGCAGGACATCTTTATTGATAATTTCTCTAAAATTTTATCCAATGGAAGAGAGGTAGTTCCCTAAAGGAAAATTGACATGTTCTTACCCAAAGAAGGAGGCATGGAAACCAGGCGGGCAAAAATGACCAAGACTCCCTAAAAACACAGACTATAGTTTCTAAAAATTAAGAATATGACTTTCATGTCCATATAAGCCATGGCTAGCAAGTGATTTCTGGTGGTTTTTTTTTTTTTTTTTTTTTTTTTTTCCGGAGTTTCGCTCTGTCGCCCAGGCTGGAGTGAAGTGGTGCAATCTTGGCTCACTGCAACCTCCAACCCCCAGGTTCAAGCGATTCTCCTGCCTCAGCCTCCTGAGTAGCTGGGATTACAGGCACCCACCACCATGCCCAGCTAATTTTTATTATTAGTAGAGCGGGGTTTTGCCATGTTGACCAGGCTGGTCTTGAACTCCTGACCTCAGGTGATCCACCTGCCTCGGCCTCCCATCTAGCAAGTGATTTCTAAGTCTATGTGAAATTGTAATTTATCAGAATCTTCAGTTCACTGGGATTCTTAGGTTGCTTATTATGAAAATTATTCTGAACCTGAAACTATATATGTCTACATCTATAACTCTATATTTATCTGCATTTACATCTATCACATCCATATCTGTATCTATATCTATCTCTCTATATTTATATAAACTTTCAGGGTTGCTATGGAGCCAGCTGAGATTCCAGCATTGGTACCTTGTTAACCTACATGCACAATATTTTAATTAATTGATTAATTAATCCATCTGACAAATATTTGTTGAGCACCTGTTGTGACCGGGCACTGTGTTTACTTATCTGAGCAACATTCCCTGCTCTTGAGGGGCTTTTGTTTAAGTGTGTGTTGTTATCTTTGCTGATAATTCCACTAAAACTGTACCCAGTGGAAGAGGGGCAGTTCACATACAGCTATTATGTTCACATAATCAAAGTGTTGGGGAGGGCGTTCAAGAATAGGGTATTGGCTGGGCACAGTGGCTCACGGTGAATCACAAGGTCAGGAGTTCGAGACCATCCTGGCCAACATGGTGAAACCCTGTCTCTACCAAAAATACAAAAAAATAGCTAGGTGTAGTGGCTGGCACCTGTAATCCCAGCTACTCAGGAGGCTAAGGCAGGAGAATCGCTTGAACCCAGAGGTGGAGGTTGCAGTGAGCTGAGATTGCGCCACTGCACTCCAGCCCGGGCAACAGAGTGAGACTCCATAAAAAGAAAGAAAGGAAAAAGGAATAGAGTTATTAGCTCTGTCAGAATAATTGGATTTATGCAAGTTGTGTGTTTAAGGATTAATAAACATATTTAGGTGATAATGACCAGTGAAAGGCATTCAGGCAATGGTAAATGGGTGGGGTGGGACGGGGGCGGGGGGGGTAAGGGCATGTCACTATGAATAGGCCTGGCCTAATCAGGAATTGGTGAATTTAAGATGGAAATTGTAGGTGGGGCTGGGAGGGGGGACTGGAAAAAGAGGGAAGATGGCCCAGATATTTGGAAAGATTCTTGGTCATCCTTGAAGGACTTGAAGCCATGCTTAGTGGCCTGAGTGATAAAGAAGGATAATAGCTTCATTTATTTGAACAGCAATTTTTTTTTTTTTTGCCAGTGAACATTAAGCCAACAGAAACTTTTAGTTAAATTTTAATTCATCAGCAAATCTGATGACCCGGGGCATCCTGACTAATCAAACTTTTACTGTGATTCTCAATTAGTTTCACTTGGCAACATGTTGGAACCAATCATGGGTTGGCTGCAAATTCATGAGTTGTCTTTCCTACTTATTGCTCTAGAAAAATAAACTTATTATTATTATTTGAGACAGAGTCTTGCTTTGTCACCCAGGCTGGAGTGCAGTGGCGTGATCCCGGCTCACTGTAACCTCTGCTTCTCGGGTTCAAGAGATTCTTGTGCCTCAGCCTCCCGACTAGCTGGAGCCACAGGTGTGCGCCACCACACTCAGCTAACTTTTTTTGTATTTTTAGTAGAGACAGGGTTTCACCATGTTGGCCAGGCTGATCTTGAGCTCCTGGCCTCAAGTGATCTGCCTGCCTCAGCCTCCCAAAGCGTTGGGATTACAGGCATGAGCCACCATGCCTGGCCAAACTCGTTAATTTTTTATGGGTGTGGCTCTTTGGATTTTCTTCTGTTCTTTTGAGCCATTGACATGGGTGCATCATCTTTAGCTTGAAAGGTTTGAGACTGAGCATTGCTTTCTGACTAATTCCTATTCCGCTCCTGTGTCAACAGAATCATGGGGATTTGGAAAGACACTGAATTCCTCTGAAATTCAGTTACTCTAGATATTCAGGCTGAAGGTACTTTCCTCATTCTCAGAATCTCTCTGAATCATTTTAGGTGTTCTAAGGTGTAGATGTTGCTTTCTATTTCGAGTGTGCCTTGCAGGGGGTAAGTAAGTAACAAGCAGGTTTCAAGCAGGTGAGTGTGACAGTGGCAGACAGCAAAACATCATGGTTGAGTTAGCCCTGCCCTAATTTCACCTGTGGCTTTGCCTGGAATGTCACCCCAAGCAGAGGAAATGAAACAGCATGGTGGAAGAGGGAAGAAATATTTGGGACCTCAGAGAGTGGCTGAAAGTGAGCCAGGGGCAGCTTTTAGAAAGAAGTGGCACTTAACAATGAATCAAAAGAACATTGAGGGTTGCGTGGTTTCTCTGGAGGAGGAGAACATTGTAAGCTTGAGAGACATGAAAAAAGAGGGAGCAGTGCGAGCAGAGAATGCCTTGGACACTTTTCTTCCAAGGCCCCTGAGGTTTGGCCATATGACTTACTGTTGCCAGTGAAATGTGAATGGAAGCCTTTAAGAGCCACTGTGTGACTCACTGCAGTCTCTTCCCCCTGTCTTGGAGACGGGCTGTGTTCCAGACAATGGAGGCTCGGTTGGGCTGGGTTCCTGGGTGGATAATCCTATAGTAGGCACTGGGGTTGCGTAAATGAAAGAAATGGCCCTTGCTCTCAGGGAATTCATGATAGGGGGAAGAAGTGGTGATGGGGAGAGCACAGTTCAACTTAGGGGAATCAGGTAAGACTTCTTGGGGACTGACATTTGAGCAATGTTGTAAAGAATGAGAAGTTAAAACCACTGTGGAAGACAGTGTGGCAATTCCTCAAAGACCTAGAACCAGAAATGCCATTTGACCCAGCAATCCCATTACTGGGTATATACCCAAAGGAATAGAAATCATTCTATCATGAAGATATATGCGCGTGTATGTTCATTACTGCACTATTCACAATAGCAAAGACATGGAATCAACCCAAATGCCCATCCGTGATAGACTGGATAAAGAAAATGTGGTACCTGTCACCATGGAAAATACTATGCAGCCATAAAAAGGAATGAGATCATGTCTTTTGCAGGGACATGGATGGAGCTGGAAGCCATTATCCTCAGCAAACTAATGCAGGAACAGAAAACCAAACACCGCATGGTCTCACTTATAGGTGGGAGCTGAACAATGAGAACACATGGACACAGGGAGGGGAACAACACACACTGAGGCCTATTGAGGGTGGGGAGGGGGGAGAGTGAGAGCATCAGCAAAAATAGCTAATGCATGCTGGGTTTAATACTTAGGTAACGAGATGATTTGTACAGCAAACCACCATGACACACATTCACCTATGTAGCAAACCTGCACATCCCGCACATGTACCTTGGAACTTAAAATTTTAAAAAAAAGAAAGCATAAGAAAAAAAGAATGAGAAGTGAAGTGGGTGAATAAAGATGGGGGAGAGGTAGGATTTTTGCAGAGGGACTAGTTGGTGCAAAGACAGGCAAGAGAAACAAACAGAAAGGGAGTACTTGGAAATGGGCAGATGACACAACAATGGGATGCTTTTCTCCAGAAAATAAAATGGAAACCTGAATTTGACCCCTGTATAGACCCTACCATCATCTACCAAAATGGCACCACTGACATGGTATAGAATCATCCAACAGCTTACTGTTTATTCTGGAAGAAATGAGCATGACTTCTAGTCTCCCCTGGGAAAGAATTTTCATAAGTGCAGCCCTGTTTCATCAAATTATGATAGCCGATTTATATAGAGAAGGAAGACTACTACGTAACCCAAGGAGTAGATGTTGATTGTAACTGATGTCTGAATATTATTTGAAGCATGCAGAATGTAATTATTCTCCATGTAGATGGTAAATAATTTGAAATATTAGGCAGTGAGTGCATTTCCAAACTGCAGAGCAACTGCCAGTGATGCACATTACTACTTCCATAAAACTCCCATAAACAACAATTAAGGACATCAATATTTGCTTCCAAAGTAATCTGCTTATTATTAATGTGAATGATGTGATAAATAGCCCCAAAGGAGTGTTTTGAAGCAGTGTCTCATCACCTTGGATGAGGAGATGGCTTGACATCATCGTAGACCATTTGGTTTCTGTGTTTAAGGAGATGAGATATTTTCTTTGAAATTTGTTTTCTTCCCATTGCAATGTAACAGAACCGCTTCCTTAAAAATATATGGATTGATGAGTGGCTGGAGGGATGGATAGAAGGATAGATGAGTGTGAGACAAAATACACCCAAGTAGTAATTGTAGAATCTAGATGGTTAGTATGTATGTGTTCACCACACATTTCTTTAAAATTTTCTGTATCTGGAGAAGTTTCCATAATGAAATGTTGGGGGAACAAAACAGTGAGACATGAAATGGCTCATGATCTGTTTTTGGGATCCCAAATCCTCGTTATACACCTTGACTCATCTCTCCTCCCAATCTCCACGTCTAATCAGTCATCGAGTCCTGTGGATTCTACATTGCATTAAACCTTCAGACACCACCCTCTCCTTGATTGTTCCCATCGCTCCTGCCTTCAGCAATTCTTGCATGGTTTATAGCCACACCCTCTCTGCTGGTCTTTGCCTGATCTCACTCTGATAGATCCTTACATTGTTGTCAAAGTAATGATTAATTCCAGAAACATTTTTCGAGTATCTGCTATATGCAAGACACTGTGCCTGGTGCTGAAGTTTTTTTTTTTTTTGACCTTAGGGACACAAAACTGGACTGCTTATGAGTCTTGGTTTATGACATACTCCCATCGTTCCATGCAGGACTTGCTTTTGTCTAGTTAATTATATTTAATAGTTATAGTTCATTATTTTTAATAATGTGATAAGCGCCTGTGAGCCCATGCTCCAAACGAAAGCTAGAATATTGACAATAATGTGCTTCTAACCACATAGTTTTGTATCATCAGTCTTGGTTCGTCATTTACTTGTTTTCCTTTTGATATCTGTATTGCTTCTCGTATAGTCTTGAACGTGTATATTTTTATGTTGCTTGCTTTTTAATTTTATGGTGTATCATGCTGTATATTATCCTTTGGAATTTTCTTTTCTTTTTTTTCCTCACTTACTAAGATTTATCTATAACGTTGTGTGTTGCTGTGGTACATTTGTTTTGACTGCTGTTTATCCATTTAAGTTTCTTTCTGTCTGTTTCACTTTTTAAATTTTTCATCCTTGTTTTCTTCTCAAAAATAGATGCCTGTATTTCCCTCTAATAAAATACGAGCTTAGCATGCTCTCCCATCCCTTTTTTCTCTTCCTTCTTTACTACGACTTCTTTTAGGTTGATATTATCTATTCTCAAACTTTAATGTGCATTCAAATCTCCTGGGGATCATATTAAATGCAGAGTCTTTTTCAGCAGGTTGTGAATGGGGTTTAAGTTCCTGTATTTTTACAAGGTCAGATGAGGCTGAGGCTACTGATTCAAGGAACCACACTTTGAGTAGGGTTTTGCGACTTTTAATCCTGTGCTTTTATAGATATAATTTCCCTTTTTATGATCTTTTAAAAATTTGGTCTTAGCTACTCTTTAAAGACAGCGTCAAACTTTACCAAGGCATTTGATTATATGCATCTGTACATCTGGTACCATCTCCACTGTATGTCTCTCCTCTTATTCGTGTAATTTATTCAAAAGTAGTTTTAATTTGGGGCTTTCTATGGCAAATCTTTGAGGTCTCGTACATCTGAAAATATTTTTATTGTACTTTCATATTTGAATGACAGCTTAATTGGATATAATATGTTAAGTTCTATTTTTCTCATTTGATTATTTGAAAATATTACTTCATGTATTCTTGCATCTAGCATTGCTGATGAAAAATTCTGACATCAAGATAATTTCTTTCTTTTTAAAAATTCGATGTGCTCTTTCTCCATGGGTGCTTTTAGAAGTTCCTGTGTTTTTAATAGTTTCTGAATTTTCACTACAATGTGTCTAAATATGTTTTTTTTTTTAATTTCTCTTTTGGAACTTTTTTAAAATCTGAGAAATTTGTACTCATTATTTCTTAAAATATTTACTCCTACTTTTATTTCTCTTTCTGGGAGTCTTATTATTTTGACGTTAGTGTTTCTCTTCTATACTCCATATAATTTACCTTTAATTTTTTTTCTATTTTTTTAGTCATGACTTCTTCCTCTGGAAGACTTCCTGAATCTTGTCTTCCAGTTGATTAATTCATTCTTTAGCTGTATCCATTTTGTGTCCATTATCCATTCATTGTATTTTTTATTTCAACCATTATATTTTTCATGCCTGATATTTTAAATTGGTTCTTTTAAATATTTTCTTATTCCTACTTTATGCTGTTAATATCTTTCCTTCTTTCTTTAACATGTTTAATAGAAGGCTAATTAAAAAAACTTAAGTCCATCTGTTCTAATGTTTTTGCTTCTGTTGGAATCTGTAACCCAATGTGTTGTTTTTCTTTCAAAATGATTGTACTCCTCAAATATCTTGTTATTATGGTTTGTGAGCTCACTTTACCCTGGAGGTATTGGGTACTTTGATGGGCAATGTGGATGCGCAAAGGCCAGAGCCCCAAGTCAGCCCCAGTGAGTTCAGGGGCTAGGGGGTAGGTGAGTCCTAGGATGGGGAACCCCAGATACCAGAAACCTACAGTCGATCACTCACAGACCCAGAACTTTTACCCAGCCCTGATTTTATCTCTGGCAGCATTTGGAGCAGAGTTCTCAGTTGGGACATAGGGGCAGGCACTGTTTGCCCCAGGGCAATGGCAGGGGAGCAGACAGAGCCATACTCCTTCAACCCTTCTAATCCCCCATTCCAGTTTATCCTTTCACAGCCTTACTGGGCAGCTTCTGCCTCAGATTCAAGCCATCCCCCGCATCCCAGTCCAAATCAGCACGCAGCCACTCCAGTAGTTTACCACAGGTCCTCTGCTTTCCTGGAAATTCCTTCAAGGTTGATTATGGTGGAGGAAGCCAGCAGTCTAGCCAGCTCAGCATCATGATCAGAGAACTGGCCATCTCGATTTTTAATCCCCTGGGTCTTCGTTACAGGCTGAATTGTGTCTTCTTGCCCACAATTCATATGTTGAAGTCCTAACTGCCAGTATCTCACAATGTGACTATATTCGGAGACAGGGTCTTTAACGAGGTAATTAAGGTCAAATGAGGTCATATGGGTGGACTCTAACCCCATATGACTGGTATCCTTATAAGAAGAGGAGATTAGGACACAGAAATGCACAAAGGGAAAAGACTGTGTGAAGATAATGGAGAAAAGGTGGCTATCTACAAGTCAAGAAGAGAGACCTCAGAGGAAACCAACCCTGCTGCCATCTTGATCTTGGACTTCTAACCTCTGGAATTGTGAGAACATACATTTCTGTTATTTAAGCCACCCAGTCTGTGGTACTTTGTTACAAAGAAGAGCTCCCCATCAACTTTCAAATTAGACTTATGGTCGTTGAATGCGATTACTATACGCCAGGCACTACTTTACAAATGGAAACACTGAGGTACAGAGAGGTTAAGAAACTTCCTCTGAGTCATACAGCCAGCTGGAGATGGAGCCAGTATCACTTCTGCCTCGAGAGCTCACAGCTTAACTGCTGGATTCGGCCATCCAATATGGTGGCCAGTAGCCACATGTGGCCATTTACATTTAAATTGATTAACATTAAATAAAATTAAAAATTCAGTTTCTCTGTCACACTAGCCATATGCCAAGTGCACAGCTAGTGATTGCCATAGTGGACAGGAAAGATTTAGAACACTTCCATCATCTCAGAAGGTTCTGTTGGACAGCACTACACTAGAATATATTGCCTCTCAAGTAAATGATTACACTTCTTAGTGCAGAAAGTCATTCACAAACTGGCCCTGCTTACCTTTTTAATCTCATTTTCTGGCATTCTCCTTTACATTCTCTATCCTCCCATTTTACCCAATTCCCTGAAGTCCCCCAGCAGGGCATGCATGGTACTTTTGTATGATAGGTCAGGCCAACTCATCATTCAGACTGGGTTCGTGAGACACCATCTCCAGAACATCTCCCTTCACTTGCTAGGCTAGACCAGGTTTAGTTTTTTGCAAGATGGCAGCACTCCTTGTTTCTCTCAGCCACAGCATGGTGATGGTTTACTTATGTGTCTATTCCAGGCATTGTGAGTGGGCAGGTATGATAATTTCTTCATCTGTAAAGCCCTGGTACCTGGAAAGAATAAGATACTTAAAAAGCATTGCATAAATAAACGAGGACATTATAGGTAGCTGTCAGTTTCCTTACTCACACGCTCGCTTCTAGCTGTCCTGATTCTGTAAGGTGAAATCTTCCCCATCCCCATCATCTTAGATGAAGATGTAAGAAGCCAATTAGGCTATTTGAGAATTTGAACCAAAAGACACAGCTACTCTTGTGAGGTGGTATTGGGTGCTATTGAATGTAACTGTTGATAAGGGTAGGCTCAAATCTCCCATGTGGTGTTTTTCTCTGGGTGCCATTTAGAATCAGGTTTGGGGTGACCATTTTTTCATTCTGCAAGCCTGCTGAGGCAGGAAAAGCCAGGCTGCAGAGAGAAGTGTTCAGAATATAATAGGCCCAGAGAGCGAAGCTGAGACAGAGCTTATGTGGCTTGTGGCAGCGGGGAGTGGCTTGGAGGACAAGTTTTGATTCCTTATCCTGCCACTTTCAAGCTGTGTGAGCTTGGAAAATTTCTTCAACCTCTTGGAACCTTGGTTTCTCCCTCTGGAAAACGGGAATGTTTGTCCCTCAGAGATATTCTCTGTGAGTTAACTGTCAGAAAATGCAGGGAAAGCATTCAGCACTGCATCCAACACATAGTAGGGACTCAGTAAACATTATTTTTTCTTATGTGGAGTCAGAGAGCAGAGAGTGGTTTTGGGTTTTTTTGAGACGGAGTCTTGCCCTGTCACCCAGGCTGGAGTGCAGTGGCACAATCTCGGCTCACTGCAAGCTCTGCCTCTCAGGTTCACACCATTCTTCTGCCTCAACCTCCCAAGTAGCTGGGACTACAGGCGCCCGCCACCATGCCTGGCTAATTTTTTGTATTTCTAGTAGTGACAGGGTTTCACCATGTTAGCCAGGATGGTCTCGATCTCCTGACCTTGTGATCCACCTGCCTCAGCCTCCCAAAGTGCTGGGATTACAGGCGTGAGCCACCGTGCCCGGCCCAGTTTTGGTTTTTAACTGCTCCGTTATTCACCCTTTTGAGCTCTGTCTTCTACTCCTGATTCTCAGTTAGAGTCCTCTTTAGCTCAGGCTACTTTGAGGGGTTTCTGTTTCTTATCACCAAATGCTATGTGATTAAGATAACCAGTGCTCTTGGTTGTTGGTTTTGGCTTCTGTTCATAATTCCTACATTGGTACCCATTCTACTTGGCTGTTGGTGTTTTTTTAAAAAATGTAAATACTTGCTTCTTAACATTGGTTTTGGAGTTCTAGTCCATCTGGGGCTCTTCATATGGGACCTGGCATACATGTAATCCCAGGTTTTTCAGCCCAGGGGCCCCTGGCCTTCCTACCAATTTTCCCTTGTCACTCCATGGCCAGTGCACTCATCCCCACCTCTTTAAGCTTCCTTTATCTTGGAGCCTCTAGCATCAAGGAAATGAGCAGAGGAGGTGCTGAGTGCCAGAAAGAAATGAAAGGTACATTCAGTATCTGCTGTGTAAAAATTGAAGCCCCTGTAATGTATAAAATCATCTTCCTTGTGGAGGACTTCACATTAAATTTCAGCTGCCTTTTACTTTACCCCCAAATATGAGCTCAGTTTGCTGAAGTTCTATGAACAGTCAAATTCTCTCTTATTTACTGATATTGTGTGAATAAAGCTGAATATCCAGGGGCAAGTTACTCCATGACGTGTCTCTCTCTAGAGGTGGGAAATGGGACACTTTCCTTAGATTAGAGCTGTGTTTAAGTCAGTAATCAGCTCTTGTAAGTGGTTCTTGAGGTGATCTTCAGAATATCAGGAAAGGATGCTTTTTTCTCCCCAGACAGGAGGGAAATTGGTTCTTGGGGTTTAAAACCTAGGGTTTTTGAAAGAGCTACTGGGCTTTAATAAGAACCATGGGTGTCCTGATGGGTGCTGCCTGTGTGTTCTCCAGATAGCCTCTGATTCCTTTGGCATCCTCTGATTTCCTTGGCATGCTTCTGTGGGCCTTGCTTCTCTGTGACTCTTTGAAGGATTCTGGTGGGCTGCTGGAGCCACCCTATATGGGAGTAAGTCTGTACGGCCTGAGGTGCCTAAAGGGTGCAGGCATAGAAGAGCCCAGTTCTCTTGCCTCCAGTTGGAACAAACTCTGAAGCCTAATGTATGTCCAGAGCTCCCGACGGGATTAGGCTGAGGCCGAGACTTGCCCTGAAATTGTCCCTTGCTCAGTTTAGTTCCCTTCCCTGTCCTGCCCCTGAACCCACTCCCTCATTGGTTTATCCTCTGAGCACTTCCTGAATACTGTGTTATATATTACATGAATTGCACATTAATCCTCATCTCAGGATCTGCTTCTGGGCCCCGTTTCCATCAAAAGGAGGTGGTGTTTTGTATATATCTATCAAAGCATTATGTTGTACACCACAAATATCTACACTATATCTGTCAACGAAAAATAAATAAATAAATAAGTAAATAAATAAATAAATAAATAAATAAATAAATGGAAGAGGTGTTGGATGGGAGAGGGTGTTGGAAAGAATACTGGCTCTGCAGATCTGGGATTTCTTGGAATTTCTCTGTTACCACTTATTTCTGGTGAACCCTTCTCCAAGTTTCTGAAACTTGCTGAGTCTCAGTTTGTGCATCTGTGAAAAGAGAAGACTATGACCACCTTGAAAACTTGTGAGGTTGGACAAATCACCTGCCTGGTCCCTGGCACGCTGTGGGCACTCTATTACGTTTTAACTCTTGTTACCATTGGGCACTGAAGGGGCTGAGACTGGAGGCAAGGAGCTCATCCAGAAGTGAATTACCTAATAAAAGTAATGTTGAGTACCAGAAGAGAGGCCCCATGCTAAGATGTCATCATTTGTCTGCCATTTCTTCCCTAAGGGTTTGGGATGACAAACAGCTGGTGTTGTGACAATGTTGGCCTTACACCCAGATCTCCTGGAACCCTTTCACCATTTTTGTGGTCTGCAATCTTTGACTTTCCTGTGCTTTTGCTTCCAACAGCCAGCACCAGTGGCTCTTTCTCAGAGGACTTTTCTGGATACTGGAGCTGCTTTATCTGTATATAAAGAGCCAGAAATGCCTAAGAGTTTGTATCCTGCTTCCAGGACAACTCTGAACTCATTACTCTTGTGTGCACAAATTTGAGAACCCTGCTGTCTTACCTAAGACCAGGCCAGCGGTGGGGCCGACTTACACTCCAGAGCACCCCTGTGGGATAAGATTGATGTTACCATCTGTGGGACTTCGATTAAAGGCCCCACGCTTCAGGGCTTCCTTCCTTTCTATGTGCTGTGTCACCTGCATCTTTACTGTATTTTTTTTCATAACTGGGAGTAGTTTTTAAATAAATTGCTCATATACAAACCCTCTTTAAGGATCTACTTCTACAGAACCCCATTGAAGATAGCCGGTATGTACAAGTATTTCCATAGTGGGTATTAAAATATTGAAATACTTCCTTTTTTTCCTTTGGACACAGGGAAAGGGTCTCCCTCTTTCTTTTCCTCTTTCCTTCCTTCCCTTCTTGCTTTCTTGCTTGCTATTTGTGTGTGGTTGGGGAGACGAGGGTGAAGTATTGTTTTTAGAAGTAATTTGGAGTTTCATTTCCGTTTAGAAAATGAATGAATTACTCTTTACAGCCACAAGTATTTTGTGTTTTGTGGAGCGGTAATTAAAATAATGGAAGTGTCCATCTTGATTCTCAAGAAAGTTTCCTTTGGACCTGTGTGGTGGTGGTAAAGGGAATTCAGGTGTGGTGAGATCATGAGCTCGGAGGTCTTTTCAGACTGGATATTGGAGGGGATGGCTGAATCCCACGGGGAAGATCCCACCCTCTGCAGAGTCAGGGAATCAGACTGTCTTTCTAGAATCCATACACCTAGCTTCCCAGAATTTAATAGTGGTAACAGCTAACATTTAGGAAACACTAACTGTACCAGCCATGGTTCTGAGGGTTTTCTCTTATTTAGTCCTGACAATTCTACGAAGGAGAAGAAGTACAACCATTATCCCCAATTTAAAGATGAAAATACTGAGGCTTAGAGAGGCAAAGGAACCTGCCCAGGTTCATGTGGTTTGCAAGATCTGGAGTTAAAACCAGCCAGTCTGGCTCAAGGGCCTGAGCCCTTCACCATGACAGGGTACTTCTTCCTCTTCTCATTAGATGATATCACACCTGAGTGAAATGTAGCTGTCTCTTCCATATCTGTCTTCTCCACTGCAGAGGAGGACAGGGACTGTTTCCTGGTCATCTCAATATTCCCAGTATCTGCCGAGGAACTGGCACAGGTAAATCAATGCTGAAGGGGGAAGAGAATTGTGGTCAGAGTGTTGTGTTGAGCCCTGGAACACCAAGAAGTCTTGATGGGGCTAAAGAGCTGTTGTCTTTCATCCTTTGTGCCTCTGTCCGTAGATCTATACCAAGTTTGCAGTTTCAAAAGGGTAAATTCCACTCTGAGAAAGGTTCAAATTGTATATTTGGAGTAACTTCAAAAAAGCAATTAGTAATTGCCATTCTGACAGGTGTGAGATGGTATCCCAAAGGCATGGAATCAACCCAAATGCCCATCAATGATAGACTGGACAAAGAAAATGTGATACATATACACCATGGAATACTATGCAGCCATAAAAATGAATGAGATCATGTCCTTTGCAGGGACATGGATGAAGCTGGAAGCCATCCTCCTCAGCAAACTAACACAGGAACAGAAAACCGAATACCACATGTTCTCATTCATGAGTGGAAGCTGAACAATGAGAACACATGGACATGGGGAGGGGAACAACACACACCAGGGCCTGTCAGGGAAGCTGGGGGAGGGAGAGCATCAGGATAAATAGCTAATGCATGTGGGGCTTAATACCTAGGGCTGATAGGTGCAGCTAACCACCATGGCACACGTTTACCTATAAAACAAACCTGCACGTTCTGCATGTGTATCCCAGAACTTAAATAAACAAGAAAAAAGAAAAAGAAAAAGCAATTAGAGCTGCCATTTTGTTGAGTACTGGCTAGGTGCTACCAGGCACGATGCTAAACATTTTGTGTAATATAGATTCAGCTGTCCTTGTAGAGGCGGCAATGGAGGCTTCCATCCATGAAATAAGTAACTTGCTCAGGGTTACAATAGCTAGTATGTAAAGAAGCCATAATTCACCCCAGGGGGCTGGTCTCCAGTGTTCCTATTCTTGGATACTAAGCTATGCTACTTCTTTAAATACACCAATAATCAGATACCCAAAGAGGAAAAAGAATATGCAGGACAAGACAGCAAGACCCTGAAGCCAGGTCTCCAGATTCTTCACCATATCCCAAAGGCAGCAATGCACTGAGACTCCTGTGTCTCTAGGCTCCAGTCCAGATGGACCACAACAGGCACTGTGACATTTCCAGATCAAATTCCCAGTGCCTCTTTGGAAGGTCCTTTTCTGGTAGTTTAAATTGTTAGTCAGTTAAATTCTTCATGGCTGTTGACACGTCAATACGCTTGACTTGAAGCTTACTCACCAGCCTGTCCAATTCAAATAACATTCTCCCGCAGGTCGTCCCCTTCTGCCAGTTGGATTTTTCATCTCTGTCTTCATTCTACCACTAACAGATTTCTGCCCAGTGCCAAACCTCCAAACACCCGTGATCACTCATTCTCAGACAGGGTCTCTCCCCAGAGAAAATGGACAAGTTCCTTCTGGCTTGGTGTTTTGTATTTGTTTTCTTATATTTTATTGTTGTTGTTGTTTGTTTTGTTTTGTTTTTGAGACAGCCTCTCGCTCTGTCACCAAGGCTGGAGTGCAGTGGCGCGATTTCAGCTCACTGCAACTTCCGCCTCCCCAGTTCAACCGATTCTCCTCCCTCAGCCACCCGAGTAGCTGAGATTATAGGCGCCCCCCAACCATGCCCGACTATTTTCGTGTTTTTAGTAGAGACAGGGTTTCACCATGTTGGCCAGGCTGATCTCGAACCCCTGACCTCAAGTGATCCACCTGCCTTGGCCTCCTAAAGTGCTGGGATTACAGGTGTGAGCCCCTGTGCCCAGCCTGTATCTGTTTTCTAAGAAAAAATAAAAAATTTAAAAAAAGGAGTACTTGTTAATGAAATTCGCCTGTTGTAAGTATTCACCTGAGTACTTACAACCTGCCAACACCTTGCTAAGCATTTTATTTGCATAATTCCACTTACTGTTTACCACTCTTTGCAATAAGCACACGGTTATCTGTGTTTTGTAGATGGAGCCACAGCAGCTCAGAAGATGAGGTAAGAGCTAGAAAGTGGCATTGCTGAAACTTAAAGTGAGGGTTTTCAGACTAAAGATCCATTCTCTGAGCTTATAGAACCAGTAGATGCTTTGAAACAGAAATGAAAACTGCTTCTTTTACCACCTAAAGATAATGACAATAGGAATTTGCTTTGTTTCCTTTTAGGCTGTTTTTTTGTTTTTTGTGTGTTTGACGATGTCAGGCTGGGGTGCCTGACCTCTGCCTGCCGGGTTCAAGTGATTCTCCTGCCTCAGCCTCCTGAGTAGCTGGGATTACAGGTGTGCACCACCCTGCCTGGCTAATTTTTGTATTTTTAGTAGAGATGGGGTTTCACCATGTTGGCCAGGCTGGTCTCGAACTCCTGACCTCAAGTGATCTGCCTGCCTCAGCCTCCCCCGGGTGTTGGGATTACAGGCATGAGCCACTGCTTCTGGCCAAACTCATTAATTTTTTATGAGTGTGGCTCTTTGGATTTTCTTCTGTTCTTTTCAGCCATTGACATGGGTGCATCATCTTCAGCTTGAAAGGTTTGGGACTGAGCCACCACTCCTGGCCCAGCCTGTTTTTTTCTAAGAATGTATGTCTACTTAAATAATTTTGTTCTTTGCTTTTTGTCACATACCATTTTTATTATGATTAGGTTTCCGTGTCATTAATTACTCATTAAAAGTAACATTTTAGACAAATACATAATATTCTATCATATGAACACACCATGAATTGTTATTATTTTTCTTCGACTTTTGCTTTATGTTCAGGGGTCCATGTGTAGGATGTGCAGGTTTGTTACATGGATAAACGTGTGCCATGGTGATTTGCTGCACAGATCATCCCGTCGCCTGGGTGTGAAGCCGAGCACGCATTAGCTATTCTTCCTGATGCTCTCCCTTTGCACCCCTCCTGACAGACCCTGGTGTGTGTTGTTCCCCTCGCTGTGTTCATGTGTCCTCATCATTCAGCTCCCACTTATAAGTGAGAACATGCAGTGTTTGGTTTTCTGTTCCTGTGTCAGTTTGCTGGGAATGATGGCTTCTGGCTCTATCCATGTCCCTGCAAAGGACGTGATCTCATTTCTTTTTTATGGCTGCACAGTATCCCATTGTGTACACATACCGCCTTTTCTTTATCCAGTCTGTCATTGATGGGCATTTGGGTTGATTCCATGTCTTTGCTATTGGATGCATAGTGCAGCAGTGAACATACATGTGCATCTATCTTTATAATCAAATGACTTATATTCCTTTGGGCATATACCCAGTAACAGGATTGCTGGGCCAAATGGTATTTCTGCCTCTAGGTCTTTGAGGAATCACCACACTGTCTTCCACAATGGTTGAACAAGTTTACACTCCCACCAACAGTGTAAAAGTGTTCTTTTTCTCAGCAACCTCACCAGCATCTGTTGTGTTTTGACTTTTCAATAATCACCATTCTGGCATGAGATGGTATCTCACTGTGGTTTTGATTCACATCATGAATTATTTAACCATTTTATTATACTTGGACATTTAGGAGGTTTACAAGTTTTGCTTTTGGATCAGCGATTCTCAATGCAGGTTTTGCCTCCTGGGGGACATGTGGCAATGTCTGAAGACCATTTTGATTATCAAAACTGGAGGTGGATGGGGGGTGGTGCTATTGGCATCTAGTGAGTAGAGAGCAGGGATGCTGGTATACATCCCACAATGTAGTGGGCAGGCCCCACAACAAAGAATTAATTGTCTAGCCCCAAGTGTCAATTGTACTGTGGTTGAGAAACCCCATTCTTAGATATACCATCATGATGAACATCTCTGCGCATTAAACCAAACATATTTCACCCATAGCTTTTCTATGGTTTTCTTGGGATTGATTGCTAGAAGGGGAATTACTAACTCAAAGATTATAACTTCTTTGAAAGATCTTGAAACACAATATCAAATAGCTTTCCAGAAATACAGAAATATTATTCTTCCAACAACAGAATCTATTTCACCCCAGTCTTGCTAGCATGAAAAATTATTATAAGCCTTCGTTAATTTGGAATAAAAACCCTCTGCTCTCTTGTTGTTTTAATTGGTATTCTTTTTGATTATTAAGGAGTTGAATACCTTTTTATATGCTTATTCATTGTTTGTATTTATTCTGTGAATTATTAGTTCATGCCCCTCACCCATTTTTCTACTGAAGTTGTAAGGGATTTTAATTGATTTCTGGGAAAGTTTTCCCTTTCAGATCTTTTTTTGTATTTCAAAGGCAACTCAGAACATACATTTTTGACTCATTATGCAAAACTTACTGAACATTGTTTGGTAAGAGCTGTCTAGTAGGATGATGATGATGATTGTTAATATTTTGGAGCCTTTCCCCTGTCAGATATAGAGAGGTCATTTAAAGTTGATAATATTCTTTGAAGATGAAAACACCTTCACCTGGATGTAAACAAACGTCCCATTTTACTGAAGAGAAGGCTATGAAAGTACCTGAAGTTTGGAGTGTGAATTGAAAACAGAGAACTAAGAAGTTCAAGCATGTTCTTGAACTGACAAGGCCCTAGTCTCAGGCTCAGAAAACAAGTTATTGCAATTGCTGAATAATTACTCAATTAACGTCACTCTGTTCATTGCTCTATCAGAGTGGGTTGGAAGAGAGGAAGATGAGCTGAGTCAATCTTTTCTTCAGAGGAATTTAGAATGGCACAATTTTAAGAGTCGCAAGGGATCTTAGATGTGATCCAAGCCTGTGTGTTCAAAAGCATCCACCTTGTAGCACTCAGGTACCACCAAGATGATAAGTGGATACTGATAGATCCTTTTCCTTTTAATAGTCATGCATTTATTTTTATGTACATTAGAAAAAAAATATATCCTTAGCTTATCCATCCGATGGGTTCACGGACATTATTGCTTAGGATGACACTAAAATAGATATTAAGTTTTAAAAAAAGTCATCTGTAACTTGCCTCAGTGTCTAGAAGGGTACCCAGCACATAGGTGCTCAACAAATATTTTGTTGAAGAAATGAATATAATTTAAAAATATGAAATAAGTAATAGTATGGGAGATACATAGATATTTCATAATAACAACTATCAAGGTTGTAGGATAATGATAAATTTGATGATAAGTTTAACGCTGATAAGTTTGAGAAATAGCATTCTTAACACCCTTGTCTTCAGACAAGAAAACCAAGTCTCTCAGAAAGGAAAAACTTGCCTCAGGGCTGGGTGTGATGCCTCATGCCTGTAATCCCCAGCACTTTGGGAGGCCGAGGCAGGTGGATCACTTGAGTTCAGGTGTTTGAGACAAGCCTGGCCAGCATGATGAAACCCCATCTCTACTAAAAAAAAAAAAAAAAAAAGTAAACCGGGTGTGGTGGCACATTCTTGTAATCCCAGCTACTCAGGAGGCTGAGGCAGAAGAATCGCTTGAACCCGGGAGGCAGAGGTTGCAGTGAGCCGAGGTTGTGCCACTGGACTCCAGCCTGGGCGACAGAGTAAGACTCTGTCTCAAAACAAAAACAAAAACAAAAACAAAAAACCCAAAACAAAAATACCAAAATTGCCCCAGGTCACAAGATAAGAGCCAGAATCTGGTCTAGATTCCAGTTTTTCTGCCTCAGAGGCCAGTGTTCTTTCAGCCACAACAAAAGGCTGTTTTCCGCAATTTTATTACAGAGTTTTCTTCCTCACTTTTGTAACTGTAGGGTTGACATGTGTCACTCTGTCATTTTTGCTTTCGGAAAATGACAAGCGGTGTCTTGCATGTTTCAAAGGGCATGCATTACAGGGATGGTAACATTTACTGAATGCATACCATGTACTAGGCCATGACTGAGCACTTCACATGCTTTATCTCTTGGATTCTTCCCCACAGTGCTATGAGGTAGATACTAGTATTATCACCCCATTTTATAACTGGGAAAATTGAGGCATAGGAAGATTACGTCAAACTTCTAGCGTAGGATTGTCTGTGCAAACCATTTGGCACACACTGCTTTGGGACATACTCTTCATTTCCATCTTGGATTTTAAAGACAGTTAATTTTTTGGTGTGTATTTATACCTCCTTCTCTAAAAGAGATGACAAGTTTCATGGTAGAGGTTGGGTAGAGAGGAGAATGGGTAGCATCGGCCTGTCCGTGAGGCTCCCAGGCACCTACCCTCATATATAAAAGGTTCAGATTTGAAATAAGGGTTTGATTTTCTCCTTATTTTTGAGGCTGGGTTTGGTTGTAAAGAACAGGGCCATGACAAGTTTTGTTTCAGATCCTGAGAAATTACCTTTGAGTTTCCTCTAGAGCCAGCAACATAACACAGTAGTTAATTGCATGGACTCTGGAAGTAGATACAACTGGATTTGTATCTGGTCTATCTGGTCTCGGTTTTTCCTAGTGGCGTGACTTTAGGTGCATCATTCTACCTTTCTGAGCTTCAGTTTCCTTCAATCAATACATCTAGAGCAGGCATGATGATAAAATAAAATAACATAAAAAGCCCCTAGGTGCCCAGTAAAAGATAGCTTGGCATTTGTTCAACAACCAATTACTGAGCATCTACCATGGGCACTGTGTTCAATGCTAGTGACTTGGTGGTGGGCAAAATAGATTCAGCCCCTGCCTGCATGGAGTTTACCCTGTAGCAGGAGGCACACATCAAGCTGATATTGTAAGTACCCACTTATAATTTCAATCTGTAGTAAACACAGGTTAAGAGACTATTATGAGGAGTCCATTGAGACCAGACAATCACAAAAGGCCATTCTGAGCAAGAGAATGTTAAGTTGAGATCTGGAAGGTGAATAGGAGGAAGCCCAGGTAGCAAGGAGAATGGGAAGGGGGTTCCAGGTGGAGGGAATAGCATCCAGGCAGAGGGAATGGCTGGGGGACAGGAAAGAGGGAGGAGAGTTAGGGGGACCTGAAGGCAGGCCAGTGTGGCTGCAGCAGGAGGGAGAGGGGAAAATGGAGAAAATGAAGTCAGAGACCCTATGGAGGTTTATAGACACCTGGCTAAAAACCCCAGAGCTAGAGAGATAAGGGGAAGCTTGTGTAAGGTTTTACAGATCAGGATATGGAATTTGGGTCTTTCCTGAGTGAAATAGGAATCAACTGGAAACAGAAGTTGTGAAAAGGTCATGTTGGCTGCTGTGTAGACGATTGGAAGGGCTGAGGGAGCCAGGGATAGTCGTTGGAAGGCTGTTGTAGACATCCAGTTGAGAGATGATGGTGTCTTGGACCAGAGTGTGAGCCACGGAAGCAGAGAGAAGTGAATGGACCTGGAATATGTTTTGGAGGTCACTGAGGCTGTCATTGTTCAGTGACATTGAACAATGTCTCCTCTCCTTTGAAAGACACTTCCTTACTCCACTGATGCTGGGCTTAGCCCCATGACGTGATTTGGTGATTGTAATATGAGCAGAACTGAGCAGAGGCTTTCAGAGGCCTTGTATGTGTCCACTGGCTTCTTGTGTTCCTGTTACTTGCCATGAGAATGACAAGCCCCAGATTTATGGTGGTGGTGGTAGTGGTGGTGGGTGGTTCTTCAGCCTGCCTTCTGGAAATAGGAAACAGGTGGCGAGGACCTGAATTTGACCTACATTCTGAGAATAAGCCCAGCAGAACTATAGTTGACTCACTGTGGTATCCAACCACTAAGATTTCAGGGTTGTTTGTTACTGCAGCAAAAACTGAGCCTAATGAAGGTAGGACTGGTGTAATCCGTTGGTCATGGTCAGGTATATGATGTGATGGGTGAGGAAAATGGAGGTGGCAAGGATGTCCGTATCTTTGGCATAGACAGCTGGGTGGATAGAGGTCCCATTTACTATGATTAAGAAGACCAAGAATTCAGTTTTAGTCTTGTCAATCTGAGATACCTGTGAGGTTCCCAAGTGGAGATATCAAGTCCACAGATGAATATATGTGTTTTGGGCTCACAAGAGAGTTCTGGGCTAAAGATATGCTTTTTTATCGCATGTAAACAATATTCAAAGCCACAGGAGTGGATAAGCTTATTTGGGCCAGTATTTTTTTTTTTAAAATAAAAAAATTAATTAATTTTTTTAAACTTTTACTTTTTATGGGTACATAGTAGGTGTCTATATTTATGGGGTACATGAGATATTTTGAAACATGTGTGCAAGGTGTAAAAATCACATCAAGGTAAATGGGGAATCCATCCCCGCAAGCATTTCTCCTTTGCATTACAAACAATTCATTTACACTCTTTTAATTAGTTTTAAAAGTACAATTAAGTTATTATTGACTACAGTCTCCCCACTGAGCTGTCAAACAGCAGGTCTTATTCATTCTTTTTAGCTATTTGGGCTGGTACTTCTTGAACTTTAATGTGATTTGATGCTTGCTGAGAAAGCAGGTGCCTTGGCCACACTCATGGAGAGGCTGACTCAATAGGCATCTGGTAGAACTCAAGAATTTACATTTTAAGATTCTTCTTGGTGATTCAATGGTGGGGTTCTATAGACCACACTTTGAGAGACATGGGCCTAAGGAGGGATGTCTTAAACGCAAATGAGGGTGTCTTTTGAATGTTCATCTGGCATTCAGCCCAGCAGAAAGGATGTGCTCGGATTCTGAATTTCCTTCCACCTTCCCACTGTTAAGGTCCCTAAGCCTCAGAGGAATTCTCAAAGTAATCCTACAACAGAAAGATTTTAAGACAATTAGATCAAAACATGTTTGCATTCATTTCTAGGTATTTATTTATAAAGAAAATTCTGCCTTCAGATTTTAATTAGGCAGTTTTATCTCATTTATCCATTTAAGTGCTGCCTATATTGAGAGGCTTGAGGTCAAGATGCGTGTACGAAAGTCTTGAAATTCCTGCTTTCATAATAGTGGTCACTCCGGCACATCATTGGCCAAAGCATGGACATACCCACGGCTCTGATGGTGCTTCTTGAGTTGTGGTTTGTGCCCATGTCCCTGGTAATGCTTGTTGCATAATTCCCTGGAAATTGAAGGAGGGTGTAAATGAAGTCTCTTTGCTCTCAGAAAGCAGACAGCTCAGTTTTCTGGATCCAGGACACAAAGGGGTGATGTACACGTGCCTCTTTTTATCTGTTGCCAAAAGCTCAGATGCTTTTTGATGACAGTCTACAACCAAAAGTTGCAAATTGGTGGCCTAGAAGGTGGATCTGTCTGGCAGATATGTTTGATTTGAGCTACACAATGTGTTTTTTTCAAATTAAATTAATTTCCAGCATTGAAAAACCGAGAGGCTTTATATAAGATCCAGATTTTTGGCTTCTCTTGAAGAAAAAAAATGTGAAGATCTGGCAGTGCCAAGCCCATTTTCCCACGTAGCAACCATCAGCTGGAGGTGAGTAGCAGCTGTCCCCTTTAAACAGGGCTCTGTTCCTCAGTTTGGCACAGGCCCCCAGAACACCCTCCTGAGCCTGATGCTCTGGCTGAGTGCTTGTTACCACTTACCATCTTTCCCAGGTCAGCTTGACTTGCTGACTTGCCCACTTTACCAGCATGGCCCCCAGGGTGACTACATTGCACATCTCCACTCCTACAATTCATATCGTAGTCTGGATTTGTGCAGTGTTCAACTGTGCAACCGAACTCAGGAGTCTTGCTGGCTCCGCTGGATCAGTGGTTTTTAACCTGGGATCTATGGGTCCTCAGGGTCTTTGGATGTGTCTCAAGGGTCCCATAGAGTTGAAGGGGAGATCTTGAGGGTAGAGCCTCCAAGGGGCCTTTAATTTCTTATCTGTAGTTCAAACAGAACAGCTTCCTCTAGGTCTGGTATTTTGGAATGGTGAATAATATTTTAATTTTAAAAAAAGTTTCGTGGCTAAGAAAATTCGAAAAAGATGGATGCCAAAATTAGCTTTATATAAGTCACCCAAGTCCTTTGGGGAATAAAACCACTCAGCTTGCATGAAATTCACTTCTGCAGCCCCCAACTGCCAAATCCTTAGGCTAGACTAGTTTTTATCAGTATAATTTACATACAGTGAGATGCACATATCTTAAGTATATAAATCAATAAGTTTTGAAACATGCATATAGCCCTGCAACCAACTCCTCTATCAAGAGGAAGAGCATTTTCATCACCCCCCAAATTCCCTCATGCTTCTTTTCATTCAGCCCCACCCATCCCTCAGAGGTAACCACTGTTTTGATTTCTTTCACAGTAGTTTTGCATGGTCCTGAACATCCCATATCTGGAGTCACAACATATATAGCCCTTTGTGCCTGGCTTCTTTTGCTTGGCAGGACATCTTTGAATTCTTCCATGTTGCTGTTTGTCTTGGTAATTCATTCCTTTTATTGCTGAGTAGTATTCCATAGTATACTGCAATTATCTATATAGTCTCCTGTTGACGACATTTGACATGTTTCCAGTTTAGGCTTAACCTAGTTTTTTTTTTTTTTTTTAGACAGTCTCGCTCTGTTGGCCAAGGTGGAGTGCAATGGTGCGATCTCAGGTCACTGCAACCTCCATCTCCCGGGTTCAAGCAATTCTCCCACCTTAGCCTCGCCAGTAGCTGAGATTACAGGGACCCACCATCAAACCTGGCTAATTTTTGTATTTTTGTAGAGATAGGGTTTCACCATGTTGACCAGGCTGGTCTCGATCTCCTGACCTCAGGTGATCTGCCCACCTCAGCCTCCCAAAGTGCTGGGATTTCAGGTGTGAGCCATCATACCCAGCCTTAACCTAAAATTTAAGGCCCTTCATCATCTGGACTCTGATTTCCCATCTGGCCTCACCACATGGTTTTTGCCAAATATCCTTCATGGTGCTCACTCACTGAGGCCCTTCACCTCTGTGTACACACATTTGTACATAACTTGTTCTGCCTCTAGATATATCTCTAGATAATCATCCACCTGAGAAGCTTGCATATTTCAAGACTCAGCTTAAACGGTGCCTTCTCGTCCAGACACCATGTTATACACGGCGTGTAATAGGATAGAATGCATTGTGTTTGATTATGTCTCTTCCTTTCCACCAGAAGAGAAAACTATAGACTGGGTCCGTATTTTATTCACTGTTGTATCTGCGGTACCTGTACATAAGACAAAGTAATGCTCAGTACATATTTGTTGGGATAATGTATCCTGCCACCCAAATATAATATTTTCTTAGAGCTGAACACGCCTAGTTTCTGGACTATTCTTCATTTTCTCTCTGATAGTAAGAGGAACATATAGGGAAGCAGGTTTACTTCATAGAGCCTGGAAGGTCCATGCATTAGTTAAGGTAGGCTGTACCACTGTAGAAAAATAAGCACTAACATGTGTAATGTCTCAAAGACAATTGACATTTATTTCTTGCTCATGTGGCACTTTGAGGCAGGTGTTCTTGGCTGGTAAACAGCTTTTCCCGATGTGGTAATTCATGACCCAGCCTCCTTTTGGTATGTAGCTCTACCATCCCTTGGGGTAAAGGTTCACAGACTTTCTTTAAGTTCATGGTACTGCTAATGTCTTTGTGATGTTTTTCATAGCACCTTCTGCTAAATAAATCACTTATTCTTATTTATTTATTTTTGAGACAATGTCTCGCTCTGTTGGCTAGGCTGGAGTGCAGTGGTGCGATCGTGGCTCATGGAAATCTCTACTTTCCTGGCTCAAGCGATCCTCCCACCTCGGTCTTCCTGAGTAGCTAGGATTACAGGCATGGGCCCCCATGCTTGACTAATTTTAATTTTATTTATTTATTTTTTATAGAGATGAGGTTTCACTGTATTGCCAAGGCTGAAAATAACTTATTTTTAAGTAGTTGGATTCAAAGAACTTAATGAGTATTTATGTCTGTAACAACTCAGTGCTTACGTTGATCTTCATAAAGTACAGTTGATCCTCATTATTCATGGTAGATATATTTTCTAAGGTCACCACAAACACTGAATTAGCAAATCCCTAACCATTGCTCTTAGAGGAAATACAGGGTTGGGTTCCTGTGAGCCCTTAGTCACTACATTTTTGTCATCCAATCAATACATAGCCTGTATTTTGATGTATTTGATGTGTGTTTCTGTTTAAAGACACCTTATTTGGTATATATTATTGGTTCATTAACACTGAAATCACAGCCAGTAGCACTATAACTCATGCCTGGAGAAAGCTTACCTAACCTGTATTTTCTTTATAAGGCACATCACAGCCTTCTCATGCTTAGGAACACTAGACTAGACAGCTCTGCAGCACTACACGTGGGGGCTGCTTTAAACAGTAAAATCACCAACAGAAAGAACAAAAATGGAAAAAACCTGGCACTAAATAGACCATGAAAAGGACACTTGTTTACAGTTTGAGAGCTGATACAAGGAGGCAGAGGGACACCTTGTTTTACCTTGGCTGACAATGGGCGCGTTGTGTGGTTCAGACTTTTTTCAGACTGCTCTGCACATGTTCATAGATGACTCTGAAAACACATGAGTATTGATTTAGGGGTTATGAATACATTTTAGTGAGTAGGTGAATTCACAAATACAGACTCTAGATAATGAGAATCTACTGTACTTGGTTTTTATCTTAACAACTGCCAAATACTCAGCTTTGCAAAGATATGACGTCATTGAAAAGAACATAGTGATTAATGTGAAGCCCTGAATTACCTACCTTGACCTAGCAGGTTGCATGGGGCCTGATAGATGTTGCTGTGTATCCCTCAAAAGCCTAAAATATCCTATGGCACCAGGGTGAGTTTATGGTGATGCCCCAACAGGGTATGCTGACATGTAGTTTGGGAACTGTGGAATTAGTGCCTGAAGGTTGACTTCCTACAGCCAGCAGGAAGATGAACATGGAGGATATACTCCTGCTTCCCGCAATGCCCTTTCCCGCAAGTGTCCAACATCACTTTCTCTCACATTCCATTGGCCAGAACTAGTCACATGGCCACACAGAATGCAATGGAAGCTGGGAAATACAGTTATTCAGCTATGTGCATGGGAAAAAGAGAAATGGGTTTTGGTAAACAGCCTAAACAGTCTGCCATTCGTCTTGAATTTCTCATCTATTGGGAATAACAATTTGACTCCCTTATATTTCTCTATCACTATAAGTCTTTTTTACGCATAAGTGTCATTTAATTCTCATGGCTATTCTATGAATTAGGGACACTTAGCATTCAAGTCAAAGGTTTGGAGTCAGACGTCCCTGAAACCAAATTCAGGTCCCTTGAGTTCTAGCTTGGTGACTCTCGGGGGGACAAGCTGCTTCAATTCTCTGGGCCTGATTTCCCCATCTCTAAAATGGGATAACAAAGCCTGAGTTGGAGATTCCTATGCAAGTGATTTATTAAGGGAGCTGCCCTTGGGAGAAACTGTGAGGAAATAGGAAAGCAAGAGTAGGGAAGGGGAGACTAAACAACGACGTGGTTTTAGGTGGAGACTAGCCTCAGACTGATCCTGCGCACAGCTCTGGAGTGTAAATGGCATCTCAGAGTTTGTTCCACCTTGAGGAAACGAACCAAACTCTTCTATCTTCATGTCAGTTGGTCACTGGCTCTGGGCTACTGCAGATTGGGAGGAGTAACTCCCTGGAATGTCTGGACAAGGTGGCTCCAATGGCCCCAAGGACGATTGCAGGTGTCAGCCTGTAGCAGGAGCATCCACATCCGCAGGCAGAAGGGGTCCCCAGGAGCCTGATGGGGCACTGACAGTGTCTGCTAGGAGGGCTACGGGGGATGACGCATGGGGATGGCTTCCCAGAGTGCCTGGTGCATGGTAAGCATTCAAGAATGAGCAGCTGCCATTATGATTGTTATGACTGATTTACCCCCTTGGCATTTAAACTCAGACACTTGGAACAAGCTGTATAAGACTGAGAGGCTACAATTTCAGAAATAAAGCTTTTTCCTGGACAGCTGGGAGATGAAAATAGCCAGAGAGGGGTCAGGCAACTGCCCTCATCTTGGGTTGCTTCTTTCTTTCTTTGTTTTTTTGAGATGGAGTCTCACTCTGTCACCCAGGTTGGAGGGCAGTGTTGCAATTGGCTCACTGCCAACTCCGCGTCCCAGGTTCAAGCGATTCTCCTGCCTCACCCCGCCGAGTAGCTGGGACTACAGGTACCCACCATGATGCCTGACTAATTTTTGTATTTTTAGTAGAGACGGGGTTTCACCATGTTGGCCAGGCTAGTCTTGAACTCCTGACATCAGGTGATCTGCCCGCCTTGGCCTCCCAAAGTGCTGGGATTACAGGCGTGAGCCACCGTGCCCAGCCAGGTGACTTCTTTTTGAGATGCAACTTTCTTGTTGGCTTGTGGCACAGACTCCAGATCGCCACAATAATTAGGGGCAGGCAGGGTCCGGGGACCTGCTCCTCCCTCTCCTCCCTGGGCTGGCCAATCCTGAGATTCCACTGACTAAGGATCGGGGGGCCTTTCTGTTACTCCCGGTGTTTCTTCTCCTCTCCTGAGACCCCCTGGGATAGAAACATTTACCTAGACCTTTGGTTCTGGATGTTGGCTTCAGAAAGAATCTCCTCTAGAGAATTTAAAATTGCAATGCCCCAAACTAATCTATGGTAGAAAAAAATCAAAACGTTCTGGGGAACGGGGATGCAGATTGACTGAGGAATGGCAAAAAAGCCTTCTGGGCTGATGCAAATGTTCTATATCTTGATATGCAATGTTATACTCATGTATATGCAATGTTTAACTCAAACTCATAAAATAGTATTCCTAAGATTTGTGTCTTACATTCTAAATAAATTTCATCTCGGAAGAAAAGAATGTAAACAGGTATTGAACTCTAGTTAATGAAATGATAAGCATGCTGACATACTTAGGGAAAAATATACTGGTGTCTGCAATTTACTTTGAAATGCATAAAAAATCAATATGGGTTGATGAGTGGGTAGAGGGGAGGGTAGATGAATAAATAGGTGATAAAAAATGATAAAATGTTAAATGTGGAAGTTAGGTCATGTGTATTGAGTGTTCACTGTAAAAATCTTTCCACTGTTATATATGCTTAAAAATTTCATAGTAAAAATGTTAGAAAAAATAAATACCTATGCCCAGAAAAATGGATTTAATTGGCCTGGAATAGGGCCTGGCATCAGTGTTTCATAAAACTCCCTGGTGATTGAAAACACTGACCTGACTTACAGCAATAACACTTGTGCCTTATAAAATGCCTATGATATGCCAGGACCTTTACATAAAATATCCCATTTAGTTCTCACAAAAGTCTGGATGATCAGAGAGGTGTCACATGTTTAATGTCATATGGTTACTAACTGGCAGAGACAGGCTTGTAAACACCACACTCTAAATCCCTAAACAGTGACCTTTTATTGATCCTTTAATATGTGCCAGGCATGGTAATAAAAGCCTGCAGAATTTCACTGCTTGTCCCTGCAACCATCCTAGGAGTTAGTCGTGATTATCCTCGTTGTCCACAAGCGACGGCTCCAGGAAGTTAAGTCTCATAACCAGTTATTTATTTAATTAATAAAACTTGATATGCCAGACACTGTGCTAGGATCTGGCATTGCAATGTGAGACAGTCAGTTGGTTCCTGTCTTTTTTTTTTTTTTTTTTTGAGACAGTCTCACTCTGTTGCCCAGGCTTCAGTGCAGTGGTGTGATCTCGGATCACTGCAACCTCCACCCCCTGGGCTCAAGCAATTCTCCTGCCTCACCCTCCTGAGTAGCTGGGATTACAGATGCGCACCACCGCACTGGGCTAATTTTTGTATTTTTAATAGAGATGAGATTTCATTACGTTGGCCAGGCTGGTCTGGAACTCCCGACCTCAGGTGATCTGCCTGCCTCGCCCTCCCAAAGTGTTAGGATTACAGGCATGAGCCACTGTGCCCAGCCAGTTCCTGTCTTCATGGCGCTTGCTGGAGTAGGAATTTAGGCTCAAAGTTGCATTGTCAAGCAAGTATTTAATTACAATAATGATTTATGCTGCAGACATAGAATTAATGCATCTAAGAGGGACACGAGGTTGAACATTAGAGATGGGAAGGCCATCAAAAAAAAGCTTCCTTAAGATGATATCCTGAGCTGAAACCTGAAGGAATAGTTGGTGTTGGCCAGGGGAGCACATTCCAGTTGGAGGGAACAACATGTGCAGAAACTTCAAAGTGGGAAAGATTTCAGGAGAAAGAAGGCCAGTGTGGCTGACACAGAGCGAGAGGAGGATTGGTGCAAAATGATCTAGAGCAGTAGGCAAGGGTCAAACCCTGCAGGTCTTGTACGCCATGGGAATGACTTGGGACTTTAGCCCTAGGTCACTGGGGAACCATGGACATGTTTCAAGGCAGGGGGAAAACATGATCTATTTTGCTCCAGGTTATATAAGTTAGAAAATGGCCAAGTCCAGATTTAGACCTGGATCTCTCTGCCCTCGGAGACTTTGTTCTACTCTCCTACACTGTTTTCCTAAGCTCGCTGGGATTCCAAACTTTTCAAATGCTGCTGTATTTCCAAGAATTAGTTGTTTTGGCCATGTGCAAAAACTCAACCTGTTCAGCGGGCATGAAAAGTCCCATTATAGGGCAGAGGACATAAAAGCAACCTGCAACCACCACTAACGACAGCAAATAATGATGAGTTACAGGCTGGGCTGGTGGCTCACGCCTGTAATCCCAGCATTTTGGGAGGCCAGAGTGGGTGGATCACCTGAGGTCAGGAGTTCAAGACCAGCCTGACCAGTATGGTGAAACCCCATCTCTACTAAAAATACAAAGATTAGCCGGGCATGGTGGTGTGTGCCTGTAATCCCAGCTACTCAGGAGGCTGAGCCAGGAGAATCGCTTGAAGCCAGGAGGCGGAGGTTGCAGTGAGCCGAGATCGCGCCACTGCACTCCAACCTGGACGACAGAGCGAGACTCCGTCTCAAAATAATAATAATAATAATAATAATAATAATAAGAAGAAGAAGAAGAAGAAGTTACAACATCCATAATATTCTAGGTGACAGGACTAATTAATGTGCCTAGGCTAAGCTATGTGTTGGGGGTGCTTTCTTTACAACTTCTGTTACAGAGATGTCCTGGGTGAACCAATGTGTTGGGTTCATCAAGAAATAGGCAGGGAGAGGATGTAAGGGTGGAGGCATTTGGCAGATTCTTTGCACTCTGCTTTCCACCTGTTGAGGAGGTGTTTGAGGACTGCAGGGGGCAAAAGGTGGGTCTCTTCTTTAAGCCTCCCTCAAAGGGGATATAGGGAAAAGTCTGACTTGTAACAGATCTGGAAAATCCTTAGTGACCAACTTGTCCATTTTATTGGGATCCAAAAAAAGGGACATGATGTAGTCAAGCCTCAATAGTGAGTCTGTGGCAGTGGAGGAAATAGAATTCAGGTTGCCTGAGGGCCAGATCAGTGTGTTAAATATCTCCAAAGTCAGAACCAGAGGCATAGTCAGTGATGAAGCCACAGAAGTGGACAGTATCGGTTCATGCTCTCTTTTTGAGCAAGGGTAAGGAGTTTTGATTTTATTCTAAAAGTGCTAGGAAGCCATTGGAAGGCTTTAAGCAGAGGGAATGATTTGATCTGATTTATGTTTTACAAAGAGATCTCTTGATGCTTGGTGTAGAGTGGACTGATGAATTCATCTGGGTGAGACATAATGATGATTGAGCCCAGGGAGGGATAGACAAGATGGTGAAAAAGAAACAGGGTCTGCTAGGCGTGGTGGCTCATGCCTGTAATCCTAGCACTTTGGGAGGCCAAGGTGGGCAGATCACCTGAGGTAAGGAGTTCAAGACCAGCCTGGCCAACATGGTGAAACCCCATCTCTACTAAAAATACAAAAAAAAAAAATTAGCTGAACGCGGTGGTGGGCACCTGTAATCCCAGCTACTTGGGAGGCTGAGGCAGGAGAATCGCTTGAATGCGGGAGGCAGAGGTTGCAGTGAGCCTAGATCATGCCACTACACTCCAGCCTGGGTGACAAGAGTAAGACTCCATCTCTTAAGAAAAAGAAAAAAAAAAAAAAAGAAAAAAAGAAAGAAAGAAACAGAATCAGGAAATGTATAGCTGCAATCCATAGAACCTGGCTATGGTTTATTTATGAGGGTGGGAGAGAGGGGTCAAGAATGTGTCCTGGATCTCTGGGTTAGGCAATTAAGACCCTTGGAGAGGAGGTGCCATTCCTGAGATGAAGGTGACTGGTGTGTGGAGTTGGTGGAGGGAAGAGTGTATCACTGAGCTCAGTTTGAGGTACTGTGAAGTTTGGGATGCTTGGGAGACATCCAAACAGAGAAGCCAAGTCAGTGTTGGATATATGAGTATGGAGTTCTGAAGAGAGATTACTCCTGGAGATTTAAATTTGAGACTTTTGGAGGGTGATAAGACAGAGGAGATCAGCTGCTAAGGAAATATAGAAGATGCTGGGGTATGGGTGAAGGGCAACCAACATTTATGAGGCGCCTACTATGTGCCAGGTCATCTTGCAAATACCGTAGGGATGCATGCTCATTTTACCAGTGAGGAAAATGAGGTTCAGAGAAGTTAAGTAATTTGCTCAAGGTCACACAGTCAGTAAGTTATGGCAGAGGTGGGATTTACATCCGGAGTTTTCTTCCTTTTGCTTCTAGAAAGCAAGCTTCTCTTGCTTACTGGTTCCCATGAGGGTTCTTGGATTGACTTTTACCAGGAAAATCTGGGTACCTTCTCATCCCTGCCTCTATCACTCAGGCCAGTAGGACCTTCTGATTGGCCAGGTCTGGGACATGTGCCAACCCTCCAATCCCTGAAACCGGGCATCGGTGTTGACCTTGCCCAACCACATGGCTAGAGAGTAGGGGAGGAGACATGGGAGTGAATATTGGTGAGGGTAAAGAGAGATGTTCACAACAGACACTTTGCTCCTTGGACATTGACATCCTAGGGACTGTTGCCTGTTTAGAAAGGCGTTGCTGCCACATGGCGGTTCTTGGGTGACCTCGGCATATGAGCAGGGGAAGGTCTGAAACAGTGGGAGGCTCTTATTTCGGAGAGTTGAGCACAGAATGTTGGAGTCCTTTTTGATTGCAAAGTCACCCACAAAGGCATGTGTGTCCCTGCAGCTTGGGCTACAGATGGGCAGTGAAGCATGCGCGCACGCACACACACACGCGCACACTCTGAGAGACTGACTTCAGATGAGCTTTTATTAGCTAACATATCATCTGTGCAAAGAAGAGACTCACATGTGAGCGTTTGCATGATTTGAAGGAGAGAAAAATATGCCTGCCAGATTCTTTACTTCCACCCCAAAGGAAGGGACCAGAGTGACCTCAGCAACCTGGGTGGCTGCATTTTCTCTAAGCACCTGTTCCTTGTCTTCTAAATCTGAAATGGGAGAGGTCAAATCATGAGCCATGGGCAGCGGGGAAAGAGTCTAGAGGGAGGAGAAGGGTCTCCATCCACTGCCACCCGTCAACATATCAGCCAACCTGTGACAGTATTTATCAAGCACGTTCTCTGTCTCTCCAACTTGTGACTGAGGACAAAGAGGATGCCAGTGAAGCAAGACACAGAGACTCTGTCTCCAAGGACATTGCAAGTCACCTGGGGACTTCATTTATTCACTTATTCATCAGATGTTTTCTATCTTGTTCATTATTGTATTGCCAGAATCTTGCACAATGCCTGGCTCACAATAGGTGCTTACCAAATATTTATTGGATGGACAAGTTAGCGAAGAAATGAGAAAATGAACTGTATTAGACATTGTGACAACAAGACTGTGAATCTGCCTTGAGAAATTCACAGCTGATTAGGGGGAAATAGACATCCGTCACTGATTCTGTTGTACCCTCCTGCAGCCTGCCTGACTACACCTTGTGTTTGACACAATTGTCCACTCTCTGATCACTGAAGCTCATCCCCCGTCCCCCACCCTTGGTTTTCATGCTCTACTTTCTGTGCTGTTTCTCTTCAACCTCTCTGACCATTCAGCTCAGGCTACTTCTCTCCAGCCTGTTTCTAACTGTGGGTATCTTCAGCTCTCTTTCTGTCACCCTCGACACCTTCTGCATACCTGCTGCCTCAGGGTCCTATCAATGCTGTTGAGCCCCCAAATTATTCACTTGTTAAATGAATAATTCCATAGATATCTATGGATTCTATTCATGTGCCAGTGTATTCTAGATACTAGAGATAATACAACGTACAACACAGACTAACTCGTTCTCTAGGAACTTCAACCTCCCACTCTAAACTCTCTCGCTTGACCTCTGGACTTGACATTCTATTAGATGTCCAAAGGGACATTCATTGTCTCCCACTCTGGACCATCCCTTTCTCCTGTGTTATAAGGCTCAGGAGTTGGCTCTTCCTAATATCCAGTTTCCCAAACCAGAGATGGGGAACTCACCGTAGGCTGCTCCCTCTTTTCCAACCTCCCACCCCCAATAGGCCTCTAGTCCTGAAGTTTCCATATATCACACATCTCCTACAGCCTCCTTTTCCCCACCCTCTTTGCACAAGTGTTCTTTATTTCTTGCCTGTGGCCGCCATATTGGTCTCCCTTCCAACTAATCTATCCACTGCAACTTATCTCTCCCCTGCAGCCAGAGGAATCTAAGATCCCAACCGTGTCATATTTTTTCATTACTGAAAAGCCTGAGGGCCTCCCATGACCCTAGGGTGAGAACCCAAGCCTTTTTATACAACCTACAAGGCCCATCATGAACCATCCCTCTCTAACTCCCCAGCCTCAGCTCTCACATGGCCCATGCAGATCTGCTCACTGTTCCTTCAGCATGCCTGCCTATGTCAGCCTGAAACCCTTTGCTTATGCATCTTTCTTCTACGCAGCTGTTTCTTATATTCTCCTGTGTAGAACTGGCCTCTTCCTTCCTCACACCCCTCTTGTGCCCTGTCATCTTTCTCTCCTCTTGCACTTGTTTACATTCCTTCCTTTTTTTATCCTACAATGGAAGGGGCAGGGTTTTAGTATTCCCAGGGTCTTGCACTTGTAGGTGACTGTAGCAGACACTATTGGTGCTCTACCTTATTTCTTCTACTCTCCTACACCAGCTGCAGGCTTTGTACCGCAAGCCTCTGTGACTCTCTTCCTGACGGTTTTCTCCAGCCATAAGAGCTTGTTTGGGATATGAATGGGGAAGAATGGAAGCGCCAGGGAGTTAATGCTCTAGGGAGCACTGGTGGGTAAATAACAGGTTAAAAAATATGTCAAATAAGAATAGACATTGGTGGATTGATAGCCTGGCATCCTTACTCCTTGGGTGGGACAACTCTGAGATTTTTTTTACACCCTCTTCCAGGGGTCCAAATTGTGAATGTGTGCAGTTGTGACAGTGGTAACATGTTCATTAATACACTCTTCCCCGACATCACATCCCCACTCCTGAACTGGGGCTTCCTGGGATCATCTCCAAAATAAACCATTGCACTCGAATCTTTGTCTCAAAGTCTGCTTCTGTGGGAACCCAACTAAGATAGTGCCTTGTATGGTTTGGCCCTGTGTCCCCAGGCAGATCTCATTTTGAATTGTAATCCCCACGTGTTGAGGGAGGGACCTGGTAGGAGGTGATTGGATCATGGGGACATTTTCCCCCATGCTGTCCTCATGATAGTGAGTGTGTTCTCACGAGATCTGGTTGTTTGATAAGGGTCCGGTGCTTCCCCCTTTTTTCTCTCTCTCTCTCCTTCTCTCCCTCTCTCCTCCCTCCCTCCCTCCCTCCCTCCCTCCCTTCCTCCCTCCCTCCCTCTCTCTCTCTCTCTTTCCTGGCACCTTGTAAGATATGCCTTGCTTCCCCTTTACCTTCCACCATGATTGTAAGTTTCCTGAGGCCTGCCCAGCCATACAGAACTGTGAGTCAATTAAACCTTTTTTCTTCATAAATTACCCAGTCTTAAGTATGTCTTTAGAGCAATGTGAGAACAGACTAATACAGTGCCTTAAGAAATGTTTGATGACTGACTGAGTGTAATATAATGAATATAAATTATCCATAAAACAGTAGGTGGGCAACATAAGATAGCTTACAAACAAGAATCCACAGTTCCAAAGTCTTTGTCAATCAGGGGAGAAGGACTCCATAGGGGATGGAGAGTGACAAAAGTTAGCACTTCATGAATGTCCGTTATGTTCTAGGCTCTGTTCTAAGAGAGAGAGTGTGTGTGTATTTTTTTTTTTTTGAATTTAAACATCTCAGCAACTCATGGTGGGCACTGTTTTAAACCTGATTTACAAACAAGGTAGTCAAGTGGGTCACAGAAAGTTTCAGCACAGATCTTCTTAGCTGTAAGTGGAGGAGCTGGGAGTCGTCGACTCCAGGCAGTCTGGCTTTAAGCTGGGTTCAGAACCACTGTGGCTTGTAGAGGTGGTGAGACTTGATCCAGGTCTTGAATGACTGGAAGGGATTGGGAAGGACATTCAGGAAGGTGGGTCAGCCGGAGCAAAGGCACAGAGATGAGAATGCACACACCTTGCTCAGGATCATAACCTCGGAGGCTTCTTGATTTTCAGGAAGGTCTCCGTTCTGGAACTATATCATTTCCTCCTCCATTTTCCCTGCCCTTCCTCATTTATTTTCAACACTCTGGGAATGTGGGGAAGGTGAAAGGGCCAATAGCCGGAACCAGAAGCCTCCGAGGAACCTGGCTGCAGCTACTACAGCAGCAGATTCTCTTCTGTAGCTTTACTGATTTGTAATCAGAGTTTGCAAGAGTCTCAAACACACACTAAAACTTAGGTTCAAAAATCACAGAATCCCAGAAGTCTCATATCCAAGGCTGCAAACTCAAATGCCTGCAAGGGCCAAGCAGCCAAGGGGAAGAGTGAAAGGCCCAGATGCGGGATGATCAATGGCTCTGCAGATGCCCTGCCTGGAGGAGGCAATTCCCAGCTACAGCCCGTCATGGCCTGGTGGGAGTGGGGGCTTGGCATGGCCTGTTTTTCCTTTTTATAGAAACATAGAAGGCCAGGCATAGTGGCTCACACTTGTAATCTCAGCACTTTGGGAGGCTGAGGCAGGAGGATCATTTGAGGTCAGGAGTTTGACACCAGCCTGGATAATATAGAGAGATCCAGCTCTGCAATCAAATAAAAAAAATTAGCTGGTTGTGGTGGTACACACCTGTGGTCCCAGCTACTCGGGAGGCTGAGGCAGGAAGGTCGCTTGAGCCCAGGAGGTTGAGACTGCAGTGACCTATGATTTTGCTACTGCATTCAGCCTGGGTAACAGCGAAATCTTGTCTCGAAAAAAGAAAAAAAGAGAAGCCAGAACTCCAATTTCAAAAAGATGAAACATTCCAAATTTTAAATACTGGAATAAATTAATTAAAAAATAAAACCTCTTTGCAGGTTGACATTAAGGACATCAAACAAAATGCATTAATGTTTCAAATTGGTTACTGAGTCCCTGTGTTAAGACCCCCACCAGACAATAGGATATTGTACTTAAACCAACAGTATCTTAGACTTAGAGAATCGTAGCTTCAGGATCATTACTGTCATAGATTCTTAGACTTAACACTGTCTCTGAGGATACTTGACATGTTGAATCATTAAAATAATAGACATAGAATTTTAGCTGAGATCTCAGGTACATAGAATCATAAAAGCAGACAATCAGAATCAGCAGCATTATAGGTCTTTTTCTCATTAACCTTTAAAATCTTATCATCAAGTACTACTGGGATCAGAATTCCTCTACACTGAGTATCTGGCTTTTGAAAAATGCTAGTTGAATAATGGTTGGGTGTGGTGGTTCTTGCCTGTAATCCAGCACTTTGGGAGGCCAAGGCGGGCGGATCACCTGAAGTCAGGAGTTCGAGACCGGTCTGGCCAACATGGTGAAACCCCGTCTCTACTAAAAATACAAAAATCAGCCGGGCATGGTGGTGCATGCCTGTAATCGCAGCTACTTGGGAGGCTGAGGCACAAGAATCGCTTGAACCCAGGAAGCAGAGGTTGTAGTAAGCCGAGATAGAGCCACAGCATTGCAGCCTGGACAACAAAGTGAGACTCTGTCTCAAATTTTTAAAAAAGCTAGTTAAATAAATATTCTTATCAAGTTTCTGAATGGGATCCTTCCTCTCCGATATTCTTGCTAATATCTTCCACAAATATTTTTATTGAGCACCTAATACGGGCAGCAGTGAACCAGAGAGACTAAGAGCCTGTTGTAATGGAGTTTACGTTCTTGCTCAGGTGGGCAGGCGGTGAACACACACAAATGATGATTTTAGACAGTGAACCTTTCTTTTATTTTATTTCTTAAAAATAAATTTTATTGTGTATATTTAAGGTATACAACATGATGTTATGAGATGCGTGTAGATAGTAAAATAGTTACTATAGTGAAGCAAATTCACATAACCATCATCTCATATTAGCACTCATTTTTTTTTTTTTTTTTGGCAAGAGCAGCTACAATCTACTCATTTAGCACAAATCCCCAATACACTACACTATTAGTAACCACAGTTCTCATGTTTAGATCTCTAGACTTGCTCATCCTACATATCTGCTATTTTGTGTCCTTTACCCACATCTCCTCATTTCCTCGTCCCACCCCATCCCTGGTAACCTCTATCTCTGTATATTTGACTTTCTTTTTTGGAGTTGGAGTCTTGCTCTTTCGCCCAGGCTGGAGTGCAGTGGTGCCATCTCGGCTCACTGCAAGCTCTGCCTCCCGGGTTCATTCCATTCTCCTGCCTCAGCCTCCTCAGTAGCTGGGAGTACAGGCACCCGCCACCATGCCTGGCTAATTTTTTGTATTTTTAGTGGAGACAGGGTTTCACCGTATTAACCAGGATGGTGTCGATCCCTTGACCTCGTGATCCGCCTGCCTCGGCCTCCCAAAGTGCTGGGATTACAGGCGTGAGCCACCGTGCCTGGCCTTTGACTTTTTTTTTTTGTTTTTGAGACAGAGTCTTGCTCTGTTGCCCAAGCTGGAGTACAGTGGCATGATCTCAACTGACTATAACCTCCACTTCCCAGGTTCAAGCGATTCTCATGCCTCAGCCTCCCGAGTAGCTGGAACTACAGGCATGAGCCGCCACACCCAGCTAATTTTTGTATTTTTCGTAGAGGCAGGGTTTTGCCATGTTGGCCAGGCTTGTCTCGAACTCCTGACCTCATGTGATCCACCCACCTCGGCCTCCTAAAGAGCTGGGATTACAGGCATGAACCACTGTGCCCAGCCCTTTTTTTTTTCTTATTTTTTAAGGTTCCACATATAAGTGAGATCACACAATATTTGTCTTTCTGTGTCTGGCTTATTTCCCTTACAGAGTGAACATTTTTAAGGAGAAATGACACAGAATAATATTATAGAGAGTGACCCTGGGGTGAGAAGATGGGGCTACCTTAGGTGTTCAAGTGGCCCTCTCTGCAGAAGTGACCTGGGAGAGGAGAATGGAATAATGAGGAGGAATCAGCCAGGGAATATTTGGGGGAAGAGAGTTCCAGACAGAGGGAACGTGAGTGCAAGGGCCCTGAGGTCAGGCTGAGCTTGTATGATGGAGGTGTAGGAAGACACCCAATGTGGCCATAGCACAGGGACTGGGGAGGGAGAGTGCGGGGGATGAGACCAAACAACTGGACAAGGATGCACACGCTTTTCATTTCAAATAAATAATGAGAAACTTCTGGTACCCTGGTACTAAACAAGCTACCTTCTACACATTGCAGGGAAATGCTTGCTAAGTGTTTTAGATGAAACAATCAGGTCACAGAGAAGGAGGTGGGGCTTAGTTAGGGCTGCCTTTAGCCACAGCATCATAAAGGGCCTGCAGGGGAATTTCCTCAATGCTTTTGTAAGCATTCTGCTTGATACTTACACCACTTGCCCATTACTGCTGCCTTGCCACAGCCCCTCCTCCCTGGTCTTGTAGTGCTGGGTCCTGTGTCTCCAACAGTCAGCCACGGCCAGACAGGGAGGAGAGACAACTTTCAAAAGGGTGTGTGAGTGCTGTGACAGCCTCTGTGCTTGCCATCTCCATGGTACCCAGGCAGGGGGACAATCTAATTAGGCTATTTTCGGCATCCCGGAGGGAGGGGCGTGGAGGGAGACAGGGAGAAGGGGACCTGCCTCTCCTGCTGCCTGTCTCTCTCTCTCTTCCTTTCTGAAGCTATTATTGATTAAGCAGTTAAAGGCCGAGGAAGCAGGACCTTTCCATGATCTGTGCTAGGATCAGAGGAGTCTTTCTGGCAACTTGGTGGGCCTTGTGAACAGCATCAGGAACCCTGGGGCTGGAAGGCTTCCCAGTGCTCGGTGCTAATGAGCTCTGGAGCCTACAGCTTTGACCGGAATCACGTCCTCTGCAGGCTGTTTGTCCTCTGCTGGGGCTAGCTGCCACCAGCTTCCTCTGAAATGATGGGCCCAGAGTCAAGGACGCCTATAGCCCTTTGTTTCTTAGCCTGGGGCCTGTCCTGGCTTTAGAGGTGTTTGTCTGTGATATTCAGAGCCTGGCCGGGGGAAACTGAACTTTCATCTGCCTGGAACATGTGGCTGGTGGCTCCTGGAAGGGATTCATGGGTTGTCAATGGAACCACACTTGACTCTAAGTTCCGCGTGGCTAGGGATCACGGTCAGTTTGCTCAGCCCATGCCCCAGAGTCTAGACTTCCTACATGCTAAACAGTTATTCATCAAATATCCTGTTATAAGCCTGTAGGAAGGGTGTCTCCTAAAGGGTCTTCTCTTTTCACCCATGAGGCATCACTGTCACATCCCTTCACTGGCCACTGCTTTGCCCAGGTGTGCTAGATCTAGAGGTTAATGTGGTCAAACAAGGCTGGAAAATAATACCTTTTTTTTTTTTGAGACGGAGTCTCGCTCTGTCGCCCAGGCTGGAGTGCAGTGGCGAGATCTCAGCTCACTGCAAGCTCCGCGTCCCGGGTTCACGCCATTCTCCTGCCTCAGCCTCCTGAGTAGCTGGGACTACAGGTGCCCGCCACCAGGCCTGGCTAATTTTTTTTGTATTTTTAGTAGAGACGGGGTTTCACCATGTTAGCCAGGATGGTCTCGATCTCCTGACCTCGTGATCTGCCCATCTCTGCCTCCCAAAGTGCTGGGATTACAGGCGTGAACCACCGGGCCTGGCCTGAAAATAATACCTTTAAAGCCCTTGCCATATTTAGGAACTGTGTCAGGAGGTGCACCTGCCTCATAAGAACTCAGTGAGACAGGCAAATCCTACAAGGCTATTATCCCCATTTTACAGATGAGGAAACTGAGGCAGAGAGCAGTTAGAGCAATGTGCCCAAGACAATACAGTTGGTGTCAGAGTTGAGATTAAAACCCAGATGTGCCTGAATCCAGAGCCATCCTCCCAGGTAAAGCATTTACGTGGGATTCTCAGCTTCAGGACTCACTGGAGTGTTTAACAGGTTAACGTGAGTTATAAATCTCAAAGAAAGGGCATTTCCTAAAATCATTTGACCCTTCCCTTTTTGTTTTTTCTGAGCCCACTTGTTAACGTCCTCTGATGGCAGTTTGGGAAGGGCTGCTAGGAGGTAATTAAGCAGAGCAAGTGATAATGTCCTTAATTAATCCAATCCACTGTCTTTCAATTGTGCTTATTTCCTTATCTTGGAGATTGCTTCAACAGGAGGCCTTTAAACATTAAACCACTGGTTATTCCTTCTGACTCCAGAATGAGCATGAACACCCAAAGCAGCTATTTCAAAGAGCATCTCATCTCGGGTTACTGCTTTGCACCAACCTGAGATGTGGTGCTGTCTGTTACAGCAGAGAGCTGGGAGGAATTCTGAGCCGGGGGTGGAATTCAGGATGTTAACCTGCAGCTGAAGGCTGCTAACCCCTCCTCTTCCCCCATACAAATGCCTTGATGAATCAGGCCTCACAGTGGGACTTTGTTCTTTTGTTTGAAATATTATGAACTCACAAGACTTCAAAGACACTCCTGTGATGTTTTCCATTGCCATATTCCTTTTCACCCATTATTTAGTTATTTGGCATGTTCGGATACTGCCTTGAAGGCAGGGATCTCACCTATATGCCTCTTCCCCACTCAATGTCCAGCAGAGGGTTGGACATGAAGATATCCTAATAAATGGCTGGTTAGTGGATTCTCTCCTTTCATCAGCATTGCTCTCCACATCATCAAAGCTACCATTTATTGATTGTCTCGTATGTGTAGGTATTGGGCTGTACGCTCTGTAGTTAGGAGTCAGCCACACTGCAGCCTATGGGCCAAATCTGGCCTGCCGCCTGTTTTATTTTTACTGGAATGCAGCCATGCTTATTCATTTATGTATTGTCTGTGGCACCTTTTGTGCTGCAATGACATGGTTGAGTAGTTGGGATGGAGATTATATGGCCCCACAAAGCCTAGAATATTAACTATCTGCCCCTTTCAGAAAAAGTTTACTGACCTCTGCTTTAGCTATAATGAATACATAATCTTTTAATAGTCTTGTGACAATCTTGAAAGGCAATGCTGCCATTTCACAGATGAGAAGGTCAAAGCTCAAAGATGTTAAACAATTTGCCCAACTGATGAGTGGGAGATCCGATGTTTGGACTCCAGTCGGCATCTCCAAAGCCAGTATTCTTTACTCCACTCTATGCTCCCCAACAAACTGAAAACAAACTAAATATATTTTTACCCCTCATTTTTGAACCAATGCTTTTGAGCATCTGGGGTTGATTCTACTGGGACTGCAAAGTCAATGCTAGCGTAAAATTGCCCCTAAAGGCATGCAGGCTTCCTGGGTAGTTGGTAGCTGAAGGGGACTGTTACCCTATGCGTAGATACACCGGTTCCCTACTGGAGATCAAAGGTTTCCGGAGTAGCTGATTCATCAACACCCTTGAAATCTGGCGTCAATTTCACAAAGAGAAATTTCTTTCTTTCTTTAAGTTTGTTTGTTTGTTTCTCTCTCTCTCTTTTCTTTCTTTCTTTCCCTTTCTTTCTTTCTTTCTTTCTTTCTTTCTTTCTTTCTTTCTTTCTTTCTTTCTTTTCTTTCTTTCTCCTTCCTTCCTTCTTTCCTTCCTTCTCTCTTTTCCCTTCCCTTCCCTTCCCTTCCCTTCCCTTCCCTTCTTTTCTTTTCTTCCTTGAGACAGAATCTCACTCTTTTGCCCAGGCTGGAGTACAGTGGCATGATCTTGGCTCACTGCAACCTCCGCCTCCTTGGCTCAAGCAGTTCTCCTGCCTTAGTTTCCCAAGTAGCTGGAATTACAGGCCTGTGTCTGCTAATTTTTTGTATTTTTAGTAGAGACAGAGTTTCACCATGTTGGCCAGGCTGGTCTTGAACTCCTAAAGTGATCTGCCTATCTTGGCCTCCCAAAGTGTTGGGATTACAGGTGTGAGCCACTGCACCTGGCTAAATTAATTTCTTTAGCTTCTCAGCCTCTGACGGCTTCAACATCCCTGATGCTTTAACCTGGAAAGTAGTCCTCATTCCTAGTCTTTTTGCACACTGTGGATTTTAGAGCCATCTAAATATTTGCTGACTTCTTTGAACAGGGGAATAGAGAATGAGTAAGAAAGATCAGTTCACAAACATACGTCCAAGTGGTTGGTTGTGTAATGGGCAGTGGTGAGGGCAGAGAATATTAATGCCTCTGGGAAGAAGACTCAGGTGAGCTAGTCTTCAAGTTTTTGGTAGTGGTTTTTTGTTGTTGTTGTTGTTGTTGTTTTTTGCTGTTTTTTGCCGTTTTTGTTTATATTAGGCAAATCCTACAAGGCAAATTAACCAAACTGAAACTCAGAGCACATTTTGTTTCATTTATTGATTTATTTTTCTGGCCTATGACTATATTTACATGTAAAATTTTACAAAAGCATTCATTCATATGTTTACGGAGAGAACTGTAGGAAAAAGAATGAGATCAAGACCATCTTGGAAAATCAGGGACATGTTGTTGTGGTACTTTTTAGTCACACTTTGGGGACATTAAAAAATATAGTCCCCAAGGAGGGCAATTTTGTCCTTGTGAGCATTCCACGATATTAGGAATTTCAAAATACATTTTTAGGGAAAGAGTAGGGGCCTGTGAATGTGTACATGTATGCTGGGGTCTCTGATCTCGGGTACCTTTCTTCTTCTTCTTCTTTTTTGTTTCTTTTTTCTTTCTTTTTTTTTTTTGAGACGGAGTCTTGCTCTGTCACCCAGGCTGGAGTGCAGTGGCCTGATCTTGGCTCACTGCAACCTCCGTCTCCTAGGTTTAAGTGATTCTCCTGCTTCAGCCTTCCAAGTAGCTGGGATTACAGGCCCCCGCCACCATGCCTGGCTAATTTTTGTATTTTCAGTAGAGATGGGGTTTCACCATGTTGGCCAGGCTGGTCTCAAACTCCTGACCTCAGGTGATCCGCCCGCCTTGGCCTCCCAAAGGGCTGGGATTACAGGTGTGAGCCACAGTGCCCGGCCTGTTCTTCTGAAAGTATGAAATTTGGGATTCTGTGCAATGCATTTTCCCCAATTTATCTCATTATCACATTGTCAGCCTTCCATGTTGGAATCATTACCTCATTTTGCAAACAAGGGAATTGAAACTCAAAATTGTTAAGCAATTTGCTGAAAGTCTCATAGCTACTGGCTAAACTGGGATTCCCATTTAGATCTGTCTTATTGAAAGTCTGTATTCTTTGACAATGATGATATCATCATTATCAACAACAATAATTCGTTGACTGGTATTGAGTGTCAATCATATGCAGGCACTGTGCTGAATGCTTTCCATGGATTATCTCATTGAATCTTTATTCAGTGTAGGTTATACATTATCCCCATTTTATAGGTAAGAAAAACTGAGGTTTAGAATAGTTAAGTAGTAGACTCAAGGCCCCTCAGCTTCAAAGCACTGGGGACAGAGCTCATATACTTCATTGTGTGATACCAGTGCTGCAAGGACATGAACACTGCTAACTGGTGATCTACTCAAGTCTTACTAGTTCATGCATTCAATCCAGAATGTCTTTGCCTTGAGGGCTATCACATTCAATCCCCTTGTTCAATGAAAAAATTAGCTGAGTTTTAAGGAAATCCCCTCCCACCTGTATTCCCTTCTCAAAGGAAATTTTTGGCTACTTAAAAGAGAACGTTCTGGACTTGGCTTTCTTCCTTATAACAACCAAGACCATTCACTCTTACCTAAATCCTGTGTTGTCCTCTGCTGAGGAGCTAGCTCAGAGTGCTGACCCTTGGCCCGACAGGGATGGTGACTTCTGGAGCCTTGACCAGGTCAGCTGTTCTTCTCCCTCCTAAGTTCCTTGCTCTGTTTTGGATACATTCTCCATCAGCACAGCTTCACAGTGGGTAGGGTTTATTCGGCTACTGCTGGCGTGGCTTCCCTTTGTCATTCATTCTTTGCCTCCAAAGGCCTGATCCCAAATCTAGCAAGAGGGATCTGGCCTCCAATTTGAATCTAGTCTCACGCAGGTTGGCCCTGCTTCCTGAAGAAGCTGTCGCAATGGCCAGTGAAGACCAGCTTTTTGGTATTGCCTGTTTCCTTTCTGTTCTTCTCTCCTACTCTCAGTCTGTCTACCCCACCTGCTAGCATTTGCCCAGCACCCAAATCCTCCACCTCATGGCTTACCTTTTACAAGCTGTAACTTTGAGCAAGATGTGGGAAGAGGCGAAGGTTCCATCGGGATGAAGGCGATTTGCAGTGGGGTGGAGGGAAGAGTCCCAGGCAGGGGGTGTGGAGACTTCTCAGTGCCTTGTTTCCATCTCAGTCATTTCCAGTCCAGGAGAGGCACTGCAGCTGGTGATATTTCCAAAGCGTACATCTGCTCAAAATCCTTTATTGATTCCTAGTCGCCTGTCAACTTTGGCGACACAAATTTGAATGTGCATAAATACCAGCTGGTGAGTGTGTGAAAATGCTGATTCCTAGGTGAGCACTCTCAGAGATCCTGATTCAGTTCAGGGGGTAATCTGTGTGTGCCAGAGCCTATGTGTGATTATGATGCAGATGGTCCCAGAACCGAAGAACGCTGGAAAGCCTTGACCTACAAAGTGCAAACTCCTCAGCCCATGCATTACTTTGCTCAAGCTACCATAGCAAAGTATCATAGACTGAGTGCCTTAAGTAACAGAAATGTATTTTCTTTTTTTTCTTTTTTTGAGACAGAGTCTTGCTCTGTTGCTCAGGCTGTAGTGCCGTGGCACGATCTTGGATGATTGCAACCTCCACCTCCCCAGTTCAATAGATTCTCCTGCCTTACCCTCCCGAGTAGCTGGAATTATGGGCACTCACCACCATGCCCAGCTAATATTTATATTTTTAGTAGAGATGGGGTTTCACCATGTTGGCCAGGCTGGTCTTGAACTCCTGGCCTCAAGTGATCTACCTGCCTCGGCCTCCCAAAGTGCTGAGATTACAGACGTGAGCCACCACGCTTGGCCAGACATTTATTTTCTTACAGTTCTGGAGGCTAGAAGTCCAAGATCAAGGTTCCGGCAGATCCATTTTCTGGTGGGGGAAGCCTTCCCGGCTTGCTGAAGGTGGCTTCTTACTATGTCCTCATGTGGCCTTTCCTCAGTGGGAGAGCTCTCTGGCGTCTCTTTTTTTTTTCAGATTTTTAAAAAAATTATTATTGTGGTTAACTATACATAATCACAAAGTCTCTGATTTTAGCTATTTTTAGGTGTACATTTAATGGCGTTAGGTACATTTGCAGTGTTGTGCAACTGTCACCACTCTTCATTTCCCGGTCTTTTTTTTAAACTTTTAAGTTCAGGGGTACAAGTGCAGGTTTGGTACATAGGTAAACTTGTGTCACTGGGGTTTGTCGTATAGATTACTTCATCACCCAGGTATTAAGCCTAGTACCCATTAGTTGTTTTTCTTCCTTCTTTTCTTTTCTTTCTTTTCTTTCTTTCTTTCTTTCTTTCTTTCTTTCTTTCTTTCTTTCTTTCTTTCTTTCTTTCTTTCTTTCTTTTTCCTTCCTTCCCTCCCTCCCTCCCTCCCTCCCTCCCTCCCTCCCTCCCTTCTTTCTTTCTTTCTTTCTTTCTTTCTTTCTTTCTTTCTTTCTTTCTTTCTTTCTTTCTTTCTTTCTTTCTTTCCCTCCTTCTTTCCTTCCTTCCTTCCTTCCTTCCTTCCTTCCTTCCTTCCTTCCCTCCTTCCTTCCTTCTCTTTCTTTCTTTTTTTTTGACAGAGTCTTGCTGTGTCACCCAGGCTGGAGTGCGGTGCCTTGATCTTGGCTCACTGCAACTTCTGCCATCCAGGCTGAAGCAATTCTCCTGCCTCAGCCTCATGTGTAGTTGGGATTAGAGGCAAGTGCCACCATGCCTGGCTAATTTTGTATTTTTAGTGGAGACAGGATTTCACCATGTTGGCCAGGCTTGTCTTGAACTCCTGACCTCAGGTGATCTGCCCACCTCAGCCTCCCACAGTGCTGGGATTACAGATGTGAGCCACCATGCCCAGCCCATTAGTTGTTTTTCTTGATTCTCTTGCATCCTCTGACCCTCACCCTCCAAAAGGCTCCAGTGTGTGTTGCTCCCCCGTATGTATCCATGTGTTCTCGTCATTTAGCTCCCATTTGTAAGTGAGAACATGCGGTATTTGGTTTTCTGTTCCTGTGTTAGTTTGCTAAAGATAATGGCCTCCAGCTCCATCCATGGTGTCTCTTCTTATTGGATTCGTACCTCATTTAACCTTAATGACTTCCTTAAAGGTCCCAACTCCAAATACAGACACATATTTGTGGAGTCAAGGCTTCAGCATATGAATTTACAGGGGACCCAATGTTTCCATCCATAATAATATGGCACTCAAGATGTATTGAGAAGGACCTCGTCTCTGCGTATCCTTTGTATCTCCACCATCCCTTCTCTTTTGCATATTAGGATCCAAACATACTAAATGATACCAGACCTCTGGTATTTTGGAAGGATAGGTTCCTAGCTGTTTGTAGTTCTAATTGTCATGTATTCAGGGTGTAAATTGGATAACCAGATTTCTGTCACTTACCCTTCTTTGAGAGCATTATACGCAAGGGCAAAAGGCCCTGCTGGATTCTTAGCTGTGACCACATAATATCTCCCCAGTCCCGGGATTCTCTGGTGATTGGTGCTGGGGCAAGATGCTTGGGTGTAGAAACTGAAATAGTGACTTCTACTCTTGGCTCTCTCGAATCTAGAAGGGCTGGGTGAATTAAGGAGATGTTGAACTTGGCTATTCAACTTTATGGACGGCAATAGCTATATGGTCCTGCTGTCTCCTTGAGTGCTAGACCTCTCTCGAAGCGATGGCTCTCAACCAGGGACAATTTTGCCTCCCTCCTACCTCCTTCAGGGTGTTTGGTGGCATTTGGAGACATTTTTTATTGTTACCACTGGGAAAGGTTGATGGCTCCTGGCATCTAGTGAGTAAAGGCCAGGGACGCTGCTCAAATATCTTACAATACACAGGACCCTACCCTAACCCCAATACTCATGAACAGTGAGAAACTATCCAAACGGTAGTGCTGAGGTTGAGAAGTCCTGCTCTAGAAGTTCTCCTGAGAGTGCATTTACCACATAGAGATGGAAGCCGAAGAGTCTCCCATGCATGGGGACAGGAAGTGAGTTAGGGAGAGGGGCTTGGCTTCTGATACTTCAGGCTTAGTTATCACACCCACTAGTAAAACGTGGCTCAACCCATGTACCTGACTCAGAACAATCAGATGAACAACATCTCTTTCATAAAAGGCAGGAAGGCCGGGAGCAGGATGAAGAAGAAACGGTACCTGAGCTCTGATACCAATATTTTAAGAGGATTCTTATAAAACTCAGCATAACTTTATTTCCTCTTGGAATTTCCTCTGAATCTCTAGGTATATTGGATGTCCCCTTTTCTGAGTTTCTAGAATACCCCCTGTGTCATTTATTATAACACTTATGACACTATTATAATAGTCTATTTATTAGACAGGAATAACTGACCATTCTTTTCTCCATGGGCTGAGGGGGCAGCCTGGGAAGAGAAAGCATAGTAGTGTCCTAGGGCTGCCGTAACAAATGACCACACACTGCATGGTTTTGAAACAATAGAAATTTATTTTCTTACCAATTTGGAGGCAGTAAGTCTGAAATCAAGGCTTTGGTGGGGCTGCGCTCCCTCTGAGGTCTCGAGAGAGAATTCTTCCTAGCCTCTTCCAGCTTCTGGTGGCTCCAGGCTTTCCTGGGCTTGTGGGTGCATAATTCCATTTCCTGCCTCTGTCTCCACATGGCCTTGTTCCTTCTGTATCTGCGTGTCTCAAATCTCCCCCTGCCTTACTTTTTATTTTTTCAAGTCAGAGTGTTGCTCTGTTGCCCAGGCTGGAGTGCAGTGACTCAATCACAGCTCACTGCAGCTTTGAATTCCTGGACTGAAGCCATCCTCTCACCTCAGCCTCTCGAGTAACTGGGACGACAGGCATGCACCACAAGGTCTGGCTAATTTTTACATTAAAAAAATTTTTTTTTTTTCGAGACAGAGTTTCGCTCTTGTTGCCCAGGCTGGAGTGCAGTGGCACGGTCTTGGCTCACTGCAACCTCTGCCTCCCGGGTTCACGCGATTCTCCTGCCTCAGCCTCCCAAGTAGCTGGGGTTACAGGCATGTGCCACCACACCCGGCTAATTTTTTATTGTTAATAGAGACGGGGTTTCACCATGTTGGCCAGGCTTGTCTTGAACTCCTGACCTCAGGTGATCCACCTGTCTCGGGCCTCCCAGAGTGCTGGGATTACAGTTGTAAGCCACCGCGCCCAGCCTTAATTTTATTTTTACAAGATATGGGGGTCTCACTCTGTTGCCCAGGTTGGTCTTGAACTCCTGGGCTCAAGTGATCATCCTGCCTAGGTGTCCCGAGTAGCAGGGCCTACAGGTGCACACCACCACACCCAGCTAATTATTTCATTTTTCAAAGAGACAGGGTATCACTATGCTGCCCAGGCTAGTATCAAACTCCTGGGCTCAAGCAGTCCTCCTGCCTCTGCCTCCCAAAGTGCTGGGAGCCAGCATACCCAGCACTCTGCCTTACTTGTATAAGGACATCTGTCACTGGATTTAGGGGCCACCCCATAATCCAGGATGATGTCATCTTGAGATTAACTTGATCACATCTGCAAAGACCCGTTTTTCTTTCTTTCTGTCTTTTATTTATTTATTTTTTATTATACTTTAAGTTCTAGGGTACATGTGCACAATGTGCAGGTTCGATACATAGGTATACATGTGCCATGTTGGTTTGCTGCACCCATCAACTCATCATTTACATTAGGTATTTCTCCTAATGCTATCCCTCCCCAAGTCCCTGACCCTGCAACAGGCCCTGGTGTGTGATGTTCCCCACCCTGTGTCCAAGTGATCTCATTGTTCAATTCCCACCTATGAGTGAGAACATGCGGTGTTTGGTTTTCTGTCCTTATGATAATTTGCTGAGAATCATGGTTTCCAGCTTCATCCATGTCCCTGCAAAGGACATGAACTCATCCTTTTTTATGGCTGCACAGTATTCCATGGTGTATATGTGCCACATTTTCTTAATGCAGTCTATCATTGATGGACATTTGGGTTGGTTCCAAGTCTTTGCTATTGTGAATAGTGCCGCAATAAACATACATGTGCATGTGTCTTTATAGTAGCATGATTTATAATCCTTCGGGTATATACCCAGTAATGGGATTGCTGGGTCAAATGGTATTTCTAGTTCTAGATCCCTGAGGAATCGCCACACTGTCTTCCACAATGGTTGAACTAATTTACACTCCCATCAACAGTGTAAAAGTATTCCTATTTCTCCATATCCTCTCCAGCATCCGTTGTTTCCTGACTTTTTAATGATTGCCATTCTAACTGGCGTGAGATGGTATCTCATTGCGGTTTTGATTTGCATTTCTCTGATGACCAGTGATGATGTGCATTTTTTCGTGTGTCTGTTGGCTCCATAGATGAAAGACCTCTTTTTCTAAATGAGGTCACATTCATAGGTTCTGGAGGTTAGGACATGGTCATATCTTTCAGAGGGACATTATTCAGCCCACTCCAGATGGGGGTAAAACACAAAGATGGGAAGGGATGATAACAACACATTGTAGGATATGATTTACCACCTACAACTCTGGGAACAGAGAGGCTGAGGAACAGAAGAAAGTAAGAGTAATTAGATGCCTTTTATGTGCGAGGAACTGGGTTAAAGCTCTTCATTTCTCATCTCCATTAATCCTCACTAACACTTAGTGGATTGGTTATCTCCATTTTAAAGGTGGAGAGAGAAGTTCAGAGAAGGTATACAGGTAGCTCAAGCACCTACAGAACAAATTGAGCCCAGGTCTGCTGTTTCCAGAGCCCATACTCTTTCTAGGATAAAGGAAGCATTTGCATGGCCTCTTACTGGCAGCTGTAGGGAGGGACCAAGCCCAGAACATCTCATTTGCAACAGAGAAGGTGTCATTGCTCTTCCTGGGCTTCCAACAGCCTGGTGCTCACCTGCCTGCCTTTGGCAGCTGGAGCCCAGGTGCTGGACAGCCCAGTTGGCCCAGAGCCTCTTGAGGTGGGGATGTGGTGACAGATTTTGGCTGGTTCAGATGCAACACCCTTTTTGGCACCTGTGGCCATTTGGCACTGTGGGGGAGCCAGTCCCATACATATGTATTAAAGGATTTGGATTCCTTACTCCCACCAGTGCTGGGATTCATGCAAGCTGAGCAGGATTTTCTGAGAGGCAGTGTACTGTGATAGAAAGAGAAAGTTGAAATGCGAGAGATCTGGGTTCAAATCTTATTTTTGCCACTTATGGGCTGTATGACAAGTGAGCTATTTCACTTCTCTGAGCCTCAGCTTCTTCTACTGTAAAGTAGGGGGTGACAATACCCATTTCCACAGAGCTTCCACATACGGCACTTTGAACAATGCCTGCTACACAGTAGACCCTCAAAGTTCCTGTGTTGGCTGAATCTGCAGGTCCCTGTGATACTTCCTGACGCCTGGTTAGCATCTATCTCTGCTTGCATGAAAGTAGCCTCTGTGCAGCCAGGATCTCAATTGCCAATAACATCTGTCAAATGCAAGTGTGAACCTTGCTGCTAGTGCAAGGGGCAGATATTGGGGAAGGATGTCTTATCTCATGCATGCTCATAATTACCTGGACATTGATACCAACATGTTAAGAGGGTTCTTATAGAACAGCATAACATCATTTCCTCTTGGATTTTTTTCTGAATCTCTAGGTATATTAGATTTCCCCTTTTCTGAGTTTCTAGAATACCCTGTGTTTCATTTATTATAACACTTATGACATTATTATAATTGTCTATTTATTATACAGGGATACATTTGTAGGCAAGGGCTAATTATTACTTTCCTCTATCTTTCTAGACCAGTAATTTTCAACATTTGTTTCTTAGACCAGCAACGACATTACCTGGAAACTTGTTAGACCTACAAATTCTCAGGACACACTGCAGACCTGCTGAATTAGAGACTCTGGGTGTGAGGCCTGGCAATCTGTATTCACAAAGCTTTCATGTGATTCCGATGATGCTTAGGTTGAAACACCACTTCCCTAGATGACTGGTCCTTAACTTTGGAGGAACTCCTGGATCCTGGAACCCCTGAGGAGCTTTAGAAAATAGCGATGCCTCTGTCCCACCTCTAGAGGTGCTGACCTAATTGTTGAGGGGTGTGAACTGGGTTGAAATTCTTTAAAATCTCCAGAGGATCCTAATATTGAGCCAGGGGTGGGAATCACCAACACACAGCCCCATTCCTAATAGTCACTTAATAGTAGAACATAATAGTTGAGTGCCTCCTTGGCAATCTCATAGACGTAGGTCACATGCTGACCTCCTTCTTCCTAACTGCGGGTCAGTTCTTTTTTTTATTTTTTACTTTTTATTTTTACTTTTTTATTGTAAGAACACTTAACATGAGATCAACCCTCTTAACAACATTTTTTTTGGGGGGGATGGAGTTTTCCTCTTGTTGCCCATGCTGGAGTACAATGGTGTGATCCTGGCTCACTGCAACCTCCACCTCCCAGGTTCAAGCGATTCTCCTGCCTCAGCCTCCTGAGTAGCTGGGATTACAGGCATGCACCACCATGCCCAGCTAATTTTGTAATTTTAGTAGAAACAGGGTTTCTCCATGTTGGTCAGGCTGGTCTCGAACTCCCGACCTCAGATGATCCACCAGCCTCAGCCTCCCAAAGTGTTGGGATTACAGGCGTGAGCCACCGCGCCCACCTTAACAACATTTTAAGTGTATAATACAGTATTGTTAACTATAGGGACAATGCTGTGTGGCAGATTTCTAGAATGTATCCATCTTGTACAATTGAGACATTTTTGCCCATTGATTAGCAACTCCCAATTTTCCCCTCCCTATCCCCCGGCAACTACCCTTCTACTTTCTGTTTCTTTGAGTTTGATGACGTTAGAGTCCTTATTGAAGTGGAATCATGCAGCATTTGTCCCTTTGTGACTGATTTATGCATTTAGCATAATGTCCTCAAGTCTTATCTATGTGTCTTACGTAACAGGATTCCCCTCTTTTTCAAGGCTGAATACTATTCCATTGTATGACTACATCTACTACAGTTTCTTTCTGCATTCATCTGTTGATGGATGTCTGTGTCGTTTCTGTATCTTAGCTTTTGTGAATAATGCTGCAATGGACATGGGAGTGCAGATATCTCTTTGAGTTCCAGATTTCAACTTTTTATATATCCAGAAATGGGATTGCTGCATCGTATGGTAGTTCTATGTTTAATCTTTTGAGAAACCTCTATATTGTGTTTCACAGCAGCTGCACCCTTTTATATTCACTGTGGGTCAGTTCTGACCTCCTCAAGCCCTACTTTTCCTACCTGTAAATGTGAGTAGTGATGGGAATCTTCTCATAGCATCATTTTGAAGACTACCTATGTAATGCAGATAAAGCACTTGACATGATGGAAGACTAACAAGTAGCCATGATGCTTAGTATTATTTCCATTTTATAGGAGAAGGATGTGAAGCTCAGAGACTTTGGCTGCGGGAAGGGAAAACCAGTGCCCCTCCCCTCCTTGATCAGAGTCAACATTTAGGTTTTAAGGTTGAAAGTCATTGTCTGTGTCTTCAAGGTACCATAACTACCTAGAGTTTCATGGCCTGAAAGAGACCTGGAGCTTGTTTATACCTCCCTCCCCCACTGCTGTATCTGGGTCTTTTGGGGTATAGCCCATTTACTGAACAACGAAAACTTTGGGGATCCCCAAGATTTCTGTTCTCAACATTGAATTGTACTGTTGGTTGACAAATGTTGGGTGAAGAGTCCTCAGCTTTCTTTGGAAATTCTGTCCAACATTTTTGGATGTTCTTATCTGGAGGATGGACTCCATCAATATTCTTTCAGTTATAGGCAGCAGTAAAAACCATCTCAAACTTCCTTAAGCAACTAATAATATTTATTGGGTCATGTAGCAAAATTTCCAGGAATCTAGCTAGTTAGAGGTGCCCCAAAGAGGCTGCTTTTTGTTTCTTATAAACTGAAGCATAAAATCCAATATACACTTAGCATGCAACCCAGCAATTTTACTCCTCTGTATCTATCCAAGAGAATTGAAAATTATGTCCACACAAAGAATCTGCACTAATATTCATAGAAGCTCTATTCATAATAGCTAAAAGCTGGAAACAACCCAATGTCTATCAATGGGAGAATGAATAAACAAACTGTGGTACATCCACACAATGGAATAATTCTCGGCAATAAAAAATAATGAATATTGATTCACACAAAACATGGCTGAATCTCAAAAGCAGGCACTGAAGAGTGTATAGTGTTGGGAGGCTGAGGCAGGCGGATCACCTCAGGTCAGGAGTTTGAGACCAGCCTGGCCGACATGGTGAAACCCTGTCTCTACTAAAAGTACAAAAATTAGCTGGGTATGGTGGTGCACTCCTGTAATCCCAGCTGCTTGGGAGGCTTAGACAGTAGAATCACTTGAACCCAGGAGGCGGAGGTTGTAGTGAGCCGAGACCACGCCACTGCACTCTGGCCTGGGTGACTAGAGTGAAGCTCTGTCTCAAAAACAAAAAAAAAAAAAAAAAAAAAGAATGTATACTGAAAGAAGCCAAGCACTAAAAAGTGTATATTGTATGATTCTATTTATATGAGATTCTGAAAAGGTAGACGGTGGCTGCTTGGGGCTGGGGTGGGGGTAATTGACTGCAAACAGGTATGTGAAACAACCTTCTCAGGTAATGAAAACCTTCTATCTCTTGATTGTCATGGTGGTCTTGACTGTATGTATGTGTCAAAATTGATCAAACTGTGTACTTAACATGGGTACATTTTAGTGAATATAAGTTACACTTCAATAAACGTTATTTAAGAAGAAATCTGCCTCTATCATTGGGTTCTATTTATCTCTACGTGGCTTCATTCTTAGGCAGGTTCTCCCCAGGAAGTGATAAAGGGAGCTGCATTAGTCTGTTTTCATGCTGCTGATAAAGACATACCGAGACTGGGCAATTTATAAAGAGAAAGAGGTTGAATGGACTCACAGTTCCACATGGCTGGGGAGGCCTCACAATCATGGTGGAAGGTGAAAGACACGTCTTACATGGTGGCAGGCAAGAGAGAAGGAGAGCCAAGTGAAAGGGGAGACCCCTTATAAAACCATCAGATCTCGTGAGACTTATTTCTTACCATGAGAACAGTATGGGGGAAACTGCCTCCATGATTCAATTATCTCCTACCGGGTCCCTCCCACAACATTTGGGAATTATGGGAGTTGCAATTCAAGATGAGATTTGGGTGGGGACACAGCCAAACCATATCAAAAGCCTTCAGCAGTTTTGCCCCTCAGCTCAGCAATCCCCATGGAGAAGAGCTTCTTCCTATAGATAAATTATGGCATAGAGGGTCGTTGGAACAGCTGGGGTCATATGACCATCCTTGAATCAATCACTGTGTCTGCAGATGGTGGTGAAATTCTCTGATCGGTCAGGATTAGATCATGTTCTGGAGCCAGCTGGGGGTGTCAACACTTCAAAACTACATGGAGTGTGAGTGGGGGACGAGTCCTTCCCTGAAGGAAAGTAAAGGTGCTATTACTAGAAGACTGAGGAATGGATGCAAATGCAATTGAGGTCTTCTACATAGACCTTCCCTAGATATAACCTTCCAAGCTAGGTCCCATTTCTCTCCTTTTAAAATTTTTTTTATTTTTAGTTTTTGTGGGCACCTAGTAGATATATAGAGCTACCACATGCTTCAACAATCCCATTACTGGGTATATACCCCAAAGAAAGGAAATCAGTATATCAAAGAGAGATCTGTACTCCTGTTTGTTGCAGCACTGTTCACAATAGCCAGATTTGGAAGCAACCTAAGTGTCCATCAGTTGATGAATGGATAAAGAAAATGTGGTACACATACACAATGGAGTACTATTCAGCCATAAAAAGAATGAGATCTTGGCTGAACACGGTGGCTTACGCCTGTAATCCCAGCATTTTGGGAGGCCAAGGCAGATGGATCACTTGAACTCAGGAGTTTGAGACTGGCCTGGGCAACACAGCAAAACCTCGTCTCTACAAAAAAATACAAAAAATTAACTGGACGTGGTGGCACACGCTTGTGGTCCGAGCCTACTCGGGAGGCTAAGGAGGGAGGATCACTTGGGCCAGGAGGTCAAAGCTGCAGTGAGCCGAGATTGTGCCACTGCACTCCAGCCTGGGCGACAGAATGAGACCCTGTCTAAACAAACAAACAAAATGAATGAGATTCTGTTATTTGCAACAACATGGATGGAACTAGAGATCATTACATTAAGTGAAATAAACCAGGCACAGAAAGGCAGACATAATGTGTTCTCACTTAATTGTGGGATCTGAAAATAAAAACAATTGAACCCATCTCTCTTGTCGACCTCTCACCCTCCAGAATTAGATAGATCCACATCCATCTCGTCACTTTTGTGATTTATGACAACATAATGTAGTAGAAAGACAAAGGCTGGGAGCCAGAGGCCTAGAGGGTCAAATCTCAGCTCTGCTTCTTCCTTACCTCCTGACCCTAGGCAATTTATTCAAGCTCTCTAAGGATCAGTTTCCGCATCTGTGAACGGAGGATAATTATAGGACCTACTTCATGATGCTGCTGTGAGGACTGAATGAGATCATTCATATCCAGTGTTTAGCATAGTGCCTGGTACACAGTAAGCACTTGATCAATGTCGTTTATAATTACTGTTTTTAGAATTTTGAATGACTTTTAAAAATGGAGTATTTATCTATAGCCAGGTGTAGCAGGTGTATTGGCGCCATGTCCACATCTCCTTGGTACCTCCATTCTTATAGGCACTGATGGAATCCTATTGCAAGAACCCCCCACTCAGACTGTCTGGGGGCTTTCTCTGACATGCTGCTCTCCTGTAGGTGAGGTGAAGTGCTTCTAGAAGTGCTGGAGAGTCGATGCTCCTGGGAGCAGCCCCCAGCCAATGGTAGCCACCCAGCTTTCTCATTCCTTGGGTGAGTCCACTCTAAGGTACATTCAACAGCATTCCCAGGGGTTTCTCATAGGATTGAGCCCAGTTGCCCACTGCAGTAACATGCCCATTAATGCTAGATTGGCTTGCTTCCCTTCCCTGTCTAACTTCCCCGTTCCCCTTTTTGAGATCACCTTCCAAGAACCTGTCTGTACTCAAAAATGATTTCAGAGCCTGCTTCTTAGGGAACTCAACCTGAGATCCGGACCACATCAGTGAGTTGAAACATCATGTTTTTCTGCTCTTGACTAGAATTACAGCAACATTGTATAGTGTCACAGTGTAGTACAGTTACCTCTTGTAGACCACAGGCACTAACGGGCAGCTCTTTAAGGCTTTGATGAATAAAATATGGTAGGAAAAAATTAACTATTCTTTAATAAATGCAGCTTTCTGGGCAGTCAAATTCTACAAAAGCATTTATAGGAGAGGAACGCAATGGGGAAAATGAATCCCAAGGACCCCTTCATGGCCAAAACGTGTGCGTCACTGACAGGGGAGTTCTAAGTATTGGTTGAGTGATTGATTATCCTGGCTTCTAGCACAGGGCTGTTACTCAGTGTCAGATTAATGAGCTGTGGATTTGTGTGTATCCAAGTGACTGCAGAACTGCAAGGCTTAGAAGCCTGAGCCCATATCTTCCAGCCGTTTATATGTCTCTGTTGTGTTGATGGTGAGGGGGCTGCTGTAAGTAAACAATGGCCAAACCAGGTCCCGCGGGGCACTGTGATTACCATGGGTCTTACTCTAGGTATATTGGGAAATTACTGGGGATCCACAGTCCCAGATTTTAACCCCTCTTCTGCCTCTGCCTTCCTGTGTGACCTTGATGAATCCCTTGTTTTCTCTGGCCCTTGGTTTCCTCCTCTGTCCACTGGAATAGGTTGGATGAAGAAACCCCAGTTATTCATGCTTTGGGAACTGAACGAGCTCTGTTGCCTTGACAATAGTGTATTCAGCCATTGCACCCTCTCCATGGGGTGGGTAAGTAGCAAATGGATAATGTTTCATTTTACAGATGGGATGCCTGAGGTAGAGTGGCCAGTATGATACAGGCACCAACCAGTAACTGTGCAAAGGCTTATATTTCAGTGCAAGATCTTATGTAATTCCTGAGACTTAACAAGTAGGCAGCCAAGGGTAAGGCAATTTATACACATATCACAGGAAACACTGGAGTTCAGATGGAGCATGCCAGTATGAAAAGCATGTGAGCACTAGAGTCTGACAGATGTGGGTTTGAATTTTAGGTCTGCCTCTCTGAGCCTCAATGTCTTCTTTTTACGGCCTAAAAAATAATATCTATATCACGAGGTTAAGGCTAGGCTCATATGAGACAGTTCTGTTACAGTACTTGTTCTGAAAACATGAATTTGCACAAGTGAGATTGATATATCAGGAAACAATTTGAGCATAATGTGAATTTCACATTTGTTCATGTGAAATTTCCTCAGTGAGAAACAATAGGCAAATGCAGAAAACTGCACTCAAATAAACTGAGCCACATAGGAATACATAAAATACACACACCTCAAACATCTGCCAGCTACCTGAGTTGTGAGCCATGCCCACCCACATCTGGTGTTGCAACTGTCTATCCAACTTTCAACTTTTTTTTTTTTCAAATTTTACTTTAAGTTCTGGGATACATGTGCAGAACATGCAGGTTTGTTACATAGGTATACGTGTGCCATGGTTGTTTGCTGTACCTATCAACCTGTCATTTAGGTTTTAAGCCCCGCGTGCATTAGGTACTTGTCCTAATGCTTTCCCTCCTCTTGCCCCCACCCCCAAGAGAGGCTCTGGTATGTGATGTTTCCCTCACTGTGTCAGTGCATTCTCATGGTTCAATTCCCACTTATGAGTGAGAACATGAGGTGTTTGGTTTTCTGTTCCTGTGTCAGTTTGCTGAGAATGATGGTTTCCAGCATCATCCATGTCCCTGAAAAGGACACGAACTCTTCTTTCTTAGGGCTGCATAGTATTCCATGGTGTATATGTGCCACATTTTCTTTATCCAGGAACCAACCCAAATGCCCAACTTTCAACATTTTTATGTGAGGTTCCTGTCTTTAAAAAAATGTGTCACTGATGAAGTTTTTGAATGGTGTGCCCCTAACCTCATTTCCCCATAAACTCTGTAGTTTTTATTGCATGATTTTGTATAATGCAGTAATTTTTAGAAATGTGTATGTTGTACTATAGCAGCAGAACTGACTGTGTAATGAAGTAAAGTGCCTTGTACAGTGCCTAGTACAGAGTAAATATTAGACTGTTCTCATCTACTTCTTTCTATTACACTTTCTATTATATCTTATGGAATAGAAAGCAGAAAGGTCCTGAATTATGACTCTTGATTGTTGCAAGAGAAGGTACTCAAGCTTCATAGCTGGAAGTCGATAGAGATCTCTCACAGACAGGAGTGCAACTGAATTCAGGGAAGTCATAGTTTTGACCTTTGTGAGAAACAGAAAACCCAATTCATAATAGCTAAGACAAAAAGCTTGTAATTGCAAAGTTCCCTAGAGTCAGAGCGAGATCAAGGAACTCAAACCATGAGATGTTACCAGGACTTAGTTTCCATTTGTCAGACCTGCCTTCTGCTGTGTTGGCCTCATTTTCAGGCAGGCTTTCTTCGCATGGTGACCAGATGGTGGCCAGAATTTCCTGGTTCGCAACCATACAGCTTCAAGTCTAGTAGAAAAGATAGGGTGCTTTTTTCTTCTAGTCACATCTGCCTAAATCCTGGGATTAGCCGGCTCTAACTGCATTATGTTCTTATTTCTGAAATCATCATGCAGTGCCCATATTTGGTTAGGCTTGGGTGACATACCCTCCCCTACAATTAGGGTGAAAATGGACTGATGACCTGGACTGAAGGGAGGCGGGAAGGTGGTTCTCCAAAGGAAGTTCAAAGTATTGATAACTGAACAAGGAAGAATGAATACTGGACAGGCAAAACCAACACACTTCCACTATAAGAACCAAAACCAGGGATTTGGAAGCCATTTAGATTCTATTTCCTACTCTGTGCTTCATTTCTTTCTTTTTCAGAAGCCTTTCTTTTTCTGCTTCTCTAATCCACATGATCTTCATAATCATAGTAGTAGCTGCCAAGTCCAAACTTCCCAGAAAGGATTGAATATTACAACTTTAAATTCAAAAGAAAGGGTTCTGACCCAGCTTGGATTAGGGGTCCACTTGCATTCAAATCAAGAGACTCAGGCATGGGGGATGGTGGTGTACTATTGTATCAATAAACTGCCAGGAGCTCACTGTTATGTCCTTGGGTTGGGAGACCAATAGGAATGGTTGTTGTGAGTTGGCCACACTACCCAGTAGATGTCCATGATAAGGAAGTTCTTCCCAACTTGCTCCAATAGGCCTCCATTATTTTCAGGATCCAAGTCCAAGATGGTTCAGCCCATGATTGGAAAAATGAAAGAAGCTTATTAAGATACCTCCATGTGGCTGGGCGCTGTGGCTCACGCCTGTAATTCTAGCACTTTGGGAGGCCAAGGTGGGTGGATCACCTGAGGCCAGGAGTTTGCGACCAGCCTAACTAACATGGCAAAACCCCATCTCTACTAAAAATATGAAGATTAGCCAGGTGTGGTGGCGCATGCCTGTAATGCAGCTACTCGGGAGGCTGAGGCAGGAGAGTCGCTTGAACCTGGGAGGCAGAGGTTGCAGAGAGCTGAGATTGTGTCATTGCACTCCAGCCTGGGTGACAAGAATGGAAACTCCATCTCAAAAAAAAAAAAAAAATACCTCCATCTGAGACGAGCATCTTTACCTATCCCAAGTAGAGAAGTAGTCTGCTTGACTCCTTGGACTCCAGCTCATTTAGTAGGATAGAGGGAAAGATTCAGGAATGGCATTGGTGGGGGTAGGGGTGATGAGCACCATTAGCATCTCCTTGGGAATGACCCAATTTCTCAGCTTCTGTTTCACCTCCTGGCCCAGCTAGACTTGCTAATGAGCAGTGATGCCAACTCACACCTTATGAAAGTCAGGTCATTGGGATGTTCTTTCTTCTGAGATCAGGGAGAATTGGAACATAGATATTTGGCCTTAGTCCAGAAGAAGCAACATCTTATTGAGGGCAGGAAGAAAGTTAAGTTTATTTTTGGGGGGCCACTTGGAGATTGCTTTGTATAGCACACTGTAATGATAGACCCAATTCTTCAGACCTCCCTCCATGCATACTCTTTTCCATGTGACTTTGCAGTTTCCATCACAAGAGACATGGAGTCTCTTTCCCTACCTCTTGAATTTGGTCTAGCCTTGTGATTTGTTTTGGCCAATAGAATATGGTAGGAGTGACTATGTGCCAATTCTGAGCCTATAGCTGAAGAACGCTTGTGTGTTTCTTCTTGCTGTTTTGTACCTCTGCCATTGCCAAGACTACTCTGATGAAGGAGGAGAGACATGTGAAACAGACCCAGGTCATTCCCTTCTCCCATCCAAGATCGTCCTACATTAGTCAACAGCCAGCCAGTACTAGACATGTGAATGAGCTAAGCTGAGACTGAAAGATCTGCCCAGCTGATCCTAGACTAAATAACCAATTACAGATTTGGGAGCTAATAAAATGCTTTTTTTAAAAGAAAAAAAAGCTATTGTGTTTTGGAGGGTGGTTTTAACATCAACATTATTTGGTGGATTGTCTGTTAAAATCTTTGCCCACTTAAATCTGATATTGATACTATCAACAAATCCAACATATTTGTTATTATGGTAACAGAAAACTGATATGTTTGGAATATAATAGAATTAATAGCTCTATATTTTGAGTATTCACTATGCAGCATACAACTATGTACATTGCTGTGGTCTTCCTGATGACACATTTAGGTAGGTTGCACTAGCTCTATTTTTTGTAGGTAACTGTGAGAATGATGGAGATTAAATGACTCACAAGGGGTCAACCAGCTAGGAAAGAGTTGGTTTGAGAAAACATGGCAGGTCTTTTTCACTCTATCAATCTTCCTACATCCCTACAGTGTATCTGCACCCAGAATCCCATGTTGGTGATAGAGGTTTGTCCACAGAGCTCAATAATTCAGAGTAAAGGGGACTTTCTTGTGAATTGCATTATTCTGAGGTTGATTATGATTATGTGTTCCTGTAATTTTCAGCTTTTTTTTTTTTGAGATGGAGTCTTGCTCTGTCACCCCGGCTGGAGTGCACTGGAGTGATGTCGGCTCACTGCAACTTCCACCTCCCAGGTTCAAGTGATTCTCCTGTCTCAGCCTCTCAAGTAGCTGGGACTATGGGTACGCACCACCATGCCTGGCTAATTTTCATATTTTTAGTAGAGATAGGGTTTTGCCATGTTGGCCAGGCTGGCCTCAAACTCCTGACCTCAGGTGATCTGCCTGCCAATAACTTCCATCATAAAGATCTGGGATTTGTTGATAGCATTAATATCAGATTTAAATGGGCAAAGATTTTAACAGACAATCCACCAAAGAAGATATATATACGGTCAATAAGTACATGAAAAGATGCCGGTGTCATTAGTCATCAGGGAAATGCAAATTAAAACCACAATAAGATACCACCCATTAGAATGGCTAAAATGAAAAAGATTGATGATATCAAGTGATGGTGAAAATATGGAGTGACTGGAATTGTCACACACTGAAGGTGTAAAATAGTACAACAGAGAAGAGTTTGGTTGTTTTTAAATAAAGTTTAACCTGCCCTTACCATATGACACATCAATTCCACTCCTAGATATCTGCTCAAGGTAAATAAACACAAATGTCCGCACAAAGTCTTGTATACTAATGTTCAGAGTAGCTTTATTTGTAATAGCTCCAAGCTAAAAGTAACCCCCAAATCTATTCATAGGTGAGTGGATAAACTACTTGTGTGATATATTTTAACAACAATAGTAAATAAGTTATTGATACATGTAGCAGTATAAATCAATTTTAAAAATTATGCAGAGAGGAAGAAGGCAGATATAAAATAGTTCATACTACATAATTTCATTTATTTGAAATCTAGAAATGACAAATGAAATCTAGTGTCCGAAGGCTAAATAGTGTTTGTCTGAGGCCAGAGGTTGGGGGGTTATTAAGGTGGGTGAGATCTAATGAGACTTTCTGGGGTGATGGAAATATTCTGTATCTTGATGGTGGGGCTAGTTACATTGGTGTATAAATCTGTAAAAAGTCATCAAAATGTACAATTAAAATGCATGCACTTGCATATAAGCCATAACTCCATAAAGTTGATTTTCAAAGAGACCTAAAATTATGTTTTCTGAAAATTACATGGTTATGAATTTCTGGAGAATGATATATGGGTTGACAGAATCAGCTTCTTGAAGTTCAGAGGAGGAAAAAAAAAAAGCTCCCACAGCAAAAGGCAATTCAGGACCACGGACAGCACCCCCAGTACTAAATGAGGTAAAGTAGTTAGCACAAATCTGGCAACAGTAAGCGCTCACTCAAATGCAGCTCAAAAAACCCTTTAATAAATGCCTACTACGTGCCAAATATCACGTAAAGCCCTATTTATATGAATTATTTCATTTTAGTCTCACCAACCACTTGTAAATTAAAGACTATTATTATCCTTACTTTGCAGTTGAGAAATCAGGCATTGTTCTCAATGTAATTTTGTAAGTAAAAGGAAAGCAGGGAATGATCACACACACACACACACACACACACCACACCACACACACACACACACACAGACACACACACACACACACACACACACACACACACACACACACACACACTGTTGGTCCCAGATTCTGAAAGCGGAAAGGACATTCTTGCCTTTCTTGTGTAATGGTGTTTTGCTCCCAGGGCGTTTGAAGGCAGAATTGGTCGGCAGGCAAGCGGGTGTAAGTGCCAATGTGTGGAAGAATTACAGGTACATTTTCCCAAGCCTCTGGCAGATTATTTTTTACGTACAAAATTACTTGTCAGGAAGCTTTTTTTTTTCTCTCTCTCGGTTCTCATACTATAGAAACAAGTGTTACATAACATGCATATCAGCAGCGATGGTTTTGCACAGCATCTAACCAAGGTTGGGGGAGGGGAGCAGCAGTGAGGGAGAGTGCAAGTTATAGCCAAAGACCCTCAATGTCTGAGGGTATGGACAGGATGGTGGATGAGAGAATGGGGGCAGAGATGAACTCTTCTTTGCAAGATTGGGCAAAATCCTAGCCTGGGAATCAAACCTGGGGCCCTTGCCTGCGAGTACCTCCTTCCACTCACACTGTTATCACCATGGTTTAAACTCTCCTTTCTTTCCTGGAATAAGCAGCCCCCTAACTGGTCCTCCCACTTCCAGCCTTTTGTTTTTCAGTATTTTGACCTTAGAACGTTATAGACATGTATATCTGATTCATTCACTACCTTCTCTCAAATGGGCTAAACATTCCCCCAAACTGAACTTCCTAATGTAAAGTTCTTTATAAGCATCAAGGGTCACTTAAAAATCAGAGCCCTGACTACTCCACCAGTTTCTTTCCTTGCTTTTGTCCAACCTTGATCCTAACCCTAATGCATTACTTGGGGATCCCTGAAAGCATCGTGCTATGCTGAACTTTGCCTATGTTCTGTTTAATTGTTTCTTTGTTTGGAGACAGGGCCTTGCTCTGTCACCCAGGCTGGCGTACAGTGGCAAGATCTCGGCTCACTGCACCTCCGCCTCCCGAGTTCAAGCGATTCTTGTGCCTCAGCCACCCGAGTAGCTGGGATTACAGGTGTGCACCATCATGCCTGGCTAATTTTTGTATTTTTAGTAGAGACAGGGTTTCACCATGTTGCCCAGGCTGGTCTCGAACTCCTGGCCTCATGTAATCCAACTGCCTTGGCCTCCCAAAGTGCTGGGATTACAGGCGTGGGCCACCATGCCCAACATCTGCTTAATTATTCTGCAGTTTACCTTCTTTTCTCCATCTCTCTCCCTTTCCTCCTTTTCCTTCAGAGCAGCTAGGATAACCTTACTGTGGCCCACAAGGTCCTGCACAATCTAGCCTCTTCTCTGGCTCCAGCCTCACCTTGTGCTAGTCCCTGCACCCCACTCTCCTTTGCTCTATTCCAACCTCTTGCTTCTTTGAGGTCCTCCAATGTGAGCCTTACTCCTTTCTGCCTCCTCAGGACTTTTGCACGTACTGCTCCTACTGACTAGAACGCTTGCATCCTTCTCTGTAGTTGATCATCTCGCAGTTCATTCTTATATAACCTCCAGATTTCAGCTCAATCATTTCCCAGGGAAGCCTTCTCCGACCCTTAACATCACCCTGTATGTTTCTTTAAACACACATACCAACCATACAAAGTTATGTATTTACCAGTGTGATCGTTTGTTAATTCTCTTCCTCACTAGACCTTAAGCTCCACAGAGGCAAAGACTACATATCATGTCAATTTTGCCCACTACTGAATTACTAGTGTCTGACACATAGTAGAGCCTCTATAAATATTTGTTGAATGACTCAGTACCTGTCTCTGTTTCTTTATTTAATACTAAAGAATTCCCAATATTATTATTTTTTGAGACAGAGTCTCACTCTGTTTTCAGACTGGAGTGCAGTGGTGAAATCTCTGCTCACTGCAGCCTCCACCTCCTGGATTCAAGTGATTCTCCTGCCTCAGCCTCCCGAGTAGCTAGAACTACAGGTGTGCACCACCATCCCTGGCTGATTTTTGTATTTGTAATAGAGACGGGGTTTCACCATGTTGGCCAGGCTGGTCTCGAACTCCTGACCTCAGGTGATCCACCTGCCTCGGCCTCCCAAACTGCTGGGATTACAGGCATAAGCCACCGCGCCTGGCCAAGAATTTCTAATGTTAATCATAATGTTAAATATTTCACTTCACAAATGACTTTCACATGCAATGTCTTATATGATTCGACTTGAACTCTCAAAATTCTCAGGATAGGGATATTACACCAGCTTTCACATGAGGAATTTGAGGCTGAGAGAGGCTAAGTGACTTGTACAAGGTAATACAGATTAAAGAACCTCCACTTCCAGGTCTTTCCATGGTCTCATCCCCAGCTTCATTATTTGCAAAAAGACATGCCTGCCCAATGTGTCAATGTCATGGGGTTTTTTTTTTTTTTTTTTTTGAAACTTATAGAGGAGGCTGTGAGATTAAGGAGGATGACATATTGAGAGCCCAGAGAAACACAGAGTATAATATAAGCCCTTATTACATTACCCTCTGGAAGATGAATTGGAGCTGCCAAACATTTGCCTAAATCAATAAACAGTGTGGCATTAACTAGTATGAGGTTTATTTTTCCTCTCCAAATGAGGAGTAGTTGGTGTACAGGGAATGCACAAACCCCACACACCTGTTCTTTGTCAAAGACTGCCAAGAGCAAAAGTTCCATCTAAAGAAAACAGAAAGGAAGGAACACGAGGGTTCTGAAGTCACTCAGACCCGGCTTCAGACCCAGGCCCTGACAGTTTACAGCTGTGTGACCTGGACTTCAGTTTCCTAATCTGAAAAATGGGGATGATAAGCCATTCTTCATCACCACAGTGGTGGCTGGCATGCTTGATTCCTCTCTCCCCTGAGTCCTGCCAACTCCACCCACTTAATATATCCACATTTCTTACACTTTCTGGCACCATCTTGGTCCAAGTCAAGGTCATTTCCTCTTGGTCCAAGTCAAGGCCTCCTCCCAGATTTCCCTGATTTCTCTCTTGCTCCTTTCTCCAGTCCATTCTCTACACGAGAGCCAGAATTGTCATTTAAAACCAAATCACATCATGTTACCACTCCACTCAAACCATCCACCTGCAAACTCCTCTCTGTGCCCTGAGAAGTGTGCTTGATCTGATCTCTGCTTCTTGCTCCTGCTCTTCTATCCCTCCTTTTGCCTTGACTACCCAGTTCCAGTCACATTGGTTGGCTTTCTATTCCTTAAACACATGGTGCTTCTCTCTACCCCAGGGCCTTTGCACTGGCTGTTACCACTGCTGGGTGTGTTATGCCCTCTGATGTTTGCATGACCCTCTTCTTGTAATTCAGATTTCAGCTCAAATGCCACTTCTACAAATGGCCTCCTTTTCTAAAAAGCTTTCTGCCCTGCCAGTCTCTTTCTTTTGCATTTCTCTGTTTAATTTATTCTCATAGCATTGATTACATTCCAAATGATCTCACTCATTTGCATGTTTTCATGTTTATGGCCTGACTTGCTTATTAGAATGTAAACTTCAAGAGAGCAGGGATCTCATCTACTTTTCCCCCTTGCTCTATCACCAGTGTTTAGTGCAGTGCTTAATGCATACAATGCCCCAGTAGAATTTTGAAATTGAAAAATATTGAAGAGTCATTTGGTAAAGAAAAGCTTCTTTTCTTTCTTCCTATCCTGCTAAGGTCTGAGGGCCCTTAGGTGTAGATTTTTGGTGCAAGTGAATAATACACCTGGTTTGTAGAGAGTTCTAAGAAAACATTGTTTGTTTTAAGTTGCCCTGTTGAGCTTTGCAAGCCTTTTTCTAGGACCAGCCTGACTTTGGTGGCTCTCAGAATGGAGAGCAAGTGTGGGGTCCTGAGTCTCACCCAAGTGACCCCCAACCTGGAAACGTGTGCTTCTGCTTCAGAGGGTTCCTGCAGTAGACACAAAGCCCTTCATCCATTCATTCATTTAACAAGTACTGTGTCGTTGGGGGCTGAGCCTTTGCAGATCCTGGGCTAAGTACCAGGGGTGCAGCACTGAACAAAATGCATGAACCTTCGCCTCCCAACATCTCAGAGCTGGATGTGTTGTGTTCAAAATGGTATTTTATCAGAGCAGCTTAATGGTCCACAGAAGGAGTGCAGGCCCCCACAAATAAATTTTGTTTCCTCAATGTTTTCTCTCTGGGAAAATGGAGACTGCTTACTTGAACAACCTGATCTCTCTTTGTGCCTTGGGCTCTAGTTTTCATAATGGCTGACCCAGGCTTAGGACTCCTGCTGTTGTCTCTACCCTGGGCTTGGCCTATCCCTGACTGTCTGCTCTGCCATTCATCAGGGCTTTGTAACAGCCTGCTTCTTCCTCCAGTGCAAACCTTTGTCCTCTCTTTGGCTGTTCTATTCCCTGTTGGAGCCACGTATCCCCTGATATGGCTTCTGTAGACTGCTTTCTATTCCTACCAGCCACTCAAGTTGGACTTGCAAACAAGGGGCTATATGTAGCTACCCTCTGATTTATTTTGTGTTTTGAAATCCTGAGGAAGAGTTGATTTTAAGAAAGCATTCTGATCAAGTTTCAAAACCACTAATCTGATGAGCTGCATGCACAAATGAGCTCACCCTCCATTTAGCAAAATGCCAGAGCCGTGCCTGGGCCAGCAGTTCTCAAACTGTAGGGTACATGAGGCTCACTGGGGAAGGCTGATAAAATACCAATTCCAGGACCTCACTGCCATGGATTCCAATTTAGTAGGTCTCTGGTGGGACTCAGGAATCTGCAATTCTAATAAACTCCCTGGGGATTCTGATGTAGCTCCAGGGGTAATAAGAAGAATATTTAGCACATATGAGTACCATCGAATCATCAAAGTCTTGGGGCTCCCCCTCTCCCTCTTGCCTAATACCCGGCTTTGACTTTTTGGTTTCTGGATTGTGAGAGGCAAAGGGGATTTTGAGGAGGGATTGTAGCAGCTGGCTAATCAGGGGGATATTTAGTGTTCTCAGGGCAGTGGCAATTACCAACAACTATGGAGGCAGTTCTGTATTGTAATAACTGGGATTATTGCCAAGCTGTTCCCTGATCTGTTGGGTAGACAGTCTGCAAAACACAGTGGCCACAAGGACACTGGGAATCTTGCACTGGTCGCTACCTTTACCTCAGCCAGGAACTGTGTGTTCATGTTGATTAGCTTCCAGAAGGCACTCGTTACCTGCCCCTCAGTAAAAGACTGAAACCATGCTTGTGGCTTCTTTCTGCTCATTGACAGAATTTGTACCTTCAGGAGCTAGTGTGTAGGATTATTGGCCAATTTGCTTGGCTGCAATGAATGGAAAATGCAGTAGCATTGGATGGGACAAAATATAGCTGACCCAGGCTTCCCAAACAGAGACACTCTTTGTAAGTATTTTACCAGGCTCTCAACAAATGAATGCCTCAGTTGTTCTCATCAAAGTCTTCCCAAGCCAAGAACAGTTGGTTTCCTCTGAATTGAGTGTCTAATTTTTTAATAGAAGTGATCTCAAGAGTGCCCCCTTTGTGATGATTTTCTGGTCCTTTGGTGTCTAGAATGTTTGTGGGTACTAAAATGAAGTTTTGTATTTCAGATAAGAGTCTGAGGGAAATGATTGCCCTAATTAAGATATGTGCCCTTCCCCCTATTCTCTAGTCACACCATCTTTTTAAGTTTCCTTTTTAGCTCTATCACTGGCAAAAACTATCTTATTTGTTTACTTGTTTATTGTCGGTCTCCTCCCACTAAAGTTACATAAGAGCAGAAACCTTTTCCTTGGCTGCCACTGTATCACTAATGCCTAGAAGCATCCCTGGCACACGGTAGAGGCTCAAAGAATATTTATAGAATAAACTAATTCAAGGGGCATATTAGTTAAGGTAATGCTGGCTTCTAGAACAGATAAACCCTGGAGTTTCAGGGGCTTAATACTAAAGAAATGAATTTTGCATTCACATAAAGTTCAATTCGGGGTGCCTGGACAGCAGTTGGAGGGTAGAGGTAGACATGGGATGCTCTGCTCCATGCAGTCACTCAAGGACCCAGGATGATGGAGGAACTTCCAACTTTATCATGTGGCTTTCAACATTGACCTGAGTGTCAACATCTAACCAGTAAGTGGTGGGGGGAATGGTGAGGTCAGAGGAGTGGCATATCCCGTGGGAGGTCTCAACAGGCCTGTCCCGGAAGTGGATATATCAGTTCCATCCATATTCTGCTGGGCAGAACTCAGTCATATGGCCACACCTAACTGCAAGGGAGTCTGGGAAATATTGTCTAGCTGAACACCCAGGAGGAAAGAGAAACGGGCTTAGTAAACAGCTAGCTACTTCCCACCACGGGAGGGTATTTGTGGTTTCTCTATGATTCCTGAATTGGATTTTTAAATTCTCCTGTTTCTATCAGGTTGGTGCAAAAGTAATTGCAGTTTTTGCCATGACATTTAATGCAAAACACGTTATATTAATTGCAAAAACCACAATTACTTTTGCACTAACCTAATATGAAGACCCAAAGTTGTCATCTCTACTCCTGCGGTGGGAACTCCTTAACCTCCCACAGCTTGAACTCACTGTCCTGATATCCTCAGAGCTGCATCCCTCCTTGATCTGATGCTCAGTAGTCCAGAGCCATGCACTTTACACTTCAGGTCTTCTGCTGTTCTCTTTGCCTAGAATGCCTTAATAGCTTAGATTTATTGACATTTTACTGACTGATCCTTCAGAGCTCAGCCTGAAATTCCTCTCTCCTGGATATCCCCTGCCATCTCTCCCAGTGGATCTATTCGTTGTCCTTCTGGGGTCCTGTAACCATGGCTCACTTCTCTGCTTCACTTTATTATGCTTCTCCTTGTCCTTACTTGATTATCTATATTGCTTCATCCTAGGCTGGAATAATATTTTATTTCTCTTTGTATCACTTTCCAGAACTTAGCCTGGCCAAAGAAACTTAGCCTGTTTGTGGTCCCCCAGTTAGAAAAGAAGCCTCTGGCTAGAGTTTGAAACTGGCTTATGGGATTTTGAAGACTCAACCTGTGGTCTGTTTCATGAGGTCAAATCTGAAAATCCTCTAGGGAAGGGGTCCTAAAGGAGGTCTAATTGGGTTCCCCCATTTCAGACACGCAAATGTAGAATCCACGTGGCACTTACAGATATCAGGTTGGTGCAAAAATAATTTTCCCAATACATGAATGGCAAAAACTGTGATTACTTTTGCACCAAATTCCTCTGTGGTAGGAAGGACTTGGATTTAGAAAGACATCAGTTTGGGTTCCAGCCCCGCCACTTACTTGTTCTCTGACCTTGGGCAAGTTATTGAACCTTTCTGAACCTCGGTTTCTCATCCATAAAATGATTGTTTTTACAAGACAAATGTTTTATTGAGTGCCTAATAAGTGTTGGCCATAGGGGAGTGAATGAAATGGACATAGATCTTACAGATTAGTGGGCACAGATCCAATGGCTTTATAAATTAGGTCTGTGGTTACCATGCAAAAAGAATCTTCAACAGAAGGTTTGTTTGAGGAAGCACCGTGGGGCTCAGACCTGATGGTTAGTAAGGACAGATGAGGAGGTTGCAGAAGGATCCAGGCAGAGGCTATAGAATGTATGAAGGCTCCGAGGTGAGAGGGCATCTGGCTGCGTTGCTCAGGGGATTAAACGGACGGCTGCAGTTTTTCATTGTGTGACGAATGCCACACTGGTAGTTCTGAAGATGAATCTTGGATGGTAGCTAAGTGATCACTTAAAGCCCTTTTATATAGTCTTCTCTCTACTCTTTGCATGTTTAAAATCTCCCATCATAAAAAGTCAAATAAAAACTATAATTTATGTGGATGCTTATATTTGCTATTTGAAAAGTGATGTGCACATTCCAGGGCGCAGCTTGGTGCAGATGTTAACCACATGGATTCTGGAGCCTGCTGCTCTACCACTTCTCAGCTCTGTGGCTTCATGCCCGTGATGTGTGCCTCAGTTTCCTGATCTGTAAGATGGGGACGATAACAGCATTTACCTCATAGTGTAGTTATAGAGATTCAACATGCTTGTTATTATGGATGGGAATAATTTAAAGTTTAAGAAATGTATTTAGGCTTAAAGTATGAGTCAATATAGAAATGTTAAGCTAATAATGGCCAAACTTCATCTGGATACTTACTAAGTGCTGTTCTAAGTAGCTCACACATATTATTTCATTGAATGCCTACTATGAGGTAGATGGTATTAACCCATTTTGCAGGTACAGACAGATGACTAGTTTGATCAGGGTCAGTTTATGGCAGAGCAAGGATTCGAGTGCAGGAATTCTGTCTCCAGAGCTCACACCCCTCTGATAAATCTTCCACAAGATAGATATCTTACCATACTGTCTTGGCTAAGTAGTACAGATAGGTTCATGAGTAATGCAAGATTATTCACTCAAGAAATATTTATTGAGCATCTACTACATGCTTGGCTCTGTTGAAAACTCTGGAGTTACAATGGTACACGGTAAATCTCCCACAGAGCTTTGGCTTACAGATGATGAGGGAGAGGGAGAGGGAGAGGGAGAGGGAGAGGGAGAGGGAGAAATCAGTAACAAAGATATAAACCAGATAATTTCAGACCCAGATAAGTCCTGCAAAGAAAATAAAGCTGGATCATGGAAAAGAAAGTGACTGGGGAGCTTTTGTGCTGTCCCCTGCCCCCACTGTGTCCCCCAGGGGGAGTCTGCACTGTGCCTAGGAATGAAGGCTTTTGTCCTTCTCCAAGCTGCAGCTTGGCTCTCCTGATAAGCCAGGCCACGTTACTGCTATGAATTCAATCCAAATTTCAAGACGGTCAGGCCTATTAAGTCAGACCTTTTGACGAGTCTGCAGAGCATGGATTTATTATATGTCAATGTTTGTTTAAATTTGTAACTCTCTCACAGTGGAATTGAGGAGGCAGGCTCCAAATAACCATCAAAGCCCATTAATTTTCTCCAAATGCAATAGCATATTAATCAGGCATCACTGAGGGTCTGTGGTTTGGAGGTGATGCTGATGCAGGATAGATATCTACCCCACTCCCTGCCTCTCCTTGGGAAAAGCAGGTTTTCCTCTGTGACTGACTGTGTATTTATTACACAGCCTTGTGGCCAAGATGAATAATGAATGTAGAATCATAGTTGTATTTGAGCCAGAAGGGACCTTATTGAGGGAGGCTGTATTTTCTGAACCTAAATTTAGGTCCTATATGAGCTGACAAGGGATATTTAAGCTGCTTCTAAGTATGAGAGGCAGTCTGGATATGGGTTTCAGGCACTCGGAAAGCTGAATTTTTAGATGGCTTGGGGAGTGTGAAACACAAAGGCCTTCTTGGGCCTGCCCTGGGGAAAGCCAGGGAGGATTCTTATTATGGCTTTGTAGCATTAGTCCTCTTTTCTCATCTTCCAGAAAATGGGGCTTTGAGAAGGTGTGAATTGCCTATAGCCACACAGTAACTTATTGAGAGAATCAATATTCTGTGCAAAGCAGGCAGGGCAAGTTTCATAAAAAAGAATTTGATTGCTTTGCTCCTCCCTCTGCCTAAAGCCATCCATGGCTCCCTATTGCTTTAACAAAGAAAGTTAAATTCCTAACCATAGTCCCCTGTATGATTGGGCTCTGGTCTGCTTTGACTTCTCGCTTCTCTCCTCTCCAATCCAGCCATTATGAACGTCTTTCAGTTCCCTAGACACTTTCATCTCATTCACCTCCAAGTCTTTGATAACATTATTCCCTCTGCCTAAACCACTCTTCCTCTGCATGGCCTGGCTGGTTTCTGCTCAGCCTTATGCTTCAGTAGCAGCACCATTCCCCCGGTTATGTCCTCCTGGAACCTGCAGATTATTTACCCCTCATGATCTCTGTGGCTCTTACCCCCTGTGTGCCTTGCATGCTGTTCCACTCAGTGCTGGACACAGAGAAGAAGCCTGATAAATCGTATTCATTTTGGAGATGATGGTTAGTATGTGGTTCTCTCTCCAGTGGCCCTGGTTAGCAATTTTCTAGAATGATAAACCGAAAAAGGCTAGAAGTTTATTCCTTAAGGGTCTCCCCAGTTCTCAACTCTTTTTACTTGCCTTGATTTAATACCTCCAGGATCAGTGTTTTGAAAATTCCCACTCTGGCAGTTTTCTTAGAGGTTTAATAAATTCTTCTCTGCCCCTTCTGCCCATCATGGGAAGAAGGGAGCCAGCTCACTCCCTGCCACTGGCCAGCAGGCTGTCCATTCCTCCATCAATCAGACCATTAAAAAAAAAAAAGATCAGGAAAATTCCTGGGAGCCTTTAGGGGCAGGGGCAGGGCCTTCAGCTGGGCTTCTGCTAGAACATATCCAGCCCCAGATTGTGGCAGATTTGCAGTTTTTACTTTGAACAAATTTTCTTAGGCAATGGAAAGAAGTTTGCAATCTGTCTGCTTGCCTGGTTTTGAGCCAAAGAGCTCTGGGAAGGTTTGATCCAGGACCTGGGGATTGTCTTTTTGATGGTTGCTTTCGGGAGGGTGCCTGGATGCTTACTGCATAATGGCTTTGCCCTGCAGAAGAGCAATAAATACAGAAAATTCCCAATAAGACCATCTGGAAAAAGTGAGAAGAAATAAACATCTATCAAGTACCTCCCGTGTGCCAGGATCTGTGCAAGATTCTTTGCATCTTTTATCTCACTCGAGGCTCACACAACCCTATGGGCTTATTGCTATGAATACTATTTAATAGTAAAATTGCTAAAGTTTACTGAGCACTTGCCATGTCTCAGACCTTACGTTGAGTGCTTACAATGCATTATCTCATGGGATCATTACCACTGCCCACTAAGGTACAGGTTACAAATGTCCCTTCATGTAGAGGGACATTGAAACAAGCACAGTTTTATACCATGTGGAAGTATGATTCAGGCCCTGTCCAGAAGACTCCAAGACTCATTGTTAATTTCAGCATCCAGGATTCCTGCTTAGTGCCCACCATTGAGACTTCTGAGGCCTTCTGAAGGATATTATTCTGGGAGACCACGCTCCAAACCAGGATTTTCTTTGAAGGATTTAGAGGACTCAGCTTTCAGGTAGCATGACTTCAACATTTGCACAGCGTATAACTCATCTCTTATTTGTTTTCCCATATACTCCTGTTTTGATAAATGGCATATCTCAAAGTATGATGATGAAGTAACAAATAATTTGTCTGATTTTTCCATGGTAGATGCATAACTCAAAATCAGATGGGATCATCAGAACTTCTGATCAGCATGATATGGAGCCAGGCATCTGTGAAACCTAAAGCAAATCCAGGCATCTCTTGACTGTGCAATTTCTAGTAAGCCTTTTGAGCCACCAAAAATAGTTTATGGACTTATAACATTTTTTTTTTGAGACGGAGTCTAGCTTTGTCACCCAGGCTGGGGTGCAATGGCATGATCTCTGTTCACTGCAACCTCCACCTCCCAGGTTCAAGTGATTCTCCTGCCTCAGGCTCCTGAGTAGCTGGGATTATAGGTGTGTACCACCACACCTGGCTAATTTTTGTATTTTTAATAGAAATAGGGTTTTACCATGTTGGCCAGGCTGGTCTCAAACTCCTGACCTCAAGTGATCCACCTGCCTTGGCCTCCCAAAGTGCTGGGATTACAGGCATGAGCCACCGCACCTGGCTGACTTACAGCATTTTTTAAAAAGGACTTTATGGGTCCAGGAATCTAGAAAAGAAGTTCTGTTCTAAGACAAGCTTTGGACTTCAAGATAACTCCATAATAGGTAGAGGTTATGAGATATAACTGCTTGAATATGTGAGGGATTTATTGAGTCGATCATTCAGATATGAATTATTCAATTAAATGCATTCACATACCACACATTCATTTACTATTTTAATTCTCCTATTACTTATTGACTGAGTCTGCCATTCAACTCATTAAATCCTTTAGTCATTCAAGAAACATTTCTGGTCCAGTGTGTGAGCTTCTGGACTCTGCAGAGAAAAGTAACTTAAAAAAATTTGCTTTGTGTTCCAGGTTCAGCAGGCACTAGCCAGGAAATTACTGACAGATCCAAAGGCTTGAGCTGCCATTCTAAGCTTTGGTTAGGAGTATGTGTGTGTGTGTGTGTGTGTGTGTGTGTGTGTGTGTGTGTGTGTGTGTATGTGTATGTGTCTGTGTGTGTTGGATTTGCAGGCTTACTCCTGGTATTTTGCCTCATAGATATCTAGGATTCATTTCTGGCAAGTTGAAGATCATCTCCAAGTCTCCCTTTCCCCATCTGTAAAATAATCAGGTTGACCAGATGACGTAGGATTCATTGTAAGATTGTCTATCAGGTGCCTAGCCCTATGCTTTTAGTAGGCAATTGCTCCCTTGCAACTTTCACTGTAGGTTTGAAATGGGGATTCATCAGGAAATGACCTAGCTTGGCTTTGCTCTTTACACCCAAGGGAGGAAAATGTGTCCCTGTGGTTATTTCCCCCACTGAATTGCTGATAGTGGTGATGGAGTAGGGGATACTGGGCCTGGCTGCATGTGTTGTAACAAAAACAAGAACAGCTCTTGACAGCATGATTTTTTTTCTCTATCCATAACTTAAATCTTCTCTGTCAAAAGGGGAAAATTAGACAAAGGAAAAATTCCAAAAGGATAATGAGTCCTCATTTCCTCCTGCTGCTTCTCCTCCTTGGGCAGTGCTGTCAAAATGCCCTGACATCACCCTCCTGCCTCCACCTCCACTTATGCTTCCAGATGATTCTCACCTCCTGAAATGCTCAAACTTGGGAGGGTCTGAATGGGGGTTCTGATCCTGCCTCTCGGTGCATTGGTACAGCATCCGGAACCCCACTCCTGGTACTTTTCCGTTTGTTTTGTCATTTGCCCCATATTTGTCCTTGTAAGTCTTCAAGGATAGAGGATATATGTATTCTCAAGAAGAGAAACAACTTCTAGCAATTTTCTAAAGAAATCATCTTGGAGGTGTCAAACTAAATGCCCCCATAAGGGGATGCTACATAGAGGAGGTACTATGATGATATAGAATAACTATTGACATGGAGCGATGTCTAGGATATATTGGTAAGTTTTTAAAATGCATGGTTACAAAATCATATCAATAATATGGTCTTATTTGTGATATTGATTGAGATATGGATGTAGATATACATCTGTTGATGTAGAACAGAATATTATTAATAACTAATATAAATTAATCTCTGGATGAAGATATTATGGATAAATTAATTTTTTCCTTTTTTTACTTGTTCACAGTTTTATATATATACATTTTAAATTTGAGATGAAATTAAATGGGTCTGGCTCCGTCACCCAGGCTGGAGTGCTGTGGTGTGATCTTGGCTCACTGCAACCTCTACCTCCCAGGCTCAAGCCATCCCCCTACCTCAGCCCGTCAAGTGGCTGGGACTACAGGTGGACACCACCACACCTGGCTAATTTTTGTATTTTTAGTAGAGACAGGGTTTCATCATGTTGCCCAGGCCAATCTTGAACTCCTGAGCTCAAGCGGTCCGCTCTCTTCAGCCTCCCAAAGTGCTGGGATTACAGGCATGAGCCACCACGCCCAGCCATTTTATAATTGTTTATAGTACACATATATTACAACTGTAATAAAAAAATGCAGTAACCATTATCTTAGAATCTAACTGGGGAAGCCAGGCCATGGAAGAGTTACCTGTCTCTCCTCATCCCCTCAATAAGCTAGTAACAGATTGGAACTCAGTCATTCTGCTTCTGTGCTCAAGCTGTTTTTATGGGACATCCTAATCTCCTAAAGATTCATCAAGAAGGGTCCACCAGGAAAATCTCAATTTTAAATATTCTGCCATGTTGCTGTCCTGGGTAAACCCCTATGCATAGAAGCAGTATAACAGTGTGTTCTGGAGTTCTGTTTTTACCAGTTCTTAGCTGTGTGACATTGGGCCTCCATTTTGTCATCTGAACAGTGAGGTTAATAGTAATCCTTATCTCAGAGGGCAGAGGTGAATATTCCTTGAGGTGACGCTTTTGCATAATGCATCCTACTGAGTACGTACTTGTATTAGTCTGTTCTCACACTGCTAATAAAGACATACCCAAGTCTAGGTAATTTGTAAAAGAAAGAGGTTGAATGGACTCACAGTTCCACATGGCTGGGGAGACCTCACAATCATGGCAGAAGGCAAAAGAGGAGTAAAGGCACATCTAACATGGCAGCAGCCAAGAGAGAGCATGTGCAGGGGAACTCCCATTTATAAAAGCATCAGATCTTGTGAGACTTATTCACTACCACAAGAACAGTATGGGGGAAACCACCCCGATGATGCAATTGTCTCCACCTGGCCCTGCCCTTGACTCGGGTTTATTAAAATTCAAGGAGAGATTTGGATGGGGACACAGCAAAACCATTTCAGTACTGAATGAATATCGACTACTTCTGGGTGGCCTGCGTGCTTCAATTTGGGGTTCAGAAAATATCTTCACTTTACACACCTTCTCATCCACTTGCCTTCATTTTTTATTTCATTTTTTACTTCATGGAAATTTAGTGGCATTGAACAACCATTGTGCTAGGTAGGGCAAGATAGTTTAAACAAACAAATGACCAAAACAAAAGTGAATGTTGAAAGCCAGCCCATATTTCCAGAGTTTCAAGACTACCTTGAATCAGAGCCCAATTTGCTTTCAATTACTCCCCTGTACAGTTCTTGAGTTTTTATAAAATTTACATTTTTTTTTTTTTGAGATTGAGTCTTGCTCTATCACCAGGCTGGAGTGCAGAGGCACGATCTCAGCTCACTGCAACCTCTGCCTCCCCGGTTCAAACAATTCTCCTGCCTCAGTCTCCTGAGTAGCTGGGACTACAGGTGCCCGCCACCACACTCTTCTAATTTTTGTATTTTTAGTAGAGATGGGGTTTCACCATGTTGGCCAGGCTGGTCTCGAACTCCTGACCTCGTGATCCGCCTGCCTCGGCCTCCCAAAGTACTGGGATTATAGGCGTCAACCACTGCGCCCGGCCTAGCATTTAAAAATTTTAATAATTTCTTATTGCAAGTCTTAAATCCCCAAAGGAGAAATGAGTAAATCTAGTTTACGGTAGAAACCCCCAGTCATTAAAAAGTAATAATAATCCAAGAAAAGAAAAAAAAGAAGCAAGCAATGTGGTGTCAGACAAGTTAGAATCCAGTCTCTGAAGGGCTTTCTGCTTTTGTTAGTGATTTAGAGACATTTTCCCCCCTCCTTTCTGAATATGCTTCTAGCAGTGGAAATAGTTTTTCTGTAATAACTCTTGGTGAACATGTCACCTGAAATATTTGGCTCTAAAGATGATTAAAGATTATGTATGAGGGAGCAAAGCAATGAGGCCAAGAAGCCCACTGTCTTGTGAGAGCTCTACCAACAGTCATTATTAGGAGAGATTCCTCCCTTGTCCCACTCTGATTGATGAGTCATGAATCAACCATGAATCTCAAAAACTAAAGGCTGCCAATTACACTGAAATAATTGAGTCTTGAACCCAATCTATGGCAGAAATACAACTGACGGACAGACACTTTGCAAAACCCTATTTAGATGAGTTCACCCAACCAAGAAATCCATATGGCTCCAAGTTGCTGGGGAGTTGTTTCTATTTTCCTGGATTAACTTAAATGTCTTTAACCATCTGTTGTTCTTTTTCAGTGGTAGCCAAACCTCAAACATACTAAGGGAAAAACAGATTTAAAAAAAATGCCACCTGTTCTGAGCCCTGTGCTGGATAGGTATTTGGTTCACTACCCAGAAGCTTTCACTATGGGTGTGGTTATTCCCATCTTTGGTTGGGGAAACTGAGGCTTGGAGAATTTAAGTTAATTACTCAAGTTGGCACAGCTATTACCAACAAAGAAATCCTTTAGGATCCCCTTTCCTTCCTTTCTTTTTTTTTTTTTTTTTTTTTTGAGGCAGAGTCTTGCTCTGTTGCTCAGGCTGGAGTGCAGTGGCATGCTTTTGGCTCATTGCAACCTCCGCCTGCCAGGTTCAAGCAATTCTCATGTCCCATTCTCCCGAGAACCTGGGATTACAGGTGTCTGCTACCACACTGGCTAATTTTTGTATTTTTAGTAGAGATGGGGTTTCGCCATGTTGGCCAGGCTGGTCTCGAACTTCTGACCTCCGGTGATCCGCCCACCTCGGCCTCCCAAAGTGCTGGGATTACAGGTGTGAACCATCGCACGCAGCCCCCTTTCCTTTCTACTGTCTGCATTCAATCCTTCATCAAGTGTTGGCATCTCACCTCTGCAATGTAGTTGACGATCTGATTACTTCCTTTCATTTCCATTACCTCCAGCATGGTCCAAGTCTCCATCATCATTCACCTAAGCTATAGCCAAAGCCTCCAACAGGTCTCCCTGCAACCATGTTAACCCCTTACAGTCTATTCTTTCTGCAGCAGTCCAACTGTTCTCTTAAATAATGCAAATCAGATTATATCATTCAATTATGGTGCCCTTCCAGAGTTTTCCCATCCACATGGATTAAAATCTGGACTCTACCCCATCACCTACCACCTCTCTCTGACTTCACCTTGCCTGATTCCCTGTTGCTTTCTTCAGTTTTCAGACCTCCCTGATCTTTCTTCGTGTATCTTAAGCCCACTGAACTCATTCCTGCCTCAGTGACTGTGTATTTTCACTTACTCTTCATTCTGCCTGGAATGCTCCACCTCTCATATGGGACGTGGCTTCCTGGTCCAGGTCTCAGGTCCAGTGAATTCTTCTAGCAGTGAAAATAAAATAGTTTTTCTGTAATAACTCTTGGTGAACATGTCACCTGAACTATTTGGCTCTAAAGATGGTTAAAGATTATGTATGAGGGAGCAAAGCAATGAGGCCAAGAAGCCCACTGATACCCTCCCCAGAGTCGGTATCCTTGACGATTCCAGCTGGAGGAGTCTCGCCTCTTCTCTTCCAGCTGGAAGCTTCATCTCTTCTCTCTCTTTCATATAACCTGCTTTATTTTCTTTAAAGCCCACATCAATCCTGAAATTATTTTGTTCACATATGAATTTGCTTTTTTGGTATGTCTTCCCTATTAGAATGTAACTTCCATGAGGACAGAAACCACAGCTGTGTGTTTCCTGCACCTAGAACCATGCCTGGCATTTGATTCAAACACTGGCCTTAAGCAAACCTCCACCTAACGAGCCTCAGTTTTGTCATCTATAAAAATGGGGATAACGATGATCTTCACCTTACAGGGTGGATGCAAAGGTGAAATAAGAAAAACCTGTGGCTCCCACGGTCTGCTTGGCGTCTGGTGCACTGTTGGGCCTCAGTGACTGTTACCCTCCTTCTTTCCCATCCATCCTTTGGTATAGCATTGAAATTTCCTAAGCAGCAAATGATGACTGTTCTATTTTGAACTCCCCGATATTTCTAGGAACCAAGAAGTCTTGAAATCATTTGACTACATACATGTCCATGGAAATTCTTATTGGTGAATCAAAGAGAATGTCTTTAACTTTCTATTATAATCTCCTTTTAAACATAGGGACAAATTTGACTTATTTTCAGGGCAACAATGGGATTTTGCTAAGGAAGTTTGTTAAACTCCTCTTGAGATGGTTGATAAAAAGGCAAATAATGAATACCTCGTATGCAGAGGGTTTAGACTTGCCTAGAGGCAGATGCTTAGAATAGAGAGAAATCTTTAACACGGGCTGCTTCTGGCCTCTCTCTGCACCTCCAGCCCCTCTCATGAGTGATGTTCAACTTGCTCTCTGCCTTCCAGCCACACTGACTTCATTTCAGTGCATGGAAATTTCCACGCTGTCTCCTGCCACGGGGCCTTTGCACATGCTATCCCCACTGGTTCACTCTTCTTTCTAGTCTAACCCTAGTTTGCTTTTACTTGTCCTTCAAATTTCTACTTATATGGCTCTTTCTTAGGGAGACCTTCAGTGACGTTTCCAAAGCAAACCCCTTTGTCCTACAATCACAAGCTGCCCCAAGTTTATATGTATGCATATCATTATTAAATTAATAGGCCTTCTCCTAATTTGGCCATCATCATATAATAATAGCTCACACTCTTAGAATTTGTTCTGTTCTAAGCCCTTCAGTTGTATTATTTTATATAATCCACAGAAACCTCATAAGATAGGGAACTGTGATTATGCCCATTTTACAGGTGGGGAAACTGAGTCACAGAGAAAGTAAGTGATTTTCCCAAGACCATGCTTCAGGTAAATAGAACGAGAATTAGAACTCAGACATCTTTGCTTCAGAGTCTGTGCCCATAACCACAGTGCTGTTTTGTGTCTCTTTTAGGCTCTTTGGGAGTAATGACTATGTTAATTTTTGCTTCTCACTGTCTCTCTGGTTCTAGTGCAGGAACTCATGCATAGTAAACTCCACCTAAGTATTTGGGGTTGAATGAATGGCTCCTTCTCTCTATTTCTGTACCCCAAAGACTCTGTTTCCTTACAGTCTTCTTGGTGATCATGAGAAAGTGTCTTGGCTCTCACAGTTTGAATTCCAATTCCAGGAGCACTGTAATGTAACTTTGTCAGACCCATTGAAGTACGAGCCAGCATCCCACTCTGAATTACAAGAGCTGAGCAGAATTCTAAATTCTCCCTCCATGCCCACTCACCCTCTTCCCTCATAGCACTCTGGAGGCTGTGTGCCACCCAGGGAAACACTAAAATGCATTCTAGGGCAACAGAGAAGTCATCAGAATTACTGAGGATGCAGCAAAGCTGATATTCCCTTAACTCATTACTCAACCGAGATGTATTGTTTTTTAAGAAATCTCGTGCTTAGGTGAGAGTGATGGAACAAATTACCAACTTGCCTTGCTAACAGCCAGTAAGTCCAACAAGCCTTTGCTGAGTGATGCCCACAGGGAAGTTGCCAGCTAGATGCACAGACTGTTGCTGATGTCACACATGTGGTTTTCATGAAGCTTGGGACGCAAGTATGCACAGTGGGTGGCAGATCCGCCTCTGTCATGTGGACTGTGAACTGTAGGAGGGCAGAGACCCAGCATGGACCTCTGAGGGCACAGTTCAGGGCCTGACACATAGCAGGTGCTTGGGAAATATTGGCTGAATTAATATATAGGATATAGGGGCCATGCGCTTAAATGGGCTCAACTCTGAACACTTTATCCCAGGGCAGCAGGAGAACAGAGGAAGCATGCATGCATGACACAGCACTAAATGACAGAAGTGTGCTGGGGGTGTATACTTGAATCAAAGAGGCATTGGTAGAAGAAGAGCTACATTTTACAGGGTGGAGGCAAACTATGGTTTGTCTAGGGAAAAGTCAAATTATGCAATAGAGGCCTGAAGGCAAGGAGATAAAGTCCTGCTCCTCAAATCCACTTCCCTGGGTCAATGAGATCTGTGTTGATCCATCTCTTTATGTTGGAATCACCTACAGACATCAGGTCAGACATGTAGACCAGTGTTAGGTATGGGGAGGGACACATACACTGAAGGGAAGACTAGAATAATATCAGTTATGGGTTGGAAGGATTTATTGGGTAATAAATAGCATGACTCTGGGCCAGATTGTCTGAGTTCAGACTCAGGGCCTGCTCCTTAGGAGCTGTGTGGTCTTAGCTAAGTCACCTCACCTGTCTGTACCTCAGTTTCCTTTCCCATAAAACTTGCCTTCCGCTTCACAGTGTTGTGGTCAGGGTTCAGTGAGTCAATGTATGCAGAGTGCTTAAAAGGACTGCCAAACACAGCAGTCAGTGAGTGCTACATAGGCATTAGCTTATTAGGGTGGGAAAAGGGTACTTGAATTCATGCCACGAAGCGTTCATTCTCAGGATTGGTTAACACCTCGCTGTTAGCAGGAGGAAGTGAGAGAAAGTAGACACAGCGGGGCTTAGGGAGATAGTGAATCTGGCAGGTGTGTAGGTTTGGATTGAACACAGGCTCTGTGGTATGTTAGCTGTGAGGCTAGCAAAGGGGAGTATGGGGCGCCCCCGATCCAGAAAGCATATTGCAAAAGGAAAATACAAACTGGAAGCTAAAGGAATGGGCCTCGGTGCTATAGGCCCGCTAGCAGAGGGGGCTGCTGAGCATGTAATGCCCTTCCTGCCTGGGGCTGGAGGGTTGTACCCAGGTGAGGCTCAGAGGGCCAGTCCTCCAGCTGTGGCAGCCTCCAGGGAGCCGAACAATAGAACGTTCATGGATTTGAGCTAGGCTTGCCTTTCACAAGACAGCCCTGGATGGATGGGATGGGACTCTCATTTATGGAAGGCAGGTGCTCTGTTCCTCCTTAGGATCCAACAAGCTTAGAAGGGAATGTTTTCAAAGTAGGGAGTGTCGGATTCACCGTATCCTAATTGCCTGGGGGGTTTATTTATTTATTTATTGACAGAGTTTTGCTCTTATAGTCCAGGCTGGAGTGCAATGGGGCGATCTTGGCTCACTGCAATCTCCAGGGAGGTTTATTAAAATGTAGATTCTTGGGCTTCACCATAGATCCATCAAATCAGATTTTGGGGAGTAAGAGCCCAGGACTCAGCATTTTAAATACACTCCCGAAGGGATCTGATGCATACCATAGTTTGAGAACTGCTTGCTCTAAATAAGTGATACTTTTTTATTTTTAATTTAATTTTATTTAAGTTCTGCGATACATGTGCAGAATGTGCAGGTTTGTTACATAGGTAAACGTGTGCCATGGTGGTTTGCTGCACCTATCAACCCATTACCTAGGTATGAAGCCCTGCATGCCTTAACTTTTTATCCTGATGCTCTCTCCTCCCTACCACCACAGGCCCCATTGTGTGATATTCCCCTCCCTGTGTCCATGTGTTCTCATTGTTCAGCTCCCACTTATGAATGAGAACATCCAGTGTTTAGTTGTCTGTTCCTGTGTTAGTTTGCTGAGGATAATGGCTTCAAGCTCCATCCATGCTCCTGCAAAGGACATGATCTCGTTCCTTTTTATGGCTGTATAATATTCCATGGTGAATATGTTAAATAAGTGATTCTTAATCAACAGTGCACCTCAGAAATGGATGGAGAGCAGTTTCCACATACAAGCATGCCAATCTTGCTCCCTAGAGATTCTGATGCAATAGGGCTGGGGTGGGACAAAGCCCAGGCATATGAACTTTTTTTTAAAAAGATGCTTTTCCAGTGATTGAGTGAATAACAATTTGGCTTGCTTATTGCCTGGTCATACAATACCTGAGAGCTTGTTAAAAATGCAGGTTCCCAGGACTAGTTCTAGAGTTACAGAATGTGCCTCTATGGGGAAGGGGTGATTCTTAGCATTGGCTGAAATTGGGACCCAGGGTACCTACTGCTCTGTGCCCTCTTATTACTCAGGGCCTCCCTGGTGATTATAACAAGGGGGACTCATGTTGACAAGTAACTGCTACGGCCATCCCTGAGCCATGAGGCTCTTTACACTACTTCCTTCATTTACTCCCACAACTACCATGACTTACCATTATTCCTATTTTCCAGATGAGCAAAGTGAGGCCTAGGGAGGAAAGGAAGACAGCAGTGATGCTGAGAAGGGGTGGAGCTCAGAATAAAATCCTAGAGCCACAAAAGTTCTCTTCTAGTCTTCCACTCCAAGCCCAATGTAAGGGAAAAGTGTCATCTTTCGAGGAGAGGTAGTTGAAAGCTTTTGTACAGGTTCAGGGCTGCCATCCCCCATGATGGCTACATGTCATTGACCAGTGGTGTGGTGTATTTGTGTGTGTGTGTGTGTGTGTGTGTGTGTGTGAATGTGTATGTGTGGTGGGAGATGTCTCCCATAGCTAGGGATCCAGGCAGGACCAGCACACATAATACCGTTGCTCACTAACTAACCAATAGCTCAGCAAGGGGAAGTACATAATTCTAGACCATTTGGCCAAGACACGTGATGAGTGTGGGTTTGGGGGGTGGACATTTGGGAAGGTGTTTCCATATGCATTTTCTGTATTAACCAGTAAGACATTCTTAGAATAATTAGGAATTGAATGGTGTGTTCCCCCAACTCCTATGTTAAAGCCTTGGCCCCCAGTACCTCTGAATGTGATATTATTTGATATTATTCTTTGCCTCTGTAAAAACTCTATCTTTTTTTTTTTTTTTTTTTTTTTTGAGACAGAGTCTCACTCTGTCGCCCAGGCTGGAGTGCAGTGGCGTGATCTCGGCTCATTGCAAGCTCCCCCTCCCGGGTTCATGCCATTCTCTTGCCTCAGCCTCCCGAGTAGCTGGGAGTACAGGTGGCCGCCACCATGCCTGGCTAATTTTTTGTATTTTTAGTAGAGACGGAGTTTCACTGTGTTAGCCAGGATGGTCTCAATCTCCTGACCTCGTGATCTGCCCACCTCGGCCTCCCAAAGTGCTGGGATTACAGGCGTGAGCCACCGCACCTGGCCTATCAGATAGACTATTTACAGAGGTACAGAGTCTATCTGTAAACATGTGGACATGTGGGTGGGGGACATCACATACTGGGGCCTGTCAGAAGGTTCAGGTGGGGAGGGAGAGCATCAGGATAAACAGCAAATACATGCGGGGGGTCTTCATACCTAGGTGATGGGTTGATAGGTACAGCAAACCACCATGGCACACGTTTACCTATGTAACAAACCTGCACATCCTGCACATGTAAACTTGAACTTAAAATAAAAAGAAGAGTCTATCTGCAAATAATATCACATTCCGATATTATTATATAACCACATTCTGACCTCAAGTTAGAATGAGGTCGTTAGGGTAAGCCCCAATCCAGTATGACTGATGTTCTTACAAAAGGGGAGGTTTGGACAAAGGAAAGGTGATGTGAAGAGACACAGGGAGAAGGCAGCCATTGACAAGCCCAGGAGAGAGGCCTCCAAAGGGACCCACCCTGCCCACACCTTGATCTTAGACTTTCCGACTCCAGAACCGTGAGACAATAGATTTCTGTCATTTAAGCCATCCTGTCTGTGGTTCTTTATCTTAACAGCCCTAGCAAACAAATACAGGCAGTAATTCTGATTATTACCCCCATTTGACAGGCGAGGTAACCAGTATTCAGAGAGATCATGACCTTCACCCAGAGTCACATGACAGTTAAGTGCAGGTGGCTCCACTAAATCCCAGACGGGCCTGGCTCCAAGGTGCCGGTTTCCTCTGTTCTCTCAATGCGCCCCGATGTGCCACATTATTGAAGCTGGAGGGACAGCGTTCCTGGGAAAACCATTTAGATTTCATTCTCCTTCCTTTCTCTGACAGAAGCTGCTGGTGAGGAAGGTAATGATCTTGATCAAACCATCCCCAGAATGCATGCCTGCCTTTGGAAGGAGCAGACTGGGATGAAATTCTCTACTCTGCGTCTTATCAACCAGAGGACATGAGGCAGGTTTCTTAACCTCTCTCTAGGATTCCGTTTTCTTCTCTGAGAAATGGGCAGATTGGAACGGATCACAGAGGGTGATGGTGAAGACTGAAAACAGCCTAGCACGGTGCTTGGGTACAGCAAGCCTTGGGCGATGGTAGGTGCTACTTTTTATTTCTTGAAATACACTCTGGAGGCTGAGGCAAGAGGATCACTTGAGCCCAGGAGTTTGAGTCCAGTCTGGGCAACACAGTGAGACCCCATCTCAAAAAAAAAAAAAAAAAAAAAAAACACTCAAAATACAGGAAATTAAAGGTGGAAGCAATGATGTGGGTTCAAACACAGAGAGACAACAGAAGAGCCACGAGCCTCTGGTGCCAACACAAAGCCCGCCTAGGCCAGGAAGCTTTAAAATTATCTCCTGGGTAGGGCAGAGCCAAGGGCTGGCGTGGGAGTTGGAAGTCAGAGACAAGAGCCCAGCCTGGCTGTTAGAATGGGTTAGGGCTATGCAAAGAGTAGGCTCTGGACAAACCCTTGCTTCTTCCTAGTCCAAAAAGACTGAGGGCCGCATGGGGTCATACTCTCCATATCGTCTCCTGGTTGACACATTTCCATGTCCCCTCCAAGGCATGGTGCATGGTATGGGGATCGGGGACCTTGTGGTCCCAATGCTCCTGTCTCCACTGGGACTGAAGGAACTGGTATACCGGAAAAGCAGGGCTTGCTTATCGCCCTGCCTCTTGGAAGCCAATCCTCGTTAAACATAGTAAACACAGGAATGCTTTTTCAGGCCCTCCACACGGGGCCTGATACGGCTACAGGCAAGACCTACTAGAATAGTTATCTGAAGCCTTTGCATATGCTCTGTGCTACAGCCAGCGATATAAATACGCCTCACACACGGCGTTAAAAGAATCATTCCGCAGCCTACACAGATGTCAAAATAATAACAGGATGATGTTAGGCAAGGAAATAGTTTTGATGCCTATTCTCCCATTTAGAGTTATATAATCCTTTTTTTGGTTGTTATTGTTGTTCAGGAAAGCAGTCTGCAAGTCGCTTCGTCCGACAATCTAAGATTGTTACATATCAGCAAAACATTTGAACTTGGCAGGTTTATGCACTGTCCGGATTAAAGGGAACTTGGGTATAAGGCCACTTTGGAGAATGCATTAGCTAGACTGGGAGTGCCCAATACTTACATTAACTCAACATATGTATTGAGGACCTAGTATATGCAGGGTACTGTGCTGGGTGCTGGAGATACAGATGGACCAAACAGGTATAGCTCCTGCCCTCTGGAGCTTTGCAATTCATTACAGGAAGCAACCCCAACCCATTAACCAGCTACATAATAACGTCATTGCAAATTGTGATTTCTGCTGTAGAAGAAACAAACAAAAGGCCAACAGAATGAAAGAAACGGGATACGAAGTGATGGGTTGGGCCTCTCTGAGGAGGCAGCATGTAAGCCAAGACTCAAAGGCTAAAAAAGATATAGAGCCATTGAATGGTGGGGGGAGGAGCATTCTAAGCAGACGGAAGAGCCTGCACAAGTTCCTTAAGTTGGACGGAGCTCAATGCGCCAGAGGAAAGGAGAGCAGGCCGGTGGGGCTGGACTTGAGTGAGGCAGGCAGCAAGTAGGGAAGGCGAAGTGCCCAGTCAAGTTCCAGCTCCGATTATTTTTATTAATCCAAGTCTGTTGCAGCTTGGGCTGCCAAATAAAATACAGGACCCCCAGATAAATTTGAATCTCAGACAAACAACGGGTGGCATTTTAGTGGAAGTATACCTCAAGTATGGCAGGGGACTTACGCTAAAAAAAAAAAAATCCATTGTTTATCTGAAATGCACATTTAAGTGGGAGTCCTGTGTCTCTAGTTGCCAAATCTGGTAACCCTGGCTGTAGTGATCACCTGACTCCGTGCACACTGGGAAGACAGCAGAGGTGTTCAGATAAATCCTATGGACAAAGATGATGGTTTGTTTTGTACCTGCAGTTTTCGCAGAGTAGATCAAGGACTGCATCTAGGTACAGTGGACATTGCTGTGTGACCTAGAGCAGATTGCTTAACCTCTCTGTGTCTTACCTGCCACAACTGAGCAACAGGGGTCCTTTTGGGTCTTGAGTAGCTCAGTAGATTTTACTGAGGCTTCCATTGCAGAATGTTTCCTAAAGTGCTGCAGAGAGTAGTGGGGTTTTGATTAGTTGAGGGTGTGAGTTATCATGGTGCTTTTGAGCCCCTGAGACTAGATTACTCAGAGGAGTTTCCTGGAGTAGGGGGAGGGGAGTATTACTTATTTTTTCCTTTTGCCCCTGACTAATTTGGCTTGGCAGAGTAGAGTTACTGATTTTGCATTTATTTAAAATTTTGATACCTTGTTCAACATGGATTTTTAGAATTACTTTTGATTTTTAAAACTGTTGCATTTGAATACTGTTTATTCCGATGATGGAGTTTCTTGGTGCCCCTGTAAGTTGTGCACCCAAGGAAAGTGGCTCACCAGCCTCACCCTGGTACCCTGATCCTGGCTCCCGAGGGAGAGACCACAGTGGCGAGGCTAGATGCACTTGCCTGGGCGTGCTTTCGGACGCATCCCTCACTAGCTGAGTGACCCTATCTCAGTTTCTTTTCTTTTTTTTTCTTTTTTTTGAGACGGAGTCTTGCTCTGTCACCCAGGCTGGAGTGCAGTGATGCGATCTCAGCTCACTGCAACCTCAGCCTCCCGGGATCAAGTGATTCTCCTGCCTCAGCCTCCCGAGTAGCTGGGACTACAGGAGTGTGCCACCACACCCGGCTACATTTTTGTATTTTTAGTTGAGACGGGATTTCACTGTGTTAGCCAGGATGGTCTTGATCTCCTGACCTCGTGATCTGCCCACCTCAGTCTCCCCAAATGCTAGGATTACAGGTGTGAGCCACTGCACCTGGCCCTCAGTTTCTTTATCTGTAAAACGGGTTTAATGAAAGCACAATCTTAAAGTTGGTCGGGACCTTAAATGGAAAAAAAAAACAAAATCCATGTCCTATAGTTAGGCTAGTGCCTGGCATTCACAAAGTACACAAAGCATGTTCACCATCACCATTATTATCTTTGAATCTCAGTTTTCTCATCTCGTAAAGTGGAAATGACACTAACTTCTGCCTCCGTGTGTTCTTGTGGGGCGTCAATGAAATAATGGCGCAGAATGTTCATCTAAGTACTGGGTCCTTCAGCATCCTCTTCTTTCTTTACATCAGGAAAGCGAGATATTTCTATTGATTGCGCAATGGCATTGACAGCTCACCACTTTCCAGCGAGAGTCAGTGATGGTATCCAAGGAAGGGTGCGTATACTGCAAAGACTATAACAGAGACACACACATTGGTACCATGAAGCAGAACCAGGTGGAAATGTGTCAGCCAGGAGACGATATGGGGAGTATGACCCTATGCGGCCCTCAGCCTTTTTGGACCAGGAAAAAGCAAGGGTTTGTCCAGAGCCCACTCTTTGCGTAGCCCTAACCCATTCTGACAGCCAGGCTGGGCTCTTGTCTCTGACTTCCGACTCCCACACCAGCCCTTGGCTCTGCCCTACCAAGGAGATAATTTTAAGGCTTCCAGGCCTAAGCAGGCTTTGTGTTGGCACCAGAGGCCCGTGGCTCTTCTGTTGTCACTCAGTGTTTGGACCCACATTATTGCGTCCACGTTTAATTTCCTGTGTTTTGAGGGTTTTTGAGATGGAGTCTCACTGTGTTGCCCAGGCTGGACTTGAACTCCTGGGCTCAAGTGATCGTCTTGTCTCAGCCTCCAGAGTGTATTTTGACTCAACTTTTGCACTGAGAGCCAAGATTTGAATAGTTTTAATGCCAGGCCACAGTCATTCATTTATTCAGTCAACAAATACTTATTGAGCACCTACTATGTGCTAGGTACTTTTATAGATCCTGGAGATACCAGCAGCAAATTCAGAGACAGGTGACCTTGCTTAGGGAGCTTATCTTCCTATTGTAGAGGTAGACAAGAAAGAATAGAACACATGAGATCAGGCGCGTTCAGGGTGGTATGCCACTGACAAACCTGCACATGTTCCCCTTGAGCCTAAAATAAAAGATGAAAAGAAAAATAATAATAATACAAGAATTTTAAACACACCATTCCTTCAGCATATCAAAGTCAAGCAAAATGTACATAAGAATTTTGAATGATATAAGGATCATTATATGTGTATGCACAAATGTGCACACTTTCCAGTTCAATACCACTAGTAGCCAATAACGGAAGTTTGCATTACAAATCTACCCAGAAAACAAAAGAGACTCTCCTAAAAATATTAAAAGAAAACTTCAAATTTTTCTGTTTTCAGATTTTTTTCTACAATGAACATGTATTACCTTTATCATTTTTAAACAACGAAATAAAAGTTGTAAGGCAAAAAAAAAAAAAAAAAGAAAAAAAGAGAACAAATGGATGAGAAAGATTACCCTCACCAGAGTGGGATATAAACCAAACAGCCAAGGGAGAGGGTGAGACACTGGAAGAGGGTGCTTTGGGGAGGGGCAGCCTCACTGAGGTGTGACATTTGAGCTGAGACCTGATGGATCACAAACTGCATTCCTCCTTTAAGCTTTGTGTCTTTGTCTGTGACATGGGATCAGAGACCCCACCTCTTGGGAGGATGGTGGGAAGTAACCATTTGACAATGTGGTCAGTCTGGCCTTAGCTTAAGATATCTTGCCTTTATCTCCCCTAGATCTCCCAGACCATGGTCCTCACCTAACAAGGGTATCAGTTGTCTGCCTGGTATGTCACTCCTCCACGTTCATCTTCTTCTCCCCTTGTTTTGCATCCTTGGCAATGATCTCACTTTATTGCCACTGACCTTCTTCTTCCTTATCACTGATTTTTCTCTCTCCCTCCCACTCCCTCATCCCTGTCCCTTTCTCTTTTTCTTTCAAACCCATCTCCTTACCCCTATGTGAGGTGCATCCCAGCCTGGATACCAGCTCAATGTTGGGGTTGGGACTAGGTGTATTTATAAACTATGAACCAGTGAAAGTTTTAGAGAGAAGAAAACAGAATTCAAGGCCAAAGCCACGTTTAGGGCATGACAAACTGAAACTACCTCTGTTCACATGAAAAGAACACAGTTATTTAGCACTTGATATAAAAAATGATAACTTTAGGCACCATCAGGTGGGCTTTTGCCCATGTTTCTAGCTCTTGGGTGAGATTTCTTTTCTGCTTTTAATGTTCTTTTACTAATTAAAAGTTTCTGTTGCTAAGGAAGGGTTCGAAGGCTTGCCACGTTTCCCACGTGGTGGCTCTTCTGTAGGAAAGAACAGAGAAAGGAAAATAAAAGTTTCCGAACCAAGGTGTAAGTCCTTTGAATTTTCCAAGAAAGGCAGAAGCAAAGACTGTTGTCTGGTGCTCCTAGAATCTCCGCTTGTCAGGATGACTCTGCAGGTCTTTCATCACTCTGAGCTAGACCTTGACAAAGGACTGACTTCCACAGCTCAATTTGCAAGTCTTAGTCTTGTATACGCATGGTGTATGAACTGTCTTTTATGCCAGGGTCATTAATAATTTATCCTAGTCACCTGGCCCAGTGGAAAGTGCAAGCTTGTGAAAGGCTAGGGTTCAAACCCAAGACCTTCAATTTACCATCCAAAGGGTCTTTCCAGACCTCTCTACTCAAAGAAGCCCCCACATTTTTTCTCCATCCCTCACTGAGGGAGATACGAACTTTCAGAGCCAGTGTCTGATTCTCCACATCCTTTTCCTCTTGCTATGGTGATAACACTGAGATGGAAGATGCATGGAGATGGCACTTTTCTCGGCCTGGGTCCCTGCGTGACTACAGTGGAAATATCTCTTTCCTTATCTGCACTTGACATGTAGTGTGAATCAGAAATGGACCAGCTCTAGGGACTTAGGGGCTATTTGTTACTGCAGCATAACCTAATGAATTCTGACTGATACAATAGCATCTTTTATTTTTTCTTTTTCCTCTATGGCACTTACCACCATTACCATGTTTATTTATATTTGATATGTTTATTCATTTTCTGTCTCTTCTCTATAGAATATAAATTTCATAAAAACCATCTTTTTGTTGTTGTTGCTGATGTTCAAATGAGTAATTCCAGTATCTGGAGTGCCCAGTACGTGCTAGGCACTCAATGAATATATGTATTGAATGAACTGATTGATAATGGGGTTAATGCGGGAAGGTCACCTAACTTCTATAAGCCTCACATTCTTTATCTGTAAAATGGGAATATTAACCATGCCTGCCTCATAAGGGTGTTTTGAGAATTAAACGTGTAATGAATGTAAAGTACCTGGCATCATGCCTGGCACAAAGTAGGCATGTAGTAAATATGTGCTATAACAATTGTCAGTCCTGTGAACCAAGATCAGGGCCTCTATATGTAATGTCAGTTACATTTTACAGATATATTTTATGTTCCCCAGTCTTGTCAAAGGTCCCTTAGCAAATAAGTGGCATGGTTGCACTGGATTCCAGGATCCTCCTGCATTGAGACTCTAGAAGTTTTGTTCTAAATGTCTGCTTTTAGGTCACAGTCTGAACACTGGTTTTGGGGAAAGTATTTCTACTGTATTGGGCTGGAGTATCATCAAGATCCCCTAGAGCTTTAAATGCTTTGGGTATTAGGGTGGATGTTCAAATAGGAAGGAACTGTGGGAGCTAGTGCCTGGGGAAGCTTTGAGGGACACAGGTAGAAACACTATATGGAGAATTAAACTTTGAAGTGGATAACACCTTGAAGAGACAGAGTGCATGCTTGACTTAGCTTACACTTATTTTCTTTGCCCAGTACTGGGTGTGGGATCTGGTCCTGATGCAGGAGAAATGGACACAGTGGAATCTCTTACAGATCCTTGTTGGCCAAGAGATTGATGAACCTAGAAGGAACCTAGATGGGAAGTGGCTTGCATAGGTGCCCAGAAGCTGGGCTCTGGCATTTGATGAACTCAAGTTCACATGTGATTCCTTCACTTTCTAGATGAGTGATGTTGGGCAAACAAGCTCTCCTCTCTGTGCCTTGGTTTCCTCATCTGCCATTTTGGTTAGAATCAGGTAGGATTCTGTGTCTCCCCTGCTGGACTTGCTTCCTTCTATCTGTTCTCTTGGCCAAGGCCAATGTGTTCTATGTGGCATGTAATTTCTCTCCTAGAAATTCCACCCGAGCCCAGGAGGTCAAGGCTGCAGTGAGCTGTGATTGCACCACTGCAAACCAGCCTGGGTGACAGAATGAGACCCTGTTTCAAAAAAGGAAAATTTCAATGCCTTGGCATTGTCTTCAGGGGAGAGTGTAACTCAGTGTTCCAGCTCAGGCCCTGTCTTAGCTGGCCTTTGCTCACGTCCCCAGTCCGCCTGCACCTGCTGTGCCTGCTGCAGCCTCACTCCAACCCAGCTTTGCAGTAGGCCTTTGCGCCATTTAGATTCTGCTTGGCAGCCCCCACGCTGCTGCCTTCACCACTCTCCTGTCCTCCCACTGATTCCTCCTCAACCTTCAGATCTCACTTGAGATGTCACTTCCTCAAACCCCCGGACACCGGCATTAATGCTCACCATGCTACACTGATGTCACCTTTTTAATTGTCTGCCTTCTCCAACACACAGTCAGTTTCCGGCTGGCTGGGATGGGGCCATAATTGTGGGAGGGCCAAAGAGCTGAGTGGTTGACCACATATGCTCTGAGATCAGGCTCCTTGGGCTGGAACTGTGGGTTCATAAATGAGAGTTCTGGGTCCTAGGACAACCTTCCTGTGCCTTGCTTTCCCCATCCATGGTGTGGGTGTTCTTAAACAACACTCTTACCTTCCTTTGCCTCAGTTTCTCCATTGTGATGTGGGCCATTGAACAGGACTCTTTACCTGCCCAGGCCTCCGTTTCTCGACCCATAAAATGAGCCAACAGTAGTCATTCTTGTGTGGCTGCAATCAGGCAATGCAAATAGTTGTTTTTACTATTTTTCTATGGGTTTGTGGACCTGAAAATAAAAAGGTTCATAAAAGGGTGTGTGAACACCCACACAGACACCTGTTGTACACTTATTCTCACTCTCCCTTCACTAGGGGACATTGGGAATACTCCTCTTACAGCACTGAACTCTGCACAGCAGTTAGTCTAGTTTAGGAGTGGCCTGGAGTTTAGATGGAGAGAGGATGGGTTGTCAGTCTAGACTTTTCTTGTATTCCATCCTAGCAGCTCCGTAAACAAACGTGATTCTGAGCCATGGCTTTCACAGGTTTTCTGAATCCCAACAAGTACTGTGGCTGGGCCATTAAGAAGCCTAGCATCCCCTGCAACCTGTGATGGTAAAAGGGTCTGAGATGTGTGTGTGTATAAATGTGTGAGTGCAGGTGTGTGCATTCATGTGTGTATGTGTGCACACCTGCAATATGTGTATGCATATATGTGTGTACATGCAATGTGTGTATGTGTACTTATGCATGTATGTGTATATATATGCATACATGCAATGTGTGTATGTGTATTCATGTGTGTACATGGAATGTGTATGTGTGTATGTGTATACGTGTGTACATGCAATGTGTATATGCGCATATGTGTACATATGCATGTATGTATATATGTGTGTACATGCAATGTGTGTATGTGCGTATGCATACATATAAATGTATGCATATTCTTGTGTGTACATGCAATGTGTATATGTATGTGTGTACATGTGTACATGCAATGTGTATGTGTGTGTATACATGTGTACATGCAATGTGTATATGCACATATGTGTACATATGCATGTATGTGTATATATGTGTGTACATGCAATGTGTATATGTGTATACATGTGTACATGCATGCAATGTGTGTATGTATGCATGTATATATGTGTATGTGTATATGTGTGTACATGCAATGTGTGCGTGTGTGTACCTGCAATGTATGCGTGTGTATATGTGTATACATGTACACACAATGTACGCATGCATATGTGTGTATGTATATATGTGCATGTGTACGTGTGTGTACATGCAATGTGTATGTGTGTACATACAATGTGTGCATGTGTGTGTATGTGTATGTGTATATGTGTGTGTACACACAAAGTATGCATGTGTATGTGTATATGTGTACACACAATGCATGCATGTGTATATGTGTATACATGTGTGTACACACAATGTGTGCATGTGTAGGGTGTATGTATATAAGCGTGCATGTGTATGTGTGTGTACATGTGATGTATGTGTGCATGTGTGTACATGCAATGTGTGTGTCTGTGTACATAAATGTAAATGTGTGTGGTGTATGTATGTGTGTGTGTGTACCCATACCAGTGAGGGTGCTATGGTCTCTCACATTTATGTCTTGAAACTTAATCTCAGTGTGTGCAGATGAGGATGTGGGGCCTTTGGGAAGTGATTAGGTTATGAGGGCTTTGCTCTCATGAATGGGATCTGTACCCTTATGAAAGATGTCCCAGAGAGATCCCTTGGCCCTTCTGCCCTGTGAGGACACAGTGAGAAGAGAGGTGTCTATGAGGAATGAGTCCTCATCAGACACCTAATCTGCCAGCACTTTAATCTTGGTCTTCCCGGCCTGCAGAACGGTGGGAAATCAATTTCTGTTATAAGCCACCCAGGCTCTGGTGTTTTGTCGTAGCAGCTCACGTGGACTAAGAGAAAGGGTGTCACTTGGAAATTTGGGGGCTTCCATTTTATGTATTGTGGTTTTAGCTGTTTTTCCTTTAAAAACATCAACCCTTTAAAGTACGTGTGTGTGTGTGTGTGTGTGTGTGTGTGTGCACGCATGTGTCTGTGGAAACTGCCAAAGAAGACATGGAATTCCTCCTCTTCTCCCTCCTCCCATCCTTTTCCATTTTTTCTCCCCGTGCCCCTCATGTTGCTCTGTCCCCCGGACTCTGCCTCCATCTCTGTGTCTCCCTCCCTCTCTCTTTCTCTCCTCCTTCCGTATGCCCAGCACCCAGTCTCTGTGTTGGCACAGGAGTACTGGTTGCCTAGGAAACCACCGCAGGGCGAGCACATGCGATTGGCCAGGCTGGGACCTGACTCTGGGTTGGCGGGCAGATTTTTTGGGTGATTCTTGTCCTCATTCCCCTTTGGGGGAGGGACATTCTCCGGGATACAAAGAAACCTGGCTGTGCCGTGGCTGCTAGGGCTTCTCAGCCTGGGAAGGAATTCCTGTCCTAATGAGGATTCAGAGTTGCAGAACTAGGCCACCCAGGAACAAATTTCCAAAAAGGCAGGAGGCCGGGAAGTGGGGGCGGGGCACCAGGACAATCATAGCTAACACCTATATGTCAGTCACTGTTTGCTAAGCTCTTTATAGGCATTCGCTCATTAGCAAACCTATGCAGTTGGTGTTATCTTTCTCCAGGTTTTACAGATTGGGAGAGGGAGACTGAGAGATAATAAATAACATGGCTGAGGTCATACAGTGGCTAAGTGCAGAGCCGGGATTCGAACCCAGGAGTGTTGTATCATTAAGAAGTCCTCACAGCCGCCTTCCCTGAGGAGCCCCGAGGAAAGAGGGAAGATGTGGGACCATGAGGATAGATTAGATAGCTCCTTAATGTTCTCTTGCTTTCCTCCACTCTTATCCTTGACCTGCCTGGTTCTTCTCTCTCTTGAGTAACCTTTCAGTTTGAGGAGCTCTGAAGTCCTCAGGAACTAACATGTTCCACCTGCTTGCTTATCATTCAAGAATGACAAGACATTCTAGAAATGGATGGTGTGATGTTTGCACAACAATGTGAATGTATTTAATGACAGAGAACCGTGCCCTTAAAAATCGTCAAGATGGCAAATTTTATGTTATGTTTATTTTACAATTTAAAAAAAAGGAGTGACAGGGTCATACGTACAGCCAGCCTGGTCTTACGAACCTGTGATTTTATCCCTCTGGTTTTCCCATACTAGGGATAAGAATCAACTAGCAGGGTGGTTTTGAGCACTTTCTGTATGGTTGGCAGGCTCTCTGATGAGGGCTTAAACATGGATTATTTGATGGAATCCTTCCAACAATTCCTCCTACTATTTCCATTTTACAGATAAAGTAGCTGAGGCTCAGAACATTGAGAAATTTCTAGAGGTTATACATGGGTTAGTGATGCAGCCTCGATTTTAACCCTGGCCTTTCCATTCCATTCCTTTCCTTTCCTTTCTTTCCCCTCCCTCCATTCCCTTTTTCCTTCCTTCCTCCCTTCCTCCCTTCCTTCCTTCCTTCCTTCCCTTTCTTCCCTTCCTTCCCTCCCTCCCTCCTTCCTTCCCTCCTTCCTGTCTTTCCTTTTTGACAGAGTCTCTGTCACTCAGGCTGGAGTGAAGTGGCACGATCTCAGGTTACTGCAACCTCCACCTCCCAGACTTAAGCCATCCTCCCATTTCAGCCTCCCTAGTAGCTGGGACTACAGGCATGCACCACCATGCCCGGCTTTTATTTTTTTTTTTAATTTTTATGGAGAGAAAGGGTTTCACTATGTTGCCCAGGCCTGTCTCCAACTCCTGAGCTCAAGTAACCTGCCTGCTTTAGGCTCCCAAAGTGCTGGAATTATAGGTGTGACCCACCGTGGCTGGCCAAACCCCAGGCTTTCTGACACCCGCTCTTCCCAAATCGCCTAGGGCCTGCCCACTGTTGCTCACTGTTGACATTGCAGGGATGTGAATGAGAGAACTCCGCTTCTCTGCAGTGCCCGGGGACTAAATGATTCCCTGCCCCTGGTTCCAGCTCAGTCGCTTTGGAAGGCTTCAGTGCCCATCAGTCTCCTAGTGGACCGTTGGCTGGCCCAGGCCATCTCACCAGTGTCCTCAAAGTGTCAAAGCCACTTGAGTGAGGTTGAGAAGCGGTGGCTGGAAATAAAGCCAGTACCCAATGCAGGTAAGCCTGCCGGATCAAAGTTAATGAAGCCTGTCCTCAGGAACCACAGTGGAGTTTGGCAACATCTGGTGTGATTACTACCATCATGGGTTCTGGAGACATGGCCGGTGGGGCAGTAGCTTGGTGGTGGGGAGTGGAGAGGAATTCAGGGCTTTGCAGGGCCAGGGGAGGAAGTGATGGGGCAGGACCTGCTACCTTTTAGTTATCTCTTGGCGAAATTCCAGCCGGAGGCCTTCCTGCTGTCTTGTGCCCATCACACATCCCATCTGGGTCACTGAGCAGAATCGCTGAGTTGCTGTGATTTTTAGTTCTAGCAGCTCCTACGCTTGCATGTATCATCTCATTCAATCCTTTCAAGACCTATGATCAAGTCAGTCAAAAGTCTTATTTCCATTTTATTTTATTTTAAAAAAGTAAAATCTTTTTTTTTTTTTGAGACGGAGTCTTGCTCTGTCACCCAGGCTGGAGTGCAGTGGCACGATCTCAGCTCGCTGCAACCTCCACCTCCTGGGTTCAAGGGATTCTCCTGCCTCAGCCTCCTGAATAGCTGAGATTACAGGCGCCTGCCACCACACCCAGCTAATTTTTGTATTTTTAGTAGAGATGGGGTTTTACCATGTTGGCCAGGCTGATCTCAAACTCCTGGTCTCAAGTGATCCACCCACCTCGGCCTCCCAAATTGCTGGGATTACAGGTGTGAGCCGCCATCCCTGGCCTTATTTTATGTTTTGAGACAAGGTCTTGCTACTTTGCCCAGGCTGGTCTTGAACTCCTGAGCTTGAGTGATCCTCCTGTCTTGGCCTTTCAGAGTGCTGGGATTACAGACGTGAGCTACAATGCTCGTCCCTTATTCCCATTTTATAGAGAAGGAAACTGAGGCTCTGAGGGATGAAATTGTTCATCCAAGCTCACACAGGTAGCAAAATGCACAGCCAGGTCTGGCTAAGCCCAACTCTCTCCTATCTCTCTCTCTCTCTCTTTTTTTTTTTTTTTTTGTACAACAGGACTTATCATTTCTTGAGGATTAATTGAGGTCCCTGGGGACTCAGGGTAGGAAACTTATCAGGTGGTCGAGGATGAAAAGTGGGAGCAAAGAGTCTTTGCCATCTTTCACAGTTCTGTTCAATGTAGACATCTGGCACTTGCTAACTACCAGAACACAAAGTCACTTGGATGTGGAGTATTTGCCAAGGGCATTGATCTCCCACGTGGGGTCCCTGGACTAGCATCATCAGCAGCAGCATCACCTGGGAATTTGTTAGAAATGCAAATTCTCAGACCCCAGCTCAGACCTAGTGAGTCAGAAATGCTGGATGTGGGGCCCGGCAATCTGCAGTGCAAAGTCAAATGGTGGCAAAAAGACATGTCCATCTAGAACCTGTGGCCATGACCTTATTTGGACAAAGAGATCTTTGAAGATGTTATTAAGGTAAAGATTATGAGATGAGGTTATCCTGGATAAGGGTGAGTCCTCAAACCAATGACAAGTGTCCTTAGAAGAAAAGGGGAGAGGATTCACAGAGAAGGCCATGTGAATGGGAACGAGGCGGATACAAGCCAAGGAACGCCAAAGATAGCTGGTAACATTTAGAAAGCAGGAACGAGGCATGGGACAGGTTCTCCTGCAGCGCGTCCAGAAGAAACCAAGTCTGTGGACTCCTTGGTTTCAGACTTCTGGCCTCTAGAACCGTGAGAATAAATTTCTGCTGGTCGTTTTTTTTTTTGTTTTTTTTTTTTGTGGGGGGTGCAGAGTCTTGTTCTGTTGCCCAGGCTGGAATGCAGTGGCGTGATCTTGGCTCACTGCAACCTCTACCTCCCAGGTTCAAGTGATTCTCCTGCCTCAGCCTCCCGAGTAGCTGGAATTACAGGCGCCCGCCATCACGCCTGGCTAATTTTTGTATTTTTGGTAGAGATGGAGTTTTGCCATGTTGGCCAGGATGGTCTCGAACTCCTGACCTCAGGTGATCCACCCCCCTCGGCCTCCCAAAGTGCTGAGATTACGGGCATGAGCCACCATGCCTGGCCATTTCTGCTGTTTTAAAGCACACAGTTTGTAGAAATTTGTTATGGTTGCCACAGAAAACCAATACAAAGCCCTCCAGGTGGTTCTGATTCACAATAAAGTTTGAGAACCAATGGCTCAGAGCTGTGCCTCTCCATTTCTTACCCACCCAAGGATCAGCCCAAGGATGAACATTTTTTTAATAGGCTTTTAATGGTGGTTTCTATGCACACTAAAAATTGAGAGCATTTAGCCTTGAGGATACGGTGAGTAAATACCTTTTGTCTCTCTGCAGTCTGGCCATACCCAGCCAAATGAGATATATTCTTCAGCCAGCTTCCTACACTTGTGGGAGTACTGCTATTTTTATTGTTATCATCATTACTATTATTTTTTTCTTTTCTTTTCTCTTTTTCTTTTTCTTTTTTTTTTTTTGAGGTGGAGTTTTGCTGTTGTCACCCAGGCTGGAGTGCAATGGTGGGATCTCAGCTCACTGCAACCTCTGCCTCCCAGGTTCGATAGATTCTCCTGCCTCAGCCTCCCGAGCAGCTGGGATTACAGGCACATGCCACCATGCCTGGCTAATTTTTGTGATTTAATAGAGATGGGGTTTCACCAAGTTGGCCAGGCTGGTCTCAAACTCCTGACCTCAGGTGATCCACCTGTCTCGGCCTCCCAAAGTGCTGGGATTACCGGTGTGAGCCACCGTGCCTGGCCATTACTATTATTTTTATTGCTAGTTTTCTCTGCTTCTTTGCAGTTGGCAGGAGAACAAAGTGAACCAGTTTATGGTAGAGATGATTGTACCCAGTTAGGACCCTATATCTGCCCCCTACCATAAGTGCTCCCAGCACACTGTATAAAGTATTGGGGCCTGGCTGTGAGATTAGCAGAGTCCACAGGCATGAGGCTCAGCTACCCAACTCCCATCTGGGAGGTAGGACCACTGTGGAAGCAGAGCAGGGACATGGGAATTTCCTAATCATCTGCTTGGATAGCATAATGAAGTCAACATGCTGCATAATTACATACTTGGGAAGTTTCCATTATTCACCATGTTGTGATCTCTAGCACCTGGTGTCAGCCCCTCCAGAGACAGAGAGGCTGGCTGGCAGGAGGAGCTTGCATGGCTCCCTGAGCCCCGAAGCCAAGGGATCCTGAGTACGTCATCATGCCTTGAACCCGTGGGAGGGTCTTTTGAATCCAAGTTGTCCTGGTGCACCTCCTGCCTGCAAGAGACAGGAAGACGGGAAGACGCAGCAGGCTGGGAGGAATGGTCAGCTAGGGTCGTGGGCTCCCCAGGGGATCCTTCTCGTTCTGAAAACTCAACCTAAGGCTTTCTGGATTTGCTGAGCAGGAGCGGCCCATTCCATTCATAATATCTATTGGTGGCATTGTTCATCTCCTCTATGCAAGGCGCTTCACATATTATCATAGCTAAGCTTCGTAAAATGTCTATTCTGAAGGTACTATTGATTCACATTTTAGAGAAGATGAAGTAGGCCAGCAGAAAAAGTAGCCTGATAAAGATCACACAGCTGGTAAGACAGAAGCAGGATGTGTCTAACTCAGTGTTTCTTATCTAGATACTGTTGGCATTCGGGGCCAGATGATTCTTTGTTGCGGAGGATGGCCCTGTGCATTCTAGGGTGTTTAGCAACATCCTTGGCTTCTACCCATCAGATGCCGGTAGCACACCCCAGCTCGGTTGTGACAACCAAAAGTGTCTCCAGACATTGCTGATGTCCCCTAAGGAGAAAATCAACCCCCATTGAGAAATAGATTTTTTTTTTTTTTTTTTTGAGATGCAGTCTCGCTCTGTCACCTAGGCTGGAGTGCAGTGGCGCGATCTTGGCTTGCTGCAACCTCCACCTCCCATGTTCAAGCGATTCTCCTGCCTCAACCTCCCAAGTAGCTGGGATTACATGCATGCGCCATCACACCTGGCTAAGTTTTGTATTTTTAGTAGAGACGGGATTTCATCATGTTGGCCAGGCTGGTCTCAAACTCCTGACCTCAGGCGATCTGCCCAACTCAGCCTCCCAAAATGCTGGGATTACAGGCGTGAGCCACTGCACCCAGCTGAGAAACAGATTTTGTTTTTTCTAAGATGCTACTCTGCCTCTGCAAATATTCTAAATCTGAGCAGCTTTGAGGCACCAGGGTATAAGGTTATAGATGACATTACTTCTTTACCTATGCACTTTTTAGTTAGCCCACTTCCCCCTGCTCCCTCCTTTCCCCCACCCTCTGTCTTGCACACACCCAACCTTCTGCCATTTTAGAGGTATAGAACAAGATAGAATTTGGTTGACTTGTTGGAAGTTCATATAGCTAGGAAGTTGAAATCAAAGTAAAGCTAAGTTTTGCAGACCCTCTTCTAGCCCTTTTCCTATTTCCCCATTTTCTCTCCTCCAGTACCTCCAAGGCATGCTGGAAGCTGGGTGAGCTTCCTGAAGCTTCATTATGTGACATCGGCAATAGCCTCTTGCAGTGATTGGTTTCCTTACTTTCTCTCCATTTCTTTCCAGGAATCTACTTGGTTGTCACCTCCACAGATGAATAGCTGTTTATAGTGTGTCTGAGACCGTATCCCTACTTGTCATGGTCCCTGTACATAGTAGGCCCTCAGTAAATATTTGTTGAATTAATGACTAAATCACTCTGAGTGTCATTTCCACGAATTAAAATAACATGACCTTAGCTCGTAGTGTCAATGACACTTTGCCTGGGTTACAACCGGGTTTGAGGCAAGAAGCAAAATCCCACGGAGGCTGGAGAGAGCAAAAGGGCTTACTCACTGGAAAGAGCCAGGGATACCTCACAGATGCCAAGGGCAAAAGTACAGTCCAGCTAATGCAGCACCAGGACCAGGACTAAGATCATTATTCCGCCTTTCACCCTGGACTGAACAGCGTCTGATCTCAGATTTGCACAGCAGTTGGCTTTATCTCTGTCTCCTCTGTTTCTATTTTTCACTTCTTCTTCTTCTTCTTCTTTTTTTTTTTTAACCTTCTGAATTCCTCTCTATGTCCAGACCAGTGTTCTCTACTTTATCCATATGGTAAAAGATGACTCCCTCAGCATGGCAAGCTCAACACCCCCACATTGACTTGTCCTCATATTGAAGCACAAACCCAGACCAAGGAAGATTTTGCACACTCAATTTCAAATTTCCAGGAGAAAGAATCTGATTGGTGCTCCTTGTACCAGGTGATGCTCTCTGGCCCAATCAGGAATGGCCATGAAGTGGGGCTTTTTAGTATAAAAATGACCCCTGAGGTCCATTTCCATGTTTGAGGAGCAGTTCTTAGAAAACTGGGGGATGGGGAAACACCCAAAAGCCTCTAGTACATTTTCTCTGCCCAGGTGAGAAGTAGTAGCCTGCTCCACCTTGCCTGCATCAAAGTCAAGTGTTGGAGAAACATCAGGAGTTGGCATGTGACTCTCAGGTGGGCATAACTGGCTCAGACCCTCATTCAGTTCCTTTCCTTTTCCAACAAAAATGCTCAGAAGGAAGCCCTGAAAGGAAGTTGGAGTGCAACAGCTGCCACTTCTAATTACAGCCAGCCTTAGTCAATTTGGATTAATTGGGGGCAGAAAGTCCAATTTACACAAAAGAACAACCATATACACATTTCTTTGTTTTGATTGCCTATGAGGACATACAGCAAGTTATACTATAATGATGAAAAAAATATGGCAAACAAGTAAAAAGAAGGCAAGGAGGACAAACAGAAGCTCAAGCAATAGAAATCCCAGGGGACTGGCTTTATTGACTAAAACCACAGTGATAATAATAAACACACATGCAGTTGGAATTAAAACAGGTGCTTATAAGATGTTTGGAAACAGGTTTGATTCTCTTGAGTAGTAATAATGATAAGAAAGAAAAATAGCAAATGTGTACACAGTTGCCTCTTAGTATCCGCAGGGGATTGGTTCCAGGACCCCCCAAGGATACCAAAATCTCTAGATGCTCAAGTCCCTCATACAAAATGGCATACTATTTGCATATAGCCTACGGCTTTCTCCTGAATACTTTAGATCGTCTCTAGGTTACTTATAATGACTAATACAATGTAAATGCTATGTAAATAGTTGTTGCACTGTATTGTTTATTTGTATTATTTTTTATTGTTGTATTTTTATTTATTTTTCTCAACTATTTTTTTTTAAGACAGGGTCTCATTCTGTCACCCAGACTGGAGTGCAGTGGGGTGATCTTGGCTCACTGCAACCTCTGCCCCTGGGGTTTAAGAGATTCTCCTGCCTCAGCCACTGGAGTAGCTGGGATTACAGGCATGCACCACCATGCCTGGATAATTTTTGTATTTTTAGTAGAGATGGAGTTTTGCCATGTTGACCAAGCTGGTCTCCAACTCCTGGCCTCATGTGACCCGCCCACCTTGGTCTCCCAAGGTACTGGGATTACAGGCGTGAGCTACCACGCCTGGCCCCTTCTCAACTATTTTTGATTCCAAGTTGGTTGAACCCTTGGATAAGGAGGGCTGATACACATTTACTGTGTGCCAGGCTCTATTCTAAGTGTTTGATGGAGTCCATGTCTCCTCATTTAATTCTGCAGCAACCTGATGGTGGAGATGCTGCAGGGCAGTGGGGGTGCTCACAGTCTTCAAAAGTACTTTAAAAATTAACCGGGAGCGTAAAAGGGGAGGGCATGTCTGATGTTCTCTAGAAGAAGCATAACAGAATAGATAAGAGCTGGGACTATGCAGCAGCCAGACAGCCTGGGTTTGAATCTTGCTAAGTGACCCTGTGTGAGTTATTTAATCCCTCTGAGCTTTGATTCCCTCCTCTTTAAAACGTGGCTAATAGAACTTTCCTCAGATAATTGTGGTGAGGGTGAAACATGGCATGGAACCTATGTGAAATGCCGAGCACAGCCCTTGGCACGTAGAAGACACAATCAATGCCATGATATGTAGTTAGGGTTACAGGATCTAGAGTCCACCTGTGTATCTTACAAGCTTTGCCCACTTGGAATTACTTCTCACCAAGCTTCCATTTTCTTATCTGGGAAAACATGGATGATGACAGAATCTACTTCCTGTGTTCTTATGAGGAAGGATTCAGATAATGCAGGTAAAGTTCTTAGTACAGTGTCTTACCTATCATAAGCTTTTACTATATATGATTGTTTTTGTTGTTAGCATTCTAGAATGATGAAAGAAGCACAGAGAAAAAGGTAGGCCATTAAAAATGACAACATGAAACCCATTATACTGTTAAGTGATTTGCGCTGTGCAATTAGCAAATTACACTCATTTTTCCCACCCCAAAAAAGTGCTTTAACAAGAGGAGGCTGCTTGTGCCAATCATAAACACCCTATAAACAACGCATTTCTCCTGGAAGATCCATTTTCTCCTGACAATGCTCTCTGTTTGATGGCATTTGCATTCCCCTTGATTTGCCTAATTTTAATGAGACATTAGATCAACATCACAAAAGCAATTTCAGATTACTCGGGTTCCTTGACAAAAATTCTATTGTCATGACATTGTTCAGTTTATACATGGAGAATTTTTGCCATTGATTTCTGGGACAAAACTCTTATGTAATGCCAGCAAAAGTGTGAAATGATTGTTTTTTTAACATATAATTATGGTTTAAAAAACCCAGGAAACACCTTCTTGTGGTGTTAACACTACACATTAGTGTTCGTTGATGCAAGCAGCAGAAACCAACCTTTCCTAGCATGAAGGAAATCAAAATATATTGAATGCCTTTGAGAAGGGAAGGCCGGGGGATCCAGAAACCAGGGAAATTTTAGGCGTCTAGAAAGCAGGATTATTGGACCATCTTGTAAACACACCACCACTCAGCCGGGCGAAGTGGCTCACGCCTGTAATCCCAGCACTTTGGGAGGCCGAGGCAGGAGGATCACGAGGTCAGGAGATTGAGACCATCCTGGCTAACATGGTGAAACCCCATCTCTACTAAAAATACAAAAAATTAGCTGGGCGTGGTGGTGGGCGCCTGTAATCCCAGCTACTTGGGAGGCTGACGCAGGAGAATGGCATGAACCCGGGAGGTGGAGCTTGCAGTGAGCCTAGATTGCGCCACTGCACTTCAGCCTGGGCGATAGAGTGAGACTCCGTCTCAAAAAAATAAATAAATAAGTAAAAAACACCACCACTTGGTCAGCTCCAATTTTTATCTTAGCCTAGTTTCATTTAAGATGTAAAGTCCCAAGAAGTGTCCCATTGGTCTAGTGTGGATCCTGTGTCTGCCCCTTCATGGGTAAGGGAGAATGAGACTTGATAATTTCTAGCTTCACCAAGACCACAGACATTGGAGGAGAGCAAATTTCCTAAAAGAAGAGCAGGATTGAGAGGACTGAGGAGATGGTGTGTTTGTAGGTGTGGGAACTCCTTTTCTTTAGTTATCATTTACCAGAATTCCTAGTGAATAATGCTTTGCAGTGATTAATGCCCAACTTTTGCTGGCTATTGACTGTCACTGGAGACATAAAATAGCCATGCTGTGGAAGAAGGTTGTTACTATGTGTGTTAGTCACCACAGACCATAGACGGAGTGGCTTAAACAACAAATATTTATTTCTCACAGCTCTGGAGACTGGGAAGTCGAAGGACGAAGTGCCTGCAGATATGGTATCTGGTGGGGACTGGCTTCCTGGTTTGCAGATGGTGGCTTTGTCACTGTATCCTCACATGGCCAAGAGAGAGGTAATCTCTCTCATGTCTCTTCTTATAATCTCACTCATGAGGGCTCCACCCTCATTACCTAATTACCTCCCCAAAGCACCACCTCCAAATACCATCACATTGGGAATTAGCTTCAACATATGAATTCGGAGAGATACAAAAACATTCAAATCATAGCCCTAAATGATGGAGAATTGGGGTTTTCAAAACCATTCTTAGTCTCATTTTATTTAATTTAGAAGTTTTTGCTGTACCTAGGGATGGATAGAAAATGTGTTTTCCAAAACGCAGGCATTCTTTGTGATCTGGACTTTTCAGTCATTTTGTATGGAGAGGGAGTGCCTGGTCTAGATTGAGACCCAAAGCTGTGGGAAGGGATCATTTAGCACGGGAAGATGATGAGATGGCAAAGACAACTTTATAGCACTCTTTATCATGGATGTAAAAGGGTCAGGCGAGGCTGACAAGCCAGTCCTCACGGCTACTGTGAATAGGCCAAGGGAAACTGGGCTGAAATTGCATTATAAATTATTTAGGTAGAACATGAGGAAAGACTTGCTGGCTGCAAGGGAAGTTAGACATTGTGGCAAGCCTTCAAGGTATTTTTTTTTTTTTGATCCGAGGTAGCCAATGTGTGCATTCCCTCCTCCTCCACCCGTGATTCCACATCTATGGTGTATATCACCAGATAATCAGAGCGCTTGTCTCCTCCTAGGCAGGAATGGATCTCAGGATATTTCTCAACACAGCACTTTAGAGGGTTTTTATTAGCTGGGCATGGTGGTGGGCACCTGTAATCCCAGCTACTCAGGAGGCTGAGGCAGAGAACTGCTTGAACCCGGGAGGCAGAGGTTGCAGTGAGGCAAGATTGCGCCACTGCACTCCAACCTGGGTGATAGAGCGAGACTCCATCTCAAAAAAAAAAAAAAAAGGTTTCTACTGATCAACTAGATTTAGCGTGTGTGTGTGTGTTTGTGTGGTAGTGATGGTGGTGGTGTGGCACAATTTACTGCCCCTCATCTAGATTCAGAATTGGGAATGTAAGTGGAGACATGAGCTGCACTAATTATCTTTTCAATATTTCACCTTACTTGGGAGTTACCGCCAACTCATTAAGTAACTGCTAAGGCAACAACGACTACAACAACAACAGAACCCCCCAAAGGGGAAATAAAAGGACAGTGAAGCTTACAGGGTGTGAATTATTTGAAGCAGTGTGAGGTATTAACCAGAAGTGTTTAACTCCCTTGAGAACGCAGAATAGAGACATATCATGCAAGGCTTTTTGCATTGTATACAATAAGAAAATGCAAAACATTCTGGCTTAAATAATTTATGCAACTTATTGACTAAAGCAACAGGAAAATCAAGTTATGATGCCCAGTTCATGTGGGGCTTAATCTAGTAGTTTAAAGACCTGAGTTCCTCTCTCTTTGCCTTTTCATTCCATCCTCGGGCACCTCTTGGTGGGTCATCGTAGCTCTATGCTCTTTTCTTCTGGTCTGAAAACAGCTGCAGCAGCTGCACAATTTCCACCTTCAGCACATCCCGTTCACAGAAGAGAGAGTGTCTCTGCAGGTACCTCCTTCTCATGTCCCGGCATTCTCTCTCTTTCTCTTTCTCTCTCATTGGCTTGAATGGGATCAGTGTCTGGGAGATGCCAGGAAGGTCAATCCTTAGAACCAAGGGGAAGATCAGTCCCGTCTAAACCATATGGCTAAGATTGGTGTACAGGTAAGTTCCCCAAATGAGAAGCAGATTATGATTGAAAGGAATGGGGAGAATGGATACTGGAAAGGCAATGAAAGTACTCTTTGCAATGGTAGTTTGTACATGTGTGGGTGGGGGGCTGAAGTCTCTTGCCCAAGAGCCACTCCTTAAATAAAATAGGAATAAGGAAAAGATGGAAAGTTCATCCCATCCAGAGGTGACCAAGGTGCAAATTGTAGAGAAAACCCTTTCCTTCTTAAGAGAGTCCATCACCTCCTTCATTGCCTTTTGATGTAGAAATTGGGGTTTGGGCCAACTTTTCCACTGGCTGTCTTCTCCAGGTTTGCCTGGAGTTTTGCCCCATTAGCAGCCACTGCCATGTGTGTTTGTGCACCCAGCTTAGCTGGGAACTGATGTGCCAAGTAAGCCTGTGCTCCCCTAGTGCTGGTGGATAGAGGGGAGGGGCAGCCAACAGTGGGGTCACCAGAGGACTAGCAAAGGAGGAACTTGAGGAGAAGCAGACACTATTTCTCCTTCTCTGTTTCTCCTGGCAGTTCGTGGCTACTCCATGGGGCTGGATGGCTACTCCAACAGGATGGAGACATTTTTAAGATTCAGGCTTGAACAAGTTGCTCAACTTCTCATGGTCTCATGCGTCATCTCTATACAATGATCATAGAAGTGCATCATTGTGCGAATAGTTGTAGGCGTTCCATGAGATGATGTATGCAAAACAAGAGGGCTTCACTTTGCATCTTAGGTTGGATTCCCTAGAAGCAGAGTTTGAGATGGGGATTCTTGTGCAAGTGATTTATAGAGGGACACTTTCCAGAGAAGGGTAGTGAGGAAAGCAAGATTGTGCAGGGCAAGGAACTCAGCAAGGATGTGGCAGGGAAAGGAGACCAGCTAGGTCAGCTATTCTTCAGCCTGATTCCATGCGAAGCCCTAAGCATCAATTGCATCTCAGAGCTGGTTCCACTTTGAGGCGAGGGTCTGGCCTTCCATATTCTCATGTTAGTCATTGACTATGGGCTGCTTGTGTTTGTCATTGACTATGGGCTGCCTTGTCTATGGGCTGCTTCAGGGGGTGGGGAAAGAAACCTTATTGGCAAGGTAGCTCCCATTCAGCTAGAGCCAATTTTCCATAGACGAAGGTGGCTGTGAGCCATTAGCAATCATCATTCACAGCCTCTGGGGGATGGGGACACCTGCTGTGAAAAGAATCTGGGCAGGGCACCAACGGTATCCACCACACCATGATGGATACAATCTGGTTTCAAAGCGGGAGGGAGGCAGGATTTGGGATTAACTCTAGTTTATAGACCGGAGAACTGAAGTCGAGAGATCAGGCAACTTGCCCAAGGTCAAACTGCTAGCAGGCATTAGAGAAGAAATGAGGAGGCAAATTTCTTGCCTCTTGCAGTGAGGTTATTCATATGATCATAGTTTTCTAAAAAAAAAGAAAAAAGGCTAGTTTCTTATAAATTATCTGCCCAGCCCTTTATTTTAAAAACAAGGAACCTGAGGGCCAGAAAAGACCAAGCAATCCAAGTTCACAGAGAGAGTCAGGCAGACCCAAGACCAAACCTGCATAATCATATCCACCTTTGAACCCCACAAATCTCATTCTGCTGCTTCTTTTTGAAAACAGGCAATGAAGGGAGCTGCTGTTGCTTTGTGGAAATATGTTCCCATGAACTCAATGACCTCCCTGCTGCTTAGAACAAATCTTGATCAGGCAGTGAATAAACCTTCCAGACAACAGTATTCTTGCTTCAGGAGAGGCTTGTGGGAAAATGCAGTGAGCTCAGGTGCCTTAGAGTGAGAATGACAGACAGGGCTGGAAAGAGAAATCTTGCATTTACTTGACAAATATTTATTGTACTAGGTGGTGGGGGTGTAGCACTGCACACTCCAGACAGGTTCCTCTTTCTGGAGTTACAGTCCAGTGGGAAAGGCAATAATTAACTAAACTACCCTTCATGGGATTTAAATGACAATGATGGTACGTGCTATGAAGAGGTTCGGGATGTTGTGTGAACATATGACTGAGGGACCTGACCTCATTTGGGGCCAGAAAGCTTTTCTCTTAAGCTTAGACCATAGACCATAGACCATAGACAGACTGGCTTAAACAACAAATGGAGATATAAAGAATGAAGAGAACTTAATGAGAAAAAGGGGTTGAGGGAGGGGCTGGAAGAACATTCCAGGCAGACGGAACAGCTTATGAATGATTTCCAAGGGGGGAAGGTTTTGTTTGAGGCCAATTTATTTGAGAAAGACCAGGGTGGCTGGAGATCATGGTGAGAATGGGTTTGATTGGAGATGAGGATGGAGATTCAGTTCTTTAATAAAAGGGAAGACATAAAGTGAAGGTAAGCAGGAAGGTGTCCCAAATGTGTGTGTTTGTGGGGCAGGTAATAGGACAAGACTTGTGTTGTAGAAGTATCATTCTGATTGTGGTGGATTGAGAAGGATATCCTTACCAATATGGTGGACTCAACTGGCAGCATTGCAGACTCAACTGGCATGGCCCTCTTTTTCTTCAAAACACTTAGACCTAGTTGAGACTATTTCTCTATATCTATGTCTATATATCTATATATCTATGTCTATGTCGATACCTATACTCCAAAAGAAAGAAAGATAAATAATTATTAAGGAAGAGCTAATAGTATTTTGTCTAAAGGATTAGACAAAAAAAAAAGGAAGAGCTCCAACATAGATATAGGTTCTAAAACATAAAGGCTTGTGTTGATAAAAGCCGATGTCTCATCAAGAGACAGGTAACATGGCCTAGAGCCAGTGTGAAATGTACAGCTGCAACTGACATTCCTAAAATAAGGCTAGGACTTCGCCTGTTTTATGAAGGGCTAGAAAAACTCTGTTGACATATCCAAAGAAGCTATAAGGAAGGTTGTCGCCTGCCCAGGGTTCAAGGCTGATAAAAGAAAATCTCTGGTGAGAAAGTAAAAGGTCAAGTCTACGTTATGTGTAGGTGCACCGCCTGGGTGTAGGAATTCTAATGTGAGAAATTCAGGTGTGATCTAATCTAGGGCTAAAAAAACACCTGGTGAACAAGCTACCTTCGCAGTCTTATTTCTATATCCCTTGACTCAGGGGACTTTTACAGAATAAAGGAACCTCTGTTGAAGGTTCTAATAAAAAATTATAATCCAGGTAATTAGGCATCTCACATGAAGGAAAGTTAGCACACACAATAAGTAGTAATGTCTCAAGAACTTGAAACAAAGGAACCAAATGAAAGAAACAATAAAATAAGTTTGTTTAAAATGATCAAAGAGAATTTTTTTAAAAAAGAATGAGAGGCCATAATGAAAACACAAGAGTATTGTTTAAAGAAAAAAACAGGAAGATTGTTTTTAAAGCTAACTAAAATTTATAGAAATCAATTATATTGTCATTGGCCTGTCACAGTGGCTCACGCCTGTAATCCCAGCACTTTGGGAGGCCGAGGCGGGCAGATCATGAGGTCAAGAGATTGAGACCATCCTGGCCAACATGATGAAACCCTGTCTCTACTAAAATACAAAAATTAGCTGGGCATGGTGGCATGTGCCTGTAGTCTCCGTGGCTTGGGAGGCTGAGGCAGGAGAATTGCTTGAACCCGGGAGGCAGAGGTTGCAGTGAGCCGAGATCATGCCACTGCACTCCAGCCTGATGACAAAGCAAGATTCCATCTCAAAAAAAAAAAAAAAAAAAAAAGAAGAAGAATATTGTCATTGAAATTAAATAGTCAATTTCAGAGTTAAACAACAAATCAGATATAGCTTCAGAAAGAGGTAGTAAATTGAAAGACAGATGTGAGGAAATTAGGAAAGATAGACCAGGATGCAAAAAAAGGAGACTTGAGAATGGATTGGAAGAAGTCCAGAGTAGATAAGAAACATGCTTCAGTTGTATAGGTGAGAGATGATTGTGGTGTCTTGGGCCAAAATGGTACTAGTGAAAATGGAGACAGGGAAATGGATTAGAAGAAAATTTAGGATATTTGTATTTCAAAATTGAGAAAAAGAACATGTCAAGGCAAAGAGATGTATGCTTGCCTTCTGAGGAAAACAACCACCAATGGATGGAAGCAGGAGAGAGAAAGATTCTAATACATTATAAGGAAGATTTTGTTTTTCTAAGAACCAGACTTTTATTTTTTATTTTTTTAAAATTTATTTCATCTGTTTTCTTTTTTATTATTATTATACTTTAAGTTCTAGGGCACATGTGCCATGTTGGTTTGCCGCACCCATCAACTTATCATTTACATTAGGTATTTCTCCTAATGCTATCCCTCCCCAAGCCCCCCACCCCCCAACAGGCCCCGGTGTGTGATGTTCCCCGCCCTGTGTCCAAGTGATCTCATTGTTCAATTCCCACCTATGAGTGAGAACATGCGGTGTTTGGTTTTCTGTCCTTGTGATAGTTTGCTGAGAATCATGGTTTCCAGCTTCATCCATGTCCCCGCAAAGGACATGAACTCGTCTTTTTTTTTTTTTTTTTTTTTTTGGCTGCATGGTATTCCATGGTGTATACGTGCCACATTTTCTTAATGCAGTCTATCATTGATGGACATTTGGGTTGGTTCCAAGTCTTTGCTATTGTGAATAGTGCCGCAATAAACATACGTGTGCGTGTGTCTATAGTAGCATGATTTATAATCCTTTGGGTATATACCCAGTAATGGGATTGCTAGGTCAAATGGTAATTCTAGTTCTAGATCCTTGAGGAATCGCCACACTGTCTTCCACAATGGTTGAACCAATTTACACTCCCACCAGCAGTGTAAAAGCATTCCTGTTTCTCCACATCCTCTCCAGCATCTGTTGTTTCCTGACTTTTTAATGATCGCCATTCTAAATGGTGTGAGATGGTATCTCATTGTGGTTTTGATTTGCATTTCTCTGATGATCAGTGATGATGAGCATTTTTTCATGTGTCTGTTGGCTGCATAGACGTCTTCTTTTGGGAAGTGTCTGTTCATATCCTTTGCCCACTTTTTGATGGGGTTGTTTGTTTATTTCTTGTAAATTTGTTTGAGTTCTTTGTAGATTCTGGATATTAGCCCTTTGTCAGATGGGTAGATTGCAAAAATTTTCTCCCATTCTGTAGGTTGCCTGTTCACTCTGATGGTAGTTTCTTTTGCTGTGCAGAAGCTCTTTAATTAGATCCCATTTGTCTATTTTGGCTTTTGTTGCCATTGCTTTTGGTGTTTTAGTTATGAAGCCCTTGCCCATGCCTATGTCCTGAATGGTATTGCCTAGGTTTTCTTCTAGGATTTTTATGGTTTTAGGTCTAACATTTAAGTCTTTAATCCATCTTGAATTAATTTTTGTATAAGGTGTAAGGAAGGGATCCAGTTTCAGCTTTCTACATATGGCTAGCCAGTTTTCGCAGTATCATTTATTAAATAGGAAATCCTTTCCCCATTTCTTGTTTTTGTCAGGTTCATCAAAGATCAGATGGTTGTAGATGTGTGGCATTATTTCTGAGGCCTCTGTTCTGTTCCATTGGTCTATATATCTGTTTTGTTACCAGTACCATGCTGTTTTGGTTACTGTGGCCTTGTAGTATAGTTTGAAGTCAGGTAGCATGATGCCTCCAGCTTTGTTCTTTTTGCTTAGGATTGTCTTGGGAATGCAGGCTCTTTTGTGGTTCCATATGTGTAGTTTTTTCCAATTCTGTGAAGAAAGTCATTGGTAGCTTGATGGGGACGGCATTTAATCTATAAATTACCTTGGGCAATATGGCCATTTTCACGATATTGATTCTTCCTATCCATGAGCTTGGAATATTCTTCCATTTGTTTGTGTCCTCCTTTATTTCGCTGAGCAGTGGTTTGTAGTTCTCCTTGAAGAGGTCCTTCACATCCCTTGTAAGTTGGATTCCTAGGTATTTTATTCTCTTTGTAGCAGTTGTGAATGGGAGTTCACTCATGATTTGGTTGTCTGTCTGTTAATGGTGTATAGGAATGCTTGTGATTTTTGCACATTGATTTTGTATCCTGAGACTTTGCTAAAGTTGCCTATCAGCTTAAGGAGATTTTGGGCTGAGATGATGGGGTTTTCTAAATATACAATCATGTCATCTGCAAACAGGGACAATTTGACTTCTTCATTTCCTAATTGAATATCCTTTATTTCTTTCTCTTGCCTGATTGCCCTGGCCAGAACTTCCAACACTATGTTGAATAGCAGTGGTGAGAGAGGGCATTCTTGCCTTGTGCCAGTTTTCAAAGGGAATGCTTCCACTTTTTGCCCATTCAGTATGATATTGGCTGTGGGTTTGTCTTAAATAGCTCTTATTATTTTGAGATACGTTCCATCAGTACCTAGTTTATTGAGAGATTTTAGCATGAAGGACTTGAATTTTGTTGAAGGCCTTTTCTGCATTTGTTAAGATAATCATGTGGTTTTTGTCTTTGGTTCTGTTGATATGATGGATTACGTTTATTGATTTGCGTGTGTTGAACCAGCCTTGTATCCCAGGGATGAAGATCATGGTGGATAAGCTTTTTGATGTGCTGCTGAATTTGGTTTGCCAGTATTTTATTGAGGATTTACGCATTGATGTTCATCAGGGATATTGGTCTAAAATTCTCTTTTTTTGTTGTGTCTCTGCCAGGCTTTGGTATCAGGATGATGGTGGCCTCATAAAATGAGTTAGGGAGGATTCCCTCTTTTTCTATTGACTGGAGTACTTTCCGAAGGAATGGTACCAGCTCCTCTTTGTACCTCTGGTAGAATTCGGCTGTGAATCCATCTGGTCCTGGACTTTTTTTGGTTGGTAGGCTATTAATTATTGCCTCAATTACAGAGCCTGTTATTGGTCTATTCAGAAATTCAACTTCTTCCTAGTTTAGTCTTGGGAGAGTGTATGTGTCAAGGAATTTATCCATTTCTTCTAGATTTTCTAGTTTATTTGCATAGAGATGTTTATAGTATTCTCTGATGGTAGTTTGTATTTCTGTGGGATCAGTGGTGATATCCCCTTTATCATTTTTTATTGCATCTATTTTATTTTTCTCTCTTTTCTTCTTTATTAGTCTTGCTAGTGGTCTATCAATTTTGTTGATCTTTCCAAAAAACCAGCTCCTGGATTCATTGATTTTTTGAAGTGTTTTTTGTGTGTCTATCTCTTTCAGTTCTGCTCTGATCTTAATTATTTCTTGCCTTCTGCTAGCTTTTAAATTTGTTTGCTCTTGCTTCTCTAGTTCTTTTCATTGTGATGTTATGGTGTCAATTTTAGGTCTTTCCTGCTTTCTCTTGTGGGCATTTAGTGCAATAAATTTCCCTCTACACACTGCTTCAAATGTGTCCCAGAGATTCTGGTGCATTGTGTCTTTGTTCTCATTGGTTTCAAAGAACATCTTTATTTCTGCCTTCATTTCATTATTTACCCAGTAGTCATTCAGGAGCAAGTTGTTCAGTTTCCATGTAGTTGTGCAGTTTTGAGTGAGTTTCTTTATTCTGAGTTCTAATTTGATTGCACTGTGGTCTGAGAGACAGTTTTTTGTGATTTCTGTTCTTTTACAGTTGCTAAGGAGTGCTTTACTTCCAATTATGTGGTCAATTTTAGAATAAGTGCAATGTGATGCTGAGAAGAAGGTATATTCTGTTGATTTGGTGTGGAGAGTTCTGTAGATATCTGTTAGGTCTCCTTTTTGCAGAGCTGAGTTCAGGTCCTGGATATCCTCGTTAACCTTCTGTCTCACTGATCTGTCTAATATTGACAGTGGGGTGTTAAAGTCTCCCATTATTATTATGTGGGAGTCGACATCTCTTTGTAGGTCTCTAAGGACTTGCTTTATGAATCTGGGTGCTCCTGTATTGGGTGCATATATATTTAGGATAGTTAGCTCTTCTTGTTTAATTGATCCCTTTACCATTATGTAATGGTCTTTTTGTCTCTTTTGATCTTTGTTGGTTTAAAGTCTGTTTTATGAGAGGCTAGGATTGCAACTCCTGCTGTTTTTTTGCTTTCCATTTGCTTGATAGATCTTCTTCCACCCCTCTATTTTGAGCCTATGTGCATCGTTGCACGTGAAATGGGTCTCTTGAATACAGCACACAGATGGGTCTTGATTCTTTGTCCAAGTCTGTGTCTTTTAATTGGGGCATTTAGCCCATTTACGTTTAAGGTTAATATTGTTATGTGTGAATTTGATCCTGTCATTATGATGTTCGCTGGTTGTTTTGCCTGTTAATTGATGCAGTTTCTTCATAGCATTGATGGTCTTTACAACTTGGCATGTTTTTGCAGTGGCTGGTACCAGTTGTTTCTTTCCATGTTTATTTAGTGCTTCCTTCAAAACCCTTGTAAGGCAGGCCTGGTGGTGACAAAATCTCTGAGCATTGGCTTGTCTGTAAAGGATTTTATTTCTCCTTCATTTATGAAGCTTAGTTTGGCTGGATATAAAATTCTGGGTTGAAAATTCTTTTCTTTAAGAATGTTGAATATTGGCCCCCACTCTCTTCTGGCTTGCACGGTTTCTGCTGAGAGATCCACTGTTAGTCTGATGGGCTTCCCTTTGTGGGTAACTCGACCTTTCTCTCTGGCTGCCCTTAACACTTTTTCCTTCATTTCAACCTTGGTGAATCTGACAATTATGTGTCTTGGGGTTGCTCTTCTCGACGAGTATCTTTGTGGTGTTCTTTGTATTTCCTGAATTTGAATGTTGGCCTGCCTTGCTAGGTTGGGGGAGTTCTCCTGGATAATATCCTGAAGAGTGTTTTCCAACTTGGTTGCATTCTCCCCATCACTTTCAGGTATGCCAATCAAATGTAGATTTGATCTTTTCATGTAGTCCCATATTCCTTGGAGGCTTTGTTCATTTCTTTTTACAATTTTTTCTCTAAACTTCTCTTCTCACTTTATTTCATTAATTTGATCTTCAATCACTGATACCCTTTCTTCCACTTGATCGAATCAGCTACTGAAGCTTGTGCATGTGTCACGAAGTTCTCATGCCATGGTTTTCAGCTCCATCAGGTTATTTAAAGTCTTCTCTACACTGTTTATTCTAGTTAGCCATTCGTCTAATCTTTTTTCAAGGTTTTTAGCTTCCTTGCAATGGGTTCACACATCCTCCTTTAGCTCGGAGAAGTTTGTTACTACCGACCTTCTGAAGCCTACTTCTGTCAACTTGTCAAAGTCATTCTCCATCCAGCTTTGTTCCGTTGCTCGCTAGGAACTGCGATCCTTTGGAGGAGAAGAGGCGCTCTGGTTTTTAGAATTTTCAGCTTTTCTGCTCTGGTTTCTCCCCATCTATGTGGTTTTACCTACCTTTGGTCTTTGATGTTGGTGACCTACAGATGGGGTTCTGGTGTAGATGACCTTTTTGTTGATGTTGATGCTATTCCTTTCAGTTTGTTAGTTTCCTTCTAACAGTCAGGTCCCTCAGCTGCAGGTCTGTTGGAGTTTGCTGGAATTCCACTCCAGACCCTGTTTGCCTGGGTATCACCACCAGAGGCTGAAGAACAGCAAATATTGCAGAACAGCAAATATTGCTGCCTGATCCTTACTCTGGAAGCTTCGTCCGAGAGGGGCAGCCACCTATATGAGGTGTCTGTTGGCCCCTGCTGGGAGGTGTCTCCCAGTTAGGCTACATGGGAGTCGGGGACCCACTTGAGGATGCAGTCTGTCTGTTCTCAGAGCTCAAACTCCATGCTGGAGAACCACTGCTCTCTTCAGAGCTGTCAGACAGGGATGTTTAAGTCTGCAGAAGTTGTCTGCTGCCTTTTGTTCAGCTATGCCCTGCCCACAGAGGTGGAATCTAGAGGCAGTAGGCCTTGTTGAGCTGTGGTGGGCTCCGTCCAGTTCGAGCTTCCTGGCCACTTTGTTTACCTACTCAAGCCTCAGCAATTGTGGACGCCTCTCTCCCAGCCAGGCTGCCACCTCACATTTCGATCTCAGACGGCTGCGCTAGCATTGAGCAAGGCTCCATGGGCATGGGACCTGCCAAGCCAGGCACAGGAGAGAATCACCTTGTCTGCCAGTTGCTAAGACCTTGGGAAAAGCACAGTATTTGGGCAGGGAGTGTCCCGTTTTTCCAGGTAGTCTGTTGTGGCTTCCCTTGGCTAGGAGAGGGAAATCCCCCAACCCCTTGTGCTTCTTGGGTGAGGTGACGCTCCGCCCTGCTTCAGCTTGCCCTCCTTGGTCTCCACCCACTGTCTGACCAGTCCCAGTGAGACGAACCAGGTACCTCAGTTGGAAATGCAGAAATCACCCATCTTCTGCGTCTGTCATGCTGGGAGCTGCAGACCAGAGCTGTTCCTATTCGGCCATCTTGGAAAGCCGTAATTGAGAATCAGACTTTTAAACATTATATGACCATTAGAGATGTGATATGAACCTAACACTTTTTGACACCAAAACCCATTTGTGGAAATACTGATCTGGTATGGAAAGGAATATAGCTTTGAAGTTTCCCGGGGGCATAGAGTCCTGGGTTCTGTTGGCAGCAGAGGAGTTGGAAAGGGTGAGGAACATGGGGCAGCCAGTTCAAGTGGCTGCACCCCTCTTGTTCTGAGTCTTGGCCCAGGGCTTTACTTCAACCTAGGGTGACAAGATGACTTAGATGAGAGAAACTTCTATCGTAGATCCTGCCTGTCACTATAACTGTTGGGTTAAGAAAAGCCCATCTCTGCCACTTACTAGTTGGTGATCTTGGTCCAGTTGCTGTCCATCTTTGAGCCTCAGTTTGTTCATCTATAAAGTGGGATTGATGATAAGACTTATCTTGCAGGGATTTAGATGGGATTAACTGCATAATGCACAAAGGGTCCATACAAGAGGAGTTTTCATGAACACTGGCTGTCATGGATTTCCAGATAAGGACCTGCAAGAAGTGACTTAACTATTGAAATTCAAGGTATCATGTGCATATGAGAGGTGGGGGGAGTGGGGCTGATTATAAATCAGCAAAATCCCAGAGAAAGCCAGGTCTCTGGGAAAAGTCTCGTTTCCCTTTAGTAACTGGTGCTGCAGTTCGGCCCTGGATTTTTGTCCAGGCGCCCACATGTGCTTTGAGGATTTCCTCAGGAGTCTGGTATTTCGCTTCGTTGACCTCCCCAATCTCTGCCTTTGCATCCGTTTGTGTCTTTACTGAGAAGGGCCTCTCTAAGTACACCACACAGCACTGCGGGGCCTATAAATAGTGACAGGGCAAACTAGTTCAGATGCAATTGTTGCTGACTCAGACATTCGCTCCTCTGGCAGAAGGGAGGCACCATAGGATTTAAATAGGTGTGGCTCATCCCTCCCCTTCTGTGGGCTCCTTACTCCTTGTCTGCCTTTCCCACCATTCTGCCTGCGTCCCAGCCACCCCCACTGAAGGTAGGTCCCAACAGAAGCTGGCCCTTTCACAGGTCTCCTATACCAAGGAGGCTGCTGGGGTCCCGGTGTCTTGGTACTTTTCCATTCTCTCTTTGTCCTTTGCCACTGTGCTAGCAGAAAAGACGTTGGGAAAGAAAAGATTGTCATTGTCACAAGAAAGGAGATAAGGTAAAGTATGACAAATTTCCCAACCGTGCTCCTCTGATACGAGTTGTGGGTAGAGGAGGCAGTTTTTCTCCCCACCTCGAAACTGCATAAAACAGTTGACAAAACAGGCAACTTCCCATCCTTGGAAGATGACTTTGAAATAGGCCATTAGACAAAAGTAAGCTAAGAGCCAATGTATTGCTAAATATACTCATTCTTATAAAATCTGCTATTTTTGAGTTAAATGTTGCGGAAATTACCGAATTTGCATTTAATTATTTTAATACATCTTGTTTACAGATGACTAGGCAAAAATAAAAAAAAAATCCCCCAAACTAATTCACTTTGACTGCTCCGGTTGTAACTGTGCCTAAAATAGAAAAACTTACTCTGAATATTTTCTCAAAGTCGGAGGGAAAGCCAACTTTAATTCCATTTTGTCTCAGTGTCAATACCACACATACTGTTTCTTCTATTAAATGAGATTTATACTTTCGAAGTCAGGGATAAAATATATTTTCCCCATTGAAGGACTCTTCTAGACCTGTCTCCTGATTGGCCTGTAGACTTTGTTTTGGGTAAAATGAGGAAGAAAGTGTTATATAGTCCACAAGGGCATGGCCTTTATGGTTAAGCAGACCTGGGGTTGAATTCAAGTTTTGCTTCTTACTAGCTGTGTATCCTTGGGCAATTCACTTAACCTCTCTGAGTCCTGGTTTACTGTTTTCAAATAGAGACAGTAATTTAGCTGTGTAAGTGTTATAAAAATTAACAATAACATATGTAAAGCAGCTACTATAGTGCCTAGCAAACAGTAGGTCCTCAGTAAATACATATTTCTTCCGTTTCCTCCTCTCCTTCCCTCTTTAGATGTGATCAGGCATTTTCTTCCTCCTTGATAGAGAAAACTTGATAGGTTAAATGGTCTGTCAAATGGTTTACAGGTCCCAGGGATAACTGTGAGAGAGAAGAAGAGAATTTTCTGAGCAATCGTTGTTCCTGGCCATACTTGTGGGCAACGTGTATTTGGAGCTTGTTTCTCAGAAGGAGATTGGCAGGTGTCTAGTCTACTTGAAATGCTTTTCATTCCTGTCTCTGCTTTAGGGACACCCAGGGCCATCAGTCTAGCAATCTGCTTTTGTGCTTTGAAGCTCAGCTGAGGATGCTGGGGAGTGGTCAGCTTTGCTGTTTTGTTTCTGTGTTGGCAGATCCCCTGCATTCTGCAGAGGTTGCACATCTTAACAAAATGGGGAAGAAGCAATGAGTGAAAAAAGGCAGATTAGAGGGGCCATACCCATGTGTGGCCACCTCACTGGGCTAGGGAAGGGAAAACGAAAAGGGAAATGGTGGTGGTTAGGGGTGGCTTCCAGTATCCTCCTCAGAACTGTTCTAGCTCCCATGACTCTTAGAATAATATTTGCCACATATGAAGGAAAAGGACTACAGTCCAGACCATCTTCATTTAACTGAATTCTAGCTGTGGGTTTCCAAGTATGGGAGGATAGCACATTCATTCAACAAACACTGCACAACGAGTTCCATAAAGGCAGGGGCTGTTGACAATCTTTTCTCACCAGTGTACTCTCAGCATTTCACATACTATCAGGCACCTTGTGAATACTCGATAAATAGTGAATGGGTTTATACAGCAAGGCAATCAACTCTAGCGCAATGGCTCTCAAACTTGAGCGAGCATGCATCAGGATCACTTGGAGAGCTTTTTAAAGCACAGATTGTTGGCCAGTTTGCCTAGAATTTCCAAGTCCTTATGTCTGGGGCAGGGCCCGAGAATTTCCAGTTGTAGTAAGTTCCCAGGTGATGCTGTTGCTGCTGGTCCAAGGGCCATATTTTGAGAACCACTACTTTGGTGGTCAAGAGTGAAAGCCCTGGAGTCAAGAATACTTGAGTTTGAATCCCTGCTTCACTGGGTATTAGCTGGTTAACGATGAACAAGTCACTTAACTCCTTTAAGCCTCTATTTCTATGTCTATGAAGCGCAGATAATCATATGTATGTCATAGGATGATTAAGAGGATTAAATGAGATTGACTTAAAATTTTCAGTGTAGGCCTTGTTTATAGTAGACACTCAATACACAGAAGGTAGCTGGATTATGTACTGAGCATGTACTTTGGCAAGGCCCTCATCTACCCTTAGGTAGCTCATTTACCCAAGCCTTGCGACACAGAATGCAGAGACAAACGCCATATCATCTCTGCCCTCAAGAAGCTTATAGATTAGTGGGGAAGCCAAGTGGTTAAAGCAATAATCATTTACCATGTGTTAAATGTAGGCTCTTGTGGGGCACAGAGGGAGGCATTCAACCTAGCTGGGGCTGGGGGCTCAGGGAAGGATCCTGATGCAAGACTCATGCTGAAGCTGAATCTTAAGTGTAGAGAAGATGGGGAAGGTTGATATAGGCAGAGAAAATGTTTGAGTAGAATTGGAAGGGCCCATTTGGTGGCCTTGTAGTTATCCAAAAGCCTTTCACGGTGCCCAAATCTTACTATGAGTAACTTCTTGGAGTCAAGGCAGAGTCTATCTTGGAAGTTTAATTCATTGAACCTTTATTAGATGTAGACTTTCTTACTCGCTCAGTTCCACCTTCTTGGACTTTTGATGTTTCGTGAACATCTAAAGCTTGTTCTCACCCCAGCCTTTTGGATGTGCTATTTTTTCAACTGGGAGCTCTCTCTTCCCTGAGACTTACTCATGGATGGCTCCTCTTCTTGTCACCTGCTCAGACAGGCCATTCTCTGACGCCTATTTTAGAGTGACCCCTCTGTTCCCTACACTATATTCCTACTGGGCTCCATTTCTCTTCAGGGCACATCTCACTCTCTCAAGTCACATATTTATTTACTCATTTATTTTCTCTCTCCCCAACTAGAAGTGCAGCTCCATGAAGACAGGGACTGTGTCTGGCTTAAGGGCTTAGGTATATAATCAACACTTGATAAGTGTTTGTTGAATGACTGTTGAGTAATACTAAATGGGTGAATGAGTGAATCCCTATACAGAACCCCACAATGGTCCTTGGAGACTACCTAGTTTCTCTCCTTCATGTTACATTGGGAGGAATTGAGGCCCAGGGAAGGGAAGGGAATTTCCCAAAGCCACACAGGGAGTTGATGTTAGATCTGGCCTTAAACCCAGGACCCTTGACCCTTGGAATAGTGCTCTCAGGTCATCTACCCAAGTGGACAGCAGGCACTTTATGGGATGAGCCATCACGCGGTGGAATGCCCGACATCATAGTGGCATTGTCTGATCAGTATTTTTTTTTTTTTGAGTGGGGTTTTGCTTTGCCCCTCAGGCTGGAGTACAATGATGCTATCACTCAAGTGATAGCTCAAGTGATCCCCCTGCCTCAGTCTCCCAAGTAGCTAGGACTACAGGTTTGTGCCATCATGCCCAGCTATTTCAAAATAAATTATTTTTAGAGATGGGGTCTTACTATGTTATCCAGGCTGGGCTTGAACTCCTGGCTTCAAGTGATTCTCCTGCCTTGGCCTCCCAAAGTGCTGGAATGACAGGTGGGAGTCACCATGCCTGGCCTGATCATGCAGTCTTTAGTAGCTTTGACTTTGGCGGAAGTGTCATTCCTATATAGAGTGCAGCTTAATAGCACTGGGTGATGGGGAGTGGACAGGAATGAGTTTTAGAAGTAAGTACAGTAAAATGTCATGATAGACAGCATCCTACTTCACCAGGTTGTCCTGGCCAATGGTGAAAATCCTGTGATTCTGAGTTAGAGCAAACAAGCTAGTAGTCATAGTAGTACTAATTCTAGCCCTAGTACTAATGAGAATACAGTCAACATTAACTGAGCACTTACTATGTGTGAACCACTGTGTCGGGTGCTTTATGTATGCACAATCTTTCAACAGCCTGTTAATTTGGCACCACTGTTACCACCCCATTTCGCAGAAGAAACGGAGGGTCAGAGAGATGAAGTCACCTGTCCCAGGTTTTGGACCAGGGTTAGTTGACTCCAGAGTACCTGCTCTTAATGTTGATAAGGCATGTAAATCCTGGGATCAGATCCTGGCTATGACACTTAGGGCCTCAGGCAAGCAACAACTTCTTTGAACTTTGGTTTCCTCATCCATAGAAATGGAGCAAAAATACACTCCCTGCTGGATTGCCACGAATCCCATTCAGGGATTCACTGTGGCCTTTATTGCATCCATAAATGCCAGCTCTTACAGTTAATGGCTCCTCTTCTTTTCTTTAATTCTATTTCAGTATTAGGTGTTCTGTGTTACCATATACCCATTAAGATCCCAGCAACCCAGGGAGTCACCACTTTTCTCAGTCTTGCTGGCCCTGTGTTTTCCCTCTTGCCTTTGGAATTTCTGAATCTTGTTCTCTGCAAGTGAGAAAGGGGGGAGGTTCTCTTTGTAAAACCCATGAGCCACTTTCAGGCTACAATAAGACAGGAAGGAGGCCTGGAGAAAGTGACTTCTGGAATCAACCCAAAGGACTTGAGTGGTTTCTGGAGGCTGCAGGAGGCAGGATGTCCAAAGATTCCTCCTTAAGGAGCAACTGCAGGCTCCCATCCACTCTGTGCATGTGGCTGTTGCTGCCTCCAGGAACGGAACTCAGAGTTGAGTCAGATGAAATTGCAAAAAGGCTGGGTGGTTCTGGACTCAGAGAGGCTCCCAGCTCTGTTGAATCTGGCTCAATCTCTTCCTAGATCTGCGGTCTTGGGCAACCCCCTTTGTCTCTCTGAGATTTGGTTTCTTCATCTGCAAAATGGGCTGGTTGTGAAGAGTAAATAAAGGGATGAGTCATTAGTTAAAAGAAAAGGATTGTATACAGGTGGGGCTGACATTAAAAGCTGCTGAATTTATTCAACAAATATTTATTGAATACTAAATGCCTGTGGGGCACTGTTCTAGATCTGGCATTGGCAAGCTATGGCCTTCAGGCCAAATCCAGCTGCTGCCTGTTTTTGCAAATAACGTTTTGCTGCAACACATCCATGTCAATTCACTGACCGATCATCTATGGCTGATGCTGCTACAACAGAAGTGAGTAGTTGTGACAATGACAGGCTCACAAGCTTACAATATGTAGTCTCTGGCACTTTACAGAAAAAGTTGCTGATCCCTAATTGAAGTGATGGGAAAAAATGAACAACACACACACACATCTCTGATGGGACTTTCCTGGAGCAGGAAGACAGATAATAAGCAAAGTAAAATATAACTAAACTAGATAATATATAAGAAGGTAGCAAGCACAAGGGAGAATAATAAAACAAGGGTGGGGGACAAAGAATGCTGGGGAGAGGGTAGAATTGTAGTTCTGAGCAGGCTGAGAGTAGAATTGTGGTTCTGGGCCAACATCACTAAGAAGATGCCATTTCAGCCTTGACTTGATGGGGTGGAGGGAGTGGGCAGTGAGGATATCGGGAAGTGTTCCAAGCAGAGGGACCAGCAACTGCAAAGGCCCTGAGGCAGGAGTGTGCTCTGTGCCTCCTAAAATCAGTGAAGAGTGTAGCATGGCTGGACCCCGATGGGCAGCGGGGACGGGGTTGGTGGGGGCAGAAGCAGGAGATAAGAATCTTCCTTTTAGGCTCAGCCAGTTGTCTCAGACCTCATGGCAATTCTGTACACTGCCTTTTTCTCTGAGTGGGTTAGAAACCACTTCCAGTGTTGACCCAAGAAGTAATGTGATCAGAGTTATACTTTACAAATCCCAGGGGCCTCCAGGGGAGCTGGAGAAAAATCCAGGAGATTAGAGAGCCTAGGAGGCTCCCTGTTGACCTCTGAGCCTTTTGTCCCTGAATATTTCCTTTTACACCTTAGGCAGGCATCAAGAATCCAGACACCGACAGGAGCCAGGCTGGATGGGACTCAGCAGGAGGTCTGGGGACTGTAGCAAAGTGAGGGACACACGGCCCTTTCAGGAGACCACTCTTTACCTCCAGCCAGTGGCTGTTATGTAGGAATGTCAGCTCAGTGTCACCATAGCTGATTCCTCAAGAGAACTCAGAGATGCAGATTTTAACATATAATTGTGCTGCATTGATCTATGGATTAGTAATTCAACTTGTCTTTTTAAACACCACTCAGAACAAAACATATTTGCAGTACCTTTTTGGCAAGCATACACCCAGTTTACTGAATACAAGGATTTGGGCTTTGTTTTATTTTATTTTATTTATTTTTTTGAGTAGGTCAATTGGGACCTGGCATTAGAAAATTGTTGTTTGTAATCATGTGCCCAGGTGAATGAGTGAATCCCAGATATGCACCAGAACACACACAGGAGGACTCTGTGGTGCCCTGCATAGCCCTCGGGCTGGTGTAGCAGGTTGCACAGGACTTGGGTCTGAATGTCCCTTTTTGCTCCTATTACCTTGTGGGTATAGCTTGTACAGGAATGACAGCTCATTCATATTCTGGGGCTGGCAATGTGCTCAGGACTGTCCAAGAGATTGAGAAGTTGACTCCTTGTTCGGGGCCTCCAGAAGTGTGCACTCCAGGAGAAAGGATAGCATAAGCTGTCCTTAAAAACAGAGAAATACTACTCTCTGCTTCTACGAGTTTGGCTATTTATTTATTTATTGAGATGAGGTTTCGCTCTTGTTGCCCAGGCTGGAGTGCAGTGATGTGATCTTGGTTCACTGCAACCTCTGCCTCTCCGGTTCAAGGGATTCTCCTGCCTCAGCCTCCCAAGTAGCTGGGATTACAGGCATGAGCCACCACGCCTGGCTAATTTTGTATTTTTAGTAGAGACGGGGTTTTGCCATGTTGGTCAAACTCCTGACCTCAGGTGATCTGCCCACCTCGGTCTCCCGAAGTGCTGGGATTACAGGCTTGAGCCACTGTGCTCACCCCGAGTTTGGCTATTTTAGATTCCATATCTAGGTGGAATTCATGCAACGTTTGTCTTTCCATGCCTGGCTTATTTCTCTTAGTATCACGCCTTTCAGGTGTGTCTATGTTTCCGGGGCTGTGGGGAGAGGGAAGTGGGGAGATATTGACCAGGTTTCACTTGTGCAAGATGAATGAGCTCTGGAGATCTAATGTACAGCCATGTGACCATTGCTAACAATACTGTACTGTATACTTGAGATTTGTCAAGATGGTAGGTGTTAAGTGTTCTCACACGAAGAAACAAAAGGAAATGGTAACTATGTAAGATGACAGATGTGTTAATTAGCTTTATTGTATCGATTATGTCACAATGAATATATATATCAAAACATCAAGTGGTATACCCTAAATATATACAATTTTAATTTTTCAATCATAACTCATTAAGTCTGGAATACAGAAATATATACTGGAAACAAACATACATATGAAAACCCAACAGAGAAATACTGGTTAGTGCCAGGTAACCAAACTGAAGGCGTCAGGCCAATCTGGCCAACAATCATGTTGTGTTTGGGTTGATGGTCTTATTTAAAAAAATGTTTTAAGCTAGTTGCTGGCTTTTGAAAATCAAAATATTTCACACTGTTCCTTTGCATATATACCCAGAAGTGGGATTGCTGTATCATATAGTAGTTTTATTTCTAATTTTTTGAGGGACCTCCATACTGTTTTCCATAGTAGCTGTACTAATTTCTATTCCTACCAACAGTGGATAAGGGTTCCCTTTTCTCCACATCCTCGCCAATACTTGCTATCGTTTGTCTTTTTGATAATACCCATTCCAACAGGTGTGAAGGGATAGGCACAATTATTATTCATCAATTAAAACTAAATAAATAAATAAAATGGAGGAAAAAGGACTTCACACTAAATTCCAGATGTGAGCTTCTCTTGATGCAAAGCATCAGGAGACTCTGGCCATGCCAGGCCTGAATTCCTGCATGGATGATTGGGTAATGCTGAGAATGGCTGCCTCTTGCAGGTGCAGGTGTGTGCTCCCTACTCACCCAGCAGTTTACTTTACTTATTTACATTCCCCGACTGTCCCCTCCCTCCCTGAGGCTTTTGAGTTTGCATCCCTTGAAGTTGGGGCTACTAATCTGAGGAAGGCTCACCTGGGGTTGTGTCCTGTCTACGAGAACCGACATGCTCAACCCTAGGACTAGAATGCCATGTGTTCTCTCTGATCAATGATCAGTTATGATTGTGCTACCTGTTGCATTTCTAAACACCTAGCACTGTGCACCAGCTCAACATCCAGGTCACAGGATAGAGCAGCCTTCAGATGAAATTACAAACAGATATAGGGCTGCTATTCTGGTAGAATTCTGAACTGTCCCATGGGTTCCAGAGGTTGACTTTCTTCTCTTCCAGGTCCTTCTGTCCTCACCGCGTGGCCCAGGAGGTCTCTTTCTCTAAGGGTGAACTCCGTGGCCACTGATGCTATTCTGGAACACTGAGAGGCAAGGGAGAGAACAGACTTTCCCTTTGTCCCATCTGATGTCCTAATGTAGCCTTCTTGGGCAACTTTATCACACAGCAAAGTCAGGGTTGCAGCTGGGACTCTGGGAACATTTCATCCATGATGTCATAATTGATTTTCCTCCTTTTGTCCTCCCTCTAGACTCCCCTCTCCTTCCCCACACCATCCCTGTTTCTCTGCCGCTATAATGCTTCACTGCTTCCCCTAGACGGTTGGGGAGAATTCACTCTCCATGACTTGTTTTGTCCCTGTTAATCCCCAATCAATATGTGGCACCCAATGTAGTCGCTGTTCCGGGAAAAATAACTATTATTCTGCCTAGGCCAAGAGTCATCTTAATTTAAAAGGATAAATTGCTCACTCAACTTCCAGACTTTTCATTCAGAAGGGAGACAAGTTCATGGGTTGGCAGAGGGAGGCGGCACTTCCTCATAGGCTATGCATATAGAAATACTCTTCTTATCCTTTCAAAAACTTTTGTTTATATTTTTTACTGAAGGTTGTGCCAATCTCTTTGAACACATTTTCTCTAGTCCTCTCAACAGCCTGAGAGTAGTTGATTCATTTATAACTTGAGGAAACTGAGGCAAAGAGATAACAAGACTTATCCAAAGTCATTTAACTTGTCAGTAGCAGAGCTGGGATTGAATTTAGTGTGTCAGACTCCAAAGCTCATGCTGTATATTGAAGAAAACACTCTTCCGGAACTTCACACCCCAGAGTTTCATTCTTGTCTATCTCCTGGGGCGAGCTGAAAGCCCCCTTCTCAAAGATCTTCTCCTGGCATGAGTTTCATGATTTATCTTTCTCCAGCAAGCCTGATTTATAGAGTTTTAGTTATACATAGAGGGAAATGATTATGTTTCTGAGATGAATTATTGCACATTTGAGGTCACAGAGTGTCCTTAATGTCCCATGAGCAGGTGAGTGGAAAGACCAGGGGCTAATGAATGGGAAGAAAGCCAGGGACACAGGTGTTTGCAGAGCCACAAGAATCTCAGGTGAGACTCAGCTCAGCTCTTGAACACAGTAACCCAACCTGCCTAGGCCTCTCAGTCTGTGAGTAAGATGAAGTCACAGTAACAGGAATTGTGCACATTTTCTGGCTCTTATCTTCATTCACATATACAGGACTTCTGCCCATGCAAAGCTTTCCTCTCTTCTGTCTGATAATTCTTGTGGTGGGGTTATTTCACCCTTGCTTTCAGCTGACTGCATTCATCTCATAGTGTCCACCATGTTTTTTCTTCCATGTTGGCCTCATTGTCAACGTTTGTATCTTGAGATGCTCTTGAGGGTGCCATGGGCCACCATGTCATAGGCTTTGTGTCCAGATGCTTACGAAGGTGCTAACTCTAAAGATTTCCAGAGCATTGGAAAGAAGTCATCTCTCCCCCATTCTGGGATATACGCCACTCTCCAAGCTCCAAAGCCATCCTGCTTGGGCTTTGTTCTAGAGTCCTACGAAAACACAGCCATTAGTTTCTCCATCTGTTCCATCTCCAAATTGCTCCAGGAGGCATGCATGTGTCTGGTTCTTGATCCAACCTCATTTCTTTCTTTTGTGACATCAAAGCTTCTTGCTTTCTTCTTCATCCCCAGCTAATGCCCTCATACGGTTGTCTAAGGGGGCCAGGTTTACCAGCTTTCCATATTCTCAGTCATGTCTGAATTCCAGTTTGGCTTCAAGGTAGGATATAGTAGTATTTAATAGTATGAGCTTGGGTGGGAATGTAAAATGGTGCAGCAGCTTTGGAAAACAGTTTGGCAGTTTCTTAAAATGTTAAATATAAACTTACTATACGACCCAGCGATTTCCCTCCTAGGCATCCACCCAAGAGAAGTGAAAGCATATGTTCACACAAAGACATATCCATGAATATTCATACAAACATTATTTATAATAGTCCAAAGTGGAAACACTCCAAATGTCAATCAATTAGTAAATGGATAAACAAAATGTGGTATATCCATATAATGGAATATAATTCAGCAATAGAAAAGGAATGAAATACTGATATCTGCTACAACATGGGTGATCCTCAATAACAGTATGCTAAATGAAAGAAGCCAGATGTATAGGCTCGTGTTGCAGAATTCCATTATGAATTGTCCAGAAATGGCAAATCTATTGGGAAAGAAAGTAGATTAGTGGTTGCCTGGGCTGGGGTGGGGATGGAGGTGAAGATTAACAGCAAATGATCATGGGGACGTTTTGGGGGTGCTGAAAATGTTCTAAAACTGGAGGATAATCGAAATTCTATACATTTACTAAAAATCACAGAATTGTATACTTACAATGTGTGAGTTTTATGGTATGCAAATTACATATCAATAAAACTTTTTATTTTTTAAAAAAGTATGATTTTAGATTCTGACAGACCTTAATTGCTTAATAGCTTCCTCTATTGCTTACTAACTGTGCCACTGTCAATTACTTACGTTGGTTGAGCCTCAGTTTCCCTGTCCATAAAATGGGCGTAAATACTACTTCATAGGGTTGTTGTAAAAATTGAAACTGGTTAAAGCTTGAGAAGTGTTTAACGTCAAGGAAATATAATAATAAACAATAAAATATATTAAAAACTTAATATTGATATACTATTATACGCTCAATAAAAGTTAATTTCTGTTATGGTTGCCTTTCCTTGCTGTGAAGACATTCTTTATATTATTAACATTTTGAAATGTACCATAGGAGTATACGGCTAGCAAAATAATTGGGTTTCTTTTATTTTGGAAAGTGTTTCTGAATATGTGGTGCATCTGTGGATGGAAGGTGTCTAAGCTTGGAGGAGATGCGGTAAGCATTGCTATTACTGTCTACTGCATGCTGTCCCAAGTGGGTCCTGTCTGGACCACATTTCAGGCCATCACCCTCCCTCCCACTTGCTTACCACAACAGGTCTTCTGGTCTTCCCGGGCTCCTGGGCTTCTGCTTCCTATTTTTGCAATGCTTCTCATAGAGAGGCTTAGAAGGAGAGAGGATGGGTAGGATGTCCCCATGGGGCTTCCCGCAGCCTCCCAATTAGACTGGTTGTGGGGAGACTCCGGAGGAGGGAGGTCTTGGCCCGTGCCAGCAGGATGGCTATGAGTCTGTGGAGAAAGAAAATAGAGCACAGAAAGGGAGCTGAACTTTCTAAGCAGCCAGTTTCATTTTGGGCATGGCAGTTGCTTGTGCTGTCAGGGAGAATCAAGCTCATCTGCTGAGGAGAGCTGCCAGGGGCTGACAGACTCCATCCTTATAGGTTCCTCAGCTCCTCTTGGGCTTATTAAAAACTTGGCTCTGCCTGGCCGGGGTACAGAGCTTCTAGGTTGAGGAACATTGAGCATGTTGAAGTTGAGAGCGCCCTTTCAGATGATTTATTGGCACTTGAAGTCTTCATCATTTGGCTTCTATCATAGACACACTTTACTCTTGGATCTCACCAAGGGTTGACTTCTCCATGTGCCCTGGTCTCTCTATTCCCATAGGTAGTGTGCTACCTTCTGCCTCTTTACCTTTGTCCCTGCAGCCCTATGCCATTATTATTTTTGCAGATGAGGAAACTGAGCCTGAGAGAGATCAAATAACTTGCTCAAGGTCACATAGCTAGTAAGTGGCAGAGCTGGAATTAGAACCCAGCTTTTAATGATTCAAGAGCCTGAGTGCTTGGCTATTGAGCTCTGCTACCTTCCAAATTTTGGTGTGAATTATAGCATATTTTATAATTGTATGCTGGTACATCTGCCTCCCTTGTGCAAAGATTGTATACTTTTCATCTGTGTATCTTCTGGGCCCAGCATGAAGCCTGATGTACAGTAGCAAATTTGGTGCAAGTTTAAGTTCCTGCATCAGAGTCCACCTCCACCACTTACTAGCTCTGTGGCTTTGGGTGACTCAGTTAAAGCTTTCTGAACCTCAGTTTCCTTGTTATAGGATAATAATACCTACCCAGGGTGTGTGTGAAGATTTGGTGACATGATGCATGTTTGGTGTTTGATGCATACCAGATGTGGTACACATTTTTGTTTTCTTTTGGGACATTCAATCCTGTATATTTTCAACCGAGGCAGTTTAGATAGGGTTTACCTTAATCTCCAGCTCCAAGGAGAGAAGACCTTCAGCAGCCTGGCCAATCAGAAGGCTGAATTACCCTGATCACAGGGATTGGTTCAAAGGTGGACATGTGACCTGGATGAGCCAATCTGTGCCTTCTCTGGGACTTTGGCTAGAAAAAAAAAATCAGTAAGTGGCAAATTACATCCTTCTGAGATGATAAGTACAATGAACCATGTAAATAGTGAGCTGTGTAGCCACCAGGTGGGAAAGGATTTTTCTGAGAATGAAGCCGTCCCAGAGGAAACAGAACCAAGAGGACAAAGAAAGAGAGAGTTCTGATCATATTGTTCATTTCATGCCTGTAGTTTTCTAGTCACATCAATAAACTTGCTCTTTCTCACGTTCTCTCTCTCTCTCTCTCTCTCTCTCTCTCTCTCTCTGCTTTGAGCTAGCTGAAGTTGGTTTTTGCTACTAATGAGTTAAATTTTTATTCGACAAAGGGGGTGTTTTAAAATGGTGAGCTTTGCGTTTATTCCCCGAGTGAGGGAATGAACAAAATAATATAAGCTTGTTAAAGATCAGAGTTGGGCTGGCTGTGGTGGCTCATGCCTATAATCCCAGCACTTTGGGAGGCCGAGTGGGTAGATCACCTGAGGTCAGTAGTTCAAGACCAGCCTGGCCAACATGGTGAAATCCCATCTCTACTAAAAAAATACAAAAAATCAGCCAGGTGTGGTGGTGGGCACCTGTAATCCCAGTTACTTGGGAGGCTGAGGCAGGAGAATCGCTTGAACCCAGGAGGCAGAGATTGCAGTGAGCCGAGATTGCACTATTGCACTACAGCTTGGGCGACAGAGAGACTCGGTCTGAAAACAAAAACAAACAAACAAACAAACAAAAAAACAACAGACACACACACACACACACACACACACACACACACACACACACAGAGTTAACTTAACTTTAGTTCTAGCAAAGATCAAATAATTAGGTAGGCAGTCAAGGTGAAGATAGGTCCAGAATTTACAGGGAAGAAGGCTCTTCAGGGGGAAGCAGGACATTGAGGCTTAGTAATTTCATTACTAAGACAGCTGCAGTAGGGGTGGCAGGTGAGATTGATCAGGTAGGTTGGGGCCAGGTGATCAAGAGCCTTAACTGTCATGAGAATAGATTGGAAGATGAATAGTGGATGGTGAAACTGAAGGCCAGTAGGCCATTTGGAAACAATGGGGATGAATGAGGGCAGTGGCAGTGGGTATAAGGCACAGACTTAGTCCTTAATTTTGAGTCAGTATAAATTTGAATGGGAAAGGAGGATATGAATTGGGGTCTAGTCTGGTGTAGCAAAAGCCTTACACATAGTAAGTCCTATAATGCTCAGTCAGTTTGATTTATTTTTAAAGGGAGTGTTATGGACATTGTAGAGGGCACATTCTCATAAGACAATGAGTATGTAATATGTTAGGTGGTGATCAGAGCTGAGAAATAAGAAATTTTGGTAGGAGGACAGGGAGTGGAGGGTAAGGTGTTGTTAAGTAGGATATCCAAAGAGAGCCCCCCTCCGGCCCCACCCTGCTTTTTTGAGACAGTCTTGCTTTGTCACCCAAGCTGGAGTGCAGTGTCCTGACCACGCCTCACTGAAGTCTTGACCTCCAGGACTCAAGTGATCCTCCTACCTCACCTTTTCGAGTAGCTGAGACTGCAGGTGTGTGCCACCACACTTGGCTAATTGTTTTGTTTTTTTGTAGAGATAGGATCTTGTTATGTTACTCAGCCTGGTCTCAAATTCCTAAGCTCAAGCAATCCTCCTGCCTTGGCTTCCTGAGTCGCTGGGACTGCAGGCAGGCACCATCATGCCCGGCTAATTTTTTGAAGTTTTTGGAGTCTTGGGGTCTTGCTAAGTTTCTCAGGCTGATCTTAAACTCCTGGGTCAGGTGATCCTCCCACTTTGGACTCCCAAAGCACTGGGATTACAAGCCTAAACCACTGTGCCTGGCCCAAAGAGAGCATCTTTGATTAGAAAACCAACCGTTACCTCAAGACACATGAGACTGCATGCTTACTAATTTCTGGGAAAATATTTATCATGTAATACTAGAGGGAAAAAAATCAGCGTATGAATTAGAAGCAGATTAGGATGGAGCAAGATTGCTTTTTACCATTGGGGGAAATATTGAATTTGATTTGATCTTTTTCATTTATTTATTTAAGAATTTTTAAAAGCCCACATCACAACCAATGGTAACACAAGAGAGTGTTGTGAGCCCCAAGTTGAGTACAGTATCCCTAGGTATGGTCAATTTCTCAATGTTTCTCCTAAAGTGTAGTGTCCTGAGCTAAAACCTTCCAGAGCGTGCTGAGCAGCATCATGTGAAAAGGGACAAATGGATTGTTTTCTCCAGGGGTGTGACAGGTATATGATGATTCAGGGTGGCTGCTTTGACCTGGCTCTCTCTAGACTCCAGAGCATTTTGGGATTCTGAAAATCAAAATTATTATCTTTTTGTGTGTGTGTGAATTACTGAGTGTTGCAGGCATCAGTCTTGACCTCTGGGGCTCAAGTGATCCTCCTACCTCATCCTCCTGAGTAGCCGAGACTACAGATATGTGCCATCATGCTTGGCTAATTGTTCTATTTTTTTGTAGGGATGGGTTTGCTGTGTTACCCAGGGTGACCTTGAACTCCTGGGCTCAAGCAATCCTCCCACCTTGGCTTCCTAAGTAGCTGGAACTGCGGGCAGGCATCACCATGCCCAGCTAAGATCCACTTGTGGTCTTCAAGGGTAGGCCCAACTTGGCTTATTACTCATTCACTCATTTCTCCTTACTCACCACCTGCTTGCATCTCTCCTCATGCTCAGGGATGGGCTGGTGGGTGAAAATCTTGCAAGGCACTTAATACACACATCACTCAGTTGTTCATAAAAGCTGAATGTTTAATGACTTAAAAACCCCCAACTTTATGATGGTATAATTGACATAACATCAAATTCACCCATTTTAAGTATACAATTCAATGATTTTTAGAAAATTTACTGACTTGTGCAACTATCATGAGCATCCAGTGTGAGGACATTTTTTGTCACCCCAATAAGATCCTTGTGCCTGTTCTCATCCCTAACCTCAGGTAACCACTAATTGATTTTCTAGCTCTAGAGATGTGTCTTTTCTGGACATTACATGTGAATGGAATTATACAGTATGTGATCTTCTATGTCTGGCTTCCTTTACTTAGCATGTTTTTGAGGTTCATCCCTGTCTTAGCAGGTATAAATTCTTCATTTTTTATTGCTGCATAATATTCCATCATATGGATAGACCACTCCATTCACACATTGGCGAACATTGGAGCTCTTTTTAATGCTGAGATATTATGAGTAATGCTGCTATGAATACTCACTTGTGAGCCTTTTGTGGACACATGTTTTCATTTCTTTTGAGTAGATACCTAGGAGTGGAATTGCTGGGTAATATATATTAAGATTATATTCAACTTTTCAAGAAAGGAATAGCTTGGTTTTTAAGCTGTGTCAAAGTGCTCTCCCCACCACATATAGAGGGTTGTGTTGAGCATCTCTCATAACCTGGAATGCCCTCCACACATGGCTGCAACTGAGATATTTGCAATGGAATGTTCAGGTCCTTCCATGCCCAGCCATTTGCTGGAGCATTTCCGCCTACTAGTCATTCTGCCAAGCCTCCCATTCCTGCCACAGCCAACCCCAAGGAAGGGGGAACACAAAGACGTCTGTGGCTGTCTGAACGTGGCTTTTTCTCCAGATGGGACAGATGCAGTGGCTGTAAAAGCAGCTGCGATGTTTCCGTGCTGAAAAGGGCTTTTCATGCAAGAGACGAAAAGAGGAATGTCATGCTGGAAAGGTGAACTTTGGGAGCTGGTATGAAAAGAATGTGATGTGTGCTCCCTGTTTCTCTGGGACAAATGAGTCATGTTTGAGAAATGGTCCCTTTTCAGCCTCAATGACTGCTTGCATCTATTTCAACATCCAAAAAAAGTACAGGGAGAGGAGAGCTGGAACTTGAGCAAGACTCAAAGGTTGCTGGAGACTCGGAAACAGTCATCTGATGGTGTGACAGGTCAGTGAGCCAATCAGCCAGCCAAAGAGCTGTGATGAAGGGAGAGTCTGTGATTGTAGAGTGACACATGGCCTCATTTATCCTGGAGAAAGCTGGGGAATTTGGTCTCAGACAGCTGGTACTGAATTGAGTCTTTGTATGTCCAAGAGACAAGATATTCATTTAAATTGAACAGATGCCAATGTTACTTGGGCTCCTTAGTGGTAACTGATCCTCCCCTCATGGGCCTGAAGGTATTAAAAAATATTTAGTACGTGGCTTCTAAGATTTAACTGTAGCCCTTAAGAAGTAAACTCAGACATACAAGAGATGTGAAACTGGCTAGCCATATGCAGAAAACTGAAACTGGACCCCTTCCTTACACCTTATACAAAAATTAACTCAAGATGGATTAAAGACTTAAATTTAAGACCGAAAGCCATAAAAACCCTAAGAGAAAACCTAGGCAATACCATTCAGGACATAGGCATGGGTAAAGACTTCATGACTAAAACACCAAAAGCAATGGCAACAAAAGCCAAAATTGACAAATGGGATCTAATTAAATTAAAGAGCTTCTGCACAGCAAAAGAAACTATCATCAGAGTGAACAGGCAACTTACAGAATGGGAGAAAATTTTTGCAATCTATCCATCTGACAAAGGGCTAGTATCCAGAATCTACAAAGAACTTAAACAAATTACAAAAAAAAAAAAAAACCCAAAAACAAAAAAACAGCTTCCCTTATTTCTTAAGGTGATCTCAGATGGCAGACTCCCTGAGTTCAAATCCTGATTGCAGAAGATCATTGAATAATTTATTTAAGTCCTCTGTGCCTTGGTTTTCTCATCTGTAAAGTCAGACTGAAAACACCTCCCTGTTTTGAGGATTAACTGAGATTATCTGTGTAAGACACTTAGCATATTGGTGGGCACATAGAAAGGCCAGAGTAAACATTAACTATCATTACTATTAGTTTGAAATTTATTTTTTATTATTAAGATAATTTTCTTTTTGGAGCTTCTATTTAACCAGGTGGATGAAATTCAAATCTTACCCTATTCCAGGTAACCTCAAGCAATTCAGTATTGAATATTAAGTATTCAATGCAGTATTGAATTGCCTCTCCCCAAAGATTTGGATTCTGTAAATGTGTGGCAGAATTGTGTTTAAAGGAGGGTAGGAGACTATGATTGTTCCTGGATAGGTGAGAGGCCATCTGGTCTTCAGTTATCATCTGTTGAGGCAGACATTCGTGGAAACCCATTTCATCTTGTATTTGCAGATGAGAAAACTGAGGCTCAGAGAGGTTAGGAAACTTGCCTAAAGACACACAGCTAGGTAGTAGACTCAAAACCAGGTCTGTCTGACTTTCGGGCCTTTGCTCTTTCCCATTTGTCTTCTAAAAATGACTCCAAAGGCCTTTCTATCTTATGCCCAGGTGGTCATACCACTCAGCAAAAGGGTAAGGATTTTTTTTTGTTTGTTTTTAAAGGAGATGGACTAGGTTGTTTCATGATTCGTCAGAAAAAGGCCTGAGGACTTGTGTCAGATGCCAAATAAAGCTTTAGTTCTTGATATGTTTAGAGAGCAATTTGGTGTTTTAGTTAATAAGAGAAATTCAATGCATATTTGTTGAATTGAAGCAGGGAGGAGAGAAGGGAAAAAATAAGAGAAAGAGGGAAGAAAGCAAGAAAAAAGGAAGAAAGATGGGAAGTGAAGAAGAAGGGAAAGAGGGAGGCAGGGAGGAAGGAAAAAAAAGGTTTTGATTTTCATTTGCCAGCCACACTGTTGGAGTATATTGGTTTTATGGAGCTTTACCAAGGTTTTATGCCTTGGAATCTCTCAAGGAACATTTTCCAAATATGCATTCTGGGACCCCACGCCACAGCTACTGAATCAACTGGAATCCCTGGGGTCAATTCTGAGCAAACAAACTCAGGCAATTTTATACAATACCTCTCATTGAGAAGCATGAGTTCGTGATTTTTTTTTTTAACAAAACAAATTAAAGACCAGTCAAGGGGTTCTTCTGGTTTGTGAGTGGCTTCATCTCTTATTTGGATGCTTCTCAGTGATGTTTCTGTTGGGAGGAGGTGCTTGGCATTGCCTTTCAGAGGCCATTAAAAGGCCCCTCTGGTTCATGGCTCCCACTCGCCTTTGTGATGGCCAAAGAATGTGTGGGGTTGACATTCTTCCTGAAACTAAATCCGGTGTCACTTAGAATTAGGGTCTCTTTTTACCCTAATTCCATCTCAGCTTGCAGGCAATAGAGTAAAAAATTTGAGGCCAGGCGCAGTGACTCACGCCTGTAATCCCAGCACTTTGGGAGGCCAAGGCAGGCAGATCACTTGACGTCAGAGGTTTGAAACCAGCCTGTCCAACATGGTAAAACCCCATCTCTATTAAAAATACAAAAATTAGCCAGGCGTGGTGGTACATGCCTGTAATCCCAGCTACTCGCAGGGCTGAGGCACGAGAATCGCTTCAACCCAGAAGGCAGAGGTTGCAGTGAGCCAAGATCATCCTGCTGTACTCCAGCCTGGACAACAGAATGAGACTCCATCTCAAAAAAAAAAAAAAAAAAAAAAAATTGAGAACATCTTCCTGGTTTTCAGGCCTAGACTGACCTAAACTAAAGTGTTTTCATTTGTTGCAGTGATGATGGTGGTAATGGCTCCCTCAAGGGGCCAGTCACAGAGTATCTGCTGTCTCTTTGGTAAGAGGGCTGTCTCAGCCAGTCAGGGTTAGTGTTAGAGAGATCACGTATTCCAGGGAGTGTCCATCCTACCAAGCCTGGAGATTGTTGCTTGATCTGTATATCCCGTGATCAAGAATAGGAGAGGACCAGCTTTGGTATAGCATCTCTGAATTAATTGGCAGCCTTCTTCAGGACTTGGCACTAATCGGACAGAAATAGACATTGAAGTTCTGGGAAAATTGTCTTGCCTGAGAGGCTCATTATTGCGTCCAATACAAAGGAATTTGGGCAGGGAGGTCAGAGTTAATGTGCTTAATATTCAGTTGCTGCAGGGACCCAGCCAAGGAATTGAGAGTGTCCTGAAAATTACTGGCCTCATTTGTTTGCCTTTTCTGGCTGTGTTCTTGGCACCCATGGAGGAGAAAGGGATGAACACAATAGAAACTAGAAAAAGGTCCAGGCCTGTATCTCAGGGACAAAAAGGGTTTTTGGTAATCGTCAAGAGGAATTATCACCTGATTCCCAGTCAATGGAGGCTTCTGCCCTGAGCTGGCTGGCAGGGGTCACTGCCTTCTTCTGTCACTCCATTATTCATTTGTTCATTCATTCAGCAAAGCGCTTACCATGGACATGCTGTAAACCTGGAATTGTGCCTGGAAAAATTCCGGAGAATTTTGTTACCTGTGATGGTTAAAATATTCCTAGAAATAAATGACTGTTGATCTAAGAGCACAGAGGCTTAACAATTAGCAAACTCACAATATTGAAGGCTCCCCCACTGCCAGTTTTCTTTTTCTTAAATTATAATTTTTATTTTGAGGAAATTAAAAATAATACGAAAAAGGCTGGGCGTGGTGGCTCACACCTGTAATCCCAGCACTTTGGGAGGCTGAGGCGGGCAGATCACAAGGTCAGGAGATCGAGACCATCCTGGCTAACATGGTGAAACCCCATCTCCACTAAAAATACAAAAAATTAGCTGGGTGTGGTGGCGGGCGCCTGTAGTCCCAGCTGCTCGGGAGGCTGAGGCAGCAGAATTGCTTGAACCCAGTAGGCGGAGCTTGCAGTGAGACGAGATTGCACCACTGCACTCCAGCCTGGGTGGCAGAGTGAGATTCCATCTCAAAAAAAAAAAAAAAAAAAAAAAGACGAAAAATACGAAGAACTAGGTAACAATCACCCAGGTCCCCACTACCTCAAATCAATAATTGTTAACATTTGGTTATTGCTAACAACATGTCTTCAAATATTATTGCTTTAACATAAGAATGAATACATTACAGATAATGTTTAAATTTCCTCTTCTCTATTGCCTTCAACACCCCACCCTCTCCCGACCAGGCAATTATAGTAATGAATTTTATGTGTTTTTTTCTTATGCTTAATTCCTAGTCTCTTAACTTTTACATATAGATTTATGTGTCCATAATCTGTATGTGTTTTAATTTTTGTGAATTTTATTATATTTTAAATTTCATTCTGCATCTTGCTTGTTTTCACTTAACATTATGCTTTGGGGCTTTATATATGTTTATAACTAGCTAAGTATTACATCTAACTCCATCCATCCATCCATCCATCCATCCATCCATCCATCCTTCTCTCTCTCCCTGTATCTTTGTATCTATATATGTATCTATCTATCTATCGATCATCTATCTATCATGATTATCTATTTATCCATCCATCTATCTATCTCTTCATCACCATTATCATATTTATGTATCTACCTGTTTTTCATTTTGCTGGCTGCCTATTTTATATATGTCCTATTTCATATACTTAGCCACTCAGTTTTCTTGCCTGATTCCTTAGCAGGGATGATATTCAAAATATTTAACAACCCATATTGCTGAGACCAGCTTGGTCAGGGAGACCCTAACCTATCAGCACTAGAGGAATTAAAGACACACACACAGAAATATAGAGGTGTGAAGTGGGAAATCAGGGGTCTCACAGCCTTCAGAGCTGAGAGCCCCGAACAGAGATTTACCCACTATTTATTAACAGCAAACCAGTCATTATCATTGTTTCTATAGATGTTAAATTAACTAAAAGTATCCCTTAAGGGAAACGAAGGGATGGGCCGAATTAATTGCAGCAGGAACACACCCTTAAGACAGAGATCACTAATGCTTTTGTTTGTGGCTTAAGAATGCCTTTAAGCGGTTTTCTGCCCTGGGCGGGCCAGGTGTTCCTTGCCCTCATTCCCTTAAACCCACAACCTTCCAGCTTGGGCGTTAGGGCAATTATGGACATGTTACAGTGCTGCAGAGATTTTATTTATGGCCAGTTTTGGAGCCAGTTTATGGCCAGATTTTGGGAGGCTTGCTCCCAACACCGTATGCCCCAGGCACCAAATAATAAAAACATATGATGGCCTAGTCAGACTAAACCTGGCCAAGAATAACTGGTAAGCCCATTATACTGGTTCATACCAGCTGACTAGTAGCTTACCTGCAGGCATTTCATTTTGCAAACCCTGCACTAACAATTCCTTCCAACACTGACTATCTTATGAACAAAACCCTTGGAGTTTCTTCCTCAGAAATACCTTCCCTTCTGATGACCTATAATCCTCCTTCATCTCTGCTTGTGGAAATCTAAGCATCCTTTTAGGCCAAATTCAAATACCATTTCCTGCATGAACGACTCTGGGATCTCTAAGACAGATTTTAATTCTTCATTCTGCCTTATGATTGCGATTATATCTGTAGTGTTATCCATGGATTGAATCCTTCAGTGGACTGTGAGTTTCTCAAAGCTTGGATAGCTCCTTACTTACTGATCTCTGTAACTTTGTTTCATCTCCATCTGTCACTCAAATGTGCACATAAGCTGATGCCTGGGATACATCATACCTACCCTTGTTAAGTTGGCAGAGAATTAACGGTGGATTCTACCTGGCATGGGGGCATTAGGAGTGGGACATATATGATACAGCATGAAGATGTCAGTGCCCCAGGTTCTCATTCATGGACACTTTCCAAAGTGTTCCTCGGAAATAAATACATGGTCTTTAATGGTCTTTGGCTCTGAGACAGCTTGTCAGAGCACCATGGTTTATAGTATGGCAGAGTGACATTGCTGAAGGTCTCTCTGGAAGGAGCTGAAATTTCAGATGTGAAAGTGATTTGAGAAGGTGCAGCAGGGATGTCTGTTAAGAGCTGGGCAGCATGGGACAGTGAGCAGGACACTGGCTTTGGAGCTAGTTGCTATGTTCTGTGAGCCTGTGCCTAGAAACCAGTCTAGAAAACTGTGCATTTGAATCCCATCATTTCTGGAGCATGGTGGGTGCTCAGCAAGTATTTCCTAAGTGTGTGAATGGATCCAGGTAGTCCTGGGTTCCAATTGCTAATCTAGACTGAGTGTCAGTTTCTCTCTCTGAAAAATGGTGAAGATATTGTCTACCCTTGAGGATTACTGAACAAAGGAGGTTTCATACGTGAATAGTGCCTAACACAACCTCGAAGACTACTAGGACTGGTAGGACAGCATTATTAGTGACCATGTGATAAATGCATTACACTTATTAATATAGGTTAGGGCCTTTACATATGTTAGGGACAAACACCTAGGGGCCAGCAATACGTCCCAGTGGTATTTTAGTTGTGTGATACTGGAAAGGTTATTTTATTTTATTTTTTGAGACAGAGTCTCACTCTGTTGCCCAGGCTGGAGTGCAGTGGCGAGTGATCTCGGCTCACTGCAACCTCCACCTCCCAGGTTCAAGCAATTCTCCTACCTCAGCCTCCCGAGTAGCTGGGATTACAGGCCTGCGCCACCACCACGCCCGGCTAATTTTTATATTTTTAGTGGAGACAGGGTTTCACCATGTTGGCCAGGATGGTCTCAAATTCCTGACCTTGGTGATCCTCCCATCTCGGCTTCCCAAACTGCTGGGATTATGGGCATGAGCCACTGTGCCTCGCCTATTTTATTAGTTTTTCAACACTCTCAGCTTTAGTTTCTGCATCTGTAAAGTGAAAACACATAAATACACATAAATACAGCAGACGTGTGTTTGGATACCTGCTGTGAGATGGCAGAGTGGGCCGAATGGTGACCTTCCAGAAATTCCCTAATCCTGGAACTTGTGCCTGTGACTTTATTTGGTAAAAAGGGTCTTGCAGATGTAACCAAGTTAAGCATCTGCAGGTAAGGAGTTCAAGTTCATTCCAGATTATCTGCCTAGGCCCTAAATCTGCTAGCAATTGTTCTAGAACAGACACGCAGAAGAGAGACATGCAGAGAAGAAAACTGGACGAAATGTGACCACACGGCAGAGATCCTGGAGCCACCAGAAGCTGGAGGAGACAAGGGATGGGTTCTTCCCTAGAGCCTTGGGAAGGGGCATGGCCCTGCCAACAGCCCAATTTCATACTTCTGGCCTCCAGAACTGAGAGGAAAAAAGTTCTGCTGTTTTAAGCCACTCAGTTTGTGGTAATATGTTACAGCATCATCAGGAAACTGACAATCAGTTTCTGTATTCTGGCTCTGCGGGAGCCTTTTGCATATTATAGGTGCTTACTGAAATGCCCTTAAAAAGCTCACAGTCAGCCTGGTGTGATGGCTCACACCTGTAATCCCAGCACTTTGGGAGGCTGAGGTGGGCGGATCGCCTGAGATCAGAAGTTCGAGACCAGCCTGGCCAACATGGTGAAACCCCATCTCTACTAAAAATACAAAAACTAGCTGGGCATGGTGGTGCGTACCTTTAATCCTAGTTACTCAGGAGGCTGAGGCAGGAGAATGGCTTGAACCTGGGAGGCGGAGGTTGCAGTGAGTGGAGATCACGCAATTGTACTCCAGCCTGGGCGACAGAGCGAGACTTCGTCTAAAAAAAAAAAAAAAAAAAAGCTCACAATCTAGAGCTGGGAGATGACACATTCACCAGTAATACAGTCTAGCTGGTCAAGGTTGTGATAGAGGGGCACACAGGAAGGTCAGGCAACCTGACAGGGAGGTATGTGTGTGGGTGTTCCTGGGAATACTTCCTGGAGCTTTTCTCAGCTGAGCCCTAAAGAGCAAGGAGGAATTAGCCAGGCAAGAAGAGAACAGGACATTTTATTAGAGAAATCAACATGCACAGAGGCATGAGACAGCAAGAACAGGCAGTCATTCTTGTCTTCTTAATTCCTGGGAAGGTCAGATAGCCACCTAGAACAGTGCTTCCCAAAAGGTGAGGTGCATGTGGATCACCTGGAGGATTGTGCTAAAATGAAGAAAAACAGATTTTGAGTAAGTGAGTCTGGGGCAGGCCCAGAGATCCTGCATTTCTTACAAGCTCCCAGGGGATGCCGATGGTGACCACACCTTGAGGAGCAAGGCCTTAGTACACTAAAGTCTACGGCACTTTTGCCCATTTCTTTCTTTCTTTTCTTTTTTCTTTTTTTTTTTTTTTTGAGACAGAGTTTCACTCTTTTTGCCCAGGCTGGAATGCAATGGCGTGATCTCAGCTTACTGCAACCTCCACCTCACGGGTTCAAGCCATTTTCCTTCCTCAGCCTCCAGAGTAGCTGGGATTACAGGCGCCCTCCACCATGCCCAGCTAATTTTTTTGTATTTTTAGTAGAGACGGGGTTTCTCCTTGTTGGCCAGGCTGGTCTTGAACTCCTGACCTCAGGTGATCCACTCACCTCGGCCTCCCAAAGTGCTGGGATTATAGGCATGAGCCACCGTGCCTGGCCATGTTTTTGTATTTTTAGTAGAGATGGAGTTTCACCTTGTTGGCTAGGCTGATCTTGAACTTCTGACCTCAGGTGATCCGCCCACTTCGGCCTCCCAAAGTGCGGGATTACAGGCGTGAGCCACCGCGCCTGGCCCACTTTTGCCCATTTCTTATCTCATTTAAGCTTCTCCCTCTCAAGAGGGAGCGAGATCTGCAGCTGTGAAACCAGATGCTGGAAGAAGGGAGGTGCTTTGCTCAAGGTCACACAGGCTGAAATGTTATCATTGATTTTAGAACCTGGGTTTTCTGACTTTGAATACACTGTTCCTTTTAATAACTCATCATACAATTTCAGTATGACATAGGAATAAGGACTAGATTTTGATTTTTGAGCCAGTCTCAGGGTCTTTTTCTTTCAGTAGATTGTTTATGTCACATTTCCACTTGTTGATCTAAAGTACATGTTTATTAATTAGTAATAATAATGATCATTTATATTATAGGCAATGATATATTAATAAACCATCCAATAACTACTAACAATCATTATAATCATTAACAATCGCTAATCATTAATAATCACGAATAACAAATAAGTTAATTATAATTAAGCTGTCACTCTTTATAGTACCTCCCAAAAGATGTGGCAGCAGTTTATTTGCTGTTTTCTTCAGAGGTCTGGGGGTGAACTGGGCTGTATCTGATTTCTTCCCCTAATCAGAGCCCTAGAGGACTGTTCGATGGATCTTACGTTTAGCTCAAGGTAAACATGTTACCAAGTTCTTGGCTAACTAGTTATTTCAGGCAAGTACTTAATATTGAAAGGGAGTTAATAGTTTTTTGTTGTTGTGGATTGCATGAGATTTAAGCTGTCATCTAAGTCCACCTTCAATAACAGCAAAGATGTACAGTTTTTTAGAAGAGGAGTGGTGGATGATCTCGGAAAGATGGGGCAGGGACTCCAGAAAGAATGGGAACATGACAGGGAGACATAAAGGGAGGAGGACAGTGTGGTCTTAAGGGCAGGTGGGCATGGGGTGATCAGAGCTGGCATAACCTTAGAGATGGCAAAATTACAGCTGGTCACGAGAGGAAGGGGACAGATAGGTGTCTGCAAGTAGCACTGGAAGTGGATTAAAAGAAGGAAGGGTGCAGATATGCAATTAGATATATAAATATTTCTTATCTTTGGCCAAGCTAGTTTGAACGCAGAGTTACTCGCCCAGGAACCCCATGGGGCTGTTGATAGTAGTGCAGTGAAAGCTGATAGATTCCATTTTGGAGCACTGGAGCCCTTTGGCTTATCTGCAAGGACCTGTTACCAGGGGACTTTTTAACAGGGGATTGCACAGCAAACATCTGTTCCTTCCCCACGAAAAGGATGAAGCTGGTGACCCCTGTGCACCACCAGGCTGCATGGAAGCACCATATTCATAGTGCCCCAAAGGTTTCCCATGGTCGTATGTAGGGCGGAGAACGCTGGGGACTGAGAGAACATATTTTTTCACATAAATATTTATGTCAAACCAACTCTGCTAAGAAGGTGGCAAAACAAGGCGTGAAAACACAATGAGACAGAGCAGCCTGACTTTTTGCAAATATTTATGAGACAGGAAAATGCTGAGAGAGAGAAATAGCCCTGGAAGGTTGGCAAAGAAGGGAGAGAAACACCCAGGATGCCCCGAGCTGTGGGAAGGCTGTCTTCTTAGAGGAAGAATGCGTAGAGGGGCAGGGCTGATTAAATAACAATACTGTTAGCGAGGGAAGAGGATTGACAGCTTTTCTGTGCCTTTTAAATGCCTGTATGACAGTCAGATTGCTAAGCACATAGGGTTCTTCAGGAGACTTTCACAGCCCATTTTACAGGTGGTCAGGGGGATTAAGAACTTTTTTTAAGCTACTCAGCTGCCAAGGGAGAGAGCTGTGATTCTGTTCATATCAGCTTGTTTCCAGCCTCTAGGAGTCTTCCCATCACTATACTACAGTTCCCTGGCCCACTGCAGGGCTGGGCAGTAGTGTCATAGGCGATTAAAATAACCTGGAGGCTGAGGTGCGAGTATTGCCTGAGCCCAGGAAGGTGAGGCTGCAGTGAGCTATGATTGCATTCATTGAGCCCCAGCTTGGGCCACAGGGGGAGACCCCCTGTCTCAAAAAAATTAATAAATTAAAATAAATAAATAAATAAAATAATCTGGGCTGGGCATGGTGGCTCACGCCCGTAATCACAGCACTTTGGGAGGCTGACGTGGGAGGATCACTTGAGCCCAGGAGTTCGAGACCAACCTGGGTAACATAGTGATCTCCCCTCTCTACAAAAAATTTTAAAATTAGCCAGGTGTGGTGGTGATGTGTACCTGTGGTCCCAGCTACTTGGGAGATTGAGGCAGAAGGATTGCTTGAACACAAGTGTTTGAGACTAGAGTGAGGTATGATCGTGCCACTGTGCTTCAGCTTGAGTGGCAGAGCAAGAACCCATCTCGAAAATAAAGATTATTTGTCTCTGCATTCTGTGCATTTCCTGTAATAATCTTATATTACTTTTTTAACTGAAAATATAAACATTAAAATATTAATTCAAAACTCTAATAAGCAGTCTAATATACAAATAATTATTCTTAATATACCTTTTTTGAATAAGCAATATCTGCTCTGCAAGCATCCACACCAAACTGCATCAATGCTAACTCCGTGGGGATGGGGGCAGGGAAGGGGAATGGGCAATTTCAAAGCTTCATTTTGTCAGTTTTTGTTCAAATTCTTTTTACAATGAACACTATTGCTTTTATAATAGGTCACAACATTAAACACCTATACACACATACACACACACACACACACACACACACACACACACACACACACACACACACAGAACAGGCCTACATAACAGACATAATTAGCATTCTTCCCTCTCAGCCTGAGTTTCCTCTTCGATAAAATGATAATAAAAGCAATCCCGTGAGGATTGAGTGATACTGTTCACATAAACTACTTACCACAGTGCCCAGCACATTGGAAACTCTCAATCCATGTCAGATGTCATATTTTTAGCTGACAGCCCATTGCAGGAGTCCATTGAGTACTGGTCGGGGGATCTAGCACATGCCTTGCCCATAGTAGGGGCTCAATGCTTTTGTTGAAGAAGTAAATACACTGGGACTGACTCTGGCTTTGAGAGTAAGAAATCCAGCCTTTGTGAACCATTCAGGTTTAGGCAGTTGTCAGTCACTGCCGAATTCTTTTGCTGCTGCTCAGCCAAGGTTCCCCAGAAGTCCTCTTCTGATATCCCTTTAGGACACGGCCACTTCTTGCCAAGCCACCAACAATTGTTCCTGCCTCTGGCAAGCAGTTATCTTCAGAGGGACGAAACAATCTCATCCTTCCTAAATGCTGGAGAGAATGCAATAGAAAAAAATCTCTGTGCTACAGGAAGGCAGCCAGGCTGTGATGGTCAAGGGGGAAAGAGAAGCTCCTAAGATGTTTGCATATTTTCTCGAGAACAGGTTGCAAAAGAAATAGGTAGAGTGTCACCTGGATTTGAAGGGTTGTATAGAGTTATTCAACCCCAGTTTTCTATAAGGAGCAAACAGGCAAGCATAATTATTGGCTGTTGCAGAAAAAAGGGGGAGAAGGACATTGACATTAGCAGACTGTCTGTTGTGCCAGGCACTGTGTTTGATGCATTAAGTATGTTTTCTTTTTTCATACTCAAACCATATTATTAGGTTTTAAGATTTAAAAATATTAAAAAGGGCTGGGCATGGTGATTCACACTGGTAATCCTAGCACTTTGGGAGGCCGAGGCAGGAGGATCGCCTGAGGTCAGGAGTTTGAGACAAGCCTGGCCAACATGGCAAAACCTCATCCCAACTAAAAATACAAAAATTAGCCAGGTGTGGTGGCAGGTGCCTGTAGTTCCAGCTACCTGGGAGGCTGAGGCAGGAGAATTGCTTGAACCCGGGAAGCGGAGGTTGCAGTGAGCCGAGATTGTGCCACTGAACCCCAGCCTGGGCGACAGAGCAAGACTCCATCTCAAAAAAGATATTATTATCATTTCTGTTTTATAGATGAGAAACCAACTTGCCTAAGGTCATGTAATGCAAATAAACAGGATAGAACTAGGATTTGAGAACTAGGATATCTATTTGGGTCCAAATCTTCCTGAGGATGTATGGGAGACAGAAAAATTAAAAAGACAAGTTAGTAAATGGATACATTAGAATATGGCCAATTTGATTTTCTGCTATCTTGGGAAGCGGGGCAGGCAGGAAGAGACTTTGTTATTCAACAAGGATAAATTCATTCATTCATTTAGGAGCTGGGATTGGCTTGGGCCATGGGTGGCAAGAAGATTAAATCTTGAGTGCCTAGTCTAATCCATTGGGAGTGGCTGCTCGATGGGAAATTGATTAATGGTGCCTGTTAAGGATATGAAATAGAGATTAGTGGTCTAGTTGCTATATCCTTGATACCTACTCATGAAGAAGAGAAGTGGCTGTTCTAAGTAACACAGGAAGAAGTGCTATACTGAATGGCACAGATAAGGTGATGGTGGATTCTATCTTTGTGAAAACAAAGGTCTGAGATAGATGGTGAACACAGCTGGCAGTTTCTGAGAATCCCATGAGGATAGGTAAAGGCTTCATTTGAGATAGTGAACTTATAATTCTTGAACTACCTCTATGGGAAGCAGCCCAGTCTGGACAAGAGAGAGGCTTAAAGAAGAATCCAGGAAGCAAGCCCTTCTTGTGGCAAAGTGGTAGCTAACAGTGGGACTATGGGAGCTAGACAAGGCCACATTTCAAATCCTGGCTCCATCATGTATGAGCTGTGGGAACTGGGGAATTTACCTCTCTATTTTCAACCACAAAATGTGAATACTGCTTCTAACTCTTGGTGTTGTTCTGATGATGAAATGAGATAACATTATTAAAGTGCTTTGCACACAACTGGCACTCAATGTATGACTGTTCCCTTTTCCATGCACCGCATCGTATCCTGCAGCTGGGAATACTCCCCCTGTGAGGAAAGTCCTAACCGGAAGACACTTAGCCTAGCCCTTGGTATACAGGTGACTCTAATGCCCCCTTCCCATGACTGAACTTCAGGGGCCCTTTACTATTAATAGAAACTGTGTTCCTAATTCCTCTCCCACTGTGCAGTCAATTTACCTCTTAAAGCCTGACAGAGGCAGCATGCAGGAAGATTGACAACATTGCTCACACTATTTGAAGGTTCCACTGTGTGTTGAAAATTGTCTAAATGGGGGGATAATGAACAGTCACCAAATTGGAGCTTTCTGAAACTGAGAGGAAAGAAAGGCTTTGGAGAGAGGTTGCCATCTTACCAAACATATTAGCCAGGGTAGGGAGATGGAGGAGGGATGGTGTCAGTTCCCCAAGCCCAAGAAAGGTTGGACCTGTTAGAGTATGAAGCATCTGGGGGCCGTTCACTGTTAGCAGTTTATGTGATTACTTTCTAGGGAATGCTGGGATCAGACAGGGATGGGCACACCTTGGACTCTGTGTGCCCCAGACAGGTTAATGTAACTGTGAGCCCATGGGCATCCACCATGATCTGGACTGACCTGACATGTGAAGACAATCCTAAAACTTATATGGAACCACAAAAGACCCAGAATAGCCAAAGCTATCCTGAGCAAAAAGAACAAAGCTGGAGGAATCACATTATCTGACTTCAAATTATGCTACTGAGCTATAGTAACCAAAATAGCATGGCACTGGCATAAAAAAAAGACACATAAACCAATGGAGCAGAATAGAGAACCCAGTAACAAATCCACACACTTGTGGTAAACTCATTTTTGACAACAGTGTCAAGAATATATACTGGGAAAAAGGCAGTCTCTTCAAAAAATAGTACTGGGAAAACTGGATATCCATATGCAGCAGAATGAAATGAATCCCTCTCTCTCACCATATACCAAAATCAAATCAAAATGGATTAAAGACTTAGATCTAAGAACTCAGACTATGAAATGACTACAAAAACATGAGACACAATCTCCAGGACGTTGAAGTGGGCAAAGATTTCTTGAGTAATACCCAATAAGCACAGGCAACCAAAGCAAAAATGGTCAAATGGGATCCCATCAAGTTAAAAAGCTTCTGCATAACAAAGGAAACAATCAACAAAGTGAAGAGACCACCCAGAGAATGGGAGAAAATATTTGCAAACTATCCTTCTGACAAGGGATTAGTAACCAGAATATATAAGGAGCACAAACAACTCTATAGGAATAAAACTAATAATCTCATAACAAATGGGCAAAATATTTGAATAGACACCACTGATTTTTCTGATGGCAACTTCCCTAATGGGATGAGGTGTCCTGGGTGGAAGGAGTGTCTCAAATCCTGGTTTCCTGTTTTATTAGCAGTGTGTCTTTGGGCAGGTAGCTTCACCTCTTTGAGTCTCTACTTCTTTCCTGGCAAACGAGGGGTGGTAACACTTATCTCACAGAACCATTGTGATGGCTTACAGTCATGAATTTAGAAACTACAAGTGTAATTTGCCACATTCTTACTTTATGGTGGATGAGACACTATATTAGTCTACAATTTGATCAACAATCATGCAATGTAGGTTACACTATCCACTCTTGTAAAAATGAAATGTTAAGCCTCATAGAGTTGGTGTTTCTCATTCAAAACCTCACAATTAGAAACCAAAATCTGTTTGTCTCCAAACTTGATACTTTATTCCCTCTACACAAGACTACCTTGACATTAAATGCTGCTGACGGCAAAACCTAGTCTGATGTAAGAACATCACAAGTGCTCAAGAAATATTTATTTGTTTATTGTTCATTGATTGATTCACACAAATATTGAGCATTGATCAGCTCTGAGGCTGATGTTGGACCTTAGCTGGTTGGTATCTAACATTACTGGCTATTGACTGTTACCAGGGTCAGAGTACAGAAGCAACCTGTTTTCTTTTTCTCTTAACAATGATTAATAACTATCTCAGAAATGGCCATCAATATTTGCAATTGGCAGGAGGTGAGAAGGAGGTGAAATCCAACTCATTGACATATTCTAGCTACTGGCAATCCCTTAGTTTCTTATAGCCTATTGGAAACTCAGTGGTATATGGAGGCTCACAAAGATTCGGCAGCCCCATGTGCATAGATCAGTTTGCACAGCAGTTTGGAGAGGGATGCAGAGGCTGCCTGAGAGGAAGCCTTCCCTGGGGCCCTCCTCCAATTCCTCTATCATAACGCTGACCTCACTGCTGTCATGATCTGTTTTCCTCTTTGCTCCTCTACTCCAGCTGAGTATGAGTTCCTGGGGTCAGATACAATATTTAATTGATCTGCACATAACCAAAGCATTGCATAAGGTCAGGCAAAGAATGGGCAGTTAATCAGTGCAGAGAGAGGAAGAGGAAGAGGGAGAGAGAGAGGGAGAGGGAAAGAGAGATTGAGGGATGGAGAGGGAAGGAAGGATGAGAGAGAAAGGGAGATTGAAGGAGGGGGAGAGAGATGGAGGGAGAGAGGGAGAGAGAAAGAGACTGAGGGAGGGAGAGAGGGAGAGAAAGGGGGAAAGAGAGAGAGAAAGAGAGACAGGGAGGGAAAGAGATGGAGGCAGAGGGGTGGGGAGAGAGAGAGGTGGAGAGAGAGACTGAGGAAGGGAGAGAGAGAGAGACTGAGGGAAGAAGAAAGTGGGAGGGAGAGAGAGACTGAGAGAAGGAAAGAGAGAGTGACTGAGGGAAGAAGAGAGAGAGAGGGAGAGAGAGCTGAGGGAAAGAAAGAGACTGAGGGGAGGAGAGAGAGAGAGAGAGCTGAGGGAAAGAAAGAGAGAGAGACTGAGGGAAAGAAAGAGAGAGCTGAGGGAAGAAGAGAGAAGGAGGAGGAGACTGAAAGAAGGAGAGAGAGAGAGACTGAGGGAAGGAGAGAGGGAGAGAGAGCTGAGGGAAGGAAAGAGAGAGAATGAGAGAAGGAGAGAGAGAGAGGGAGAGAAGGAAAAAGACTGTGGGAAGGAGACAGAGAGAGCCGAAGGAAGGAAGGAGAGAGACTGAGGGAAGGAGAGAGAGAGGGAGAGAGACAGCTGAGGGAAGGAAAGAGAGAGAGACTGAGGGAACAGAGAGAGGGAGGGAGAGAGAGAGAGAGTGAAGGAGGGAGAGAGGGAAGGGGGAGAGAGTGAGGGTGGGAGAGAGAAAGAAAGAGGGAGAGAGGGAAAGAGAGGGAGGGGGAGAAAGAATGAGTGAGGGAGAGAGAGGGAGGTGGGAGAGGGAGGGAGGGAGAGAAAGAGATGGAGGGAGAGAGAGAGAGTGAGGGAGGGAGAGAGATGAAGGGGTGAGAGAGTGAGGGAGGGAGAAGGAGGGAAGGAGAGAGAAAAGAGAGGGAGGGAGAGAGAGGAAGAGAGAGAAGGAGACAGAGGAGGAGGGAGAGAGGGATAGGGAGAGAGAGATCGAGGGAGGGAGAGAGAGAAACAAGTAAAAGAGGAAAGAAAAGAGAGAAAACAAGAAAAGGATAGAGAATAAAGGAAGAAAAGTAAAGAGAAGCGGAACTTGGAAGGGAAGGAGACAGAGAGAAGAGAAGGGGAGGGAGAGCAGCTTGACAGGTCAGCTCCTGCAGAGTTTCTCTGGCTGTCCTCCAAAAGATGCACTCTTAAGCTGTAAACATGCACTGGGCTCCAGGGTAAGCTTAGGAATTTTTTATTCCAGAAGACCCAATTCTCTGTAAGCCTCAGTCCCCTTGTCTGTGAAATGGGCTTAACCACGTCTATTTCACACAGTTGTTGTGGGGATTAAGCCATAAAATCACAGTGAAAGAGCCAGAGCTCCCAAGCACAGGAGGCTGAAGTCCAGATGTAGCGCTTTGGAGAGAAGCTCACAGGGAGAGGCCTGGACTGCTGGGAGAGCCCAGCTTCTGATGCTGACCTCTTAGCCCTTCCAGTTCTAAGCACTGCGATTGTTCAATTCTTTTATTAGATGCTTTTCTCTGGCTCAATAGGCCCACGTCTGTGAACGGGACCTTTCCTGGGGTGCATACAGACTGTGCTATTTTGAATTCTGCATCATTAAGATAATTAGATGCCCAGACGGAGTTTAAATACTATTAAGAGTTTGGTGTATACTGGCTGGCCCTGGTGACAGAGTCACTTGGGGACACAGTCTCTACTTCCTGCTGATTTTCTGAGCCCAGAACCTTGATTAGCACAAAAAGGCTCTCCTGGGTGAAGGAAAGGAAGGGAAGAGAAGACAGGTGACATATTTTTGGGCCCATTCTTAGTGCCAGGTGTTCTGCAGGGAATTCTATGTGCATTGTCTAATTTAATTTCGCCCTTCTAACAAACCTATCAGGTGTTGTGTGGTTGCTCCCATTTCATAGATGAAGAAACACAGTGGTGGAACAGAGGGTAAATTTGTGTGCTTCCAACCTAGCAGCTAGGAGGCTCCATTGGCTCGGTGGCCTTGAGCGCTTTTCTTTACCTCTCTAAGCCTAAATTTTCTGGCTTGTGGAGTAAAGACAATAATAATACCTACCATGTAGGATTGGTAAGAGAATGATCATGACTGAGATGGGGCATATAACACTCTTACCACAGTGCCAGACAGCTGGAAAGAATTAGGTCAGTGTTAGTTAACATTTTTATTCATGCCCAGATTGTTGGGACCAAACCTTAGGTTTGATTCTATGACTTTGTGAGTCTAGCTTATGTCCCACTGGGAGGCAGACTTGGGTCCCACATGTGTATGGGAGCTGAAAGTCCCTGATCCTGTTTAGGATATGAGCACTTTTGGTTCTCCTCATGCTGTTGGAATTCATTAGGAATTCATTTATGCTGTGTCTGTGTACGTGTGTTGTACCCATGATGGCACAGGAACTTGGCGCTGCCATATCTGTATATACTTTCTGTGCTTGTTCATGTGCAAATCCACCTCTGTGGGGATAATAGAATTAATATCAGAACAAAACTTTGCTGTTTACAGAAGTGGTTTTGTGGATATGCTTTTATCTTGTCTTTCCAATGACTCTATGTCATTGCCATTTATATTGCCCTTAACTTGCCAATATTTTTGTCTACAAATGTTATCTGAGCATCTTCTTTATGTCAGACATTGTTCTAGAAAGAAGAGTGAATAAGAAGACAGAGTTATTGTCTTCATTTTCATTGCAGATGCTTCTGTTTCAGTGACAGTGAATATAAAAGAAAAAATAAGAAAATTTTGTGGATTAATTAGAACTCTGAAGAAGAAAAACAACCCCAAATTCTCAATGCATGTATATAATTGATGTTTATTTCTCATTCACAGTACAGTGAGCTTTGCTCCAAGCAGTCATTCAGGGACTCAGGCAGCTTTCATCCTCTGGCTCCACTATTCTCCTAAGTTCTTGGAGTCCTCCTCTAGGTCCTCTGCATCTGACCAGCAGACAAGGGGAGAGTGAAAGACTGGGGACTAGATGGGAGGGTTTTAGTAGACCAAGCTTCGTGTGGGAAACATAACTTCTATCTACATTCCATTGGCCAGAACTGTCATATGGCTATACCTAATTGTAGAGAAGCCTGGTACATCTGGTCTAGCTGGTTTCCTAGGAAGAAGAGGGAACCATTTTAGTAAAGATGCATACACCCTCTGCTACAGTACACAGGTAGGGCTGTGTTTATGCTCCCTGTGGATGTGTGTTCACATGGCTTTCTTTGGAGGGCTCAGAGGAGCTGGTCTCTGCAAGAAAAGGATGCATCTTCAATGGATGGTCCCATATGTTCAGCAGGGGAAGTCTGACCTCTAGACCTGCCTTTTTCACACCATCCTTTCTCCTATTTACCATCTCTTACCCCATGTCCAACCAGAGACTCAGATCTATTGCTCTACTTGTGTGCCTTCTTTCCTTCTCCCTTCCCAGAGTGAAGCTCCTCCACTCTTGTGAATCCCTCATCACTCCACAGAGGCTACACACAACTGGGAACCCAGCTAGTTTTTTGTACCTTTGAAACATTCTTCGCCATTAGTAGCAGTCATTGTAATGCTACCACTTAAGTTGAATGACCCTCACAATTTTCAAAGAACTTTCATGTATTGAAATTTCTTCCTCAAGATCTATTTCATGAGACCCCAATGAAGGTCTATTGGCACCATGGGCTCTCTGAGCACATCTGTATGTCTGGTGACTATCATGGGTCCTGGCACACAATGGGACATCAATATGACATAGCCAATGAAAAAATGAGTCAATCATTGATTATGTCTTATTTAATCCTTCCAGCAACCTTAAGATTTAAGTATAATTCTCTCTCCTTGGTTCATATTATTCTCAGGGAAGAAAACTGGGACTCAGGAAATTTCATAGCTCTCCCAAAATCACAACAGTAATAATTGGTGGGACTTGGATTCAAACTCAGGTGTGCTTCATCCCTAATTCTATGTTTTTTTGTTTGTTTGTTTGTTTTGTTATGTTTTGTTTTTGCTACATGATACCATCCCTATCATTTAATATTGATACCACATCCTTATATTTCTTGGTACTTTTCCAAAGTACTTCACATATGTGATTTTATCAGAGCAACACAGAGTTTCAGTGTAGTATATAACACAGGTATGACTTTTTATTTTCATAGGTTTAGGTATGACTTTTTATTTTCATAGGTTTAAAAAAATCTTCTGCAATGAAATACATCTACACTAGAACTTAGCAGACTTTTTCTGTACAGAGCTGGATAGTGAATATTTTAGACTTTGTGTACCATGCAATCTCTGTTCAACCCCTCAACCCTGCCACAGTAGCACAAATGTGGCCACAGGCAATATGTAGAAGACTGGTTTGGCCATGTTCCAACAAGACTTTATTTACATATGTTTGTTGGCTGCATGAATGTCTTCTTTTGAACATCACTGATCATTAGAGAAATGCAAATCGAAACCACAGTGAGATACCAACTCACACCAGTCAGAATGGGGATTATTAAAAAGTCAAGAAACAACAGATACTGATGAGGTTGTGGAGAAAAAGGAATGCTTTTACACTGTTGTGGGAATGTAAATTAGTTCAACCATTGTGGAAGACAGTGTGGCGATTCCTCAGAGATCTAGAAGCAGAAATACCATTTGACCCAGCAATCCCATTACTGGGTATTATATACCCAAAGGAATATGTCATTCTATTATAAAGATACATGCATGTGTATGTTCATTGCTGCACTATTCACAATAACAAAGACATGGAATTAACACAAATGGCCATTGATGATAGACTGGATAAAGAAAATGTAAAAAATATACATCATGAAATACTGTGCAGCCATAGAAAGGAACGAGATCGTGTCCTTTACAGGGACATGGATGGAGCTGGAAGCCATTATCCTCAGCAAACTAATGCAGGAACAGAAAACCAAACACTGCATATTCTCACTTACAAGTAGGAGTTGACCAATAAGAACACATGGACACATGGCAGGGGTGGACAACACACACTGGGGCCTGTTGTAGAGGTTGTGGGGAGGGGAGAGCATCAGGAAGAATAGCTAATGGATGCTGGGGTTAATACCAAGGTGATGGGTTGATCTGTGCAGCAAACCACCATGACACATGTTTACCTATGCAGCAAACCTGCACATCCTACACATGTACCCTAGAGCTTAAAAGTTGATGGAAAAAAAAAGGTTTTATTTACAAAAGCAGGTGACAGCCATATTTGGCCTATGAGCCACACTTCTTCAACTCCTGCTCTATACAACCCCCAAGGAGTGAAAATGGAAAATCCCAAAAAAGGAAAATCATGACTGAGAGTCTAAGGAACTTGCCTGAAGCCTCACAACCTATTTGGGACAGAGTTCTGGTCCTGAATCCATGTTTCTTGCTTCCTAAGATAATGTTCTTTCCATGATACCATCCTCCCTTATTAACCACTGTGGTGGAAATAGACGCTGATCCCGGACTCATGGGTTTGCCATTTGTTCTCCCTAATTACAAACATTAGTCACTGTTTAGTCTTCAGTCCTGACAGCTTTTTTCCTGCAAAAACCTATACAAGTGCAAACTCCTTGCTTTGCTGAGTTCTAATCACAGCGACAAGCACAGGACAATGTGTCTGTTTCTAAAAATGAATGTATCAGCCAGAACAGAAACCCTCCCTGATTTCCAATAGGCCAGAGTGGTAAAGAATACAGATTTGGAGGCAGACAATCGAGGTGTGAATAGCAGCTCTGATGGTTACTAGCTGGGTGACTTTGTGTGTCTTAGTTGCCTCATTTGTAGAATGGGGATAGTAATAGTATCCCCAGAAGACTGTCGGATGAGAATGAAAACAGTTAAATGTAAAGCACTTAGAAGAGTGTCTGATACCTAGTAGATGTTTACTGCTATTGCTGCTAATATTATTATTTTTTTCCCAAAATGGGATTTGTGACTTCATGTATTTACTGCTTTTAAACTTCAATGCCTCTAACTCAGAATTTTCATACCTTTGGCATGACTGACATTTTGGACTGGATAATTCTTTGCTGTGGGGAGTGTCTTGTACATTTTTGCAGCAGCCCTGGCTTCTACTCCCTAGATTTGGTGGCATCCACTTCCCCCATCTGTGACAACCAAAATATGTCCTGACATTGCCAGATGTCCCCTTAATCCTAGAGGCAAAACTGCCCCCATTAAGAACCAGTGGGTCTAAAGCCATTGTCTCCTCCTTGTGATTGTTTGGCTACTTCTGACACATGCTTTCCTGATGAAGGGAAAAATTAACAGGCAGTAAGGAAAGGTATTGAAAGCAATTATCTTCTGAGTGAGACCCTCTCACTGATAAGATGAATTGAAGGTCTTTGGAGAAAAATTCTGGGAAAAAGTGAACAAGTTGTAAGAAACTTTTCTGTTATAAAACAAAAAATTAGGGATGGCTCAGAACTTCTAGATCTTCCCCATGACTGGGGTGGGGCCAGTGGAGGGACATTCTGTGTGACCTTGTCCATCACTTGGGGAAGGTGTATTAGGAAAGAGTCACCCAGGTCTGATCATGACAGAGACAGGCAAAGCCATCATTTTTTCATTCAACAAACCAAAGACTACTTCTGTAGCTAAAAAAGCAAAGAGGAATGAGATATTGCCTCTACATTCCAGAAACTCACAATCTAGTCCAAGGAGGCCAAAACGTAGACAAATAAGGTGAGCAGTCCCCCAGACTGGGACTACAGAGCTAGGTGGAATCTTAGATATGTTTTTATTTTTCTGGATCTTGATTTCTACCAAGTATAAAGGGATTTTCATTGATGTGGAGGAAAGTGTGCAAATGTTGAAATTCCTAGCCTCTCTCATGATGAAATGTCCATAAGATTATAATCAAAGGCTCAAGAAAGAGAATTTGCTCACAAGGAATGTCCATAATTTTCATTTCTCATTTTCTTGAAAAAAGTAATAGTTTGGTAAGTAGTGGGCTGTTTAAACTTGGCTCATTGCCCAGTGGTGTCTTTATCAATTCAGGTTCCCAGTTCCTTCCCGAATGCTCCTTACATTTCTATAGCTCTGGCCATTGGCATAGGCAGGGCACCAGGGTGAGATATTTCTCTGTCCCCACATCTCAGGTTGATGAGTGATGCAAGCCCCATTGTATATGAAAAGCGGACTATTTTCTTCCTTTCCTGAATGCCAGTCCCCTCCAGCTGGGTTGGCTGGTTTCCCCTCACATTTCGCCCACATTACCCAAGGGAAGCAACGTGTCAAACCAGGCTATAGGCTTTGCTTTAATTGAAAGTCATGGAAGTAATTGGCTTGTTCTCTGTCAATTGCTACATCTTCATCACTCTCATTATCATCAATTCTATCAACTCGTTCATTCATTCATTTAGCAACCATTCAGTGTTAAATCAAAGGGGGTGTGAAATGGAAATGGTTCACTTTGGCAGGGAAGAATATTTTATCATCGACATTGTTTCAAATTGCTTGTGCATGGTGATAATATAAAGCAGATAAAATCTTAGTGATTCTATTAGTGTTTAAAAATTTCCTACTGACAATGTACTCTATGCCTGCACTAGGAGCAGACTCTACAATCATCTTGATCTCGATACACTACTGCTACCATTTATTGAGTGTCCACTAGGTGTAAGAAACTTTGTTAGAATCTGGTCATACACGGATTGCTGCACAACAGCACAGTGGTTAAGAAGTGGGTAGTAGCACCAGACTGCCTGGGTCTATTACTGCCAAGTGTAAACTAAGCTACTTAACCTGTCTGGGTCTCAGTTTTCTCACTTGTGAAATAGGGAACAGTAATAATACCTATCTTAATTTAATTTAAAATTAAATAAAATAATGTACGTAAAGCACATAGCACAATGCCTGGCACACACTAACATCTCAGTATATGCTAGCTATTATTTATTCCAGTAAATATTTGTTGAGCCTCTCTTGAGTGCCTGACAATGTGCAAGGGACTGGATGGGGATGAGCAAAATGGTTTCTTCCCAGGCCAATGGGGGAGAGAGGAGGGGTTATTTCTGCCTATGGAGAAGGGGTGAGGAAAATTTTCACAGAGTAGAGAATATTTGAGTTAAATCTTAAAGAAGGGATAGGATTTTTTTGTTTTTTCAGGAAGGGAAATGGGTTTGATGTGGCCGGAGCAAAGGTGAGGTGGAGGTGAGTATGGTGGGAGACGAGGCTGGAGAGATGGGCAGGGGCTGAATCATGTACAGTCTTGCTGAGAAGCTTGGGCTTTATGCCTCGTAGTTGATGAGAGGTGTTTCAGTCAGTCTAGGCTAAGTTATGTTGCCATAACAAGTATCCTCAAACATCTTGGTGGCTTGAAACAACACAAGCCTATATCTCACATATGTCATCGTCCAATGTATGGAGTGCCTCTAGCTCTGCTCCATGGGCCTTTACTCAGGAATCTATGCTGAAGGAGCCACCCCTTCAGCCACCTGTGGGACATCCTGGACTCTTAGCAGAGAGGGAAAAAGAGACCTGCAATGACTCTTGAAGCTTCTGCTCAGAAGGTACACATTTCACATTCACTCAGATCTTATTGGCCAATGCGAGTCACATGACTCAGCTTGCTGTCAATTCACTGGCCAAAGCAAGTCACATGACTCACCTTGCTGTCAATTCATTAGCTAAAACAAGTCACATGACTCAGGTTGCCATCAATGGGAGCAAGAAGCAATTCTTCCATAGGGAAGAACAGCAAATGTTTTGAACAACAACAGAATCTACTACAGGATATCATGATCAGATCTGGATTGTGAGGAGCAAATGTATCAGCAGGTATGAAACTGTCACACATTGTAAAGCTCTATTCAAATACCAATAGTTATCACTAGTTTTGGTAATTAGAGATGCACCACCTGGATCCTTCTTCAAAAAAGAACTTTCTGCACAGCTTCAAGGAGTGTGATCAGCAGATAGCCTGCAACTAACAGCTCCTTCATCTGTAGAGATCTACATCATCATAGTCTTTCCAGGGCAGCCAACATCCAATCACTGAATGCGGCATATATACAAAGTTTGGCCCATTCTTGCCAGAAGGAGGACAACCCCAATGGACAATATTCCATCCAGATCTCCTTGCTGGGTTGTCCCATGCTAGCCTGGTTGCAGTTGAACTTCTCCCTCTGCCCAATCTTGTTGCCTCAGCCTTCCTGTCACAGGTGTTGATTCCTTGCTTAATGTATTGCATCCCAAATTGTATCTCAACATCTGCTTCTGGAGAACTCAATCTTTGACCTTATTATAATAGTAATAATAATCATAATATAATTACTTGTATAGTATACAGTAACGCCAACAGCAAGATAGATGCAAGGGCCAGCAAAAGGAAACAAACCAGATTGCAGAATTAGTAATTAAGGCAATAGATTATTCTTTGAGGTTTCATCTGGCAAAAACACCATTTTGTTGCTTAAGGGTTTTGTGCTTCTGGGGTAGATATTCCAGGGCTCCACTATCAGGTCCTTTCTGGAATCAACCAGAAGCTGACATGTCAGTCCCAGGCCATTTGAAACTGAGAGTTCTGGGCCAGGAATAGCCCTTTAAGAGAACACACTAGCTTTTAGCTGCCAAAGTTCTCTAAGAATATCCACGCTGAAGCATATGCTATTCTGAAGTCTGGTTCTTTGTTTAAATTAGTAATATCTCTCTTGATGTCTCTGTTTATTAGAATATAGTGGGAAATGACCCATGTTTCAATCTAGAGAGACTTGGGTTTGAATTCTAGCTCTTCATCTACTACCTGATTGGCAGTGGGCAAGTCACTTAACTTGGGCACTTATAGGGCAATATTTACCCTATAAGGTAGTCTGAGGATTAAATGAACTATTTTATAAATAAAAATTTCTTGCCAAAGTGCATGTCACATAGTAGGGGCTCAGTAAATGTGCACTTTCTCTGCTTTCTCTTCTTTTCGTTGTGTGAAATATACAGTTTCCTTCTTTTTTTTTTTTTTTTTTTTTTTTGGAGTTTCGCTCTTGTTGCCCAGGCTGGAATGCAATGGTGTAATCTCGACTCACTGCAACCTCCACCTCCCAGGTTCAAGTGATTCTCCTGCCTCAGCCTCCTGACTAGCTGGGATTACAGGTGCCCATCACCACTCCCGGCTGATTTTTTGTGTTTTTAGTAGAGAAGGGGTTTCACTATGTTGGCTGGGCTGGTCTCAAACTCCTGACCTCAGGTGATCCACCTGCCTTGGCCTCCCAAAGTTCTGGGATTACAGGCGTGAGCCACCATGCCCAGCCAATTTCCTTCCTTAATAGGTAGTCTGATCACTTCACCTGATGACTCTGGAATAAGAGTCCTTTCTACTGATAAGTCCACACCATGTGGAAAAATTACGGCAGCCTTTTGTTCCCTCCTATGCCCAGTAAAATTTTTTTTTGACTAATGTCTCATTGAAAGATGGGTTAAAAGATGAGAAGGATTTCCTCTTAGATGCAAGCTCTTCTCGGTCATTGGCAGGTTCCTAAGGAGTTAGATTGAGAAGGTTTCTGCAAAAGCTTGTAGGTTCTGCAGGAAACAGAACAAGGATTAATTATTGATGTCTGTCTCCGAGTAGAATTAGGAAGTGATGACACACATGATACCACCTTGCATTCTCCATGGCATTTCAACAGAATGTATCCTTTCCCTTTCAGGAGTTTTCAAGCCTGTCTCAGCTTGTGAGAAGTCAAGTCCAGTTTTGCCTTGGCAACAATCCTAACCTTCTGTATCTGGCCAGATGGAGTTGGATGAAATATATTTGTTGGCTCTGAAATGGGAGGCAGATAGTGGAATCCATAATAGATGCTGTTGTGTGGGGATCCTAATACGGCAGTAGTGATTGGAGTCTGAGTTCATGAAAAAATATGTCTCAAGAAACCTGGAAAATGAATGAGTGACCCCCAAGTTGAGATAAGTAAAAGATCAACTCACTTATTACATCTATTAGCATAAATAGTGTTGAATTGATCACACTAGGGAGGCTCGTTAGAGAGCCCATAACGGAGGATCTAATCTTTTTATTTTTTTTTTTTTGAGACAGAGTCTCAATCTGTTACCAGGCTGGAGTGCAGTGGTGAGATCTCGGCTCACTGCAACGTCCGCCTCCCGGGTTCAAGTGATTCTTCTGTCTCAGCCTCTCGAATAGCTGGGACTACAGGTGCATGCCACCACGCCCAGCTAATTTTTGTATTTTTAGTAGAGATGGGGTTTCACCATGTTGGCCAGGATGGTCTTGATCTCTTAACCTTGTGATCTGCCCACTTCAGCCTCCCAAAGTGCTGGGATTACAGGCATGAGCCACCGCACCTGGCTGGAGGATCAAATCTTTAATCATGTTCCCTGCCTCATTTCTTTGATCATGCATGCTGCATCTAACTATTCCTGGGCCCCAGTTCATTCCTCTTCCTATGGCTTTGTCCAGCTGTTTCTTTGCCTGAAATGCCATTTTCTCACTCTGTTTTCATGGCTAACTCGTATTTTTCTTCAGGACTAAGCGCAAGTAGATTCCCAAGGATGCTGCATCTCAGATGTTACATGAATGATAGTTCACACAGATAATTTGGTAAAATAGATTTCTGGGCTTTAGCTCCAGAGATTCTGACTCGGTGGGTCTGGGGTAAAGCCTGAGAATTTGCATTTATGCACACCCAAAAGTGATGGTGATGCCGCTAGTCCCTGGGCTATATTTTGAGTGGCTGTGCTCTAGGACTTTGCTTCTCTACCTGTGTTCTGTGGACTAGCAACAGCAGCAGCATCTGAGAGCCTGATGGAAATGCAAAATCTGAGGCCTCATCCCAGAGCAACTGAATCAGAAGCTGCATTTTAATAAAATGTGTGGGTAACTCATAGATTGGAACTTGAGACCAATGGTCCAGGAACTCTTCTTTGACCTTCCTTTCCTAGAATAGGTGCTTACATTTTCCACAGTGTCCTTCTCCTACACTGTTTCATCCTTATCACACTATTATAATCAGGATGGCTACTTTTTAGACCTTAAGCTTTTGATAACAGGGGCGGCATCTTCATCACTGTAGATTCATCTCCTATGACACTGCCTGGCATATAGGAGATTCTCAGAAAATATAAATTGAATGAACAGATATGGCAGCCCCCAGACCTTAGACTCCACGAACTACCCCTCCTCTCAGCCTCATTCAAGTTGTCTTTTGTAGACTCTTGAAGAAAGATTTTCCTTAGTGGTTCACAATTATGGATGGATGTCTCACAAGGGGAGTCTTTGAGCCGTTTAGGAGGACTAGAGTGTTCCACACATATCATCTCTTGTTCACATGCAAAGAATTGCTGCCCTATGAGTCATTTTCCCCCATTCATGTGAGCATGTTATGAGGATTCCTATTTGGAAACTTTTATTATTTTTTTTTTGTAGGATTCATGGCTCCTGACATGGCCAGAGTGTCTGACCCCTTATTTGCAGTTTTTAATTCCATGGTACCCACCTTTACCTTTGCTTTTTGATTCATTGGACATCTTGGGCTTGGAGCATCTATTAGGACACCCTGAAGCATTGCGGGATGGAGGGGAGGAAGATGTAGCTGATGCAACTCCTATCCTCAAACGTGGGGTACTAAGTTGCGAATTAGAGGAATGAAGTTGTCACCACTACAGTGCCATTACCTTCCACTGTGGCCTCAGAAATATCATCCTTTCTGACTGTTTTCTCATTGCAGGGTTGGGTTTTATTTGTAATTTGTTTCTTCACTTCTTCATTTCTCTTCCTTAACTTTATTCCCTCTATTATCTCCCTCCCTCCCTTCCCTCACTCCCTTCCTTTCTTCTTGCCATCTTTCTTTTCTTTCTAATTCCCTTCCTCTATCTCTTCCTTCTTCCCTCTTTTTTTAACTTTCTCCATCCCCTCCTCTCACTTGCTTTTCCTTTCTTCACACCCCTTCCCTCCCTCCCCTCCCTCCCTCCCTCCGTCCCTCCCTTCCTTCTTTCCTTCCTTCCTTCCTTCCTTCCTTCCTTCCTTCCTTCTTCTCTTCCTCTTCCTCTCCCTCTTTCTCTCTCTCTCTTCCTTCCTTCCTGTCTTTCTTTTCTCCCTTCATCCCTTCCTTTACTTTATCGGTAAAGTAGAACCACTCCCTTAAGGATTTCCTGTGGAGTGCCAATATGGAAGCCTGCTATAAACAGAGTTGCCCTAGTTGAAGTGTGCATGGCATGGTCTGTAGCACGAGTCTCCTCCGCATTCCCTGTCTTGGAAACAATTCTTCAGAATTCCAGATTTCGTAAAATTCAGTTTCCAAACCACTGGAATTGACCATCTGAGGTGGACATTTTGTTCCTAACAATTTAAGGTTCATATGAGTAAACAAGACAAGTCAGGTTAGAACCTGTTATTTGGCATTGCTCAGCAAGGCAGCTTTAAAACTGTCACCTTGGAACCTCAGAAGAGGCAGGCCTTGCTCTTCAGAGTCACTCATTAAGCTACTGGCTCTGACTCAGTTGAGGTCCCTGGCTGTCTATATCCTGGTGGCTTTGTCACAGCCTCACCCACCTCTCACCTGACTGCCCAGCTTGGCTCTGGCTTTATGCTTTGGCTTTTGACCCTCGGTCATTCCTTCTTGTTTTGCGAGTAGATAGTCCCCTCCCCTCTCCTCTCCTCTCCTCTCTTCTCCTTTCCTCTTCTCTTCCCTTCCCTTCCCTTCCCTTCCCTTCCCTTCCCTTCCCTTCCCTTCCCTTCCCTCCCCTCCCCTCCCCTCCCCTCCCCTCCCCTCCCCTTCCCTTCCCTTTCTTTTTAGACAGAGTCTTGCTCTGTTACCCAGGCTGGAGTGCAATGATACCATCTCTGTTCACTGTAACCTCCACCTCCCGGATTCAAGGAATTCTCCTGTCTCAGCCTCCTGAGTAGCTAGGGTCACAGGTGCCCACCACCACAACCAGCTAATTTTTGTATTTTTAGTAGAGACAGGGTTTCACTGTGTTGGCCAGGCTGGTCTCAAACTCCTGACCTCAGGTGATCCACCTGCCTTGGCCTCCCAAATTGCTGGGATTATAGGCGTCAGCCACTGCACCTGGCCAATGGTACTCCTTTCTGGGGGTACCTAAACATCTCCTTATTTGTCCATTTAATAAATCCACCCAACACAGATTTATTATAGCAAGTTCTGCATTTAATTTACAGCAAGTTCTGCAAGTTCAGACACAGTACTAGGTACTGGGGATGCAGGGATACATCAGACACTATCCTTGCCTTCAGTTATCTCATAATCTGTGTAAACATGTGAATAGATCAGTATCAATTACTGTGACAAGTGCAATGATAGGAACATGTGGACAGCAGTGATGGGAGAGTGTGAATTCTGTAGGGAGGGTTTGAGGGGTCAGGAAAGGTTTCCAGCTAGGTTTTGAATGAAACACCCAATAACTAGACTAGGAAGTTAGAAGGCATTTGAAAGTATGAGACTGGATGTACAAAGTCACAGAGCATGTCTGGCACAACTGTGGGCACTTAGGATTATCTAGAAATACTGGCATGTAAAGGGGGAAGGAGAATGGAGGATGCTGAACCTGGAGAAATAGGACCAGATCATGAAAGCCCTGGTGTATTACTTGAAGGAGATTCATCTTGTAGATGGTAGAACAACAGTGAAGCCTTTCACCGAATCCCCTTATCCTTCATAATTAATCATGGAAAATTTAGAGGACAAAGAAAAATTAAAGCAAGAAAAAAAAATCCATTGACTTTGCATATGGAATCCTACCATCTAAAGGCAACCATTGCTCTTATTCTTGCTTATTTCCTTCCAGTCTTTTTTCTACGCAGGTTTTTTTCTACCATGGTGATAATGACAATGGAGAGATTTAAACAAGAGACTTAAATTCAGACTTGCCTATTACAGCAGTCACTTTATGAGCTGAGGAATAGCTTGAACCCTACACACAATCTCAATGAACTAGAAATCACTTATCATCTTTTGTTTTTCATTTTTTATTATTAAAGAGATGGGCTGGGTGCAGTGGCTCACACCTGTAATCCCAGCACTTTGGGAGGCCAAGGCAAGCAGATCATGAGGTCAAGAGATCGAGACCATCCTGGCTAACATGGTGAAACCCCATCTCTACTGAAAATACAAATTTAGCCAGGTGTGGTGGTACGTGCCTGTAGTCCCAGCTACTGGAGAGGCTGAGTCACGAGAATCGCTGAACCCAAGAGGTGGAGGTTGCAGTGAACTGAGATCACGCCACTATACTCCAGCCAGGTGACAGAGCAAGACTCCATCTCAAATATATATATATAATAAAATAAAATAGTTTAGATTTACAGAAAACTTGCAAAGGTGATATGAAGAGCTCTTGTATCCTCCTTGCCCTCGTTTGTCATTTAAGTCTTTCAATTAAGTAGTCAACATTACTTGCTGTTAGTCAAATAAGGAAATAGGCAAGTCATGGGGATTTGTCTACTAACATAATGGCTAATCACTGCCTCCCTTTACCTCCTCCATCCTTTATGTCTGTAATAACTGGACATTGAGAACAAGAGTTCACATTGACAACCCTGGAGAGACAGATCTGTAGATCTTCCATGCTGAAGCAGGAAATTAACTCAGATTGTAGAAAGATTACGCACTGCACAAGTTGAAATAAACACAGCTTTCTATTCTACCTGAAACAACATTACAGTGTCCCCATTCTAGGAGCATTTCTGAGGCTCAGCATTGAATCCATAGCCAGTTCGAGGTGGTTCTGCTGGGTATGACTCTAGGTCTCTCTTGTCTACGTGTGGACTGGGCGAAGTGGGAGTCTAGAAATCATTCTAATTTGGCTAGGAATGGGGCGTCTAGCAGGCCCAAGCTGCTTGGTGTAGGCACGATTACTTATTAGGTCTTCCCTAAGCCCAGATCAGTAATAGCCCACGTGTTCCCTTCTGTAGCTATTCAGTTTGAGTTCCCCGAACTATATTGCCTGAGGCGGGCAGTTTAATTTTTTGCAGTTTCTGAGTTTTTCCAGGTTTCACTGGGTTTTCATGCTCTGGCTAGATGCAGGTAATCAGAGCTAATTTATTGTACGCTTCTGTGGCCAGCTGCAGTGGGAACTATCTAAGTAAGTAAGAACCGGTAGTCAATACTCAAACTCCAAGTCTTCATATAGAGTTGTCTGTAGTTTCCTTGCCTCTCCTGTGAAGTCTGCAGGCAATGCCTTCTTTCTCCTTCTGCCAGATAGTCCTTTTGATTTTTCATCATCTGGCTCAAGGTACCCTGTCTTTTGTTTACTCCAAGTTCGTTACTTTATTATCATCTCATTATTACCTTTATTTTATTACCATCTCATTATTTCACAGAGTGGGGGGGATGTTTCCATGGTGATACAGCAACCTTACCATGTTGAACACACTGAAAGCACATTAGCACACTGGCTAGGGATTTATTTTTAGAGGGGACATGATTCAGGATGCTATAGAGACTGTAACAGAGCTATATGGCCCTTCCTAATTTCCTTTTTTATATATTTAATGGGAGGGGATATATTCAAATTAGTGGGGATGAACTTAGCATTCTGTAAGGGTGGATGAAGAACCTCTGTAGCTGTTTCCTTTTATTTTATTTTATTTTATTTTATTTTATTTTAAGACAGAGTTTTGCTCTTGTTGCCCAGGGTGGAGTGCAGTGGTGTGATCTCGACTCACTGCAACCTCTGCCTCCCGGATTCAAGCAATTCTCCTGCCTCAGGCTCCCGAGTAGCTGGGATACAGGCGTGTGCTACCAGGCCTGGCTAACTATTTTTTGTATTTTTGGTACAGACAGGGTTTCACCATGTTGGCCAGGCTGGTCTTGGATTCCTGACCTAAGGTGATCAACCCTCCTTGGCCTCTCAAAGTGCTGGGATTACAGGCATGAGGTACCATGCCCAGCCTCTCCTTTATTCTAATTAGCCTGCTTACTTCATGAAAGCTTTTAGCCTAACACCACGGTGTACCAAGGATGAATATATCCCCGTACCTATCCTTCTGGAATTCAGAGCCATCCAGGAAGGAAGCAGTTACAACAGAAGGTGATTTGAATTTCACATGAGGCAGAGGAAAGGCCAGTGGGTCAGCTGCATGGGTCCCCTATGGGAAGCTGTACTGTGATCTGGTCACCATTTCCCTACCGTGCTCCCCAGCCTTAGTGGTGATCCCTCTTGATGTGATCATGCTGCAGGGACTGATTCCCACTAGATTGATGTATAAACCATCATGCAAATATATCTCTTTCCATTGAAGACAAGAGCCAGCCATCAAACAGACAATGCAGAGGCAAATGAATTCTCCCCCATGGGCCAAACCACATAGGAAGCTACATTACAATCCCTGAGGCAGTACCATTGGCAATGCTTGAGCTAGCTTGTCCTGAGTGACTCATAAGGACCAATTGCTCACATCTCTTCCCAAATCCACATTCAGTGACTTTACATCGACTGCTTATAGTTGACCATGGTGGGGATATTTACACCATGATCATTGGAAAATCTTATAAATTAGGACTTATTTTATCCCCCAGAAATCTGATTGCTGCACATTTGTCACCAAGAGCATTTGATCTATTTCATAAAATAAACTCAGTTGGTTAAATAGGGTACCATATGTTTGGGAGGGGCATGGTCAATGTCTTTTTCTTTTACTTTTCTCATTGAAGGTATGGATGATCAAGAAGCCTTCTGACAGATGAATTAGTGTAATATCCTAGTATGGGAGATTATTTTGCAGTTGGAGGGGCTAGTTCTTTTTTTTTTTTTTTTAATGGAGTCTCGCTCTGTCATCAGGCTGGAGTGCAGTGGTGAGATCTTGGCTCACTGCAACCTCTGTCTCCTGGGTTCAAGAGATTCTCCTGCCTCAGCCTCCCAAGTAGCTGGAACTACAGGAGTGTGCCACCATGCCTAGCTAATTTTTGTATTTTTAGTAGAGACAGGGTTTCACCATGTTGGCCAGGATGGTCTCAATCTCTTGGCTTCATGATCTACCTGCCTCGGCCTCCCAAAGTGCTGGGATTACAGGTGTGAGCCACCGTGCCTGGCTGGGGCTAGTTCTTGAACATCACCTATCTCTGCTCTGGTGTGCATCTTGTATTCAGTGGGTAATTTGGCTTCTAGGTTCTGAGTTCTTTGGGATCACCTCACTGTTGGCCATGTGCATATTACGAGGTCGGGGAAAGAAGAGATGGAACTAAAAAAATAGAGAGAAAAGGGTTGCTATCATTTTTAGTGACTTCTATCATCTTAAATGTCTTTGCTAAACAATAGAAATAGATTTAATGGAAGCTAAAGTTTTATGCTGAAACTGGACTTCTGTTGATTTTGGGCCTTGGTTTGGACAAATGGAGGGCAGCGGAAGCCGCCACTAAGTGGATTTTGCTCTTCTTAATGAGGGATATAGTGCCAAAAAATTAAGTTTCTTTCATTAGTGAAAATGAGGCTCCTCCATCAACTTTCACATTATACAAAGAAAGAAGGGGGAAAAATCTAGGCAAGAGAGAAGGAGGGAGGTTAGGCAAAGTAAACAATTATTTTTGATTTATTGATCCCTGCAAGAAGATAGAGCTTTTGGCAGAGGAGGGAGCATCTTTCTTAATTAGTGTCATGATTTTCTGGCAGTGATTGACAATGTTTCTTCGACCCTATTGTTTTCTTAGTGCTGGCTGCTTCCCATGTGTTCCTTGCCAGGTGGCTTGCAGACCCTATCGCAGGGATGAGAGATACAGAGGATTCTCAGCATCTCCCGAAACGACAGGAGCACCTGCATTGCAGCATAGTCCATTTTTGAAACCAGCCCTGCCCTCAAATCCCAATTCTAGCACTTAGTAGTTATGTGAGTTGGGCGTGGTGGCTCACGCCTGTAATCCTAGCACTTTGGGAGGCCGAGATGGGTGGATCAGTTCAGGTCAGGAGTTCAAGATCAGCCTGGTCAACATGGCAAAACCCTGTCTCTACTAAAAATACAAAAAAATTAGCCAGGTGTGGTGGTAGGCACCTTTAATCCCAGCTACTCGGGAGGCTGAGGCAGGAGAATTGCTTGAACCCGGGAGGCGGGAGTTGCAGTGAGCCAAGATCGTGCCATTGCACTCCAGCCTGGGCAACAAGAGCGAAACACCATCTCAACAACAACAACAACAAAAAAAGGTAGTTGTGTGGCTGCGTGGAAGGTGCTGACCTCACTGGGTCCTAGATTACTTAGCTTGCTTACCTACAAAAGGGAATAATCGTGATTTTTGTTGAGAGAATTAAAGATGAAGTGTGGAGTACATTGTATAGTGCATGTGGAAAGTGAGTTATTAATAATAGTGATGGTTGGAGAGATTAATTGCAATCTGCCAGTAGGTGCAGTACTCATTACCTTAACAGATACTTACTGAGCACCTACTGTGTGCCAGGCATTGTTCTAAACCCTGAAGTTACATCAGTAAACAAAACACACAAAAAAATTCTGTCTTCATAGAACTGACATTCCAATACCTGATTTAAAATTCATAGTGAGGGCTGGGCGAGGTGGCTCGCGCCTGTAATCCCAGCACTATGGGAGGCCAAGGCAGGCAGATTGCTTGAGGTCGAGAGTTTGAGACCAACCTGGCCAACATGGCAAAACCCTGTCTTTACTAAAGATACAAAAATTAGCGAGGTGTGGTGGTGTGTGCCTGTGGTCCCGGCTACTTGGGAGGCTGAGGTGGGAGAATTTCCCTTGAACCCGGGAGGGGAAGGTTGCAGTGAGCCGAGATTGCACCACTGCACTCCAGGCTGGGTGACAGAGTGAGTGAGACTCCGTCTCAATGAAAATAAAATTGACAGTGGAAGTGATTATTTGAATTGAGAAGATGCTGGAGGTCTCAGCCTAATGGACTAGGCTCTGAAATGAAGCCAGGTTTCCTGCATTCAGGATATGAAAAGGGCATAATCCAAGCCTATTAGGAGGAAGTTAGGTGCATAGCTTTTATTTTTTTTTAATTTTTGTGTTTAATTTTTGTGAGTACATGTAGGTGTATTTATTTATGGGGTACATGAGTGATTTTGATACAGGCATGTAATGCATAATAATTACATCAGGGTAAATGGGGTATCCATCACCTCAAGCATTCATCCTTTCTTTGTGTTACAGACAACTCAATTGTACTCTTTTTGTTATTTGAAAATGTATGATCAATTATTGTTGTCTGTAGTCTAGGTCCACAGCTTTTAAAGCCAACATTTATTGAGCCCTTGGAATGAGGCAATATCTCATTCAACCCTTTGAGATGGTTTATTATATGAAGCAACAGAAGTACAAAAAGTTTAAAAACTTGTCCAAGACCGCACATCTTAACGTTGTCAGAATCAGGTTTCAATCCCAGATGTGCCTAATCCTGAAATCATGCTCTTAGGTGTATTAACAGGGCACCAACTCAATGAATGGGATCTGTTCTCCAAATTCTTCTTCCCTCCAGTTTCAGATATAGATTATGGGACGAGGTTTCTGGAGAAAAGTCTGATTTCAGTCAATTTTAGTTTATAAGCTTTATAAAGGAAAGAAGCATACTTTTTGTTTGGCACATTCTAGAGCCTAAATGATCCACTGGAATCTATCAATTGCTCAACATATTTGGGATGAATGAGTGAATGAATGAATGAATGAATGAGTGAGTATAGTATAATGTGTCCTTATTCTTTCTGCAAATAAGAGGGACTTATTGAGCACAAAAGACAGCAAGATGCATATTGTTTTTGGCTGAGATAGCATTGCCTTTGAGGAACAGTCAGTAAATGGGTGAGCCTAGAAGATATGGTGACACGGAAGAATGGTAGGAAATAAGAAACTAGCAGGGCCAGGGTCTTTGAGGGTATGATAAGGAGACTGAATTCTATCTAAGGGCTGTGGGGAGCCACTGAATAGCTGTGACTGGAGCGGGAAAGAGTTAAGACAAGATTCTACAACCAAGGGTTTGCCCAAGGTCAGGTCATAAAATAGTGACAGCAGGAACTAGAAACTTTAAGGCTAGGGATTTTTTTTCTTCTAAGCTACACTGTGTTTTCTTCATTCTTACAAAAAAGTGTAAACTGAGCTTTTTTTTTTTTTTTTTTTTTTTTTCCAGTCTCGCTCTGTCACCCAGGCTGGAGTGCAATGGCGTGATCTTGGCTCACTGCAACCTCCGCCTGCAGGCTCAAACAATTCTCCTGCCTCAGCCTCCCGAGTAGCTGGGACTACAGGTGCACAACACCACGCCTGGCTAATTTTTGTATTTTTAGTAGAGACAGGGTTTCACCACGTTGGCCAGGCTGGTCTCGAACTCTGACCTCAGGTGATCTGCCTGCCTTGGCCTCCCAAAGTGTGGGACTATAGGCGTAAGCCACCACGCCCAGCCTGAACTGAGCTTTAACTCTGGGCTGTTTCTGCTCATGATAGGCTTTATGGTTTTTCTTTTTGTTTTGTTTCATTTTTGGACACCTCCACCGGGTGGGAAAATCTTTTCCTACTGAGCATAGCTTGAGAGAAGCTCACATGTGCCAAGAAATGCTACTCACCCCAAATACTTTGTGCCCAGTAAAAGGGATAGTTAGGGACTGAGGTCCGAGAGGGGGACAGCATTCTGGAGAACACTTCTAATAGATCTCTGCAAATATGTTGAAGAAGGACCTAGGGTGTTCTAAACATTGGGGAGGGGTGCTCAGGACTCTGCAACTGTCTTTCCTGGTGTCACTGTTCACGGCATGCACACTCACAACATACACACCTGCCAGCACATACCTACATGACCTTCGTGCCCTTCCCGTACTTCTGGTGCATCACCCCTGCACATCACATTTCCTACATGCATTTCCCACATGTCCCCGCACACCCGAATATACACAAACACATATTCCCCACGCTCCGTGAAGTATGTCCACCACACACTCACATAGGCAAGAGCAGATGCAATGCCTTGGGTTCACACACTCTTTACACACCCCTGCAAACACATCCACACTACACACACCATGCGCAGTTTCCATGACACACCCACACAATCCATATTTTTGGCCATAGACATATAGCACATAACTGCATCAAAACCTTTTCACCCACAAAACATATATACCTCACACTCACCTACCCACCCACGTCACATTGACACTCATATCGACACCATCTCACCAAAGCAAACCACAGTCCACATTCACTCTATATCTATTAATATATCTATATCTATCATCTATACCTATGTCTATATTCATATGCATACATCTCATAGACACACACATTCTCATTCACACACCCACTCTTCACATCCTCATTCTCTCACACATACACAAGCACACACACACACACACACACACACACACATCATGACTATACCCTGCATATAGACCATACTTATTTCCCAGGGATCATAATTCAACATTGAAAAATTGCCTGAGGCCACACACAATCCTAGCCTAGAATCACCAAAAAAAAAAAAATTTTAAGTCTAAAAAGTTTATGGGGAAATAAAATTCTATTTGCCTATTTTTAGCTCCCCCGAGGTTAAATATGGCCTTATTCCATGCTCAAGCAGCTTCTGGGATTATGTAACTCCAACAGCTCTGATGTCTGACGTCAGTGCCTTCTCTACCCTCAGTGACGGAAGTGCAACACCCTTTCATCCACCACCAGCAGCAGCAGGTGTTCTAGGCAAAGGGATATTTACTGCTGTGGTGAAGGGATGGAGTGGAATAAATGTGGGGAAGTGGTGCCCTCAGCCAGTGAGATGAGTCTCCTTGACACCAAAAACCCTGCTTGGTAAGGACTGAGGCCCAGACCAACATCTGAAAAATGATCCTATCTTGCCATATGCTCCTTCTGAAACTCTCTTGATGGGAGACAAGTGTTTGGGGAAAAGGGCTGGGACTCCAGCTGCCCAGGCTGATGTCCTGAGCCTGGCATTGAAGGGCAGCTGGGGATACAGAGGAGGGGGTATGGGGTGGAGAGGCTATCGTTCAATGCCTTGGGTTTTGTGGTTCATGCTCACTGGGCACAGGGTCACAGAGGGTTTCCTGAATCCACTTACCAGCAGAGATTGAGAAGAACCACTGTGTTGCCAGGTTGGGGGTAGTATAGCGTAGTGGTTAATCACAGGGTACCCTGAGTTGCATCAGGTCAATTTCTGGCACCTCATCTATTAGCTCTACTAGCTCCTTGACCCTGAGCGGATTACATTGCATCTCTGAGCCTCTCTTTTCCCAACATTAAAATGGGGGTGGCTCTGACATTCAAAGAGATAGTCATGGGACCAGGCATGGTGGGTCACACCTGTAATCCCAGCATTTTGGGAGGCTAAGGCAGGTGGATCACTTGAGGTCAGGAGTTCAAGACCAGCCTGGCCAACATGGTGATACCCCGTCTCTACTAAAAATACAAAAATTAGCCTGTTGTGGTGGTGGGTGCCGGCAATCACAGCTACACAGGAGGCTGAGGCACAAGAATCGCTTGAACCTAGGAAGCAGAGGTTGCAGTGAGCAGCGATCATGCCACTGCACTCCAGCCTGGGTGATAGAGCAATACTCCATCTCAAAAAAAAGAAAAAAAAAAAGGAAAAAAAAAGATAATCATGAAAAGAGCTTAGCACAGTGCCCAGTATATAGGAAATGCTCAATGGTCATTATCATCCTCATCATTAAAAAAAAAAAAAAAAAAAAAAAAACTAGCCTGTTTTTCTTAGTTAAAAGTCCAGAGTGTCAACCCTGGCCAAGATTGACTTCTAAGGAGGCCCCATTCTTTTCCTTTTTCCTTTGAATGCAGCCTGTTCCTCTTCACCCAAATTGGCCTTTCAGGAGTTCCCTAAATCTACTGCGTTTGTTCCACCTCTTTGTATTTTCTCATGCTGTCTCATCTGCATGCACTGCCATCCTCTCCCTTGTTGGTTTTGGCAAACATCTACTCACCTTTCAAGAGGAAGCTCAAATGCCACTTGTCATGGAGAGCCTTCCCTGACACCCCCAGGCAGACTTGGGTTTCCTCTGATCTGTCACTGCTCCTTAGATGTGGTGACGTCCATGTCTCCCAACCCCCTGCCATCCTTCATTATTGTGGTAGACTTGGCCCTATTTGTCAGCAGCAAGAGACACAGCAAGTAGCTAAGAAAGAGGGCTCACAACAAACTCCAAGATAGTGAGATTATTCTACTCTTAGCTTTGCTACCCAGAGTTTATTCTGGGAACCAGTAGTGTCATCACCACCTGGGAAATTGTTGAGATGCAGAATTTCAGCCCTACCCCAAGCCTATTGAATCAGAATATGAATTTTTAAAAGGAGGTGATTCATCTGCACAGCATCATTGCGGAGGCATTGTCTGGGACCTCCCACCACCCCTGCAAGCAGTAATGGTGGCAAGCAGGGCAGGTAAAGCCATGTGCATATATTAACCCTTGATTTACTTAGTTGGGATTCAACCATGACCATGGAAGAAACCCCAGGTAGGGATTATATCCAAGATGCAATCAAAACCACAATGTAACGTTTCCTTTTTATTGAATCCCCAAATAATCCTTCCCTCATTTCTTCCTTTTTGCCCTCATCTCAAACCTCTCCCAAACACCATCTCAATTTTTCTAAGGTTGAACCAGCAGAATATGAGTTACTCTACCCCAATTATTACCGACTTCACTTTCATAGGGGTTTTCTTCTTATATTATCATTAGCATGAGGTGGGAGCTCAATGAATGGGGATAACTAAGAGTGGCACCTGGTCACTTTTATTTTTATTTTTATTTTAGATGGAGTCTTGCTCTGTCACCCAGGCTGGAGTGCAGGGGTGCAATCTCACCTCACTGCAACATTTGCCTCCCGGGTTCAAGCGATTCTCCTGCCTCAGCCTCCTGAGGAGCTGGGATTTCAGGCGCCCGCCACCACACCTGGCTAATTTTTGTATTTTTAGTAGAGATGGGGTTTCACCATGTTGGCCAGGCTGGTCTCTAACTCCTGGCCTCAAGCGATCCACCCACCTCAGCCTCCCAAAGTGCTGGGATGACAGGCATGAGCCACCACACCCAGTCACTTTGATTTTCAAGGGATCACAACCTCTCTCAATGTGGCTGAACAACAACCAGCTCACCTTCTTCTTATGGTCCCAAGAATATGAAGACCCTACAGCTGTAGGCTTATTACTTCACCTGTGTCTGGATATATCTTATCCACCCAGACATGTTACCTCAAATCCCCTCAGTTAGTAACTATCTCTACTCTTGTTATATAAAGAATATTTCCAAATTTACATGAATTCATAATTTACAAACTCTTTACAAGCTCTTGAACTAAATACGTTTTAGATTCTTATAAATTAGCCAAATACACTTCTCTCATTCAGAAAAACAGATTTCCCTGATGATCATTCTGCACGTCAGTACATGCCCACTTAATAGCTTTTATTACTAGTCTTGAATTGCTATGAGAATGGAGCCATGGATTCGCTGGCCTGTAGTAGGTTTTCTCAGGAATTTATTCTTAGGTGAATAAATGAATAAGACCCTTGTGTCCAGGGAGTCAGACTTTTTATCTCCGCATCACCAGGGTTTCTGGCACATAGTAGGTGTTATCATTTGTTTTCAATGAATGAATGGACAGAAACTGCAGTCATTTCTGCCGCCTTTACCTCTAGGGATCCATGTGGATTCTTAGATTAAATTGTGTGAGAAGAAGATCAGGGAGGAAAACAAAGCAGAAACCTTATTTCGTGCATATTATCATACTGCTTTTTTCATTCAGTGTAAATAAATAAAAGGGGCTAGTTCCAACAATGGAACTATAAAAATACCCAGAGATGCATATGAAAAGTCTACCACTCCCTAGAAATAAATTCATCTAGTTGAGCTATTTATTTCAGACACTTTTTTTTCCCCAAAAATAAATCTTCTGTCCTCCATACAAGTCAGGAGAGGTTGTCTATGTGTCTGCCTATCTTTAGGCTTGTTAGGTTTCTCTGTTTATCTCTCTGTGTCTTTATTTGAATTTGAGGCTGCCAAGGCTCATGGGTTATAAGCAAGAGAAACTAACTTTGGATGACTTAAACAAATACATGATCTATTGGAAGAAAAGCGAGATATTAATAGCTCACAGAATCAGAAGATGTTCTAGAGAATCACACTTTAGGAAGGAGGGAGATGAGGGAAGTTTCAGAGTTCTGGAACTAGCATATCCTGTCACTGAAATGATTGGATGTCAATCATTTTCCATTATTGGGTCACTCAACTCAAGATTCAAATCCCAGGGGCAGGGTTAAATGCCAGGACAATCTTGGGTCACATGTCCAGTCATGTGCCAGGCAAGGATGGAACACCCAGTTTGCCAGGCAAGGATGGAACACCCAGTTTGATGAATTGATGAAGACTCTATCTGAAGAAGGAAGAATAGATATTGTGGTAGACAGAATAATGGGCCCCCAAAGAGGTGCACATCCTAATAATTGGAAACTACATAAATATGTTAGGTTACATGGCAAGAGAGAATTAAGGTTGGAGATAAAATTAAAGTTGCTAATCAGTTGACTTTAAAGAGGAAGATTTTCCTGGATTACCAGGGTATGCCACTATAATCACAAGCTTTCTTTAAATGTAGGCGAGGTAGGTAGAAGAGTGACAGAGTGATGTAATTAGCCACAGCTGAATATCTGAGTATGAGAGGGGGCTCTGAGCCAAAGAATATGCCAGTCCCTAGAGGCTGCAAAAGGTAAGAAAATGATCCTACCCTCAAGTCTCCAGAAAGGAACACGGCTTTGCTGACACCTTGATTTTAGCCCAGTGAAACCCATTTTGGACTTCTGACCTCCAGACATGTAAGATAATAAATCTGTGTTGTTTTAAGCCACTAAGTTTGTGGTAGTTTGTCACAGCCAACTTAGGAAATGGATATAGAGCTCAACCAGAAAAAAAAAACAAAAAAAACCACATGCCTATAATAGAGTGTGCCTTTAAATGTTTGTTTCTATATTGGATTTTTAATGGAAAGCTTGGTAGTTGTAATCCACTCAGGGATGGAGAATTGGAGAATCACAATTAGTTCCAAGGCCTAGCTCAGAGGAGGTGCTTGAGAAATTCCGGCTGCATAAATTGATAGACATGGAACAGGTGTGGTGTACAGTAGATTGTTGATGTATCTCATGCCCATTTCTGGAGAACCTTGTGGTGGAACTCCAATGTGGGATTTCCACAACAGAGAGGGTTCTCAAGCACTGCCTCCCACAGGGTCTTCAGAAAAGGCAAAAGCATGCCCCAAAGTACCAATTTCATCCCAGTACAAGCTCCGGCAAGCAGAGAAATGTGGCCCTCCGGAGGGTATCAAACCTGATGTTCCAGGATGTTTGCCAGTCTTCTCTGGAGCATGAGAAAATATTGCACTTGATGATCGCTCATTTTGATTACACTTCTGCTCCAGAGATTATGGTACTTTTTTCTGCAATGTTTGGGAACGCAGCATCTCTGGGTATTGGTCTATGCCCATCAGAAATCAGTGTTGTGATATAATTACATTTGTGAAGCAGATGGTTCACCAACAAGCACGTGGCTGAAGCTCCTGTTGCAAATAGAGGCAACAGATCTGAGGGCTGGGATGGGAGTGGGGGTGGGGGTGGGTTGAAAGCTCCTCTTTGTTCCCAGATAAGAGCCATCTAGCTTGTGTCTCTGGTGTTTTTGCAAGGATTTTGGCAGGGAGATAATTGCAGAGGCTCAGAGAAGGGAATTACCGTTTATTAAGCACCTATCATGTGCTGAGTTTCTTCTACACCTATCTCATTTAATATTTATAACAAACCTAAGAAGTAGATTTTAATTATCGTCATTTTACAGGTGGGGAGACTGGGGAAATTTAAGTTAGGGGTTTACAGTTATGTAGCTGTTGTGGTAGTCATTAGCATTGCCCACCAAATACTTCCTGTTCTCCTCCCAAGCACAAGAGAATTTCCCTGCTCTTTGGCCATCTCAAAGTGTGGTTTCTGTTCTCTGACCTTTGAATGAGGGTAGAAGCATGTGACTTGCTTAGGAGAGTGAAAGGTGAGCAGAAATGTAGCGGATCTCTTCTGGATGGAAGCTTTAGGAGCCAATACACAGTTAGCCATGTGCTTTTCCCCTCCATCATGGTGATGGGTAATGATCCAGATAGAAGTTGCTCTGTTAACTGGCTCTTGGCAGTGAGGATGGCATGGAACAGAGACCCCAGGCAATGTATGAGAGAGAAGAATCATGAGTGAGCAATACAACTTTGTTGATTTAAGCTACTGAGATTTTGAGGCTGTTGGATGCAGCAGCATAATCCTGTCTAATACAGCTGCTAAGGAAAAGGTCTGGAATTTGACCACTAATCAGCCTGGCTTTTTACCTCCTCTCTGCAGAGCACCAAAGTGGTCTTGGTTTCTCGTTCATGATCCCTGTAGAGAGTTAGGATTTCAGGTTTAGGGTCTTTCCTTTGCTGTGAATCTTAATTTTTCTGAGCTTTTGAAAGCAGACACGGTTACGTGGTTGTTCTCAGGATGTTTTGTCAGGGTTGTTTCTGCCTCCCCAAGAAGCCTGCAGAGATGGGAACTCTGTCCCTCTCTAGACATCCCTCTCTAGACATCACTCATGGTACACATGGCTGCTCAGATTGTAGATGATGATGAAATACTTCCTGTAGGAGTTATTGGCATAGGTTAAAATGACTAAGAAGACAATGAAATAATGACATGGGATGAAATATACTGGAGTAGAATGAACTGGGGACAGAATGGCTTGAAATGGAAGAGGCTGAGTTGCAATGCAATGAAATGAAATGGAAGTAGATTAGAACAGAATGGATTGAACTGGGATCAAATGGGATGAGTTGGACTTTAAATGGGATGGAGTGGCTTAGAATGCAATAGATTGGAGTGGAATGTATTGGAATGATGTGGAGTGGAATACTTGGATATCACAGAATGGAACGAATTGGATGGAACATAATTATTTATTGAGTTAAAGGCATATATTGGAATGAAATGGATTGAAATGGAAAAAGTTGGTAGCTTAGTTCTTTTCTTCTAGGGTCCTACCCCTCCCCACCTGCCCTGGGACTATTTTTGCTGCTCTTAAGTAGTCAACATAATGTTGAGAAAATGATGTTGACTAGATGACCCCTCTGAGGGAGATAATTTCAGTCTCCTCATTAGCTCTACCAGACTGCTCTGCAGGGGATGGCCTCTGGCCTTTCATAGTGTGTTTGTTTGTGTGTGTGGTGTGTGTGTGTGTGTCTGTGTGCATACGTACATATGCACATATGGTGGGGGTAGGGCACTGTGCTAGTCAAGGTACCCAGGCCACAGCCTTTGAACTAATTAGCAATTACTGGGCCTGGGGGAAACGTGGCTGGGGTGGGGGACATTTGTTAATTCCATTTGGTGAAGTCCATGATATTATTTGCTTCTCTGCCTCTTCCCCACTTCCCCCTCTCCCCCTACCCCTATTCCATGTTCCCTGTATAGTAACAAGAGGATTTCTCTGCTTTTTTTTCTTCCCTCTCCCAGAATGAGGGAATGTGCTTGGAAACAGTTGCCGAGGGAGCAATCTTGTTTTTGAAAAAGAAACTGTAAAAAATGTGTTTGCGGGGATGCCAAAGTGGAGGAGCCTTATTTAAGTGAGTGGGGTGGTGGGAATGTGTTTACACAGCAAAAAAACGCAAGCTGGGTGTCTGCTGTTTCTTAAGTGGATGGTATTTTGAAGGGACTTCATGATCTGTCTTTTAATTCACTGTTACTGCTTCTAGTCCAGGAAAGTGTGCCTTCCTGGCATTCTTCATGTAGCTTAGGTTAAGCAGCAGAAAATTGGCAGCCAGTCTGAGCCGGTGCTTACCTAATAGAAAACCGTGTACACGCAGCTCAGACAGAGCCATATACATGGGTGTAACTGGGTGCATCAATGACCACTGTGAGGATTAAATGAGGTGGTACTTGCCAGCATGCTTAGCACTGAGCCTGGCATGTAGTAAACTCTAAATGAGTGTTAGCCCATTATTAATTGTGTGTACACGCGTATATGCACACAATCCTGCCAACACTCATTGATAGGTGCAATTGTATACACATATAAAATTACTTCCTTGGCCAGGCATGGTGGCTCACGCCTGTAATCCCAGCACTTTAGGAGCCTGAGGTGGGCAGATCACAAGGTCGGGAGATCGAGACCATCTTGGCTAACATGGTGAAACCCCGTCTCTACTAACAATACAAAAAATTAGGCAGGCATGGTGGTGGGCGCCTGCAGTCCCAGCTACTCAGGAGGCTGAGGCAGGAGAATGGCGTGAACCTGGGAGGTGGAGCTCGCAGTAAGCTGAGATCGCGCCACTACACTCCAGCCTGGGCAACAGAGTGAGACTCCGTCTCAAAAAAAAAAAAAAAAAAAAATTACTTCCTTGCACAACTGTGCAGACCAATAGCTAGGCACACCTGCGGGATTACATTGTTACACCAAACCCTATGCACACTCCTAACTATGGATACGTATAATCAGGTAGTCTCTCATCTTTGCGCTTCTCCACATCATGTGCGTCATCAAAAGATGAAGGCATGAAAGAAGAAACACATTTACTGAGTGTTTTTTATATAGAATGTATATAAATGCAATTTGCAAATTTCCTTTGGAAACCTGGCTGAGGGCTTTTCAAGTATGCATCAGAGGATTCCTATTTAGAGCTTTGTTTCTGTGTTCCACTCTTTCTTGGTTCCAAATGGCTCTTTCCTTTCCATCTCCCCTGCTGTCATCTGAATCTTCTTCTTACGTGTTTATTCATCCATCCATCATCCGTCCATCCCCCCATCCATCCATCCATCCATCCCACTAAGATGCTTTATGTGGTGCTGAGTGCTGGGCTATAAGAAAGATTTGAATCAACCCTTTCAGAGCCTCTCATCTATCCTAGCATTAAGGAAGTTGTTTGTGTGAAGCTTCGCACTAATATATGTGAAGCAATTTAGCATCACAAAGCTCTGTTGCATACATGATAATACTTGATTAGCAGAGAATGGGAGATCTCAGATTTTGGAACTTGAATGCCTGGGTCCAGATCCCAGCTCTGCCAATTATTTGCTGTAACTGGACAAGTTACTTAGCCTTTCTGTCCCCCAGTTTCTCATCAGTAAAACAGAGATCACAAAATACCCATTTTCGAAGATTTTCGTGAGGATTGAAGGAATTCATACATGGAAAGTACTTAAAACAGGATGTGGTACATATTCAGTGTTATGTGTTGTGACTAAAATTGCTATTGCTGATTTTCTCAGGCAGACCTGGGCAGCTAGTGGTGTTATCTCCATTTTGCACATAAAAAGGGTCAGGGCAGTTCAGCATTACCCCTGAATGACTGCCACTGCCTGTCAGCTGTCCTCCCTGCCTGTTCCCAAGGAGGGAGACAACCCTTCTGCCAGCCCCCAATCCGGAGGCATTCATTCATTCCCACTCTCAGTCTCCCAGGAATTGTCAGTGAACACAGATTTGAGTCTTGTTCTGAGAGGAGGGCTTCATAAAAGGCTGCTCAAGGCTCAGGAAGCCTCAGCTCCATTTGTTTGTTTTCAACACTCTCCTGCTTTGACTCATCTCCAGGGTTCTTAGCCCCTCTAACATGGGCTCCTCAGTTAGTCTGAAACAAGTTTTTTATGTCAGAAAGGGGTGGTGGAGAATGATTGGTTAAGGGTGAGTTGTGGTATATTAGAAAGAACCGGAACCTTGGGGCCAGACCTGGGCTTTAGTCACTTTCAGGCAGAACAGTTCCCTGTCCTCTCTGTGCCTCATCTGTAAAATGGGGCGACAGTTTTTCCAGTATGTCCTCTCAGAGCAGTGTAGCCATAATGGAGAAGCAGGCTTTGTCTTCAGACTGACCAACATTCAGATCCCAGCTTTGCCTCTCACTGACTGGGACTTGCTTGTCTTCCTTGCAATGGAATTAGTCTGAGTTCTTAGTTGCAAGCAAAAGAACCCAACTCTAAATGATCCCAGCAGAAAATGAATGTATTAAAAGGAAGTTCATAGAATTTCTGGATGTCTGAGAAACTGGCTTAGAAACTGAGAAGAAACAAAGAGAGAAAAAATAGCCAGAACTACCCCCAAAACCATGCCACAAAAGCTGTCCTGGGAGGACCCTGCTATTGCCCACAGTGCGCACTGGATATTGCCGCAGTGTTACTTTTCTCAAGATGGCTTATTCACTGTCCCTGTTACTTGGGCTACCAGCTCCCAATTCAAAGACACATCTGATTGGCCAAGCCTAGGTCACATGCTCTTGCCTGTGCCACAAGGGAGGCTGGGAAAGCAAATATTTGGTCTTTTCAACTTGTTGGAGGGAGGCTCCATTTCTTTCCAAGGCCCATAAGATGGGGAGCTCCCAAACATAGGAGAAGGTGATGAAGATGATTTTAAAAACACAGCAAAGCCCAGGCATGGTGGCTCACGCCTATAATCCCAGCACTTTGGGAGGCTGAGGTGGGCGGATCACGAGGTCAGGAGGGCGAGACCATCCTGGCCAACATGGTGTAACCCCATCTCTACTAAAAAAAAAAAAAAAAAATTAGCTGGGCATGGTGGCATGCGCCTGTAGTCCCAGCTACTCGCGAGGCTGAGGCAGGAGAATCACTTGAACCCAGGAGGCGGAGGTTGCAATGAGCTGAAATTGCGCCACTACACTCCAGCCTGGTGACAGAGCGAGACTCTGTCTCAAAAAAAAAAAAAACAAAACCAAAAACAAACAACAAAAGAAAACCCAGCAAAAACACAACAAAAACAAAAAACGAAACTAAACTGTCAACTACAATGTGGATTCCTCTTCTGTACAATCTGGAAAACAAGACCTATTTCTAGGAATATTGTGAAAGTTACATAAATTAACATGAATTAGGCATAATACCTAGCACATTATATGCACTCAACAAATGCTGGTTTCCTGCCCCAGTTACTAGAAGGTGCTCCAGGGTCTGAGTTTCTGGGGTGGTTCCCAGAAGGCTTCCTTTTCCTAGCTGTGGAAGAGGAAAGACTGCCTTTGTCCATGATGCTGATTTATCTCCAGATCCCCAGTGGCTCACAGATGCTCCTGAGCACAGCTGTTCTCGAGATGTGAGAGAAGAAAGCCCAGTACTGTTTGGTTCTCAGGAGGAGGTCAGGATTGGGAGTAGTCTCGCTCTTTTGCCTAAAACTGGAGTAAAATTTCACTCAGCAGAGGGATAGATATGAAGATGACTGGCTCTTGGTTCATTAATCAGAGCATCCTTTGAGCATACGCTTTTCTCTTGATAAAGATTTACTATATTTCAGTTCCACCAAAGCCTTCTACAAGTTCCATAGGTTCCAGATATCAATTGGCCTCCCTTAGAGGAGAACACAGACTCACAGATATGTTCACATCATTTGCCCATTCTCTAAGGCCGAGGTTCAAGTCCATGCCCTTGGGTGAAGCTGTCCATGATTAATTCCGCAGAAACTTCTGCCATCTTTGAATGCTGCTGAAGCTCATATTGCTGCCTCTTCTTCCTGACTCCTGTTCTTTCTCCCACAAATATTTGTTGAGGGCCTACTATGTGCCAGGCACTGGAAATAAAGTAAGTCATAAAACCAACTAGCTATCTGCTGTCAGATAATTTTCCATTCTGGTAGAGGAAAGCGAAAATAAACAAGAAATAAAATAATTCTATATTGCTATGGGTGAGTGTTAGGAAGACTGAAACAATGAAGTCAGGGAAGATTGGGAAACTTTAAGTGTGGAGGTCAATGAGGTGCCTTCTAAGAAAGGCTGAGCCATATGAAGGCCTAGGGAAGAGAGTTCCAGGTGGAAGGAATCACAGGTGAACAGATTCTGAGGCAGGCGTGAGCTGGTGTGTTCTGGGTACAGATGAAGGATTAACATGGATAGAGAGCAATGAGGGAGAGAGAGAGAGAGGAGGTGGATACAGCTTAGTTAATAGTGCTTGATATCTTGATTTGTTCAATCAGATTTCCTATAAGTCAGACCTGTGCCTTCTACTTTTTGGTGTCTGCCTGCTATTGTGTCTAGTATATTCTATTCACCCAAGAGGCACTTAAGTTTATGCTTGATTAACATGAATCCCTCCTCCAGTAATATATCACACTGCATAGGTGGCCCTGGTCCCTTTGAGTTGTTATTTTCTACAAAATCATGATGCTGAATGCAGACTGTGAGGTTCTACACTGGGTTAGGTGGGATGCATCTAAGTTGGGTCACGTTTTGTCAATGCAGTCAAATCAGGAAGTGCAAACCTAAGTATGGTGCGTGAGAACCAAAATCTGATGAGAAAATTTTATTATGCGCTCTTTGGGGCAGGTTGGGACCATTTTAACACCCCCCAGGGGCTTAGTTTAAAGGCACAGCCCTCTGGACCTCCCATTTCACAACCTCCTTGTCAAATGCTTGCATAGATGTGTCAGAATACTTCTGCTAGAAACATGCCCACAGGAGAGAAGCGGTGATGTTGCCCTGGAGCCTCCTAATTCTGCTGCGTCTGGCTGAGACAGGGTAGGCAAGAAATCAACACTTTCCTTTTCAGGCTGGATGGCTTCAAGGAAACAAGTAAATTCTTAGCCTCAGGGTAGATATTGGTATGAAATGACCCTAATTTTTCTTCCTAGCCCCATTCCCCATGGCAGGAGAAGTTAGGTTGGCATTTGAACCAAAGCTTTATAAATAATTTGCAGGAAAAGGCACACCCTGGTTAGAACCAAAGACTTATGTATTTCAGTGGAGCCGTGGAAATTCTCACTTTTCTGTCCTGGCTGGCTCCAGGGAGTTGGAGGCAGAGAGAATTATAGTCTATTGTGCTCCAGGCTGTCCAGAGGTTTTAGAGATGTCTGTGGGAAATAGAATTGCCCAGGATGGTCAGAGTCAAAAGGCGTGGTGAGCCCTTTGCTACATTGATGGGTCGCTCTGTGGTGTCACTCAGGATATCTTTCCCCCCTGCTTGGGTCTTTGTGTTTTGGACTCATCTGCCCATGTGGCTAGCCTCACATAAGACCTGGACCCTAACACGTCCTCACTCATCTGTCCTGTTTCTGAGCAACTTCTCTGAACCTATCTTGCAACATCCTTCTGAGCAGCTTCTGACCCAGTTAATTATACTCTTTCATTTGGGTCTTGACTTTGGGCATTTTTCTCATCTAAACCCTGGCTGTCCCCCTACAGCTAAAATGCCAAGTCTATAAGAACTCAAAGGCATTTTTCTGTCCCAGCCATCCCCTCCTACGTTGGTCCAGACCCATGGTCAGGACCCAAGCTGTGAAGAACAGAATGAGTCTTTCTTGTCTCTGCATTCTAGGTCCTTTATCCCTTGACTCTTAGATCTTCCAGCCTCTTTTATAGGCAGGGGGTCCTTTGAATACCTACCATATGCAAGACAAAATTATAAGTGGGCTGAGGGTGGAAAGTTTGAACTCTACCTTATAAGAAAAACCCTCGTTTTTTTTTCCTCTATCGGTGCTAGAAATGGAAAGTTTCTAAAGATTTGTTTCCTTAGGTACTACAACCTCTCTTTCTAGTTTGCTGAAAGTTTTTTATTGGTGATACACATTGCATTTCATTGCATGATTTTTCTGCATCCATTGAAATGATCTTATGGCTGTTCTTTTTTAGGCTGTTAATATTATGAATTACTTGGATTGAAATTCAAGTGATAAACCAACCTTGGATTAATTAGAAGGGGATAATGTAATGGCAGAGGTGGACCTAGGATGTGGCTATTAATAGAAGACAAGTTAGCCCATATGAACCTCAGTATTCTCAAGTAGGTAATGTAAGACTTAGTAAAAGTAGCCAGAAAGGTGGGTATTCAGAGGGGGTGGGAGACAGCTTTCTCCTGGGGACAGAGTGTATGCATATTATTCTCAGGTTCTTTGGAGAACTAGTTGGTGTAGAAGAAATAAAGAGACTTTGAGTTTTTAGGATTTATGAGTGGGTGTAGAATCGTGTAATTCTTTCTTGGGAAACAGGGAAGGGAGGCATTTGTTTGGATATAGGAGCCATTAAGGTACAAATTAAACAAGGCTTTCAGGTAATTCTTATAGGACTGTCAAGGAAAAACAGTTTGAGGCGTAGGGATGTTCTTTTTTACCTTGCATTAGCATCAATCACTGCGCTGAGCATACAGTACATCTTTAATACACGAGACTGATTGCTTGACTGATACTCCAAATTCCATTAAAACAGATTCGAAACTCATCCAAACTCTCCTCTCTGGTAGAACTGGGCTATGGCAAATGGAACGGGAAATAAGTAGCCCACCCCTTGGCCTTGACAGTGTGTTACACACAGGACTTTATTATAAGGCCATTTTACATAGTAGGTGCCTATTATCAAACAGGTGTATGGATATTGTCATAAGAGAAAGTGGGAATGAATCTTAGCAAAGTAGATGTCAGAACATTTGAAAAAGATTCTAATTGCTAGTGTTCTGGAAAGGAAAGCAAATTAAGTTAGTCATTTACATGAAAAAAAAAACCGATACAAGAAACAGAGGAAGGGGTTTTGAGCACATCTTATTTTATCACCTTGGAGCCGTTATCCTGTTCACCAAAGGTGGTTCTTCTTAGTCCTAATTCTTAAGCTAAATGTGTTATTTATAATGCTTTCTAAGTCAAAGAGAGAAAAAAATAATGAATGAAAGAAGGAAAGACAAGGAATTCTAAGTTAGTCTTTATCCTTCTCTTGTTCTGAAAGCCAGTGATTTTAAAGAACTTGGACAAAAACTGAGTGACCTTGGACAAGTCACTTAGCTTACCTGAGTCTCAGTTTCTTTGTCCGTGAAAGGATGCTAATAATGCTAAGCATTTAGGTTTACACTAAAAAAGAAATGAGAAAATGTATTTGAAAATACCTACCTAGAATAGGCCCAGGTTGGGGGACAAGATGAGACCCCAATGAGTCTCAAATGTCTTTTAAAAAAGAGTCTTCATTTGACCTTTGAAAAGTTATTTAACATCTCTAAGCCAACTTTATTCTACTTCCCAAAGTTGTCTTGGCTCTTACAGATCTTTTTAATTTCCATATGAATTTTAAAATTAGATGATCATTTCTACAAAAAAGTGTGCTTGAATTTTTACTGCGATTGCATTGAGTTTAATAAATCTGCTGTTATTTTTATCTCTGTTTCCACTGTATATAATGTGTCCTTTTTTCTCTGATTGTTTTTATTATTTTCTTGTTGGTTTTCAGCAATTTAATTAAGATTAATTTGGGAAAGAAATGATAGCTTAAAATACTGAATATTTAAAACCATGAACATGACATATTTCTACATTTATTTAGGTCTTTTAAAATTTCTCTCAGTAAAGTTTTTATAGTTTTTATTGTACAGGCCTTGCACATCTTTTGTGAGATTTATCCTTAAATATTTAATATTTTTGTTGCTATTGTAAATGGTATTTTGTTAAATTTCAATAGTCCATTACTATGTTATGCAAATACAACGGAGTTTGGTATGTTAACCTTGTGTCTTGCAACCTTGCTAAAATCACTTATTAGTTGTAATAGTTTTTTTTTAGATTCCAAAGAATTTTCAACAGAGATGATCTCATCTGCAAATAAACACAGTATTAATTTTCCTTTTCCAATATGGACTCTGATTCTTTTCTTTTTCTTGCTGTATTGTACTGGATAGAACCTCTAGTAAAATGTTGAATATAAATGGCAAAAGCAGATGTTCATTCTTGCTTTTTTCTTGACTTTGGGGGATACGTGTTGGATCTCCCACTATTAAGTATGGTGTTATCTATAATATTTTTCATAGATGTCCGTTATCAGTTTGAAGAATTTCTCCTCTATTCCTAGTTTGCTGAAAGTTTTTTTATTGGTGATACACATTGCATTTTATCACATGATTTTTATGCATCTATTGAAATGATCTTATGGCTGTTCTTGTTTAGACTGTTAATATTATGAATTACATGGATTGAAATTCAAGTGGTAAACCAACCTTGGATTAATTAGATTATCACCACTTAGTCATGGTGTGTTATTTTTATATATTGCTAAATTTAGTTTGCTATAATTTACTGAGAAATTTTTAACCTATGTTTTTGATGGACATTGGTCTGTAGTTTTCTTTTCCTTGTAATGTTTTTCTTTGTATCAGGGTAATGCTGGCTTTATGGAATGAGTTGCAAAATATTCCATCCTCATCAATGTTTTGGAAAAGGTTTTGTAAAATTAATATTATTTCTTCCTTAAATGTTTTTAGACTAGAAGCTGAGGTCATTCCTTTGAGATTTCCTAATGTGAGCATTTATGCTATAAATTAGCCTCTAGGTATTGCTATAACTGCATCTCACACATTTCGATATGTTACATTTTTCATTCTATTCAGTTCAAAATACATTTTTATTTCCCTCTTAATTTTTTAATTTTATTCATAGGTTATTTAGAAGTGAATTTTGACCACCAAATATTTGGGCATTTTCTGTTATTGGTTTCTAATTTAATTCCACAAGATTTCACAATAGAGTTTGGATGACATGAACCTTTTTAAAATGATTGAGATTTTATTCTATGGCTTACAATATGGTTCATCTGTGGATTTTTCTAGGTTGTATTATTTCTGATAAGAAATCTGCTACTATTCTCATCTCTGTTTCCTCTGTATATAATGCATCCTTTTTGCCTTTGATTGCTTTTATGATTTCTGGTTGGTTTTCAGCAATTTAGTTAAGGTATGCCTTGGTATAGTTTTCTCCATGTTTCTTGTGCTTGTGGTTTGTTAGCCTTCTTGGCTTTGTATTTGTAGAGTTTTCATAATATTTTGAGAATTTGTGGCCATTAATTGTTCCAATTTTTTTTATGCCTCCTCCTTTCTTCTCTCCCCTAGGAACACTGATTCTATGTATATTAAATCACGTGATGCATTCCACAGTTCAGTCATGCTCTTTTCATATTTTGCTGTCTGTTTTAATCTAAGTGTTTAATTTTAATTGATTTGTCATTGTGTTTTCCAGTTTACTAACATTTTCTCCTCCACTGTGTCATCTGCTTTTAATCCAATCCAGTATATTTCTTTTATCTTATATATAGTAGTTGCTATCATTAGAAGTTTGAATTTGCTTCAAATGAAGTAAAGGTAGTGATCTTAGACCTGGATTTATTTTAAGAAGAGTTATTTAATAAATAGTAGTATAGGTAGTGTTTGAATTTGGCAACAGCCATGGAAGTGACTGAGACTTAGGAAACTTCCTGTTACCTGTTCTCTGATACGTGGAGAAACTGAGGCTGAGATGGATGCAGATTCCTCAGACCATGAGCAAAGGTACTTTGTAATGTCTTTCCTCTCTGTCTTCAGTCAGCTCACAGTTCCACACACTCCAGCCTTTCCCACAACAGTCAGCAGGTTAGACACAGTATCACGTGCTGATCAGTGAGTAAAGTCCTTTCTGCTGTGTATTTATTAAGATTAATTTACTAGGGTGGTTGGGGGTTTATCGAGCACTTAAAAATGTTAATGGACACTGTTCCCAATAAATCATGTCAACAGATCTCTATAAAAACAGTGGGAAGCTTTTAAATTGAGCCTAAGAAGCAGTATTGACTTCACATGGTGGGCTCAGTATAACCTTTAAGAAAATGACAGGTATTATCAGCCCGAGTCTGGAGCCTGTAATTCGCCAGCTACTGAATTCTCCATGGGAAGCCATCCTCATAGTAATAGTTATTATTTGTTAATGCCTGCTGTTTGCAGGAGATTAGTCTTGGCATTTGATAGATGGTCTCTTTGATCTCATCAATGTCTGTTTTATTAACTTCCATTTCATGGATGAGATAATCAAGGTCCTGATAAATGAAGCCCAAGATTGTGGCTTTTCTCCAAGTACCTCTCTCTCAACTCTAGCAACGTCAGACTTCTAAGAGTTTCTACAATGATATGTTATCCTTTTCTGTTTCTGGGCTTTGGCTTCCATCGTTCCTTCTACCTGGAACATCCTTTCTCTTGCTTTTTTGCCTGCCTTTGCATCCCAGCCCTCTTGATAAAGCAGATCAGTTCATGTTACTCACCACTTAACTGTCTTAGAACATCCTCTTTGCTTTAGGATGAAGCGTGTGCTTCTTAGCATGGCCAAAAAGGCAAGATTGGAGAGACTTTTCCTAGCCACTTCTTCTAATAAAACCCATCTCTCTATTCCCTCTGCACCCTCTCTCCCTTTTCCTGCTTTACTTTTCTCCATAGCCTCAGTCTTACCTGACACTATACATTTATCTACTGTGTTATCATTCTCCCCCGCTTGAATGTCACCACCATGAGGGCAGGCATTCTTGTCTGTTTTGTCTACGGTGTGCCCCTAATGCCTCCCCCAAATGCTGCAGAGAAGCTGTCAAAAGTGAAGGCAAAGGAAGAATCATGGGATGCGATAGTGGGAAGGTACTGGTGATCTTCACAAGGTGGTTGTGGGCAAAGAAGCCAGACCATGGTGGCAGAAGCAGGGAAGAAGAGGAGGCAGTAGGCAGAACACTCTATCAAGATGCTTTTTTCCTTAGCTAATGCATGCTGTGCTTAATACCTACGTGATGGGTCGATAGGTGCAGCAAACCACCATAACACACATTTACCTATGTCACAAACCTGCACATCCTGCACATGTACCCTGGAACTTCAAATTAAAAAAAAATTTTTTAAGATTTTTTTTCCTTTAGGAGAATTTTTTTTATTCTTACTTTACTCTACTTCTTCTCTCTCTCTCTCTTTTTTCTTTTTTTTTTTTTTTTTGAGACAGAGTTTCGCTCTTGTTGCCCAGGCTGGAGTGCAATGGGGCGATCTCAGCTCACTGCAACCTCCGCCTCCTGGGTTCAAGTGATTTTCCTGCTTCAGCCTCCTGAGTAGCTGGGATTACAGGCATGCACCGCCACACCTGGCTAATTTTGTATTTTTAGTAGAGATAGGGTTTCTCCATGTTGATCAGGTTGGTATTGAACTCCCGACCTCAGGTGATCCACCCACCTTGGCCTCCAAAAGTGCTGGGATCACAGGCGTGAGCCAGTGCACCCGGCCACTTTACTCCTCTTCTCAGCCACATTTGGCACAGTTCCCTGCTCCTTTCTTCTCCTTAGAACACTCGCCTCCCTTGACTTGTGCCTCTTACGTTTCTGGTAACTCCTTGACGTGGTCTGGATGTGTGTCCCCACCCAAATCTCATGTTCCATTATAATCCCCAGTATTGGAGGTGGGGCCTGGTGAGAGGTGATTGGATGATGGGGGCCATGCCTAATGATTTAGCACCACCTCTCCAAGTGCTGTTCTCCTGATAGTGTTCTCATGAGATCTGGTTGTTTAAAAGCATGTAGCACCTTCCCCCCTTCTCTCTCTTCCTCCTGCTCTGGCCAGGTAAAACATGCCTGCTTTCCCTTCGCCTTCCGCCATGATTGTTATTTTCCCGAGGCCTCCCCAGCCATTCTTCCTGTACAGCCTGTGGAACTGTGAACCAATAAAACCTCTTTTCTTTATAAATCACCCAGTCTCAGGTATTTCTTTATAGCAGAACTTAGTGTGAGAACAGCCTAATACAGTCCTTCTGTCTTAATTCTTGGATTTCCTGTGTTGTTCTATGTGTTTCAAGCAGGTCTTATTACTCTTTCCATGGCTGATAGTTTCTCATTATTCAGGTCTCAGCTCACCTGTCTGTAACAACCACATTTTCCAGCTTCTGTGCTTGATGCTTTGATGTCTTGGCACCTTGCTGACCCTGGAGGGACTGCTCCTCTCAGGATTAGCCAGTTCCTGGAGATAGTAAAGGACTTAACTTCAAGCGTGACTGTCTTATGCAAACTAACCAATCCAAAGCCCACACCCCCAACCACCTCCGTTATGGGCTGACTCAGGGTTGATTACCCATCTGTCCTAATCACCCCAGGGCCAGTGATTAAGATTTAGCTCAGTTAGACAAGACCAGGCTATGTAGCAGCGATGAATAAACCTGTAAGTCCAGTAGCTTAATTCCTTAAAACATTCTTACCTACACAAACTCTGCCACACATGGGCAGCCATCTCCATCTCATAGCAATGCCATCCAAACCTATGGCCTCCAACATTACCATATCAGTCACCTGGAAGCGGCTTACATCATTTCTACCCTTACTCCATTGGCCAACATATAATCACATGGTCCATGTCTACCAGCAAGGGAAGCTGGGAAATGTAGTCTTCTTAGGTGCCCCAGCTGTAGCAAACTGCAAAGCCTTGTCTCTCTACTACACCATGAAAGGGAGAAGGGAGCCTGTTCAGGAGGTTGTGAACTACTGCCTAGAGAAAGCTGGCCAGAAAGCAGTGAGAGCTTAGGAGCAGCTAGCGAGCTGGGATTTGCTCTGGATCTCATCAGCACCTAGTTTCTCGTATTCTGCATTCTCTAGCAGGCTAGGAGCCCAGGATGTGGACAGTGACATCGGAAGTGCATTATTCACGTTCCACTTGCACCATCTGCCAACTGTGTGGCCTTGGCCAAGTCACTTCACCTGTCTCAGCTCTTATTTGTTTACCTCTAAGAGTAGGCATCAATACCTGCCTCACAGAGCCGACATGAGAACTGGAGACAGATGACGCATGCATCGTGCCTGGCAGGAACACTTTGCTCAGTGAGTGATTGTCACCATGATCATTGTTTTTATCATCTTGATAATTATAGTGGAACCTATTGAGGCATGGACCTTAGCAAAGTGGGAGCAGCTTTTGCTTTTGGATTTCCAACTCTCTGTATACAATGACCCCTACGGAAGACCTCACACCTGTTTCAGAGAAGAGAATAATACCCGCCCCTGGGTTTGGCCATTTCCTTTGTCTTACAGTTGTCATGGGATCTTCACCCCTCCCAGCTCCATTGGAAGGTCAGTTGCAGTGCAGCCCTTTTCCGGGGTAATAAGTTTTTAATGTAGACGCAATTAGTGAATAAGCAGTTGATTAGTTCATTACGAAAATAGTGAAAACAACACCATTTGCGGTGGCAGAAGCTTCAGGAAGACAGATGCGTTCCCTTTTCATGTTATTGGCTGGGTCAGAATGCCAGGAAAGTTAACATATTTTACCATAATATTAAGCCCTTTTAACACTGAAAGGCCATTATGTTAGGAAAAAATCCCCCTCTGGGGTATTAATTAGAGAGATAGAGCTTTAAAAAAATCATAATCCCATTAAATTCCTCTCTTATAGCCATTTTCATAAAGAATCCTTAATGTGAATTGTGGATGAAAAACCACAACTCTGGCTAAAGAATTTATGAAAAACACTAGGCAGCTGATGTATCATTTTTAAGAGGAGGAAAACAAAACATTTTATCAGTTTCCTGGCTTTGGATTTCTTAAACAATTATGAACAGCCTAGACCAGAAGTCAGAGAGCAATGCCGTCTTTGTAGTATAGTCTTTAGCCTTCCCGAAAGCTAATGATGACATATGATTGCTATGGGTGGAAATGTATGCTCTGTGTCCCAGCTTCGGATCACTCTCTTCTCTTGGGGCTTTCCTGGGTTGCACTGGGTTTCTGGCTGGCATGGCAGTCTGGTTATGAATCCTTACATGCGTATTTAAAATAGGTATTTAAAATACATGTTCAGGCCGGGTGCGGTGGCTCATCCCTATAATCCCAGCACTTTGGGAGGCCGAGGCAAGTGGATCACCTGAGGTCAGGAGTTTGAGACCAGCATGGCCAACATGGCGAAACTCTTTCTCTACTAAAAATATAAAAATTAGCCAAGCGTGTTGGTGTATGCCTGTAATCCCAGCTATTCAAGAGGCTGAGGCAGGAGAATCGCTTGAACCTGGGAGGTGGAGGTTGCAGTGAGCTGAGATCGTGCCATTGCACTCCAGCCTGGGCAACAGAGTGAGACTCCATCTCAAAAAAAAAAAAAAAAAAGAAAAGAAAAGTAAAATATATGTTCATTTGTTCATTTATTTGTCCCTATGATAAGTATCTACTGAGCCACTCTGCATGCCATATGCTGTGTGAGTGCCTGAGATACAATGGTGAATGGAGTAGACAAGATCCCTGAACTCAGGGGCTTTGTGTTAGTCAATTTTGTGTTGCTATAAAGCAATACCCAAGACTGGGTAATTTATAAAGAGAATTGATTTGTGATGACAACACATGGATGCGTGGCAGGGAACAACACACACTGGGGCCTGCCAGGGGTGGTGTGGAGAGCATCAGGAAGAATAGCTAATGGACACTGGGCTTAATACCTAGGTGATGGTTGGTCTGTGCAGCAAAGTACCATGGCACACGTTTACCTATGTAACTAACCTGCACATCCTGCACATGTACCCCTGAATTTCAAATAAAAGTTTGTTTGTTTGTTTGTTTGTTTTTTGAGATGGAGTCTTGCTCTATTGCCCAGGCTGGAGTGCAATGGTGCCATCTCGGCTCACTGCAACCTCCACCTCCTGAGTTCAAGCCATTTTCCTGCCTCAGCCTCCTGAGTAGCTGGGATTACAGATGTGTGCCACCACGCCCAGCTAGTTTTTGTATTTTTAGTACAGATGGGGTTTCACCATGTTGGGCAGGCTGGTCTCCAACTCCTGACCTCAGGTCATCCACCCGCCTTGGCCTCCCAAAGTGCTGGGATTACAGGCGTCAACCACCGCGCTGGGCCTAAAATAAAAGTTGAAGGAAAAAATAAAAAAAGAAAAAGAAAAGAGATTTATTTGATTCACCCTTCTGCAGGCTGTACAAGAAGCATGGTGCTGGCATCTGCTTCTGGTGAGGGCCTCAGGAAGTTTCCAATCACGGCCAAAATTGAAGGGGAAGCAGGCGTGTCACATGGCAAGAGAGCCAACAAGAGAGAGACAGCAAAGATCCCAGACTCTTTTTAACAACCAGATCTCTTGTGAACTCATTAAGGTGGTGGAGAGGGTACCAAGCCATTCATGAGGGATCCACCCCCATGACCCAAACACCTCCCACCAGGCCCCACCCCCAACACTGGGGATCACATTTCAACATGAGATTTGGGGCAGGGGAGAAAACATCCAAACCATATCAGGCTTCTAGTTCATGGAAAGCTACACATTAATCAACAAATCACAGAGACTGGCGTGAAGTTGCAAATGGGGTAGATGTCATGGAGGAGGGACTTGTGCAGTGCTGGGAGAGTGAATGACAGGCCATTGATACAGCAGGGGGCGGGGGTGGGGGCGGGAGTCAAGGAAGCCCTTTCTTGAAGCTGACATGAAGGAAGGCAGGGGTGTGCTGATGAATGGGGGTGCTTCCAGCAGAGGAAATAGTACTTGCCAGGGTTCTGCCCTGGGAGAGAAAGAACAAAGAGCATTTGGGGAAATGAAAGGAGACCAGGTGGCTAAAAGTTTAGCAAAGAGCAAAAAAGTGGGGAGTGACATGGCACGAGGCTGGAGGGGTGGATGGGGGCTGTGTGGGCCGGGTAAGGACTGTCATCTTTATCCTGAGAGAATGGTAACCACTGGAGCAACGTAGGTGACATGATCATGTTTGCATATATGTGTTGACATTCGTATGCATATGATAAAATTGCAACATTGTGTGATGCTGAGTGAATAGCTTTCTCTCTCGGATTCTCTCCTCATTTGTTAAATGATACTAATAACAGGACTTACTTCTAGTTTTACAGTAGCTATTATATGAAATAACCCAAATGAAAATGCTTATCCCTAGTGTTTGGTATGCTGGATGTATACAAGGCAATTTTCTTCCTTCCTTCCCACTTTCTCTCCTTCCCTTCCTTTCCCCCCTTTCCCTCCTTCCCTCCTCTCTTCTGCCTTTATAAAATGAGCTAACTGAATATATCTTGCTTCTTTTAACTTTAGGACTCAGGGCTGTTTTCTTTTTCAATAGGTACTCTTCTTTGTTTATTGCTTTTATTAAATCAGTTGGTTATCAAATCAGTCAATCAGTGAGTATTAAATGGGCACTAACTTTATGCTTGGTTTTGCAGAGACACTTAAGATGCCTAGGGGATTGGAAGGCTTCCTAGTTATAACACCTGCACATCTTTGTAGTCCAAAGTGCACAAGAAGTCCTTAATTAAACAGGTGGCTTTAGGAATAGATACTAAATAAAGCCAGGTAACTGGCTGGTTGTTCATCCTCAAGGGAATTAGTAACTGAGTCATTAGTCGTAGCATATAATCAACGTGTGCATGAAGCCTCTTTAAATATGTGCAACCATCTTGACTTTGGTCTTGACTATTTCCTCTCTGTGTCACCATCTAGGGCTCCTCAGTTTCTTTTTTGTGTGTGTGAAATAACAATGAAAACACCATTTCACCATCACCTTCGTGCTGGCAAGAAGAGCCGTCGTTGAGTCTTCCAGCAACAATGTCAGCCTGGTTTCGCGTCTGTTTAGGCCCATGAGAGAGTACCAAGAACAATCATATGACTTAATTACAATTCACTTATCTTGATGATTTTTTTTTTTTTTTTTTTGGTAAATAATCTTGATGTAAATTCCTAGTGGGCCACGAGAGAGGAGGCGGGATTGTAATGAACTGGTGATGAAGTGGAAATATTTTGAAACGCCGAATAATGTATTTTGCTTGTCACCTAATTACTTTTCTTCTGCCTAATAGCACATTTCATAATATCTTACTTCCCGATCTGTTCAACTGGCAATAAAAATTCTTTTTTGTGATTGCCGTGTGCTCCCAAGTAAAGACCAGTGCATTAGGAGCTCAACATATAATGATGCTTTAATGACCCCGATAATGTCCCTTTTATCAAATGGAAAAAGGAGTTTGTTTCATTGAAAATACATTTTCTTCTCTGTATGAATATTATTTGAAAAGGAATTGTTTATCAGTCAGAAGAGATGCACGTGCGCACACACACACACACACACACACACATTCATTCTCACTCATTTACCAATCCAGAAACAAAGAGTTTTTAGGTTTTGATTAACACCTTAGCGTTAACAATGCAATATAAACACACAGAAATGCTGAAGGTATCCCAGAAGAACAAAACTCTTATATGCTTTGATATATATATATCCTATATATTTCAGACACTACAATGTGGAAATGGCATGTATGTGTGCATGTACACACACACACACACACACACACACACACACATTTTCCTAATTGTAGATTAGATTGGTTGCATGTTTACCATGTTCCAGGACCTGTGCTGATAATAGGAGTGTAAAGAACAAGAGGACACTGTTTCTGCCCGCGTGGACCTAACAATCTAGATCAGCAGTTCTTAACTGGGGGCAATTTTGCTCCCCACCCCTATTTGGGGATATTTAACAATGCCTAGAGACATTTTTGGTTGTCACAACTTGCAGGAGGCAGTGGGCAGGGATGTGCTAAGCTCCTGAAATGCACAGGACAGTCCCTTATCACCCACCCAAGCCAAGAGTGAGTTTTCCCAAGATGTCAATTGTGCCGAGATTTGGAAACCGAGGTCTAATGGAGAAGACAAATGAAAAACCCGGCAATTACAACAGAGTCAGGTCAATGTATTCTAAGCCAGAGGAAGTTCACAGGGCTGTTAGAGGAGAGTGGTTGAGCATCTCACCCAGCTTGGAGGTTCAGGGAGGGCTTCCTGGAGGAGATGATGGCTGATTGGAGTGACAAACTAGAAGAAGAAATGGGGAAAAGGTGTTCTGGGAAACTTAATGCTGACTGAGGAGTCGGAGTCCTGGCAGATTCCACAGTCTGGGACGTGCTGGGGCCTTAAAAAGTCATATCACCTCTCTAGGCCTCAGTTTCCCATCCCCACCCTTCATTCTCAATAAAATGAGCGGCTGGACTGGTTGATCTCCAAGGTCTTTACTAACTTGATATTTATTATCCTACACCTCTGGCTTGTATAAACTTGTAAAATATAGCATTTGTTTTTTGTTGTTTTGGTTTGTTTTCTGGGTTTTAATTTTCATTATGGGGCCTTCTCATGCAACCATTTCCAGCCTCCTGTTTGTTTACCCAACAAAAACATGACTCTCCTCTGGTCCTGCCTTATGCTGGGCTCTGGGAACCCAGATATTCCTCCTCCTCATGTACCTTGCAGTCTGGCCCCAGATCAGTTCACAGAAGCTCCCTTTCATCACTGTCAGAGTCCTTGACTGTCTCTTGGGAGTTAAGGAGCTGTAAGCCCATTGGTGCCTATACCTCTTCCTTAAGACCATGTTGGTCCTCAGAGAGATAGCGATGGCCTGAATTAAGGCAGGCAAACTGGAGACAGAACTGGGGGCAGGGATGAAGGCTAAGAAATTTGAGAAATATTTATGAGAAAGAATCTCCAGGACTGGACCCCTTACTGGGGATGGAGGGATGAGGTGATGGAGAAGCCCAGGAGGGGTTTGGACTTGAGAGGGTGAGTAGCAATGCCCTCCTCTCACATGGGGTGAGGTGCAGAGGGAAGACGCTGGTTTTGTAGGAAGATGAAATGATCTCTCTCTTGCTTCCTGGTAAGGGGACCAGGGAGGCCTGTGGGAGTGTGAGAGGTCCAAAGGAGCCAAGCTGATTCCTTTATAATCTCTGGATCCAAGGCAGCTCTGAGATAGAAAAAGAAAGACTCCTTATGTGGGGAAAGGGTCCCTTATATTCCAGGTACTTCCTGAGCTTCCATAAAAGACTTAGGCAAAGATATGAGAGAAATTTATGACTGGGTCCTCGTCCTCAGCACAGGACACAAAAAGAGGCTTGCATTTAGCATGAAATAATCTCAGCTTCAGTCCCAGAGCTGCCTATCGGATGCTAGCTCTTGGCTTCACTTTCCGTCTTTTAAAAAAGGTCTGGGATGGACGTGGTAGCTGGCTCATGCCTGTAGTCTCAGCACTTTGGAAGACCAAGGCAGGAGGATTGCTTGAGCCCAGGAATTAGAGACCAGCTTGGGAAACACAGTGAGACCCCGTCTCTCCAAAAAAAAAAGAAAGAAAAAAAAAGAAAAGAAAAAATTAGCTGGGCATGGTGGCACATGCCTGTGGTCCCAGCTACTCTGGAGGCTGAGGTGGGAGGATCGCTCAAGTCCAGGAGTTCGAGGCTGCAGTGAGCCATGGGCAACAGAATGAGACTCCCTCTCCAAAATAAATACATACAAATAAAATAAAACAAAAATAAAAAGATTTGATTTTTTCCCTATGTTCCAGAGATGCTATAAGGAGTAAATGAGAGAATGGATGACAAAAGTTATTTGCAGGCTGGGAAGTTGTGTGATTTGAGTGAGACACGCCCAGGTGAGGGTTCTGAGATGGGTACAGATTCAGTCTCGTGCCCACAGCTGGCCAGGAAGAAGGTGAAGGTTACTGTGACTTGTAAGAGAGGCAGGGCTGATTGAAAGTTATTTTTCAACTGGTCTTAAAGGAACTTGGAATATTAGCTCCAGTATTTCTCTGCATGGGCACGGTGAGCACATTGGGTGGGATGAATCCCTGTGGGACACCACACATTGCAGGACATTTTAGCAAACCTGGTGCCCAATGCTAGTAGCCTCCCCTGCATCACTTTGATAATAAAATATGCCCCCCCACACTTTCACGTGCTTCCAAGGGTGGGTGGGGGCTTTCCTTAGAACGTCACATGTGAGGAGACCAAGCAAGAGAGAGAAACTAGTTAGGTACAAATCCAGAGGGCTATTGAGTTGGCAGAACTGAGATTTGAACCGAGGTATGTTCTCACTCTCCCTCTGTCTCTTGCCAAATCAAATCTCTAAAGTTACATTTAAATGTAACTTTAAGTAGGCATAGCATTTTTTTCCTACTAAAGTTACATTTAAATGTAACTTTAAATATCTTTTTTATAACTTAGCTTAATTTCCGTGTTTTTTTAATAAAAACCTGCCTAATGTTAAAAACCTCTATTAGTTGATTACAATTTCTTTACTCAGTTTATTCTACCTTTATCCTTGTCCCTAAGACTGTATCTAGATTTGGAGGGGGCTTATATAGCCAGGCATATTTTGGGGGGTCTAGGTATGGCCTTTGATCATTATGTGCCTACAGTCAGTTCTGCTAACCAGTTTGGTTTTTGACTGACACGAGTCATCTGTCCTGGACACCTGCAGAGGTGCCCATTTTAATCTCTTTGGTCTCTGATCACACAGGTCACACCACGCCTACTTCTCTACCTCCTCGTCCTGACCCCAAAGTCTTTCCAGGTCTCACAGTCCACTCTCTTTAGAACCTGGATCTTAACCAATGCCTGATGCCACCACTCTTGTGTTTGATGGTTTTATGCCCTTCAGGGCCAAGTGCCACTCACAGACACTGGGAAGTCCAGCCCAAAACAGCCAGACAGACCCAGGAACACGGACCCACAGTGGGAGTTCTGAATTCAGCCCAAGGCTTGGCCCCCTCCTGCTTACATAACTAGTGATGCCCATTCCATCTCTGAGCTGGCTTTTTGACTCACCACTGTTTTTTTTTTCCCCAAGAAGTAAAATGTAATTAATTGCAGGCTTATTGTTATATTATAACCTCACATGGGGGAGTGGGTGGTAGGGTGGGCCGAAGCTCAAGACAGATAATGGCCTTGTAGATCTGCAACCCTCAGATCACCCACACCTCTTCTCCCCTCTCTGTTCTTAATCTAATGTTGAGACAATAATGAAGCCATGATGCTGAGTCGCTGTTATTCATCTGAGTGGTTACTCGGAGGCTGGGGAGGACACATGACTCCAATTACAGACTGTCTCCCAGCTTTTGATCTTTGAGGGCTCAGAGCTGGGGATCCTCTGAATTTGCTGGCTGGGGAAAGCCTGATTCTCTCTGCATTTCATTTTCTCAGCTCAGCCCACCATCAGGAAAGATCTGTGATCCAAGGTGAAACTCTCAGAAGTGGTGGGGAATTTGAGGGTTATGAAAATCTGCACTTTGTTTGCACCAGGGACAGTGTACAGAACCCCCTCTCAGAGAACATATTAGCAGCTCACTTAATTGCTCTCTGATCTTTTTCCTCTCCTAGAGCCCAGATTCTTCATACCTTCTGGACCAGAAACAAAACCTAGCTCAGCAAATGCTCATCCATAGCAATACGAAGTTTGGAAGCTCAAAATCTTAGAATGGCTCTTTTGAGGTCTGATCCTGTTGTGCAGACTCCCCACAGAGACTATGGCTGCCCTGTGGCCATCTGCTCAATAACAAAGTATTGCCACTGTATACAAAAATGGGTGGGGGAAAAAAACATTCAGTTCTTCATAATATCCCACCTCATGTGAATTAGGCAAGACTAGTGCTCAATACTTCTACTTTTATTTTATTTTTTTTAAAAAGCGCAATTGAAAGCATATATCTACTCATACGATTTTCCCTAACTGATACCTGTCTTGCTTACTAGATTACTGGCTCCTGGAGGCAAGAACTAGGTTCACGGTGTTTTTGTTTGTTTGTTTGTTTGTTTGTTTTGTTGAGACAGAGTCTTACTCTGTCGCCCAGGCTAGAGTGCAATGGCGCAGTCTAGGCTCACTGCAACCTCTGCCTCCTGTGTTCAAGCGATTCTCCTGCCTCAGCCTCCCGAGTAGCTGACACTACAGGCAATCGCCACCATACCTGGCTAATTTTTGTATTTTTAGTACAGAAGGGGTTTCACCATGTTGTCCAGGCTGATCTGAAACCCCTGACCTCGTGATCCACCTGCCTTGGCCTCCCAAAGTGCTGGGATTACAAGCATGAGTCACTGCGCCCGGCCAGGTTCATGTTTTGTAACTGAGGTTGTTCCAGTCCCTGGAATGATGCTTTGCACATAGAGATATTTCAAAAATATTATTGAGTGAACAAATGAACGAGTGAATAATCACATCGATTTTGAGGTTCTTTAAAGAAGAGAAGGTGCTTGAACTTGAAGAACACTTGTGGGCACAGACAAAGGAGCTAGGGTATTTTATTCTTCTCAAGTTGCTCAGAGCATTCTCCTCCATCCATGGATCAGCTACAAGGATGGGTCAGGTGCACGTGTGGAGAGAGAAGTAATCTAGAATTCTAGAGAGTTGGCTTTCATCTTGACATATTTGTAGGGTGACCATGAGTAAGCCCATCCCTCTCTCTGGGTTTTTTTTTTTTTTCTTTTCATCTGTTAAATTTTTAATGGGACTGAAAGAGTCTTCAAGGTTCCCAGTTCTACTATCTCCTGACGATGCTTCTGCCTCCCATCTTGGGCCCCACGTTTTACAAGTTGCTTCTTCCAATCACTCTCCAAGCTCCCGACACAGCAGATGGAGCTGGTGCCCGCCCACGACTGACAGATGAGCCTCATTTACAGCCCTCAACATTTAACCATTTGGCTATTTGGCAGAGTCATCTAGCTCCGAGATGCTGGGAGAGTCCTCCCCGTCCCCAGCAACACAGACAACTTCCCACTCCCAGGTCTCTGCTAGTGCCGGGGACCTGGGAATGTGAAACAGAGAAGCCAGCCTCCAGCCTTGGGTCTACAAGGCCTTAGAGGGAAACCACATTTGAAAATAGTAATATTTCCCAGAGAGCAGAAGATGATGGGGAGGTGTCTGGACATACATTAATTAGCCAGCTTGGTCTATTTCCAGGTCCATGTTTTCAGAGGCCAGGTTTTTGTTGTTGTTGTTGTTGTTGTTTGTTTTTTTCTGCCCTATTTAGTAATAATATCCATAATTCTAGAAAAGCCTGATGTTAAATGTAAGGTGGTCTAAGCATTGAAGCAAACTTTCTTCCTATCTCAAAATCATTGAGTTGTTGATGTCTAAGGCTTTGAGTAACCACTTAACTCTATAACAACATCATCCCTCTAGGCTGGGCATGGTGGCTCACACCTGTAATCCCAGCATTTTGGGAGGCCGACGTGGGCAGCTGATTTGAGGTCAGGATTTCTAGACCAGCCAATATGGCAAAACCCTGCCTCTACTAAAAATAAAAATAAAATTAGCTGGGTGTGGTGGCAGGTGCCTGTAATCCCACCTATTCAGGAGGCTGAGGCGGGAGAACAACCAGGAGGCGGAGGTTGCAGTGAGCTGAGATCACACCACTGCACCCCAGCCCAGGTGACAGAGCAAGACTCTGTCTCAATAAAACAAAAACAAAACAAAACAAAACAAAATCTCTCTGATGTCTGTTGAGTGCTGGCTCTGTGCTAGTCATAAACATCTCTACATGCCTTATCTTATTTTGTCCTCACAACACCATTAAAAGATAGATACTATGATTACCACTGTTTTATAGCTGAAGAAACAGAGAATCAGAAATGTTAAATTTATACAGTCATAGAGCTACCAGAAGGAAGAACTAGGACTCACACCTAAGAAAATCAAAGCTCTCTTCCTTGCCTTCTCAGGTGATTGAGGAGAAATCCTCTGTTAATACTCCTGCCTCCTGGCCTTGGCTCCAATGATGGTCCCCTGGGAATGACAGTGGGGCTGTGGGAAAGGCAAAGGTTCTCTCCAATTTGTTCTATCAATTAATGATTTTGAGATTTGGTGTGGAAATCCAAGAATCTATGACCCCATGAGAAAATTAAAGGATGAGATGGGGCCATTGAATGGGAGCAGATCAGAATCCAAAGAGGAAAGGTTAGAGTGTAAAATTCCCTCTACTGCGTCTTCCTGGCAGGATGTGGGTGTTTAATTACTGTGTTGAGAGCAGGATTGAATAAGTGGGACAAGACTGGAAATGTTTGTTTAGGGGCTGTTCCTTTAGGCTGATCTGGACCCAGGGCATTGATGATGGTTTTACAATGTGAGAGAGCTATCAGGTGGGTAGGAAACTCTCCTGAGTCTGTGAGGCAAATGACCTCTGGCTAATCAAGTTTCTTAACTAAGATTGCCTGAGAACTTAAGATGTAGAACTCCACGAAGCAGTCAGGTCTGGACATTTACAATGTACGTGGAACATTTGTTCAATGAATGTAGACACTGTTTAACACTTCTACACTTTCAATACTTGGCTCCTATGAAAAGGTATAGATATATTCAGAGCCTCTGCCGCCTGTCTGGCTTCTAAGCTACACTGCCTATCCACATTCCTGTTGAGAGATATTTGCTGTGTTGACTGCTACATAACTCTGTCCCCACACCAGTTTACAGAAGTTTGGACCAGGGGTGCAGGACACCTAACCCAGAGGGAGCCTGTCCATGGCTGACCTTGGTGCTTAGAGTGAAAAAGATAAACTGATCAGCCAGGCACCGTGGCTCACACCGCAATCCCAGCACTTTGGGAGGCCAAGGTGGGTGGATCCCTTGAGCTCAGGAGTTCGAGACCAGCCTGAGCCACACAGTGAGACCTTGTGTCTATAAAAAATTAAAAAATTAGCTGGGCAGGGTGGCATGCACCTGTCTTCTCAGCTACTTGGGAGGCTGAGGTGGGAGGATTGCTTGAACCCAGGAGTTTGAGGCTATAGTGAACCATGACTGCATCACCGCACTCCAGCCTAGGTGACAGAGTGAGACCCTGTCTCTAAATAAATAAATAAACAAACTGATCAAATGAGATCAATTTGTGGAACTGAAAATGAGAGACTGAGCCATCCTTATGGAATCAGGATTATCAACACTACACAGAGTGCTAAGTAGGATTCTACATTCCATGTCCCAGGAAATTGATGTGGGGGACAGTCTCCTTTCCAGATGGAGAGTTATTCCTGCTTCAGGAGACACCTGATGGAATCATAGTCAATTGGAGTAACATTTGGAATCGTGCACTCAGTGTTAATTCACTATTTTTTTTCATCCAAAAACGTTCTGAGCAGTTACCATGGGCTAGAAATTGTGCTGGATACTGGCATTAAACCAGTAGGCAAAATAGATATTGTTATTGCACATCCAGTGGGGAAGACAGGTATCAAATAATCCTGCAAATAAATATATACATTTTATAAACTATGATTATGGAGGAAAATAATGGGTTTTATTGTTACCATTATTTTTGTTGTTTATATAATCATAATAATAATTATAATTACTATGGTGGGTAGAGCAGATTTATATGGGAGATTAGGCCCAAGAAAGTCTTTCCTAAAATAAAATTTTATATATATATATATATATATATATATATATATATATATATATATACACACACACACACACACACACATATACGAGCAAAGTACAAAAAGATGAATGGGAAATCAAGAGAAGTGAGAACATTCTAAGCAAAGGGAAGAATGTGTATGAAGGCTGTGAGGGGGGAAATCACATATTTGAAGGTTTAAATGAGGGCTCAGCTTGCTGGGGGATAGAGATCAATGGGAAAGGTAATGCCATGTGTCTGGAGAAGTTGGTAGGTGCGGGATCATGCAGGACCTTGTCATACATGGTATGGGTTTTGATTTTATTCTAAAGTGCAGCGGGAATTAGTTAAGGGGTCTGAAGCAGGGGAATGATGTCATAGCTCGTGTGTTAGAGATTACCCTGACTTGTGAGTGGTTAATGGATTGGAAGTGAGTGAGAGAAAGAGAGGTATCTCAATAGGAGGTCCAGGTAGGAAACAATGCTGGTTTCATCTAAAGAGGGGGTGATGGAGATGGGGAGAAGGGGGATAAATTTGAAAAATGTTTTGAAAGGAGAATCTGAAGGTCACAACCTTTAAAATACCCTTGAGATGTGTGTGTTGGGCAGGAAGGGATTCAAGATTCACTTAGAATTATTTTAAGGGAACCAGCAAAGAATGAAGAGTGACATTAGGTGGAAATTCAACAAAGGTTTTGTTCCATGCGAGCAATAAGTATGGTGCAAAACAGCCATCAGGTGTGCAGGGACTGACGTGGGGAGGCAGAAATCGTGCCAGAGCCAATGGTGACCAGAAGCTACATAGTGATGGAACATCTAGCAAGCTCAGAGTAAATATGTAAAGAAAATAATTATGTCTGGGACATCCCAAGTTCTAACAATAGGTTTCACCTAAGTTGCCATAGTATCTCTCATTTATCTTTGTGGGTTCATTTTTGCCAGATAGTTTTGAAAATGGGGACTTCCTATAAAATAAGTGTCATTATTCTTATTTTATCGGTGAGGGACAGGGGACATCAGAGAAGTTAAGTAACTTACCTGAGGTCACATAGCCAAAAACTCCAAGCCTGGAGCTCATTGTATAAAACCATCCTCTGGGTTTAGGAATGTTTAGCTGAAAGAAGAACCTTTCCTTTCCTCTTTGATCAGGCATTCATATCACTTGCCCCTTTTTATTTTCCAGCAGGTCTCAGTGTATCCACTAATGATGATGGTGACCGGTTAGGTTTATAACACTGAGTCAAAGGTATAAGGGTTCTATTTTTCCTCTGATGGCCTCAGTTGTAGTAAATGTTGGGATTTCAGGTTAAAGTTCATCTCATTTGATTTCTTATAAATTTGGAATTGGAGCTTATGCAAATCTAGTGTTTCAGATATACAAACTAAGATGTTTTTCTGATGTCATTGCTGTGTACTGAACCACTCTACAACTTAATAAGCAATGGACACAGACCTCCACCACTAGGTGGAAAAAACGTCAACATCACTTTGCAAAAAATGCATTTGAGAGAGGGAGATATTGTGATGACCATCTTTGGAAACTTAGTAGCTTAAAACAACAACAACAAAAAACAATCATTTTATTATCTTCCATAGTTCTTGGAGTTGACTCTGTTCAGCTGTGCAGTTCCCACTCAGGGTCTGTCACACAGTTGCAGTCACACAGTGACTGGAGCAGAAGTCACCCTGAAGTTGCTTCTCTTACATGTCTGGCAATGGATACTGGCTGTCATCTGGAACTTCAGCTAGGGCTGTTGGCTGGAACATCTACACGTGGCTATTCATGTAGCCTGGGCTTCCCTACAGCATGGCCACTGAGTCCCAAGAAAGCAAGTAGAATTGCCTGGCATTTGATGACCTAGACACAAAATTCACAGGGCATAATTTCTGCCCTACTCCATTGGCCAAAGCAGTCACAAAGTTCTGCCTAAGTTTAATAAGAAGGGCCACAGACCTCCACCACTAGGTGGAAAAAATGCCAACATCACTTTGCAAAGTCCGTATGAGAGAGGGAGATATTGTGATGGTCATCTTCAGAAAATACAATCTGCCACAGATTAGGTAACACACTTGAAAAGTGTTAACACTATGTATTTGTGTACTTAGAAACCTTGAACACTTTCACTGCAAAGTAATCCATGGCTAGTGTTAGTAATAGAAGTTATAGTAAACAAGATCTCTTCCCAATGTACTTTCTGCTCCAGCTTCGCTGATTTTCGTAAGGTTCCTTAAAAGGCATAAAATGCTTTTTCATGGTTCTTTACCTTCATCCTTGTAGTTTCTTTGGACAGAAATGATCTCCCAACTGAGAGCTTAAAGATTCAAGAAACCGTCCCTGAATGCTCTGGATACATAATTAAGTCTCTATAAAGTGCCCTATCTTGGTTTCCACAACTATGTTTTCCTTTTGTGAATAACTCTATTAGGTTCTTTTTTCATAACTACCTATTCTCATTTCAGGTATGCAATGTACTCTCATCCTTCTGAGGATGTTAATTACACTTACTTTAAGGTCCTGATCTAATTGCTCTCTTGGCTCTGTTTCCATGGATTTGAATTCTTCCACTTTTGAGTTTATCTTTCCTATTTCATGGTGTTGGTATTATGCAGTTAGTGACCATGGATTGGATGTGAAGTTTTGTGATTGTGGTTCCTTGTTGACTCTGCTGGATTTGTTAGCATTATGTTCTTGTGGGAGGGGCGGACAGAAACTCTTATTACTGGCAGTTTCTTATCCACACTCTGGGGGAGGGACAGGAAATGTCACTCAGGAGACGGTTGGGCAGGTGGTCTTCTGGGTGGGGGCAGTTTTTCCTAAGCACCCTCCTCTACCCAGAGGATTGTTCTGTCCCTCCACTCCAAGAACTCTCAGTCATAGTAGCTGCCTCACTAAATTGAGAAGCCAGATGGTTTGGGAAGAGGCAGGATGGTTTTCAATCTACTTACCCACCTATTTCCATTCCACTGCCTCACATAACTAATCACCTGTAAACGTCCTCACCTGCTTTTGTTTCCAGACTCTATCACCGCTGGGATGTTTGAGCCTATCTTCTGCAGCTGTACTTTCTGCCTCAGATCCTGGGCTATGGATTCCCATCTTAAGCTAATCCCATTTAAGCTCCATATTTCAGAGAGCTCTCACCGTTTCTGGAACACCAGCAGTTACTCTACGTTTCTAAGTAGGGTGATGTCTTTGCATATTTTTTAAAAACTTTTTAAATTTACTTTATGATTTACATACAGTAAAATTCATTCTTTTGGGGATGGTTCTATGAGTTTTGACAAATGCGTAGAGTGCTGTAACTACCGCTGCAATCAAGACACAAAGTAGTTTTGTTCCCCCACCACCAATTCCGTTGTTCTGCACTTTTATGGCCTTTGTGAACCTGGCAGCCACTGCTCTGTCTTCTGTCCCTATAATTTTGTCTTTTCCACAATGTCTTATAAATTGAATCAGACAGTATCTGGCATTCGAGTCTGGCTTCTCTAACTTAGCATGATGCATGTATTAATAACAGTCCATTCATTTTTAATTCCTGAGTGTAATTTGTTTGTATGGATGTACCACAGTGTGTTTATGAATTCACCATTGAAGGATATTTGTATTGTGCTCAGTTTTTGGCAATTATGAATAAATCCACTTTAAACATTTGTACACAGGCTTTGTGTAAATAAAATTTTTTATTTCTCTTGATTACCTAGCAGTGGGATTGGAGGATCATATTGTAAGTATATGTCTAAAAAGAAACTATTTTCCCAAAAGAGCTGTAGCATTTTACATTACCAACAGCAAGGTGCAAGAGTTTCACTTGCTACATATCCTAAATTGAGACTTGGCATTGTCAGATTTGTGTTTTGGTTTCTGTTTTGCTTTTTTTGGTATTCTTACAGATATATAGTGATAACTCATTTTTGTATTATTTATGCATTTTAATGTTTATTTTTTATATCTTTGTTTGCTTGTTCTTAGAAACAGGGTCTTGCTCTATCACCCAGGCTAGAGAGCAGTGGCACAATCATAGTTCATTGTAGCATCAAACTCCTGGGCTTAAGTGATCTTCCTGCCTCAGTTTCCCAAGTAGCTGGGCCTACAGGGACATGACACCATGCCTGGCTACTTAAAAATTTTTTTGGTAGAGATGGAGGTCTTGCTATGCTGCCTAGGATGGTGTTGAACTCTTGGCCTCAAGTGATCTTCCCACCTCAGCCTCCCAAAGTGCTACGATTATAGTCATGGACTGCCAAGCCTGGGCCATTTTTTATATCTTGATTAACATTTTTAGAAATTTGGCATAGGAGGGATTACAAAAAGGCAAGCCCCAATTTGAAACAGATGTTGCCTCTAATCTCTCTTTGTACCTGCTTTTTAATAACCTCACATGTGTTACAAGGAAATTGTTTACCTGTTTCCCTCACTGGACTCTGAGCTTCTCAAAGGCAGGAGTGAGTCTTGTCCATTTTTCTTTCCTCAGTACCCAGAATGATGCCTAGCCTAGGATGGACACATGGTGATTATTTGATAAGTGAGTTGTTCATGAATAAATTTGCCCAATCTCTAATTAGAAAGGGTTTGATTTACTCAACAATCACCACCCTGAGCATTTTCAGAGGAAAATAAAATGGCTAGGTTGTTTTAATCAAGGACTGAGTTTTGTAAAACTGGAAATGTTATAGGGAAACGAGATAGGATCTAACATTGCAGAGCACTTCCGCATGCCAAGCACTAAGGGTGATATTCTCAGGACATATCTCATTTTACCCTACCTTGAACTCCATGGTAGCGAATTGGCTGGGACAGAGAGAACATTTGCTTTGGATGAAGCTGATTGTGTCTCTGAGGCTTGTGACCTTGAATAAGTGACTCACAGCCTCCCTTTGCCTCTGTTTTCTTATCTTCAAAATGAATACAATAATGCCTGGTTTATTGAATGGGTTTGAGAATAAAGGACATGTATGTGAAGCACATTGTTGTGTGTGTGTGTGTGTGTATGTGTGAAATTGTGGGGAAAAAAATAACATGAAATTTACCATCTTAACCTTTTTTTTTTTTTTTTTTTTTTTTTTTGAGATGGAGTCTTGCTCTGTCACCCAGGCTGGAGTGCAGTGGTGCGATCTCGGCTCACTGCAACCTCTGCCTACTGGGTTCAAGCAATTCTCCTGCCTCAGCCTCCTGAGTAGCTGGAATTACAGGTGCATGCCACCACACCCGGCTAATTTTTGTATTTTTAGTAGAGATGGGATTTCACCATGTTGGTCAGGCTGGTCTCGAACTCCTGACCTCGTGATACACCCGCCTCTGCCTCCCAAAGTGCTGAGATTACAGGTGTGAAGCCACCGTGCCCAGCCATCCATCTTAACCATTTTTAAGTGTACATTTCCGTAGAGTTTAGTACATTCGCATTGTTGTGCAACCAATTTCCAGAACTTTTTCATCTTCCCAAAATGAAACTCTGCATTGCTGAATAATAAATCCCAATCCCCGCTTCTCCAGCCCCTGGTAACCATTCTACTTTCCATCTCTATGAATTTGACTACTCCAGGGACCTCACAGAAATTAAATCATACAGTATTTAGTCTTTTTGTGACTGGCTAATTTCACTTAGCATAAATAATGTTGTCAAGATTTGTTCATATCATGGCATGGGTCAGAGCTTCCCTCCTTTTAAAGCTCAATTGTATTCCACTGGATGAGCAGACTACATTTTGTTTATCCATTCATCTGTCGATGGACACGTGGGTTGCTACCACCTCCTGGCTGTTGTGAAGAGTGCTGCTGTGAACACGGGTCTACAAATACCACTTCGAGATACTGCTTTCAGTTCTTTGGTTGACCTCTGTTTCACATGCAGCAGCACTGACTTCCCCGTTTCCCCCATTCCATGTGCCCTAGCAGACTCTGGAAGGCTAATTAATTTGCCTATGGCCTGACAACTTATGCATTGCTGGGGCAGGATTGCAACCCAAGTTCTCTGGCTCTGCATGACCCATTCTGTCTTCACAGCCTCACTATCTGAAAACTTCTCAGGAGGTAGGATTGGCACCTTGAGGGACAGAGAAGGCTTCTTTTCTTTTCTTTTCTTTTTTTTTTTTTTTTTTTTTTTTGAGGCAGAGTCTTGCTCTATCACCCAGGCTGGAGTGCAGTGGCACAATCTCAGCTCACTGCAGCCTCCACCTCCTGTGTTCAAGCGATTCTCCTGTCTCAGCCTCCTGAATAGTTGGAACTACAGACGTGCACCACCACACTGGGCTAATTTTTGTATTTTTAGTAGAGATGAGGTTTCCCCATGTTGGCCAGGCTGGTCTCAAACTCCTGATGTCTAGTGATCCACCCACCCCTGCCTCCCAAAGTGCTGGGATTACGGGTGTGAGCCATTGCGCCCAGCCCATCTGGGGAACTTTTGAAGGTCTAGAAAAGAGTAAGACTGATGATAGTGACCTTTGCTGTGAATTTCATAACCATTCACTTATACTTTTTCTGATAGATCCTTAAAAATGAAATTTCAAAGCAAAATGGGGAGATTTGCACCCTAACTTCAGTGGGGTTGTGAGTGGACAAAATGTACAAGGTTGTCGACAAAGTAGCATGCTTCCACACGTTGACCATGTGCAGCTTCAACCTAGATGATGCACAGTGAACATTTCATGAATAAAGCCTGATATGGGATTGTCTACAGGTTCCTCCAACCCCTGAGTAGAGATGTTCCCTCCTAGAGACTTGCTGTAGATCACGTTTCATCCTCCAACCGTGGGGGAAGTGTGCTGTGTTATTACCTGATCAATGTAGTATCTTTATTTTGGGGGAAAAGCTGAGCCTCATTTTTCTCATTTGTTATATTGCTTTCCTTTTGTGTGGTCATTTGCTGTCCCAGGCATCAAATGGTCCATAAACAAAACACTTACCCACTGCACACACACTCCAAAAAAGAGCAAACAAATTTCAGAGCAACCAAAATGTTGTTGCTAACCCAGTCCATGAAAGCTCATGCATTTTTCTTGGAGCAATGTCTGACTTTTAGGTAAAGCACCTTGCAAACTGCCTTGACACAGCAGGTGCCTGCAAAACATTTTCTTTTTCTCTTCCTTTCCTGGGTTAGAATTCAGATCCAGTAAGGAGTGAGGCTAAGTACTGGAAATGGAATGATGAAGGAGATGGACATCCGTCCTGACCTCAGAAAGGTGTGGGGAGGCTGGGCACAATGGCTTATGCCTGTAATCCCAGCACTTTCAGAGGCCAACGTGAGAGGATGGCTTGAGCCTAGGAGTTCGAGACCAGCCTTGGAAACACAGCAAGACCCCGTCTCTACAAAAATAAAAAAATCAGCCAGGCATGCTGGTGCATGTCTGTAGTCCCAGCAACTCAGGAGGCTGAGGTGGGAGGATCACTTGAGCCTAGGAAGTCGAGGGTGCTGTGAGCTATGATTGCGCCACTGCACTGCAGCCTGGGTGACAGAGCAAGACCCTGTTTCAAAAAAAAAAAAAAAAAAAAAAGGTATGAGGAAAACAAGAATTGAAAATAAATGAAAGTATTAATGTGAGTAAGGAAGAAAAGGAAAAGGAATGTTACAATATAATATTATATTGAAGTCCTATCACCCAGTACCCCCAGAATGTGACTTAACTGCAGATGCAATTAGTTGAGATGAAGCACACTGGAGTAGGATGAGTCCCTAATCCAATATGACTGGTCTCCTTATAACAAAGGGAAATTTGGATGCAGACACACACAGAGAATGCCATGTGAAGACAGAAGCAGAGATCCCCAAGCCAAGAAATGTCAAAGGTTGCCAGGTAACCATCAGAAGCTAGGAGAGAATCATGGAGAACCCTCCCAAGGAACTATCCCTGCTAATACCATGACCTCAGACTTCTAGCTCTGGGGACTGTGAGATTATAGATATATTTCCATTGTTTAAGCCACTCCATTTGTTGTTCTCTGTTATATTACCTTAGCAGATGAATACAGGGAGCTACAGGGGTATTTAGTGAGGGGATGAAGATTAGGGAGGTCGGTTGGTGGGCATGGTAGAAGGAAGATGCTCAAGGCAGAAGGAAGTTTCATTCCATAGAGGTGGCTCAATGCTGAACCTCCAGATTCTTCCTGATATGTGCTAGGGGCAGCTTAGCTTGACGGAAGAAACATCGATGTTGCCATCACACAAACCTGGCATCGAATCCTGATGTTGTTACAACATGCTGTGTGACTTTGGGAAAGCCACTCAACTTCTCTGAGCTTTGGTTTCCTTCTTTGTAAAATAGAATTGTTATACTTAGAGATATGAGGGTAAAAAGTTTTTACGTGGTTAATGTGCCTTTTTATTTGGCCTTTCTGAGTACACGACTTTTGTCTGAGTTAGCCTGTGGTAACCATCTGCTTTGGAGAGAAAGGAGAGAGAACGATGTGGAAGGCATGTGTTTAAGCTGAGACCTGAAAGATGGCTCAGAGTTAGTTTGGGGAAAACATAAAGGAGAGCAGAGGATTTTACAGAAGAAAACTGTATTTTTACATATGGTTAATTGTTACATGACAATTTATCCTAACGAGCTTGAGTATCTGGTTTCTAATTTCCTAACACATTAGAACTGCGAGTAAAGAAGGCTGCCTCTCACTATGTGGCTGGTAAAACAGACTGACAATGATGGAAGACAAAGGAAGACTACACGATAGAAGGAATTAGGAGGAGAGGGACGCAGAGGGAGGAGAAGAGAAGGGGCAGAAACTAAACAGCCATAGTAGGCTGGGGCTATTGAGTGAAGGGGCAAACATCTCCTGTTAATAGTATCTCATTAAATTGGATGAAGTGGCTGCTGTGGGCATAAAACACCCTTTAGTCTTTTTTTTTTTTTTATGCTTTAAGTTTTAGGGTACATGTGCACGTTGTGCAGGTTAGTTACATATGTATACATGTGCCATGCTGGTGCGCTGCACCCACTAACTTGTCATCCAGCATTAGGTATATCTCCCAATGCTATCCCTCCCCCCTCCCCCTACCCCACAACAGTCCCCAGAGTGTGATATTCCCCTTCCTGTGTCCATGTGTTCTCATTGTTCAATTCCCACCTATGAGTGAGAATATGCAAAACACCCTTTAGTCTTTAGAATGATGATGGTGAGCCACCAAGGGTGAGTTATGGGACGTTAGGGATGTTCTGTTTCAGAACTGATAACAATACATTGTGGTTTCTTCGTCCACATATACATGATGCTACTTCAAATCAAAATGGAACTCCTCCTCTTCTTTTTGCTGCCTTTGAAACTCTTGCAGAATACAGATGAGCAAGGCCCCCTGCCTTCTAAAACTGGATTAGGTGGCCCTCTCTTGTGCTTGCGCGGGAACCTCTGTTTTGCTGCTTCACATCATTCACCGTTGCTGGTTGCAACTAGTTCTTCATGTATCCCGCCATGCTGCGGATCTGCCTCCTACCCTAGACTGTTATCTATTTGCAGCACAACCGGGATTTTGAAATGAATCTCTGTCCCCCAGAGCCTGCATAAAAACTGGCTGAAAGTGAGCATTAAATAAATATTTAACAACTCTAGTTTTAAAATATTTCCATCCTAAATGGTTCAAATTTTTTTTTTAAGTTTTCATGCTCAAACATATAAACTCTTGGGTAACACCAATGCCTCATTTTCCAAAGGTTTTATGATTATATATGTGTTTTTTTTTCTTTATTGCAAATTCCTGCTGGTCTCTCTGCCACCAAGATTCAAAAAGATTCAATTCTCCTTCTACATAAACCTTTTCTGATGTAAGCCTAGGCTGCTATATTCTCTTTTGACAAATTCAGGGTAATTTTGAGTTGGATTGGATACTTCTTTTTTCCTTGCTTGTGGACAGAAAAAAACCTACATGGTATTTCAAACCATAATTTTAAGGATTTCCCTCAAAAAGGTTGCTGGCATAAAGATTTGGAAAGGTTAGAAAGAAAAACAGTGCTAAAAGCCAGAGCTCTGTTCTGATTTCTGAATGTCTATTCTCCTTTTTTGTTCTTATGAGACTAACTAGTGCAATTGGCCCCAGCAGGGACATCTCCTGCCCATTCCCTGTCATTAGTCTGGTTTTGAGGCAATGGAACAATCTAGACTATGTCCAAGAATTCTGAGCCCAGAGAGGACCTTATGGAAACCTAACATCCTCTTTTCCTCATGGCCACCTGTTATGTTGTCTTGGCTTTCTAAACAATTGGAGGCAATCAAGCAAGCTTTAGCTACCATATGTTGGGTGCTTACTATGTTTCAGTGCGTTGCTAAGCATGATGATCATAATGTATTTGAACCTCACAGTGACCCCATGAGGAAGCTGTTATGGTCCCAATTTAGAGCTTAGAAGACTGAGGCTTATATAGGCTTTATAAGACACCCAAAGATGCTGTTGGTAAGTGGAAGAGCAAAAATTTGAGTCCAAAATGGACTGACTAAAAACTCCATTCTTATTTCATTATGTTGTCCTGGATCGTGCTGTCTGTGGAGAGAGAGATGGCTGAGGCCACATCATAGGGTATAGAAGGTGTGTTGCAAACAGTGGAGATGAAGAATGTCCCTGGGCAGGACCAGTGTGGCCTCATGGGCTAGGCAAAAGCATGGTCCCTCTTGAGTATTGAAAGCTTTAGTAGAATTTTATACAAAAAAGACACCAGTACTTGTATGTTCATCGCAGCACTATTCACAATAGCAAAGTTATGGAACCAATGAAGTGGAAGGAGTGAGGGTTGGAAACTGTTGATGTGCTCATCAACAGTTGACTGGATAAAGAAAATGTGGTATATACACACTATGGAATTCTATGCAGCCATGAAAAAGAATGAAATCATGTCCTTTGCAGCAACATGGATGGAGCTGGAGGCCATTTTTCTAAGTGAACTAACTCAGAAACAGAAAATAAAATACTGCATGTTCTCACTTATGGATGGGAGCTAAACAGTAAGTATGCAGGGACATGAAGATGGAAATCACAGATACTAGGGACTGCAAAAGGGAGGTGGATGGGAAAGGAGTGAGTGTTGAAGATTACCTTTCAGGTACAATGTTCACTATTTGGGTGATGGCTACACTAGGACCCCGACCCTGACCTTTATATAATATGCCCATGTAACAAATATGCACAAATATGTATCTAAAATAAAATAAAATTTGAAAAAGAAAGCTTTGGAAAAATTTTATGAAATTCTTTAGTAAGTGGTATAAGAGCTGGGAATCGTTAACCAAGCACAATGCCTGGAACACCATAGACACTAAAATATGTGAGGAAGAATGGATGGATGAACCAAGCTGAAGAGGCAAGCACATAGGTAGGTTCCACCAGGAAGCAGGGTATTTCTAATTTGGGAGGAAACTTGTTTATTATCTGCATAGAACAGTAAGTTCTGTTCTCTGGATAGAAGAAACAGGCCGAGGCGGGTGGATCACGAGGTCAGGAGATCGAGACCATCCTGACTAACACGGTGAAACCCCATCTCTGCTAAAAATACAAAAAATTACCCGGGCGTGGTGGCACGCACCTGTGGTCCCAGCTACTTGGGAGGCTGAAGCAGGACAATCACTTAAACCCCAGAGGTGGAGGTTGCAGTGAGCTGAGATAGCACCATTGCACTTCAGTCTGGGCTACAGAGCAAGACTCCATCTCAAAAAAAAGAGAAGAAGAAGAAAGAAGGAGGAGGAGGAGAAGAGGAGGAAGAAGAGGAGGAAGAGGAAGAAGAAGAAGGAGGAGGAGGAAAAGAAGAAGAAGGAGAAGAAGAAACAAAAAAGCATAGATCTGGCCAGCAGTTTTCTCATCTGACTGGGAAATTTTGCAGGAAGAAGGAAGTTATTCAAGACAGAAGGAAGTTTCTGTCCACAGAGGTGGTTCAATGCGTGGTTCAATGCTGAACTTCCAGGCTCTTCTTGATCCATTCTGGGGGCAGCCTAGCTTGGTGAAGGAAACATTAGTTTTGCCAACAGACAACCTTGACATCAAATCCTGATACTGTTATAACATGCTGTGTGGCTTTGGGCACTCAACCTCTCTGAGCTTTGGTTTCCTTGTTTGTAAAATAGGATGGTTTAACTTAAGAGATGTGAGGGAAAGTTGTTTTTACATGGTTAATGTGCCTTTTCCTTTTTATTTGGCCTTTTTATTTTTTAGATGGAGTCTTGCTCTGTTGCTCAGGCTGGAGCACAGTGGCATAATCTCAGCTCACTGTGACCTCTGCCTCCTGGGTTCAAGCGATTCTCCTGCCTCAGCCTCCCGAGTAGCTGGTATTACAGCTACCATGCCCGGCTAATTTTTGTATTTTTTAGTAGAGATGGAGTTTCTCCATGTTGGTCAGGCTGGTCTCGAACTCCTGACCTCAGGTGATCCACCCGCCTTGGACTCCCAAAGTGCTGTGATTACAGGCATGAGCCACCGCGCCTGGCCAATTTGGCCTTTCTGAGCACATGACTTTTGTCTGAGTTAGCCTGTGATAACCATCTGCTTAGGAGAGAAAGGAGGGAGAATGAAGTGGAAGGAAACCCAGTCCACACAACTGTGTAGGGCCCATTGCCCCATAGTGGCAGGTTCTGTGGTAAGACCCCAGCTCTTGGGGTATCTGGTATCTCAGAGTTATTGGGGAGTGCCAACCAGGCAACCTTTTGGTTAGATTATATCCCTCTGTTTCTTAACTGGCTCAGCTGCCCTGTGACAGCTCAGAGCTTCACTATGAGCTCCTGCTAGAGTCTCAGAGGAAGCAGGACAAGAGACTCCTGCCTCAAGCATTTCCCACAACTCATCCAACATTCCTCCCCTACCCTGCATCTGAAACCCAAAGAGGGAAAGTCGGTGACATGATCTTAGTCTTCCTCCTCTCTCTTTCTTTTCCTTCTCACATCCCCCCAAGAACTGGAGGAGTCAGACATCCCATCCCATTCCTCTCTGGTCCATTCTTGTAAAAATCCTGTGGTCTTGCCAACCAAGTGCGGTCCTTAATATGCCGAAAGGTGGAGATTAAAAAAAAAAATTAGAACAAAACACCTTCCAAAGACAAATGTCTTCCAAATGTGCGTGACTTCACATTGTATTACTGTCTGGCTGCCAAATCATTTCTGAATGTTAGAGATTTGAATATTACCTCCTTCAGCAGCAATAAGGAAGTGCCTAAGTCCACAGATTCTAGAGTCAGACTGTCAGGTTCAAAGCTTGGCTCTGCTGTTTCCAGTGATGTAACTTTGGGCCAAACCTCTCTGTGCCTTGGTTTTCTCCTCTACAAAATGGAGTTGATAATAGTATCTCATAAGGATGCCTGGGATAATTCGATTAGCTAGTATATGGAATAGTGTGGGGTACCTCATAACCCCTTTATGTTTATTATGTATACAAGTGTGTCTTCACCTTCCTCATCATTATCAATATCATCATTTTTTGTGTTACTTCTGTAATAAATCTCAATTCCTCAACCCTACCCAGGCATATGGAAGTCATGGGCCATCCAGAGCCAAGCCCACACACTCAGGAAGACAAGAAGAGAAAAACACATTAAAAACTTAAAAAATACATAGTCCATAAGCACTGTGTTCTAGTTGATAAAGTTGTGTCCCATGAGGATATGGGTTAACAATTCTGATATTGCTATAATTATGTACTGGAATTGAACAAGTAACAAATGGATGGTGGATAATGGGAGCCAGGTTTATTATTCTTGGAGTGGGAGGTTACAGATAATCGAGGGAGGAAGCTAGAATGATTCATCTGACAGTGAGTTAGAGTTGGAGACATCAGGATGACTTCATGCTTAGGTCAATATAGACACGGATAGTTGCTTCTGTAAATTTTTGTAGATATGTGTGTATATACATATATTAGCATACATATCTAAATTCCCTTACCTTGTCAGCATAGAGGGAGTAGAAAAAACCAGCACACCTGGCACCTAGATTTTGGTTTCTAATATTATTCTCCAATAAAATGAACCAGGCTCCTTGAAGAAATGGTTGATTCTTGGACCAGGATAACAAATCTATACAAGATGAGCCTGGGGAATCTTGTATTGCCAGAAAGTTAGAAAGTTTAAAAATGAGGGGAATCTGTCAAAGGAGACAATTGAAATAGTTTCCGATTCCCAAATTTGGAACAATCTGAGCAACAAAACAAAATAAAGTGGTAGTGGATTATAACCCAAGGTATAAAATACATATCCATGTGTCTACACTGATATGAATACATGATTGAATCAATACATAAATGAGGAAGAAGAGACAAATCTTCCATGAGGAATAATTCCAAATAGTTTATGTAGATATTTCTTCCACTCAAGGAGGTAGAGCATAACCCCTACTCCTTAGATACGGTGTGAATGGCACACAGTGACTTCTTTCCAAAGAGTAAAATGTGAAAAAAGGGGAAAATAGAATAATTTTATAGAGGAGAAATCTGTCCAACACTTCCTAAGCCAGGCAATAGTTTAACATCAATAGCGATGAGTCATTATAGTACATATTTTTGCTATGTTATGAGAATGTCACTTTACCTCAGTGATTCCCCTCACTCCCAAACCCATAACCCCAATCTAATCATGAGAAAAATATGAGACAAATTCCGTTTGGCCAGGCGTGGTGGCTCACGCCTGTAATCTCAACACTTTAGGAGGCTGAGGCAGGCAGATCACCTGAGGTCAGGAGTTCAAGATCAGCTTGGCCAACATGGTGAAACCCTGTCTCTACTAAAAATAAAAAAATTAGCCAGGTGTGGTGGTGTGTGCCTGTGGTGCCAGCTACTCGGGAGGCTGAGGCAGGAGAATCGCTTGAACCCGGGAGGCAGAGGCTGCAGCGAGCTGAGATTGCACCACTGCACTCCAGCCTGGGGGACAGAGCAAGACTCTCTCTCAAAAAAAAAAAAAAAAAAAAAAAAAAAAGGCCAGGTGTGGTGGCTCACGCCTGTAATCCCAGCACTTTGAGAGGCTGAGGTGGGCGGATCACGAGGTCAGGAGATTGAGACCATCCTGGCTAAGACGGTGAAACCCCGTCTCTACTAAAAATACAAAAAATTAGCTGGGCGAGGTGGCGCGTGCCTGTAGTTCCAGCTACTCGGGAGGCTGAGGCAGGAGAATGGCGTGAACCCAGGAGGCGGAGCTTGCAGTGAGCCGAGATTGCACCACTGCACTCCAGCCTGGGCGACAGAGCGAGACTCCGTCTCAAAAAAAAAAAAAAGAAAGAAAAAAAAAAGTCCATTCTACAAGATATCTGACCCTGTACCCCTCAAAACTGTCAAAGTCATCAAAACAGGGAAAGTCTGAGAAACTGTCACACGCAAGAGGAATCTAAAGAGATATGACTAAATTCTAAGTTTAATATGGTACCTAGATATTTTGAAACAGAAAAGATGGACATTAGGTAAAAACTAAGGAAACTCAAATAAAGTGTGGGCTTTAGTTAATAGTAACATATCAAAATTGATTCATTCACTGTGACAAATATACCACACTAATATGTTAATAATAGGGAAACTGGGTCTGGAGGATACAGGAACTCTCTGTACTATCTTTGCAGTACTTTTGTAAATCTAAAACCGTTTCATAGTAAAGAGTTTGTTTAAAAAATTTATTGTTTGAGGCCAGGAGCGGTGGCTTACGCCTGTAATCCCAGCACTTTGGGAGACTGAGGCAGGCAGGTCACCTGAGGTCAGGAGTTCAGGACCAGCCTGGCCAACATGGCGAAACCATATCTCCACTAAAAATACAAACATTAGCCGGACATGGTGGTTCACACCTGTAATCCAGCTACTCGGAGGCTGAGATGGGAGGATCACTTGAACCTGGGAGGTGGAGATTGCAGTGAGCTGAGATCATGCCACTGCACTCCAGCCTGGGTGACAGAGTGAAACTGTATCTCTCTCTCTGTACATACACACACACACACACACACACACACACACACATATATGTGTATATATATATAGAGAGAGAGAGAGAGAGAGAGAGATAACATGAGAAGCTCTTTTCCTACTGTCTGGAACACGGTGTGTGCTCGACAAAACAACACTATTTGACCATCTAGTGCCTTTCTGGGCTATTCCTCCTTGGGATATGCTTTGAAGGAGTCATTATGTTGTCTTTCCTTTAAGATGAGCCAGAATGGTCTAGTTTCTGACAGTTAATATTTGTCTCTTCTGCATGGAGAGACTTGGAGCATTCTCTCAGTATTTATAACTGAGCATTTTTACCTTAAGTGGCTCTGAGTTGCATCCGTTTTATTTCCCTGTTTAGTAACTAAGATATCCCACACAACAACAGGAGTTACACGGTAGTTACCTTGGCGCAAGTCTGCCAGATGCTTCCAATGAGTAATTGTATCTTAACCTTCTTTGAAGACGATTGTTGGATATACGAGGCTCCTTCTCTGTCTTAGGAAGGAGAGCACAGGACACCATCAATTTGTCGTTTGTGGACCAAGGGTCTGCATGGAAAAACAGCATCACAGAAGGGCAAGTCTTCATTCATTATTTCGAAGGGTCGTAATGAGTTGCGCTTATAATGGGTGGAGGGGGGAATTTTCTTGTGGCATTGGATAAGGAGTACCTTTCCACAGAGGTGGGTAAGATATCTCTGGGGATGGGGAATGTCTAGAAGGGAACTTCTGAGAGTGAGACATGTTACTGGATTCCATCTATTGCTATGACTGTGGAAAAGAAATTATATATGCGGGCCGGGCGAGGTGGCTCATGTCTGTAAGCCCAGCACTTTGGGAGGCCAAGGCGGGCAGATCACCTGAGGTCAGGAGTTCAAGACCAGCCTGGCCAACATGGAGAAGCCCCTTCTCTACTAAAAACACAAAAATTAGCCGGGCTTGGTGGCACATGCCTGTAATCCCAGCTACTTGGGAGGCTGAGGCAGGAGAATCACTTGAACCTGGGAGGCGGAGGTCACAGTGAGCTGACACCACTCCACTGCACTCCAGTCTGGGCGACAGAGTGAGACTCCATCTCAAAAAAAAAATTAATATATGTGTGTATATGCATACATATATACTTGTGTGTATATGCATACATATATACTTGTGTGTATATGCATACATATATACTTGTGTGTATATGCATACATATATACTTGTGTGTATATGCATACATATATACTTGTGTGTATATGCATACATATATACTTGTATGTGTATGTACATATGCATACATATATACTTGTATGTGTATGTACATATGCATACATACATATATACACACACGTACACACATGCATATTTCTTCTCTCAACTTGGCAAGGGCAGGATTTGCAGATTATAACCTAGATCTCATTCATGCTGCATTTTTTCACTCACCCTATTGTTCTAGTTTTCTTGGATTCCAACCTGGGCTTATCTCCAATCTGCATTTTTTTTTGTTTCTCCTCCCTAGCTGAATATATTTGTGGAAAACTCACAAAGCAACTGGGTTGCCAGGTCTGGTCTCTATCTTCCTGTCCAGTGAAAAGAAAATGACATTTAGAAAACCTAGTCACAAATGTCTGTTTAATAAATTTTGTTTGTTGCCCTGAAACTGGATTTTAATATTTCTGAATATTCAGTGCCTGGAAGCTAGCACAAAATGGCTATCTAAAACTGCCAGAAATTTGCTTTATGTGGTTCTTAATGTGAAACTGGAAATGCACCTTCTGGATGGTGTCACTTCTTTTGAGAGGGATCGCTTTGGTGGGGTATTATGGTTGTGTCTACTTATATTAAGTAACTACTCACTGCCCCTGAGGTGTCTCAGGACTTGGGATAAATAATCTAAAAGCAAATACTTTATAATGGAATATCATGTATTCTGTTTAATAATATAAAAGTGTGTCCCAACATATTCAGTGAGGAACATCTCTGTAGAATTATTTTTTTTCTTTAACGAAGTGTTTAGTATTTTCTCTGGCAGACCTGGACACAGGGTTTGAGCCTAGTAGGTTGAGTCTGAGACTGACGGATCAAACAGATGAGAGAAAGGACTTATACTGGAGGATAATAGGCTTTGAAGGTTCAAATCTTTAATTAGACAGTCTAGTGTTTGGGATGTATTTCCAGGGGTAGGGGGGCCTACCATTGAGACATTAGTTAGCTTACTAATGTCCTTGGGCACGCTCTATGCACGAGTCAGCCAAATTGTTGTTTGAAATTTCTGCTGTAGCTCTGTAGAAAACTGAGGGGCAATGCATTTTCCATCTCGAGGCAATACCTGGGTTTGCCCCATGGACAGCCTTCCCTCTGGTCAGTTTCAGCTTCCCAGAGGAAATCCAGACAACAATTGCCTTAGTCAGAACTCTACATTGCAAGTGGCAGGAGCCAGGAGCCACAAAAAACACTCTTTAGAAAGGGGCTTCTCTCTCTCCTCAGCTGCTTTCCTGTGGGTGTGATTCTTATTCTTTAATAATGAAGAAAGATTTTCTCCACATGGTAGGTTCAAATTCACTTGACTTCATGGCCTTTTCGTTGTTTGACTCCAATGGTTCCAAGTAGAAAAGTTGATGGAAGATGGAAGAACTCTGATTGGCCCAGCATAGATCACATGCTCTCCTCTGGTCCAATCATCATTATAAGAAGGAGGTATTGGGATTGGTTTGATTCAGGCTCCATGCTCGCTTCCATGGCCAGGGGTCTGAATTACTGTATAGCACAATGAGCCCTCGCTAGCTGGGCACATACTCACCTGCTTTTCAACTGCCAGCTCTTACATCCCTGAGCGAGGGTATCTCTGGCCACTGGAGCTAGCTTTGCCTGTGAACATGGGAAGTTGCCAGTGCTAACGAATTAACATCTCCCGGAAGCAGCTCTCAACCAATGACTAATAGGAGTTTGTGTGTAAATACTAAGGGGTCCTTTGCCCTTGGGGTGACATAATTTTGAGGCATGCATTCAATACGATTTACCAGAATTCCAGAGTGGGATTAAACTCCAGTCGACCACATTGCATCTTGCTTGGCATTGCACTTTATTTGCTTCTTCTTGTTCTCTAACTCCCCCATCCTTTTGCTACAAGTATTTCCTGAGATCACCTGCCAAATATGCTTGCATTTAAGTCCTTTGGTATGTTTCTTTATCCTTTATCGCCACTTGAGTTGTGTGATGAGCTGCCAATCACGGTAACTGTCTTAGTTTGTGTTTCCCCGGAAGTCACTAAGATAAGGACTTTGCACAAAAACAGTAGCTATCCACCAAAAAATATATCATGAAACACACACACACACACACACACACACACACACAGCAGCAGCAGCAGCAGCAGCAGCATACAATGAGAACTTAACAGTAAGCCATTTCCCACAGGACCAATACTTGGGAACAAAACATGGCTGGCCTGACATGCCCAGGGGAAGCAGACAGGAACCCTGGTGGGTTGGCTTTGGAGAGGAGAATGTCAGAGGATCTTGGGCTCCAAGGTGTGGTGAAAGCCATACCTTATCAACACCTTTTCTACTGTTACTTTATTAATCCTGGGACTCTCCCATCGCAGCTGAATCTCGGCCAAAAAGCTATCGTGGTAGAAGGATACATGCGTCTCTCCAGACGTTGGCCAAAGACTGGGTTACTTGGCACTTATGTTTGGCGACATTCCCATTTAACACTTGGGCTTGTGTGATGGCCCATGCAGGTAAAGTGATAAAAATACTGTCCCTAACCTCATGCCTCAGCTAGGGTATCTCTGCCTGTTTCCATTTGGGTTTGTTGGTTTCTAAAGCCACACATTTTCCGTATGCATCAGGGGTTGAGTTATCTAAAAGCAAAGCCTGGGAAAGGGGTTCAGATGCATGTGACTTTGAGGGAGTGTTCTTCAGGTAACAAATAAACACACACCTCTAAGGTTATGAGGGAAGCAGTGTAGGAAAGGTTAGGGAGCCACACAAAAATGGGGCTCCAAGTAAAGTCCAGATTCAGGGGTTGTCAAACTATAGCCCTTGGGTCAAACTTGGTACCACCTGTTTTTGTAAATAAAGTTTTATTGGAACACAGCCACACCCATTTATGTAGTTGTCCCACGGTATCCATGGGGATTTGGTTTCAGGACCCTCCAAGGATACCAATATCAACAGATGCTGAAGTCCCTTATAAAAAAATGGCATAGTATTTGCATATAACCTACTCACATCCTCTCATATACTTTAAGTCATCTCTAGATTACTTATAATACTAGTACAACACAGATGTTATGTAAATAGTTGTTACACTGTATTTTTACTTGTATTATTTTTAACTATTGTATTGTTATTTTTAATTTTTTTCTGGGTATTTTCAATTCACAGTTGGCTGAATCCAAGGGTGTAGAACCTGTGGATACAAAGAGTCAACTGTCTTCTGTCTAGGGCTGCATTCATGCTACAAAGGCAGAGTTGAATAGTCAAAGCAGAGACTGATGGCCTATGTAGTCTAAAATGCTTACTACCTGGCCCTTTACAGAAAAAGTTTCCCGACTCCTACTCTAAACTTGTCCCAGTCCATGTGAACTCTGAAGTATCATCATTTCATAAAGTTATCCCCATGTTGAGGCAAGGGGCTGGTCTTTGGACTTCAGTGTCAGCGGGACATTGGTTGCTGACCACTTGAGGATGAGGTGTGTGAAGCATATTGACCCCAGGGCAGTGGCTCCTATCAGCCAAGAGCAATTCTCTGGGTATTGAAGGCAGCTGTGAGCTGTTAGCAGCCAACATTTGCAGCAGCTGGGAAATGGGTTCACATACTAGATAAAGGGGATCTTTCAAGGCACCACTGGCAACCACCGCAGTGCATACCTGGATGGACACACATGCTTCATGAAGCCAGAGGGAACCCATACTTTCCACCTCAAAGTGAGCCATCATTATCTCCCAGTGATGGGATGGATAGACAGGAGGCGAGACCCATTCCCATTTGGGTCTCGCCTCCTGTCTATCCATCCCATTGCTCTCAGGATGAAGATGGTGACACTTACCAGTGTTCACTGGGTCCTGCCACCCTCTCCAACCCCACCTCATTCCAGTTTCCTTACACTGTATTCTCTAGCTGTGCATGGCCAGAGCTCAGAGGGCAATTCCTTCCGTTGCTGAGCATGTTGGGTTCCATCCAGCTCCACGGCTTTTGCTCATGCTGCTTCCTCTGCCTGAAATACCCTCCCTCATATCTTCCACCTTCCACCACACTGAACTATTATAACAACCCTCCTTCCTGTAGATCTCAGCTCAGAAAAACCTTCCTGAATCTCTCTTTCCTTGAATCTCATTTCCCTTCAAGCAGCCAATATTTAGTTTGTTTGTCTTTACATTTGTTTGTGTCTTGTGCAAACTTGTAGTATGCAAAAATATACACATAGGTTATATTACTTAACAAAAAATGCTATACTATTTGCTTTCCTTTAAAGCTTCCTTTTTTCCCTTTAACAATATAAACCATAAGAAACTGTTCAAGTTTTCCTTCATTTTTTCTAACACCTGAAAGATATTCCATCATATGTGTACATACTATGTACATCATATGTATTATAATAATTCATTTAAGAATTCCCATATTGATATGAGCTCAGATTGTTTCTGTGTATGTGTTTTCATTTTTACAAATAATGGTGCAAAAACATCTCTGAACAAATATCCTTACATTCTGATGCTTTTATTTCTGTAGGCTCAGTTGCTAAAAGTGGTATTGTTCAGTCAACATATACATACGCTTTACATTTCAATACTCAGTGCCTGATTTCTTCCTGCAAATATAGGAAATTGCATGTCCACCAGCAGCTTTAAGAGGCCTCCCTGTGCTCAGCATCTCTGCCAGTACTCATGTCCTTCAATCCCTTTAACATCTGCCAATCTGTTGGCAAAGGAATGGCTTCTCATTGTTCTTCTGACTTCCATTTCTTTGACTGTTACTGAGATTGGGCATCTTTTTATACAAATATCATTTCATTGACAAAAATAACCTCTCTACTGAAAGGACCTTAACATGTTAGTTTAACATGTTTTGAGCACATCTTTTGAGATGATGTCAGAAAAACACCCACCTGTCCTCATTTGCTCTCCAGTGAAGACTATGAACTCAATTGTGTCCCATGTATCTGTGAACCCTCTGCTGTTTTGCGACTTGCGTCCCTAAAGGGTGGGGAGAGTTTTGGTCTCCAGTGATGTGGTGATGGGAGGGAAGGTAGATGGTTCTGCCCTGTCTGTGACAATCTCCTTCTGTGTCTTCACTTCCAGATGCCACCCAGATGAACAACGCAGTGCCCACCTCTCCTCTGCTCCAGCAGATGGGCCATCCACATTCGTACCCGAACCTGGGCCAGATCTCCAACCCCTATGAACAGCAGCCACCAGGAAAAGAGCTCAACAAGTACGCCTCCTTAAAGGCAGTCGGTAAGTGCCACCTGATGGATCTTTTTCTCTTTCTCCTCTTCGCTCTCCTTTGCTGCTTCTTGTAGATCTCTTTATCTCCAGTTTTCTTTCCTAATTCCTTTTTCTAGCTCTCTTTTTTTCTCTTTCTGCTTTTCTCTGCCTCTATCTCATTTTTGTTCTCTCTCTGTCTATAAATATGTATATCTATATATCTATCTATGTCTGTCTATGCATTCATTCATCCATCCACCTATACACTCTATCCATCCATTCATCCATCCACCTATTCACTTATCCATCTACCTACCTACATATGTATTATCTATCTGTCTGTCCATCCATCCATCCATCATCCATCCATCTACTATTCACTTATCTGCCTATCTATTATCTATTGAATCTATCTACCTATTATCCTATCATCTGTCTGTCTATCATCTATCAATCCATCCACCCATCCACCTATTCACTTATCCATCTATCTACCTACCTATGTATTATCTATCTATCATCCATCCATCCATCCTTCTATCCATCTACCTATCCACTTATCTATTATCTATCTATATCATCTGTCTACCTATTATCTATCATCTAACTACCTATTATCTATCTATCTATCTATCTATCTATCTATCTATTTATCTATCATCTTTCTATCTACCTATTATCTGTCTGTCTGTCTATCTATCTATCTATCTATCTATCTATCTATCTATCTACCCATCTTCTGGGTCTCTCTACCTGGGACCCAGGTTTCTAAGGACCAGAGACCCTCAGCTGCTTTCTCTGACCTAGAACAAGTTCTACATTGCTGTGTGAGGCAGGGTGGCTGGGCGAGGGGCACATGTGCGGTGAGGGCTATTTCCTGGGGAGAAGAACCTGGATGCTCATTTGGTCCCACTGACACTTTAACCCCTTTACCATCTCCATCTACCCTAGCTGATCCTCAGGGAATCTTGACATAGAATCTAGGTCTCTCCATCCCAGAAATGCCTTATACTTTAGTGGGTAACACCCTTCACCTACAAAGTCCATCCCATTTCTAAGAAGTTGGTAAACAATGCACGTTCCTATCCCAGGCAACTTCTGCTCTTCAGGATTTAAGTATTTACGGGAGTGGGCAGCCTGGGGCTGCTACTAATGGAGTTCTTACCAAGTGCAAGACATTGAATTAAACCCTTGTTTTCTCATAGTGATTCCAAGGTGAAGACACAATGATTATCCCAATTACCAGATTAGAAAACTGAGACTCTAAGAGGCTAATATAACTTGCCCAAGTCAAGCAGCAGTGGGTGACAGAGCTGAGAATTGAACCCTATTTTTATCCCTCCAGAGCCACTGCTTCCACCACTGTCCTGGTTCCTTCAGTTCATTCTTCAATTTAAACATGAGGGGGTGTGATAGTTACCCTGACAGTGACTGAGGCTCCTGAACAGTTTGCTCATAAAAGGGTTCTATTGGATAGAAGCAACAGTCACAGAAAGCAATTCCTGACTCCTGATTGGCTGTGGCAACCTCAGGGTTCCCTAAATCAATGGTTCTCACATGTGGATGCCAATTACTAGAATCACCTGGAGAGCAGGTAAAATATAAGGATGCCCCAGGTCCACCCTGGAGATTTCAATTGAACTGGTTGAGGATAAGATTCAGACATGGGCATTTTTAAAGCACTCTGTGGCTGTTTCTAGTGTGAAGCCAGGGGTGACAGCCATTCATGAAAACTACTTCATCAGTCCCACATCCAGGAAAACCAAATCCTATTTCAAATGCTTGCTCTGAATTTCCTCTTCTAATGACCTTAATACATGGGGGAAATTCCTTTTCTTTCCTTCTCACTGTGTCCTGTGAGCTCTAAGTTTTTCTCCCTGTCTCAGAGGAGAGATTTTAAAGCCAGGCTTTCCACTTAACCTGATTCTTCTGAGTCTATTCCTTGGGGAGCTAGAAAGAGCCAAACAGATGTGAGTTCAAATCCTGGCTCTACTGCTTACCATCTGTGTAGCCTTGGGCAACATTTGGCCCCTTTTTAAGGTCTCAGTCTTCTAATCTGTAAAATGGGCCTAAGGATGCCTGTGATGACTCATATTATAGACTGGTAAAGGACATTCATTCAACATACATTTGTCACCTCCCTTCTCCAGAGCTCCCTGGTCTTGTTTCTAGTAGCCCCATGGATGAATCCTTTTCTCATTTCCATCTTAGAGCATGCTCAGATATCATAGGAAGGTCTTCTTCTTCTTTTTTCTTTTTTGAGACAGAGTCTCACTGTGTCACTCTGGCTGGAGCGCAGTGGCACGATATCGGTTCACTGCAACATCCGTCTCCGGAGTTCAAGTGATTCTCCTGCCTCAGCCTCCCGAGTAGCTGAGGTTACAGGCATGCACCACTATGCCTGGCTAATTTTTTTTTTTTTTTTTAAGTAGAGATGGGTTTCTCCATGTTGCTCAGCTGGTCTCGAACTCCTGACTTCAAATGATTTTCCCAGCTTGGCCTCCCAAAGTGCTGAGATTACAGGTGTGAGCTACTGCACTTGGCCAGGAAGGACTTCTTTAAACATTCTCCTTTTCCAACATGGAGTCCTCACCTTCCCAGCAGAATTGACTGTCAGAAGCTCCGAAGCATTAGAACAATTCACTTTGAGTGGAATCCCATTTATTGGTAGAGGTCTTCTACTCTTTAGTTATTCATAAAATTTATTTATTTATCTATTCTCACATAGTTTTGGTTCCCGAAAAACTCTGGGCAGGCAGAAAACCCCACAAACCATATACTTTCTTTTATTATCAACTGTTCATCCTATTTTCTCCCCCCACTGCCAAGCCCCTCATTGGAGATGGGATGAGAGATACTTGCTGATCGATTTCAGTATGAAATATGCTAATCCTGTTATAAACTAACACCAGAACCCAAAGCACTGACACAACCATGTGTCTAAGATGCATGTGGTAACCATAATCAACACACATCAGATTCACAAAACAAGCATTTTGGTGCCTAGCATAGGGCCAGGCACTTCCTAGGTGCTTAGCCAGTGCTTATACCAGAAGTCTATGTTTGGGAATTCATGTTCCCTGATCTCTTAAGATTTCCAGATGGAATCATTCAAATAGTGACTGAGCCAAATTTATAATACCAAGGACACAGGATGTGCAAACTGACACAGGCTTTTCTAAATCTGAAGCCTTGTAAGACCCTACGTACTGGTTACCCATGTTTCACATTGAATTTCTATGCCCAGCTCAACCCTCGTTATGTCCCATGACCACAGATTCCTTCTATTCCATATTGCCTGTTTGCACAGCATATGCATCCTAACTGCATTCAAATATACTCAGTGTTACTAGGAAGGGATGAGGGCTGTTACCTAGGAGAGCAAGAGTCACGGCATCTTTGCCAGTGTAACTGTGGAAGCCTTCATATGCTATTTGGTGGCCCACTTCCCTTTCTGAGCCTCGCAGTTAGATGATAAATAACATATGCCATTTTATTTTATTCTTCTTTAGGCATTTAAAAAATCAACAGGCCAGGAGTTGAAGACCGGCTTGGCCAATATGGCAAAACCCTGTCTCTACTAAAAATACAAAAATTAGCTGGGCATGGTGGCAGGCACCTGTAATCCCAGCTACTTGGGAGGCTGAGGCATGAGAATCACTTGAACCTGGGACGCGGAGGTTGCAGTGAGCGGAGATGGTGCCACTGCACTCCAGTATGACACCCAGTCGCTCCCTGGGAAAATAGCAGAGGGATATTCTAACAGAAATTCCTTGATTTTATCCAAGATTTATGTGGAGCTCCTCTACATGGCAAATGTCTGCAATGCATTTGGGATTAAATTTTCAGTGTGAAAATCATTTCACACTCTTTGAGTAACCCTCTGTTCATAAATCAGGAACTTCTGAAATGTTTGTTGAATGAATGAATGAGCTTGTCTTTGACAAGAATAAAAAAAAAAGGAATAGCTTGGTTGTAAGGAAGCACTCTAATACCTCCTAGAAAACTCTGAAGCATCCCACGTGGGACACCTTCCCCAGTCCTAGATGGGGTTGATGTACCCCCTCCTGTTCTTCATCCTTTTTTTCTGACCACTGTGAGAGTTCTCAGGGCTTTCTCTGAGACATAGGTGGTCTTGTGAATCTGGAGGGCCAATGAGGAGCAGACTGAGGGATTGCTTGACTCAATGGGTTAGCCAGGAATCCAGCATCTGCCTGCACATATAAAATGCAAATCCCATAATAAATGTTCTTTCAAGGGTTCTTTGTTAAAGCATAATGTGATCATGGTGTGAATGATGAAATGCATTTTATTAATGAAATTATTACCAGCCAGGAGAGAAGTTGTTTAAAAAATGGTTTGCCATTGAAAGTTCTGCAACCTCCGATAAGCAGATTCATTTTCTAAATATTTCAATCCAGAGAATAAGGAGAGGTTAGACAATCTTTAGCATTCACTGGTAAGCTCAAAAATACTTCTGGAAAATAAATTTCTCTGGGAAGCTTTAACATCCAGAGCTCTGGGAAGATGATCAGAGGCTCTGTCTCACTCAGACTCTAACTGTACTTAGCTGGATGACTTTGAGCAGGTCAATGAAGCTCTTGGACTTCAGCTTCTTCATATGAAAAATGAGAAAACTGAACTATAAGATGTCCAAGTTCCATTTTAATTTTAAAATTAGAAAATTAAATAATTCTACTCATTCTAGTTATTAGAATGCCTTAAACATGTGCCATTCATTTCCTGCCAACTCAGGGAAAAAACGGTTTGAATAAAGGGTGTTAATGTTGGTTGTTCCTGAGGCAAATTCTCCCCAAACCTGCCTTCCTTTCTATTTTATTGTATTTTATTTTTGTTTGCTTGTTGGGATCACCCTCACTCATGTTTAAAGAGACCTCTTTTCCTTTCTTTTTCTTTTTTTTTCTTTTTTTTTTTTTTTGAGACAGAGTTTGGCTCCTATCACCCAGGCTGGAGTGCCATGGCGCAATCTCGGCTCACCACAACCGCCGCCTCCTGGGTTCAAGCGATTCTCCTATTGAGAGAATTGGACATGCACCACCTAGTCATACATGGCATGTAACTGCAGAATGGTTTCTGTTCCCAAGGGTTTCACTGCCCAGCTCTTGGTAAAATATTAGCACACACTGGGGAATTGTTAGTGGCTAAACCGTATAGGACTTTGTACCAGAAGGGATGATGACTTTGAATTATTCCTTCAGTTGTTCATTCATTCTCCAAACATTAAGTCTGGTTTCCCTTGACTGCAGGTCCCACTGAGGCATGAACCAAATCTGTCCCATTTGTCAATGTATCCCCAGCACCTAGTGTCATGTGGGGTGCTTAGTAAGGACTCCCAACACCTATTTGTAAAACTAGTGAATAATACCATATGAGAAGCACCTTATCTAGCCTGAGAGGGGCCTTAGAGAATCAGCAGGATAGCAGAATATAGCACAGCCTCTGGAATTTGTCAGGGCTGAGTTTAAGACCCAGCTTGGACATTTATCAAGTAATTGGAGAAATTATTTAACTTCCTCAGGTCTCAGTTTCTCCTTCTGTAAAATGGAGATAATAATGATAACACACAGATAATGGCTTAGAAAATTTGATGATATAGTGTAGGTAAAGTTCTTAGCCTGACATATGTCAGTCCTCAGCAAATACTGCAGCATATTAAAGACCCAGACCAGAGTTATCTGCGGTCATCATTTTCCCCTGATCTCGGAGATACGCTGGTACCTGGATTAACATGCAATTGCCCACATTTCATTTTGAGGGAGAAAGGGTTGGTTCCATATTCTTTACTCCAGTCTGATGGGAAAGACATACATGAAAGTTAACTCATGTCAGGGATCTGATAAAACAAGCAGGCAAGCAAGCAAACAAATGGCTTTTCTAAGCTGTCCTAAGGACCCTCAAAGAATCAGTCTAGACCTCTTCAAGTTCCCCATCTTCAGGGTGGACAATAAAAGTTGATGCCCAGGCATATAGATACTGTAATGTTAGCCATCAGAGAAATATTCTGTTTCAATACAATCCATCAGGGAACTATTCTTTTTCACTCAATTGACTCTCCTTACTAAAGCAAAAATGTAATGTGGATTTAAACATTTCCCACCAATGTTGAGGTTGAGAAGTGGGTCTTGTTATAGACCGAGCCAAAAATGTAACCTGAAAATCCAGTTAAGCATACAAGTTCCCTGGCCTGAGGTGCCCATATGGTTACAATATGGGAGCCTACCTTGTGATTCTTCACAGGCCAAAGTTTGGAAGACAGACGTCTTTATGAAAATATCCCTAGGCCGGGTGCAGTGGCTCACACCTGTAATTCCAGCACTTTGGGAGGCCAAGGCGATGGATCACGGGGTCAGGAGATCGAGACCATCCTGGTTAACCCAGTGAAACCCCGTCTCTACTAAAAATACAAAGAAATTAGCTGGGTGTGGTGGCACATGCCTGTAGTCTCAGCTACTTGGGAGGCTGAGGCAGGAGAATGGCGTGAACCCGGGAGGCGGAGCTCGCAGTGAGCCAAGATCACACCACTGCACTCCAGTCTGGGCAACAGAGCGAGACTCTGTCTCAAAAAAAAGAAAATGTCCCTAAAGCTCACTTGGTGGTTCAGAGAGGGATGATTGGTACTTCCAGAACTGGAAAAGATCACCCTTTCACCCTTTTATGTAATTCCTGATGGGCTTTGCAAACAGAAAGTTGCCTGCACATTGACATTTATCTTTCATTAGCCCCTTGTCCAGTTTTTCCTCTAGGTTTCTGATTATTGAACTCCTAAGTGACCAAAGATTCATGATCATGTGCCCTTAAGATGGCTCAATGCAACCTTGGCCATTGAGTATAAGAAAGAGACAGGATGTACCAGCATCATTGATAAAATGCTGCGTCACTTCATTTCTAATTCAAAATTTTAATTTTATTAAAAAAAAATTGTCTGTGTTGCTATTTGACAGATGATTGACATTTTGCCAGAATCACAAGGCATTTTCCAATAGCACTTTTTGAAACAACAGCAACAATACACTTCAATATGGCAGGAATTCCCTCTTTACTCTTGGAATCATGAGTGAAAACCCTAAAAGCCATACATGAGGCACTTGGCCATGGATTGGCCTCTACTAGTTTAATTTCTTTTCAAGTTAGGGCAGAAAGGGGGCTCACATCACTGAGCTCATAAACAGCACACCTCTGAGGGAGGCATCAGTACCCCCCGTTTTGCAGATGGGGAAACAAGCTTAGCATAGTTATTTCCCCATAATCCGTACTTTTAGTAAATGGCAGAGCCAAGTCTCATATTCAAGAGTGCTTGACTTGGAATCCTATGTTCTTCCCATGAAACTATGCTGTCTTCTGCAGAGAAATTTCTAGCATCTAAAGTATGTAACCAGGCAAAAGAAAAGCTGGGGAAGCCTATCCCCTGCTCTTCTGGGGGAAGGAGAGCTTACCAAGGTACTCATCATTTTTCTTTGTTTGAAAGTAAAAGTTTGGCTGGGCACAGTGGCTCATGCCTATAATCCCAGCAGTTTGGGAGGCCAAAGCAGACAGATCACTTGAGATCAGGAGTTCGAGACCAGCCTGGCCAACGTGGTGAAACCCCATCTCTACTAAAAATACAAAAATTAGCCAGGTGTGGTGCTGCTCGCCTATAACCTCACCTACTTGGGAGGCTGAGGCAGGAGAATCACTTGAACCCGGGGGGCAGTGGGGGTGGAGGTTCCAGTGAGTCGAGATTGTGCCACTGCACTCCAGCCTGGACAACAAAGCAAGACTCTGTCTCAAGAAAAGAAAAAAAAAAGAAAGTAAAAATTTCCCTATGATGTTGAGTATAATTGAACTCTAGTGTATTTGAGGTATGCTATACTGGAGGTATATTTTACATACAGTGACATACACAGTTCATAATTTTACAATAGTGTGATTGTTTAAAAAAAAAGCATACACTTGGTTATCCACATCCCAATAAAAATGAGAAATATTTTCGTCACACTGAAAGTTCCCTCATATCTCCTTCCTTTTAATACCTTAGGTCTACTTCCTCTTCATGAGCATTTTTCACCCTCAAAGTATTTTTCTAATGTCCATGAGTGTGACCAAGTACACAGTGGAGCCTTAACTAAATGTTCCGTAGCCTATACATCATCTTATTAAATGCCCTATTGTCAATGAACTTATAAATGAAAATTCATTATTGTAATAGCTAAGCCCTATCTGAGCTAATGGGAACAGAGGTGACAAAATAATGGTTCCTGCCTTCAAGGCAAACAGCAATGGATTTAATTTGGGGTTCAGATGGCTTCCCTGGAGTCAGCGACTTGTTGGCTTGGTCAGCGTGTGGCCATCCACACAGGAAGAATGGGGGTCGCACCACTATTTCCAGATGACCCTGGCTATGGGGGAGAAGAGAACCGAGTCATCCTGGGTGGGCCCGACTCAGTTTTAACTTCCTCACTCTTCTCTCTTCTGTTGCTCCAATTGTCCCTCTTGTGAGTGATGAGGGGTGTACAGTTCAGATCCACGGGGGGGATGTGGCGATTTGAGCATCCTTTGGCACGCCTGGGGAGGCCAGCCAGAAATGTTTAAATGGGGCCGGATCTGTGCTCTGTAATCATTCAGATGACAGACTGTTCCCTGCGCCTTCACTCAGCCTGATATATCTCTGGAAATAGTGCCAAACTGTTGAGGACTTGGTCTTTCTAGGTAGATGCCTAAGAAAGGAAAGAGCTAGGACCACACGCTGATTGGCCAGGTCTCCAGCCAATGAGGAGAGGTCTCGTGGGTAGGGTTGCCCCACTTTAAGCAAAACCCAATCTTACAGAGAACTATCAAAGAAAATGCGAGGTTGGTGGGGGTTGGGTTGGGTATAGCCTTGGCCAATTCTCAGTATCCTTCATTTTATGAAAGGAGTCATTATGGAATTCTGTTAATAATGTTAGATCTCCCAGGGCTCATTCGGGACATCTGAAAGGGAATTCAATTCGGATAAACTGATTTATAATGAAAACTCCAGGCACACACCTGTTCTGTAAAGCAATGTATTACTCATTATGGGATTCTCAGATAACAAGCTTGATCTCGTTACCGTTTAGAATTTCCCTACCTTAGAAAGGGTGACTCTGTGGATAAAATTGAATGCATTCCTTCATTCAGTCATATTTTCCAAACACAGAATGTGTGTTAGGTACTGTGGTAAGGTAGCCCCCACCCCATGGGGCCTGTCACCCAGCATTTAAAGTCGCAGTCAGTAGAGCCTGTCCCAACCTTGAATCTGGGGCTAATAATGTGCCCCTTTTCAGGAGGGGGATTGCAGTGGAACACGATCAAAGTCTATCTCTTGTCATCAGAGTGTAGTCTTGAGCCAAGGTGAGCTCATATAACTCAAACTTTCCTTTCTTTCTAAGCAGGTTGAAATTTACAGCCAGATTTTCTACCTAAGAATTATCTTTCTGCCTTACGTAACTGAAAATATCTCGGCCTTTTTCAGGAGGCTTCTTTTGATCTTCTGTTGGGTGTTAACGTGAGGCTGCTTCAAGGCCTTGCAGAAAGAGGTACACACATAGCTGCATTTTCACACGTGGCTCCCTTCCCTGTTCCCTGGGTCCCCTGAGGCCTGTCCCTGCTTGGAGGCTGCAGCAGGGGCAGCCAACAGCACCTGGGTGTGAGGGCATAGTGAACATGGGTGCCCTGCAAACAGATCATCAGCATTTCTTGATTGTTATTTTTTTAGGAAGTTCTGATGGTGACTGGGCAGTATCGACACTTAAGTCACCAAAAGGTACTGTACAGCTTTTTCTAGCTCTTTTGTCCAGGTGTTGTCAAAGTTAGCATTAAATAATGAAGGGATAGAGAGTCCTGGTGTCTGTGTGACCTGTGCACATGTGTGTCTGCATAGGGTGGCATCTGCAAGTCCGTCTAAGTTCCAGTGTGTAGGTGTTTGTGTGTTTGTGTGTGTGTGTGTGCATCTAGCAATTGTTGGACAACGTGGTAGCCCTCACTTCCCAATATTTGCTGCCTGATGGAAAATATCACTATGAGAAATCATGCCAGGTAAGGTGAAATATGTTGATTTTTCTCAGAAAGCTGCAATGGCAAATGGCAAAACACAAGGTTAATTAATGGGGGCGGGGCGGGGGAAGAACACAGCTTCTGAGGGAGAGAAAAACATAATCAAGTTATTGGCCAAGGGTCTTGGGAATGACTAGCCTTTTAGAGAACAGAATGCTATTTTCAACTTTCCTGGGACAGCGTGGTGAGCAGAGAGGGTTAGGAAGTTGGTCGACTTGAGTCTGTGAGTTAACCCAGCTGGGTGACCAGACCAGGTGGCAGCTATCATTAATTAGCGCCCTACTATGTGCCAGAGGACTGGCCCTTTACATCATTTTATCATTTAATTCTATGATGATCAGGCTGTGTAGGCATTGTCATCTGCATTTAGAAATGAGGACATGATGTCTAAGTATGGATAAGTCTTGCTGGTCTAGAGTCATGTGACTATTCAGTGGTAGATCTGCAGTTTGAACCTCTATCAGTCTGACCCTTATTCTAAGCTATTTTCCACTAGGGTGTAATGGAAGCAGCTCTTTTTAGAATAGACCAGAAACACCCTTCTCCATATGCTTTGTTGGACTTGGTGGAGAAGTAACTGACCTAAGGAGGTGGAGGTAGAACTATTTATCTATTTATTTATTTATGAGACAGAGTCTCACTCTGTCACTCAGGCTAAAGTGCCGTAGTGCGATCTTGGCTCACTGCAACCTCCTCCGCCTCCCAGGTTCAAGGGATTCTCCTGCTTCAGCCTTCTGAGTAGCTGGGATTACAGGCACATGCCACCGTGCCCAGCTAATTTTTGAATTTTTTTTTTTAGTAGAAACGGGGTTTCACCGTGTTGGCCAGGCTGGTCAAAATCCTGACCTCAGATGACCCACCTGCCTTGGCCTCCCAAAGTGCTGGGATTACAAGCATGAGCCACCATGCCTGGCCAGTAGAACTCTTTAATGAGCTCGAACTGGGGAAAATTAGGAGACATTGCCAGGATATCAGCAAGAAACTGGTGTATTAGTCTGTTTCAATGCTGCTGATAAAGACATACCCAAGACTGGGCAATTTACAAAAGCACAAGGTTTATTGGACTCACAGTTCCACGTGGCTGGGGAAGTCTCACAATCAGGGCAGAAGGGAAGGAGGAGCAAGTCACATCTTATGTGGATAGCAAAGGGAGAGCTTGTGCGGAGAAACTCCCATTTTTAAAACCATCCGATCTTGTGAGACTCACTCACTCTCACAAGAACAGCACAGGAAAGACCCACCTCCATAATTCAATCATCTCCCACCGGGTTCCTCCCACAACACCTGGGAATTGTGCGAGTTGCAATTCAAGATGAGATTTGGGTGGGGGCACAGCCAAACCATATCAATAGTTGTGGCCATTTTTTTTTTGCCGTTTCAAAAGATTATTCTGGCTTCTAAGTGGAGACTGGATTAGGGGACTGTGGACTAGAGTTGCAGACACCCACTGGAAGGCTCTTGCAGGTGGGTGGTGACCTGCACTGAGGTGGGTAGAGGATGGAGAGAAGAAAATGGGAGTGGAAGGATCATTGAGAGACTACAAAAAGTACTGAGTGAGGAGGGGGAGGGATCATGAGACCAATGGTTCTCACGTTGTAACCAGCTTGAGCACACATCAGCATCACTTGGAGGGTTGTTACAAACCCAGATTCCTGGGCCTTACCCAGGAGCACCTGATTCACTAAGCCTTGGCTCAGAAACATCCTGAGTTGTTGCAGGGAGGAGAGTGCATTCTATTCCCTCATTGGGAAAGAGAGCTTTACATCAGTGTATTTAATGAGAATCCCCTGACTACCTGGCTGTTGCCTTCAGAGAGACAGATTTTTGGGTTTTGCATTAGATAATAAGTATTCACATGTCAAAGTCCATTTTTAGAAATGCAAACAATTTGGAACATGACAGACCTCCTAATTTGAGGCATTAACTTCTTTTTTCCCTCCCTGTGAAAAACAAAGCCGTTATGATCTCTGTGACAGCATTTGGAGGCAGCCTGCATTTCTGTCCTTATATCATCCTTTTGTTGTCAGATGCATTTAGAACATATTTCAGTTTAGGTTAAAAGCAAGGAGCTGTTTTCTACCCAAACCAAGCTAACTTCACCTGTCCTGCTAAAGGCACCTTTATCCTGCCTTGTCGGGGGAGAGGAAAAGTGGTCCCAGTGAGAACCAAGTTCCTCTGGGGTCATTGGTCTGCCTCTAGTGTTCTCTACTCAACCTCTAGACCCAGACTCTAGATGAGGTATGGTAGCAAGGTTAGGGAGTTTGTGTGCCCCCACCTTCCACATCCTGCCACTTTCTTAAAAGGGAGAGAGACAGGCTGGGTGCGGTGTCTCACACCTGTAATCCCAGCACTTTGGGAGGCTGAGGTGGGCAGATCACCTGAGGTCAGGAGTTTGAGACCAGCCTGACCAACATGGTGAAACCCTGTCTCTACTAAAAATACCAAAATTAGCCAGGCGTGGTGGCACGTGCCTGTAGTCCCAGCTACTCAGGAGGCTGAGGCAAGAGAATCGCTTGAATCCGGGAGATGGAGTTTGCAGTGAGCCAAGATCATGCCACTGCACTCCACCCTGGGCGGCAGAGCGAGACTCTGTCAAAAAAAAAAAAAAAAAAAAAAGAGAGAGACAATTTGGATATGATGGGCTTAGACTCAGGCATATATGGGTTCCAATACAGGCACCATCATTTGCTAGTCTTGTTGTCTTCAACCTCTCTGATCCCCTATTTTCTGATCTGCAAAATGGAGACCATCATATCACCTACCTCCTAGGTCGTTGTGAGATAAGGTGTTGAAAACACGTGTCATAGTACCTGGCATATGGAAAGTAATAAATGCATGCAGTTCATTACTGGTATTAGTAGTACTGTTATTATCAGATGAGCAAATTAAAGGCTCTGAAAAGCCTTGTGGTAATAAAAACTGGTGAACTCTTTTTAACCCACCATTTCCCAAACACTTTTGACATCTGATCTCTTTGCTCTTAAGGAAGACCGATGAACATCTTAACATTCAGTGGCATGAATGTTGCTGGGAACCTACTTTGGGAACATAGGGCGTGGGCAGAGAAGTAGGTAGAGGTGCAGATGTCACTGGGGAGCAGTGGGGGAGATGGGAAAAGGAAGAGGTAGCTGTCAAGGGGAAAGGACAAGGTCCTTGAAGATACAAGTTTCTTACTGCCACCTGCATTGATAATGACTCCCTTTGGAGTGTGTCTGCCAGGACAGGAAATGATAAACATCATGCTAGTTGGTACGATTTATTTTTCACCACCTAGGGCTTCCCATGCAAGTTGCCCCCTAGTGGTCACTGCTATTGATCCACCCACGCCCAGCCTTGGAAACAACTGTCACACCATTTTAAAATCCACCCACCTGTCACACCTGTTTAAAGTCCACCCTGGGCTGGGCGCGGTGGCTCACGCCTGTAATCCCAGCACTTTGGGAGGCCGAGGTGGGCGGATAACGAGGTCAGAGGATCGAGACCATCCTGGCTAACACGGTGAAACCCCATCTCTACTAAAAATACAAAAAAAAAAAAAATTGCAGGGAGTGGTGGCGGGCACCTGTAGTCCCAGCTACTCGGGAGGCTGAGGCAGGAGAATGGCGCGAACCCGGGAGGTGGAGCTTGCAGTGAGCAGAGATCTTGCCACTGCACCCCAGCCTGGGTGACAGAGTGAGACTCCGTCTCAAAATAAATAAATAAATAAATTAATTAATTAAAATAAAATCCACCCTGGAAGACACCATCTCAAGACCAGCAGACTGTCTTCACCAAGATGAAGCCGTGTCTTTGGAAATCTGTTTATTTTGCAAACAGAAACTTTAAACTTAAGCCCAGTGCTACAGCAAGGCAATCAAATTAGGAGAAACTGCCAGCATAGACTGCAGTGTAATCTCTCTGCTTCTGACTAGAATCAGCCTGCGTCCCCCTTTCCAAGCTACATACATGCTCCACGCTCCCATTTCTACCATTGCTCCAATAGAGGAAATCAGAGAATGTACTCTCTGTAGGTTTTGCACAGGGCTTGGCTTGGTATATAATAGGTGCTAAATAAGAGTAAAAGAGGCCAGTACTCACAAAGTCTCCATTTATCTCTGCTTTGGAGATAGCTCTTAGTCATCCTGATGGAATCTTTCAGAAGGAAATACACTTCACTAGGCCGGGCGTGGTGGCTCATGCCTGTAATCCCAGCACTTTGGGAGGCCGAGGTGAGCAGATCACTTGAGGTAAGGAGTTCGAGACCATCCTGGCTAACATGGAGAAACCTCATCTCTACTAAAAATTGAAAAATTAGCCAGGTACAGTGGCATGTGCCTGTAGTCCCAGCTACCTGGGAGGCTGAGGCAAGAGAATGGCTTGAAACGTGGAGGCAGAGGCTGCAGTGAGCCAAGAACATGCCACTGCACTCCAACCTGAGAGAGAAGGAAGGAAGGAAGGGAGGGAGGGAGGGAGGGAAGGAAGGTAGGAAGGAAGGAAGGAAAAAAAGAAGGAAGGAAAGACATTTCACCTAGCTTTTCTGCTTTTATACATGAGGAAACTGGGGTTTCCTAAAACCGCAAAAGAAAAGTACGTCACAACAGGACCAGGGTCCAGACCTCAAAGAGGGGCTTGAGGACTTGACCCAGAATCACTGGAGACGCTTGTTACAAATGTAGATCCTGGGCCCACTCACTCCTAAGGAATTAGAACATCTGAGTGTCGTGTCCCAGTATTCATTTTTAAAATGCACCTCCTGGGTGATTCTTATGTACATTAGAGTTTAGACCTAGCTTTTCCTAATCCCCCACCCTAGATGCAATCGCAGTTTGCGACACAGCATCCGTTTACATACCGGCGTTCTTCCCAATGTATTTTTGCTGTTTGCTGAAATAAAACTGTTTTCTTAGTGGTGATTTGAGCTGGGGCCACAGCTGGACGGTAACAGCATTGAAAGTGGATAGTGTTGGGTTTGGTTTCTTGCTCTGCCACTTATTGGCAGTGACAGAGTAATTTGTCAGCCAAATTATTTAACATCTCTGGACCTTAGTTCCTTCATCTGTCACGTGGAAAGAATGATATTGCCTGCCATGTCTCTTTAAGAGGGTTTAAATGAGACAATGTACGTAAAATCGCTAAACCAGTGTCTAGCCCATAGTAGGTACTCAGTACATGCTAGTTCTTTCCTTCTTCTAAGAAAATTGACTTAGCCCAATGAGAAATGCTCATGCAGGAGGCACAAGACAATAGACAATGTGCAATAGGGTTACAGTTCCATTGGAGTGCATGCATCCTATAGACCATCCCAGGGGAGGGAACACCCATCGAAAGGCAGCTTTAAAACATTACTTCATGAAATTTGGGCTTTTGCAATTTCCTGATTTTGGTTATTGGTTTGGTCATGAGCCGCCGGGTGCAAAGCAGGTGGAAGACAGGAGGGTGATGTGAGGTGAAGTTTTTTAATAAAAATCAAATCCTACTCGCTCCTGAGTTCAGTCCCCTTTGAAAAGCACACAGCAAGTGCTGGGATTTTGATGAGCTTCCTTGGGAACCCATAGGGCATGAAATGAATGCGCAAAGAGGGTTCTCTGGTTTGTAGAAAATGCTCTTGCATCAAGATTGCAATAAACATTTGACTAGTTTGGCCGTGTGTCCTTCCGAGGCTAACCCAGCCAGATCCTGTTCATTCCAAAGCCATCTTGCGTGACACTCACAGCACACACAGTAGGCAATCAACATATATTTTGTTAATAAATTATTAAATGAAACTGGGCATAGTGTTCAAAGGAAATTTTGTCTTTTCTGAAAAGGTACTGGGAAATGAGAATCAACCAGAGGGAAGTCTGGAAACCTGTATTCTAGACCCAATACTGGTTTATCCATGTGACAGTCTTTGAGCTTGGTATATAACAGGTGCTAAAATTTCCTCTCCTGAAAGATGGAAAGCTTGAGACTATTAATTTTTTTGCCCCCTGAGCCTCTGTAAGTAAATATCCCAGGTTTTGCTCTGATTACCTTACCTTGTCATGTGCCCACCTCTGAACAAATTTGTAGGAGGAGGGCAAAGAAATGGAGAATGCCTGGGGCATGGGGAAGTGGAGGGATATGACATCCAAACCACATGGATTAGGAATAGGAGAGAGGCTTTGGGAGGCCGAGGTGGGCAGATCACCTGAGGTCAGGAATTCAAGACCAACCTGGCCAACAGAGATGGTGAAATTGTCTCTACAAAAATACAAAAATTAGCTGGGCATGATAGTGGGTGCCTGTAATCTCAGCTACTCAGGAGGCTGAGGCAGAAGAATCACTTGAACCCAGGAGGCGGAGGTTGCAGTGAGCCAAGATCACGCCACTGCACTCCAGCCTGGGTGACAGAGTGAGACTCCATCTCAGAAAAAGAAAAAAAGAATAGGAAAGAGATGCATCTCACCTGAAAATTGGGGGCTCTTCTTGGAAGTATGGTGAGTGAATGATTGGCATTTTTATCAGTCAGCTACTGCCACAATAACACTGCGTAACAAATAACCTCAAATCTCATTGCTTAAAATGTATTTAGACCAGCATTTATTTAGATCAGGAGTCTATATTCCAGTGATTTCAGCTGATGTGGGAGGTTCTTCTTATCTCAGGTGATTTCACCCATCTCTCTGGGAGTTGGCTGGATGTTGGGTGATCTAGGCTGGTTTTAACTGGAATGACTTGGGTGACTTGACTCTGCTCCATGTGCCTCATCCTCAAATAAGGCAGCCCAGATATGGTCTCATGAGGGTGGGAGAGGTGCAAGAGAGAAATTCAAACCAGCAAGCACTTCTCCAAATGCCTGTATGTCTCATGTCTGCTAACATCTCTTAGTCACACGGAACAGAGTGTAGAGATGGAGAAAGTCAAAGAATTGATTCATGCATTAATCTAACATAGGATCCCAAATCTCATAATTATCTACATTGACATGGTCCCAGGAAACTACAGCCAAGAGGAAGGTGACAAGTAGGGCTTAGAATTCTTTCCCTTAATTTGCTTCATTTAGAAAACCACCAGTTGTATGAAATTTCACCAGCTGGGAGGATGATTGGAAGACAGACCATGCAATGAATTTCTGGAAAAAAAAAATCTCTATCTATATAGCAGCAATGCACAGGAAGGCAGTGAGTGGATGCAGTTCCATCCAGAACCCTGTGTGGGAATCGGTGGGAGGGGATCTGTGCTCAGCCATGGCTGGAGAATGAGCCTGTCCACCGTTGTCCAGTAGCCTTTCAGAAGATGTTGACTGCACAGCAGGACTGCCTAAGTGAAGAGAGAAAGGGCCTGAGGTTTCAGAGGGCTCCTGGCAGCCACAACAAAGGGGGCCCATGGTACAGGCTGGACAGCTTTGTTGCAAAGCCCAAGCCAGGGGCTGTTTTAGAATTCTCCCTAGCAAAGGCTCCCTCCTCACTCTGGATTAATAGTTTGCCTATATATGGGATTTTAGAAAAAAAAAAAATCACAGTACCACCGCCTGTTGGGAGCCTTCAGGGTTAAGACTAAAAAAGGGCCAGGCTCCTGGACGCCTTTTTCCGGTTTTCTCTCTTAGAGCAATATGGCTTTGGGAAAGATATGGTGCCCCGTGGGGAGGGCCAGATGCCCCGTGCTTCTTTAGGACCTGGTTCATGTGCAGCCTCCGCTACTTGTGTCTCTGCAGCAAGGCCCGGAGGCAGGTGAAGTGCAACTAATTCACCATAAAGACAAATCTTCCATCTACTCCCTGGTCCTCTCCTGCTTAGGAAACTCAGGCTTTTTTTTTCCTGCCTTTCTTGTTTCTGTCTGCTGAGACAGCCTCTGGAATCTGCACAACTTTATACCATGTAGTTCAAAAGAAGAGAGAAATACCTGGACTTTTTTTTTTTTTTTTTTTAACAACATGAACTCTTTCCCTATCACTTTTTAATTCAGCTTGTGAAGAAGAAGAAAGCAGAGACCGAGAAAACGGTCCTATATAAGTTAAATACTGTTTTACGGTACTAAAATGTCCCACAAATACAGTGCTTAAGAGAAAGAAGTATTTCTTTTTTAAACAACTTTATTGAGATATGATTCACCTATCATACAATTCACCCATTTAAAGTGTAAAATCCAGTGGTTTTCAGAATGTTCACAGAATTGTGCAACCATCATTACAGTCAATATTAGAACATTTTCCTCATCCCAGAAAGAAACTCTATAACCATTAGTAGACATTTTCCATCTCTTACTGTCTTAGCAGTCCTCTCCCAGCTAACCCCTGGTTCAAGCAATGACTTGCCTATTTTGTGTCTTTATATATTTGCCTGTTTTGGATATAGCTGTCTCATGTGATAGACCTGTATTAGTTTGTTTTCATGCTGCTGATAAAGACATACCCGAGACTGGGTAGTTTATAAAGGAAAGAGGTTCAATGGACTCACAGTTCCACATGGCTGGGGAGGCCTCACAATCATGGTGGAAGGCCAAGGGGAAGCAAAACACGTCTTACATGGCAGCAGGCAAGAGAGTGTGTGCAGGGGAACTCCCCATTATAAAACCATCAGATCTCATGAGACTTATTCATTATCACAAGAACAGCACAGGAAAAACCCACCCCCATGATTCAGTTACCTCCCACCAGGTCCCTCCCACCAGGTCCCTCCCAAGACACTTGGGAATCATTATAATTCAAGGTGAGATTTGGGTGGGGATACAGCCAAACCATATCATGACCCAAGGAGAGTAATCCAGGTTGGTGGGCAGCTCTACTCCGAGTGGTCACTCCAGGACCCAGGTTCCTCCAACCTTGTTGCACTATGACTCTTACCATCTTGTCCTCATCTGCATTGTTATAGTTGGTTGCTGTCACTGTGTAATTCTGGCCTGGGGGAAGAGGGAAGAGAGGAGACCTAGAACAAGGATTTCTTTTTTTAAAGCAAGTCAGGTAAAGCAGAAATAGGACACATCACTTTTGCTATTATTTCACTGGTGCGATATCAGTCTCATGGCCAAATGTGGCTTCCAGGAAGGCTGGTAAATCTAGTTCTGAGTTGAGTGACCATGTGTCCAAGAAAAAGAAGGTAGACTAAATCTGATCTGGGAGATAAGAAGCAGGCAGCCACAGCATCTTCTCTGATGGGAATGTACATTTCAGGAGATGTACCATGCACTATGCATAATGTTCTGAGTTTTCGCAAGCCTTGTCTCGTTTACTTCTACACTGCACTCCACAAGGTGTGTGTGTATGTATATATATATATATATATACATACACACACCACAAGGTGTATATCCACAAGGTATATATAACATTATCCTAATTTTATAATCTTTATATTTTCTGATGACGACAGAAATAGCAGTTACTACCCTTTGGATACTTGCTATGAGGCAATGACATTGGCCTTTTTTCAGGATGCAACGTCCTCTACACGATTCTCTTCAATACTCTCCATCCCCAGGCCACATAGGCCTGGTTATTTTAGTTTCAATTTTATAGGTGAAGCTTAGAGATTTGAACCCAGATCCATCTGCTGTCAAAGTTTATACTCTTTCCTCCATATGGTAAAGAAGATTTTGTAGTCACAAAAGTCAGACATGGCTGGGTGCGGTGGCTCATGCCTGTAATCCCAGTACTTTGGGAGGCTGAGGCAGGAGGATTGCTTGAGCTCAGGAGTTTGAGACAGGCCTGGACAACATAGTGAGACACCCTTCTCTACAAAAATAAAAACAAAAATAGCCAGGCATGGTGTTGCATGGCTATAGTCCTAGATTCTCGGGAGGCTGAGGTGGGAGGATCACTTGAACCCAGGAGGGTCAAGTCAGTAGTGAGCTCTGATCATGCCACTGCACTTCAGCCTGGGTGACAGAGTGAGATGTGCATATTTCCAAACTTTGTTATCTGTCATATAAAACTGGTGCATTGAATCCTTCAAACTCCCAGCCATATTAACTCCTCTTTCCTTCTCAACATTCCCAGATCTCATTTCTTGTTTTTCAAGACTGGGGGCTCTACCATAGCTTTCAAGAGCCTAGTGTAGGATTCAAAACCAACACGTTGGTTCTTTGTCATCATTTGTATCAGTCTGTTCTCATGCTGCGAATAAAGATGTACCTGAGACTGGGTAATTTATAAAGGAAAGAGGTTTGATGGACTGACAGTTCCACTTGGCTGGGGAGGCCTCAAAATCATGGTGGAAGGCCACGGAAGAGCAAAAGCATGCCTTACATGGCAGCAGGCAAGAGAGGGCATGTGCAGAGGAATTCCCCTTTATAAATATTGTCAAAGAAGCAATATTCATTGTCCATTGCAGGCAATGTAGAATGCCTACATTGCAATATTCTATACTGCAGGCAAAAGCTTCCATAAATATTGAGTGTGATGGCCATAACTTGAGGCAGTGGAGCCAGGTGTCCTGGGTTCAAGTCTCAGCTCCATTTGTTGGATAAACAGCCAAAGCTCTCTGAGCCTCAGTTTCCCTACTTATAAAATAAAACCAATGGTAACACCTACCTCATTAGGATGTTGAGAGTATTGAAGGGGATAGCAAATGTAAATTCCTAGTGAAGGCAGTAGCATAGAACACACACTTAAGAAAGGTGAGCAATTACTCAGTTTGCCATTGACAAGAGTGGGGAAATAGAGAGGAAGTCCCTGTCTCTACTCAGACTTCTGATATACCCAAACAGTCTCTTTAATCAATCCCTGCCTTCTTCACCTGACTTTATTCTACCTCCCTTCCCCCGAGCTAGGTCTGCTAAAGAGTATCCAGGTCTCTGCAAATTCTCAGACAGGAAAATGGATCCTAGTTCGCCTGTCTGCGACATAAAAGCACTTAACCTGAGCTCCAGCCCTTCAATCCCTGTAAAGAACAGATGACTCAGTCTTCGGTGATACAGACTGAATGACCAGGAGATGTAATATCCTGCCCATTTCTCATATTTCAGGGACTGTCATTGGAACTGGAATATCATCAGTGCTTTCCTTCTTTCATCACGTGCATATTATTGCACGCCTGCTGTATACCAGGCACTGGGCTGGACGTTGAGGATACAGCAGTGAGCAGAACAGACACAACCTCTGCCCTAAGTGGAGCTTTATATTCTGGTTAAGGGAGACAGAGCATACACAAGTAACCAAAAAAGATAACTTTATATAGTAATATGAGCTATGAACATATTAAAATAGGGATAGGTCATCAGAGCCATTGGTGGAGGTGTCTTCTTTGGGTATTAGGAGGGTTTTTCAGGAGGTAGCCTTTGGTCACAGGTCCAGATGACAAGTAGTATTTAGGCAGAGGAAACAGCAGGGATGATGTCCAAAGGTCCTGAGATGGTGACAAGCTTGGCGTGTTCAGGAACAGAAAGGAATCTCATGTATAGTGGAATAGTACCCCCCTAAATCCTTGTCCATTCAGAACCTCAGGCTGGGAATGCACATGGAAATAGAGTCTTTGCAGAGGTCATTGAGTTGAGGATATATTGAATTAATGTGGGCCCTAATCCTGTGGCTGATATCCTTATAAGAAGGGAGAAATTTGGACACATAAACACACGCACACACACATACACACACATGGAAAATGGCCACGTGAAGTCCAAGGCAGAGATTGGAATGATGTAGCTTACAAGGCAAGAGATGCCAAGGATTGCCAGCAACCACCAGAAATTCGAAGAGGCAAGAATGGATCCTCTAGCAGAGCCTTCAGATGGAGCATGGCCCGGCCAACTTCTGGCCTTTGGAACTGCAAGAGAATGTATTTCTGTTGTTTTAAGCCATCAAGTTTGTGGTACTTTGTGATGGCAGCTTTAACAAACGAACACACACTGTGATGTGTTCACAATAGGTATGGAGCAGAGGAGGGTGCATAAGTAGCTAGAGTCCACGTCAAACAGACCTCAGGGACCACTGCAAAGAATTTGGATTTTGTTCTTAAGTGTAATGAGAAGATTAATTGCTGTCTTTTATCATACCCTTGAGCGAAAGGCAGAAACCGATGAGGAAATGTGAAAGCTTTGGTTGGGGCATTGCTTACCAGGTGAAATCCATCACCTGTGACCCAGGAATATTACCAAGAAAGAATGAGTGGTAGGAACCCCTCCCTAAGATATCTTTGCCTCAAGGAAAGGAGGTAGGTGGGAGGCTGCCTGCTGAGACCCTCAGATGTGCAGCTTGTTTTGGGAACTGGTTATTACCTTGACGTTCTCCCTTTCCACGGAAGCCAGGCTCCATCCCGCCCCGCACCTGTACAAGTGTCTGCTGCTAATTAAGAGAGAGACAGATGGAGGAAGGTATAGTTTAATTTTACAGCCCCAGTTTCTTCAAGGCAATTAGGGTCATTAGAAGGAAAGCACCTTTTCCTTTCTTCTTCTTCTTTTGTAAATGAAGAAAAGTCAAATAGGAGAGGGCCAGTGTTGTTGAAAGGCTCACACATCTGTTTCCTGGTCAGTTTGTCAGCCATCTGCCCACGAGGTACCGGGGCTGATTAGGTTAATGCATTTATTAATGGGGCTTACAAGACTGTTCAATGAATCTGTTATTCTTTTGCAAGTAGCTTTTTAATATACTAAGACAGGGACTACACTGCACAAAGCCAAGAGTGGCTAGATAAGCATTTCTTTCCCCTCACCTGGCTCCAAACCAGAGGGGAACAGAAACATTATGAAAACAGGTTTTCATGAAAACTGCACTTCCAGGTAATGGAAATGATTCATCCATCTAACCTCTAACCACCTCCTTGTTGTTGAAATAATCTTGAAAATATCTCTTTGGAGGATAGTTTCATGCACCAGGCACCAGTTCAGTGCCTACACTGTGCTTCTCTAAGAGACCACCTGAGTCCTAGGGTGGGAGAATGGTTAGTTAAATGAATAGGCATGAATGATATAATCTTGCCTATAGGACATTAGATGGCCTGAGGATCCCTTGCCTTCTTCATCTATAACTCAGATATCCTTTCAGGTTCTTGAAGCTACTCGGCTCCTTCTCACCTCAAAGCTTTTGCAAATGCTGTCATGTATCAGTTATCAACTGCTGCATAACAAATGACTCCAAATCTTAGTTGCTGAGCATAGCAACCATTTATCGAGATCATGATTCTGGGTCAACGGAGAAGTTCTTGTTTGGGCTGGATTGGCTCCTCTCAGTTGGATTTTCTTGGTATCTGGGTCTGCTGTTAGGTGGCTGATGGTCTAAGATGGCCTCACTGAACATACTGCAGTTAGCAGTTGGTTAGTTGTGTTGAACAGGGGTAACTGGTCTATGGGTTTCTCATCCTCCAGGAGTCTAGGGGATCCCTTCTTCACATGGAGGCAGATTTCAAGAGCCTTAGAGTAGAAGTTGCTAGAATCTACTGGTCCAAGCTCACCATAATGCCAGGACATATTCAAGGCATGGGGAAATAGATTCCACTTCTTGATGGTAAGAGCTGCAAAGTATTTTGGTCATTCTTGGAATATGCCACATATTCCCTCACGTGGGTTGCTCTTTCTGTTACTCTTCACCTTCTGATCTCAGCTTAAAGAGTTCTTTCTCAAGAGGCAGGATGAATGCCTGCCTCTCTAGTAGAATGTTTATTCCAGGATGGCAGGAACCATGTCTGCTTCTGTTTCTGATTGTCTTTCGTATTTCAAGTGTCCAGCATATGGTGGGTACCTGTTTGATGAATGACTAAATGATTGAACAAACAGCTCGAAGACTGCAGCATGGAGAATGGATTACAGGAGGTGAAACAAGGCAAGGAGGCCAGTTTGGTTACTGAAGTAGAACAATGTTCAAAGGGGGTAGGAGAAAGGGAATAGGTTAAGGAAATATTTGTTAGATATAGCTGGAAGGACTTGTTGGTTTGACAGTTGTGCTGCAAGAGAAGAGGAGAATGAAGTCAACCATTGCTCCCAAATTTCTGGCATAAGTGGCTAAGGAGTGAGTGGTCCCACGTGAGATGTAAGGAAAAGGCTGAAGAACAGATCTGAGTAATGTTGCTGGGTTCAGGGATGACAACCTTGGGCCAGAGATGCTATTGAATCTGTCCGGGAGGTAACTGGATATATAAATTTTGAAGTCTAAAGGGGAATCTTAGATTATTTTTCTGTTGAAGTTTCATGGCACTGGAAATCTTGAACTTTCCTCTAAAAGGCAGGAAAATAGGTTCAAATCCCAGCTGTAATGTTAGCTTGTGCTACCTTAAACAATAAAGCTTCCCTGACCACCAACTCCCTCCTGATCAGATCAAGGCCCCTTTGTGTGCCCTTTCATGGAGTAAACTAGGCACTCAACAAACATGGTGGGTGGAAGAAGGAAAGAAGGGAGACAGAAAAGAAGGCAGCTTGGTTTGGATGAATGCCTGCTTTGTGCCTAGTAAGTTGCCTACCATAGAGTAAGTGTTCAAACAATGTCTGTCAAATTTAATCCAGGGCTTCTTTCTTAAGGCAGGGAATAGGTAAAATATAGGTATTGAGCATTTACTACATTCCAGGAATTGTGCTGTGTAGCAGGTGTATCTCATGCAATTCATTGCTCACATTAAATCCAAGAGTGGTTAATATTATCCCCATTTCACACCTAAGGAAACAGGCATAAATGGTTAAGTGGTGTTCCCAAGGTCTCATAAACTCAGATCTGTCTCATTCCAGAGCCTGCAGACTTTCTTTTTCACTCCACTCTTGCCCCAAGTACCAAACACTTTCTGTGCTCAGGGAGTACCCAATACCAGATTCACCAAGCAACCAGCTCAGAGTTAGGTTAGGAGGATGGTGTGGATTCTCCATGTGGGACTCACTGTTTCCTCTTAATGGGATTTTCCCCCCATCTGCACGGATATGGACAGACTTGAATGCCTCTGTATCTACTTTTCTTTAGAACTTTCTGAGGGGACATCATGTATTGAAGCTGCTGGGATGCTTAACTCATAATTTATTTTGTCTGCTTCTCAGAAACAGGAACCATTGAATGCATCCCTTGCTCAGAGCAGACCTCAGACTGGTCTGATGTCTGGAAAGAGGAACATGGGAAAGAATGATGCTGGATCATTATAAGACATTTAATGAGGGCGAGTGAGATTTTTCAGTGAAAGATTACTGGGAGGAAAGTGAGAAAGATAGCTTCCACCCCTATTCTTGCCCTATATTCTCTATGTTCTCACTGTATTTTGCTCATATATTTTTTTTAATTTTTAAGTTCAGGAGTACAAGTGCAGGTTTGTTACATAGGTAAACTTGTGTCATGGGGGTTTGTCGTACAGATTATTTCATCCCCCAGGTATTAAACCTAGTACTTATTATTTTTCCTGATCCTCTCCCTCTTCCCTCTCTCATCATTCATCAAATATTTACTGAGGCCAGGTGTGGTGGCTCACACCTGTAATCCTAGCCCTTCGGGAGGCCAAGGTGGGTGGATCACTTCAGGTCAGGACTTTGAGGCCAGCCTGGCCAACATGGAAAAACGCTTCTCTACTGAAAATACCAAAATCAGCCAGGAGTGGTGTCACATACCTGGAATCCTAGCTACTTGGGAGGCTGAGACAGGAGAATCACTTCAGCCCAGGAGGCAAAGGCTGTAGTGAGCTAAGACTGTGCCACCGCACTCCAGCCTGGGTGACAGAGCGAGACACTGTCTCAAAAAAAATTTGACTGAGTCCTTAATATCTGCCAGGAACTAGGCTGGACATTGCTTATATAATGCTGGCCAAAAGTCATACCTCATCTTGGAACGCTAGTGAGTGAGACGGATGATAATGAATGAACTGCACAAACAAGTGTAAAATGACAGTCATGATAAATGCCACGGGAGGAGCTTATTATGGAGAGATCTGACTTTATCGGACTTTCTAGAAGGGAGAGGGACCTCAGGGGAGAGGCAGCTGGGCATAATAGGAGTGAAGTGATACTTCCCTTTAGTTCTCTAACAAAAAACACCCCTATGTGCTGGAACTGTGAAAACGACAGAGGCTATCCCTGTGGTTCTCAACCCTGGCTGCATATTAGAATCACCTGAGGGACTTAGAAAATATATGTCTGGGCCACAATCTCTGAAATTCTGATCAAATGGTTTTGGGAAGGGGTCCAGGTGTCTGAACACTTTTAAAGCTCCCCCATGTGATTTCCATGTACTGCCAGGACTGAGAACCACTGAGCCACCCAGATGGAAGGATATTTCTGCTCTCAAAGAACTCGTGGTCTAGTGGGGAAACAGATGTGAACACAGAAATTTATAAAACAGCGTAGTCAGTGTTATGATGGAGAGAGCAGGGGTGGCTGAGAAAGTCTGAGGGAATGAGGGAGGCAATATCTCAGCTAAGTCTTGCAAGATGAGTAACAGTAAACCTGGTGCTAATGAAGGGGATAGACTCTGCAGCTCAGACACCTGGTTCTTAGACCAGATAGGGGACCTCATTATAAGTACTGCTATGACTGGTTAGCTCCCCTTCATAGCACTTACCATAGTTATACATTTATGTAATTTGGGGGATTATTTGACCACCATCTCCCTCCTGATCAGATCAAGGCCCCTTTGTGTGCCCTTTCAGGGAGCAAACTAGGCCCTCAACAAACACGGTTGGTGGAAGAAGGAAAGAGAGGAGACAGAAAAGAAGGCAGGTTGGTTTGGATGAATGCCTGCCTCCCTGCTAGAATGTCCACCCCAGCAGGGCAGGAACCATGTCTGTTTCTGATTCTTCTTCATATTTCAAGTGTCCAGTACATGGTGGGTACCTGTTTGATGAATGACTAAATGAATGAACAAACAGCTCAAAGACTGCAACATGGAGAAAGGATTGGAGGAGGTGAAACAAGGCAAGGAGGCCAGTTTGGTTACTGAAGGAGAACAATGTTCAAAGGGGGTAGGAGAAAGGGAATAGGTTAAATAAATATTTATTAGGTATGGCTGGAAGGACTTGTTGGTTTGACAGTTGTGCTGCAAGAGAAGAGGATAATGGAGTCAACCATTGCTCCCAAGTTTCTGGCTTAAGTGGCTAAAGGGTGGGTGGTCCCATGTGAGAGATAAGGAAGAGGCTGAAGAACAGATCTGAGTAATGTTGCTGGGTTCAGGCATGGCCACCTTTGTTACGGGAAAGGAGTCCCGACCTAGACCCCAAGAGAGGTTTCTTGGATCTCATGCAAGAAAGAATTCAGGGCGAGTCCATAGAGTAAAGTGAAATTAAGTTTAATAAGAAGTAGAGGAATAAAAGAATGGTTACTCCATAGACAGAGCAGCCCTGAGGGCTGCTGGTTACTCATTTTTATGGTTATTTCTTGATGATATGCTAAAGAAGGGGTGGATTATTTATGCCTCGCCTTTTTCGACCATATAGGGTAACTTCCTGACATTGCCATGGCATTTGTAAACTGTCATGGCGCTGGTGGGAGTGTAGCAGTGAGGATGACCAGAGGTTACTCTCATGGCCATTTTGGTTTTGGTGGGTTTTGGTCAGCTTCTTTACTGCAACCTGTTTTTTCAGCAAAGCCTTTATGACTTGTGCCAGGCTTCTGTCTCATCCTGTGACTAAGAATGCCTTAACCATCTGGGAATGCAGCCCAGTAGGTGTCAACCTCATTTTACCCAGCTGCTATTCAAGATGGGGTTGCTCTGGTTCACATGCCTCTGACAGTTGTCCTGCAAGAGAAGAGGAGCATGAAGTCAACCATTGCTCCCAAGTTTCTGGCTTAAGTGGCTAAGGGATGGGTGGTTCCCATGTGAGAGATAAGAAAGAGGCTGAAGAACAGATCTGAGTAATGTTGCTGGGTTCAGGCATGGCCACCTTGGGCCAGAGATGCTGTTGAATCCAGGAGGTAATGACATATAAATTTTGATGTCGAAGGGGGAAACTTTGAGTATTCTTCTATTGAAGTTTCATGGCACTGGAAATCTAGAGCTTTCCTCCAAAAGGCAGGAAGATGGGTTCTAGTCCCAGCTCTAATATTAACTTGTGCTACCTTAAACAATTCATGACATTTCAGGAATGTGTGATCCTCACAGCCTTAGCAGATTCCAAGATTCCTTTTGGCTTTGACATTCCATACCTTCAGGTAGCCCTAGAATTTAAAGAGGAAGTTTCTCTTGAAAGGCTTTATCAGTCGGAGCTATTTGCATTACAAGGAATATAAACTCAACTTAAACTGTATCATACATAGCAAGTTAATATGTGGCTTCCTGGGTTGTTTCCTTGGGCAGTAGTCCGAGTGGAGGCCACGCTAGCCAGGAAAGAGTGCGGTGATCAATGAATGATGTCTAGCATAGACACAGCATCAGAAACAGGGACATATTTTTGTTTCAGTCCTGAAACCAAGGGTTTCCGTCTGTGGCCTTTCAAATAATGTTGATTGAATGTAGGTTCTACTCTGGCTCAGCCATTAGCTCTGGGTAACCTTAGTTTAATCATTTTATATGCCAGAGCTTGACAGTTTCCTTATTTGTCAAGCGGGAGAAATAGTCCCCATCTTTTCCACCTTCATTGTTGAAAGGATCTAATGAGAAAAGAAGCATAGAGCCCTGTAAGGAGGAGAATCAGATATTGAAGATATGAAGGAGAATCAGAAACAGACATGGTTCCTGCCCTGCTGGGGTGGACATTCTAGTAGGGAGGCAGGCATTCTTTAACCTTTATGTAAGTTCACATGTGTGACACTGTGAGATCCCAACGTGTGGATAAAAGAGCAAATACTTCTGGTCCCCTGAGAGATGAAAGTTCAAAAGTTTATTGCTAATGAATTAATTTTAAAAGTGTAGATAATCTTATAATAAAAGAATTCAGAAATTAAAATAAAATAAAAGGAGATTTCATAAAATTGTCAAATGAAAAACAAATAAGAAAAGAAAGTGTCAGCAAACCACCATGGCACATGTATACCTATGTAACCTGCACGTTCTGCACATGTATCCCAGAACTTAAAGTATAATAAAAAAATTAAAAGAAAAGAAAAGAAAGTGTTGATGAAAAAGGTCAAACTCTGTCAAATACTTGAAGAGATTTATTCTGAGCCAAATAGGAGTGACCATGGCCCATGACACAGCCCTCAGGAGTCCTGAGAACATGTGCCCAGGGTGGCTGGTCTGCAGCTTGGTTTTATACATTTTAGGGAGGTATGAGACATCAATCAAATACATTTGAGAAATACATAAGTTTGGTCCAGAAAAATGGGACAATTCGAAGGGGATGGTGAGTGGGGAGCTTCAAGGCTATAGGTAAATGTAAACATTTCCTGGTTGACAATTGGTTGAGTCTAAAGACCTGGGATCAATAGAAAGGGAATGTTCAGGTGAAGATAAAAGATTGTGGAGACCAAGGTTCTTTTGAAGTCTTATAGTGGCAGCCCTTAGAGACAATAGAAGACAAATGTTTCCTATTTAGACTTTTAAAAGGTGCTAGACTCTCAGTTAATCTCTTTACGATTGGGAGGGCCTGGAAGAAAAAATCTAGCTATGTTAATAGAGCTTATTTACACATGTAGGTTTTACCCCACAAAAAAACTTTTTTTTTGCAGGGCCATTTCAAAGAACGACAAAAAAACATGTTTTGGGGTAAAATATTTTGACTTTCTTCTTTGTCATGTAATGTTGTGTCAGAGTCAGATAGGAAAGTAAGTCACGATATATAGCGTTAAATAAAACCCATCTGATGAGAATTTATGGTTTGTAGGATATGACTCCCAGACCCCTTAGATAGAAATCTGGGCAAGATAAGAAAAAATCAGAGCTTAGTCCTCAAAAGAAAGAACGAGAAAGAGAAGTAAAAATGAAGGAAGAGAGGGAGGGAGGAAGAGAGAGAGGAAGAAGGAAGGAAGGAAGGAAGGAATCCTTCAATGCTGGAGAGAGTGTAGTTAAATTGAGTGGAAATTGGTAAAACTCTTTTGTAGAATAGTTGGCAATATGTATCAAGAGCCTTAACAATGTTTATACTCTTTGGCCAAATAATTCTACTTTTTATAATCCAAATCAAAGGTCAGCAAACTTTTTAAAGAAGGACTGGGTAGTAAATATCTCAGGCTCTTCAGGTCTCACGGTTTCTGTCAGCTGAGTTTCAACCAGCACTCAATTCTACCACAGCAGAACAAAAGCAGCTATGGATAATATATAAATGAATGGGCATGGTTTTGTGTCCAATAAAACCTTGTTTACAAAATCAGGATGTGGCCAGATTTGGCCCCGTGGGCTATAGTTTGCCAATCCCTGATGTAAATTAAGAAAACAGGCCTGGTGCGGTAGCTCACACCTGTAATCCCAAGCACTTTGGGAGGCCAAGGTGGGAGGATTGCTTGAGCCCCGGAGTTCAAGACCAGCCTGGGCAACATGGTGAAACCTCATTTCTACAAACAAAAAAATACAAAAATTAGCCTAGTGTGGTGATGCTTGCCTGTGGTCCCAGCTACTCAGGAGAATCATCTGAACCTAGGAGGTAGAGGCTGCAGTGAGCTATGATTGTGCCACTGCACTCCAGCCTGGGCAGCAGAGTAAGATCCTGTCTGAAAAAATAATAATAAATAAATAAATAAGAAAACATTTTTAGAATTATGCTAAATTCAAAATTCTAAATATAAAGAGAGGTTTAAGTGAAAAGTTGCTATTACATACAACTGTATTTGTAATAGCAAAATATTGGCACAATTAGAACACTCATTAATAGGGGAATTAATTAATTTTGATAGTTCCACTCAATGAAATACTAGGTACACATGAAAATCCTGTTTATTAATAATTTATAACAACATGAAGAAATGCTTGATAGAACATTACTTGAGAAATAGAAACAAACTTATTTATAATGACGATGATAATGGTGGTAGATAATATCTAAGCACTTTACACAGATCATATCATTTAACTCTCCAAACAGACCTATGAAGTATACTTTTTTATTGTAATGGCTTTCCTTATGGAGAAGCTGATGCTGACAAATGTTAAGTAATTTAGTCAAGGTTAAGCTGCTGGCAGGTGTCACAGTTGAAATGTGAATACAGGTCTGGTTTAACTGCTAAAAGCAAAAACAAAAGCAAACAAACCAGCGGAGAAAAATCCCAAATTAAACTCTGTTTATTAAAAATACCAGAAGAAAATACACCCAAAAGTTGTTATCGGCTGTCTTGATTGGTAGGTCATAGATAGGAAGATCACTTAACATGTTCACTCTTTTCTCTAATGAAAATGTATCATTTTAATAAAAAAGAAACAACACGCGAATTTCATAGGCAAACCAACGATGGCAGAATGGTAGGTGGGACTGTGGGGGGAGAAGTGTTTATTTCGGAGGTCTAGAGGTTCCCTTGGGGATGCCTTTAATCCTCTTGGTCCTGCTCTTTGTTTGTGAAAAGGGCATGGTGCTGCCCTTCCCTCTGTCTTGTTCTAGGTGGAGTTTCTAGTGTGTCTTGTTTGGACTGTTGGCCCATTTTTATGCTGTTCTTGGGTTGACATGCCAGTCTCTAACTCTCTCTCTCTCTCTCTCTCTCTCTCTCTTCTCTTTCTTCCCCTTCTTCATCCACCCGTTCCGATGTGTAGCTGACAAGGTCAATGACGACTTCTACACCAAGCGACGGCACCTGGCTGAGCTGGCTGCCAAGGGGAACTTACCTCTGCACCCCGTAAGAGTGGAGGACGAGCCCCGGGCCTTCAGCCCTGAGCACGGTCCTGCCAAGCAGAATGGACAGAAGTCCCGCACCAACAAGATGCCCCCACATCCCCTGGCCTACACCTCTACCACCAACTTTAAGGGCTGGGACCCCAACGAGCAGTCCCTCCGGCGGCAGGCTTACAGCAACAAGGGCAAGCTTGGCACGGCCGAGACAGGCTCCAGCGACCCCTTGGGAACTCGCCCCCAGCACTACCCACCCCCACAGCCATACTTCATCACCAACAGCAAAACAGAAGTGACTGTCTGAGCTTTCACCACAGGGAGCACCCTGGAGACCACACTCAACTGAGAGAGGCAAAAAACAACCCCGCCCACACCCTCCCCATCCTCCCCTAATACATGCGTCCACACACTCACTCTCAACAAGAACCAACTCTAAACCTACTGGGGACACAGAGTCGCGCTTTTCCTAGGTCATGCCTGTAACGTGTCGGCGGGCAGCTGAGAAAGACCGAAGCGTGGACATTCAGCAATACAGCAAAGGGGAAAATGAGGCACACTCTTTCCACTTCAGGCCCAAGATGGCCAACTCACATGCCCAAACCGTGGGGCTGAGTTTTCTTTTCCTCCTAACTTGAAACTGAAATCCATGGTGACAAAATATAAAAGTAGCACAATTTAGAGAAATTGTCCATTTGAGCACATACACTACTTGCCACGTGCTGTCTGTTTCTAGGTTCGAAAGCCAGGGTGGAAATGGGGGTAGAGAATGAGGGAGGACACAAGAGAAGAGTGTATTCTGGAAGAGGAGTTGTTCTGGGAGGAATTTGCCCACATTAGAAGCATTTTTCTAATTCCAAGAAGTGGTGACGTGGACGTAAAATTTTGACGAGCATGAAACAGTAACTGGACCCCAACCATTCTATTTATAGTACTTTTCATATCATCCATGTTGAAAGCAAAAAACAACACACCCTCAAACTCACAGAAAGTAAATAGACCCTGAACCCACCGACAATGATGGGAAGGAAAAAACAAAAAACAAAAAACATTTTAGAGAACTCCCATAAGGACCATGACCGTGGAAATGGGAGGGATGGGCTTTTACGGAGAGGGTCCGGAGAGTATCAAATAACTTTTTAAAAAGAGGATTAAAATGTAAGCCCACTACAAAACAGATAAAAACGGCAAATTAGGTGTTTTTTTTTTTTCAAAAATCTTGAAGACTTGTTGACATTAACAACAACAAATCCACAGTTGGAAAAGTCCACAGGAGATCAGATGAGGATCCAGAAGCCTCTGATTTCTGGGTTTTGCCTCCAAGACCTGAAACAGCCACAGAAACAAGTCCTCTATAAACTGTATGTCCCTGACATCCCTTTCCCTTCAGCGCGTTGCCGCCGCCGCTGCCAAACTTCAACTGCTTTGGACTGAAAATGTCATAAGCGTGGGTGGTGCCTTCAATGTGTTACTGTTGTTTAATGACAGTCTTGTTTCCCAAGTGCAACCTGTGTTCTTTTAGCCTTCCTTCCTCTTCTTTTTCTGCAGTAGTAGAAGATGTTTCCATCCTTCCTTTGTAGGTGAGCCCACCCCATAACACCCTCTGAGGGGCTGCTACAATGTCAGGGGTACCCAAGAACGAAGACCTCCCTACTCTCTACACTATCAAAATTAGTCCTTCCATTTTCTAGCCCTCTCAAACCTGTCAGATGTTTCTTGGTCCCGTAATTCCCATGGTCCCTCCAAATTACCTCCCCACATACTTCATGTGTTCATCTCCCATCCAGAATGTCCTGAGGTTGTTTTTCTGGTTGGTTCTCATAATCCATAGTCCTTGGGGTCCCAGCAAAGTCAGTTTTCCTACAAGTTGTGTTTGTTTTGTGGAAGCCCAAAGAAGTGGATTGAGAGAGAAGAGATTTTTATCTAAGGTGGAAGGTTTTTCAACTAGCCCCTAAAGGTCTTTGGTAGTTAATTAACATTCAACAGACCCACAGCAACTCTGGTGTCAGAAGCTATAAATGGTCTGGCCAAACAAGACTCAGAGTATTTTCTGAAATCCTGAGCTGCAAGGTTCTGCCTCACCTGTCTCTCCACTCTGACATCACGAAATCAGCAAAACCAGATATTTATTCTCCTCACTCCCAGCAGATACGAGGACACCAACAATGCAGTTGATCCCTCTGGGCCTGAGTCTCCCATCTGAAACATGGGGAATTGGGGTAGGTCAAGCTTTTTGAAACTGCAAAACCTCTACCTGTTTTTAAAAATGAGATCTTTTGACCAGGCACAGTGGCTCACACCTAAAATCCCAGCACTTTGGGAGGCTGAAGCAGGTGGATCATCTGAGGTCAGGAGTTTGAGATCAGCCTGGTCAACATGGTGAAACCCCGTCTCTACTAAAAATACAAACATTAGCTGGGCATGGTGGTGGGTGCCTGTAATCCCAACTACTCGAGAGGCTGAGGCAGGAGAATCGCTTAAACTTGGGAGGTTGCAGTGAGCTGAGACCACACCACTGCCCTCTAGCCTGGGTGACGGAGTGAGACTATCTCAAAAAAAAAAAAAAAAAGAAAAAAAAAGAGATCTTTCAAAGAACGCATAATAGGAGATCTCCATGTATAAAAAGGTACCATGCTGTACAAAGCTGGGGTCAGAGATTTAGTGCCCACCTTCTCAGCCTCCTTGGGAAGACCCCAGAGCTTCCCAGAGTCAAGTAAATACCACTGGGCATGGTCAGAGTTTCCTTGACGTTAATGAGCTATGTACCTGCAACACACTTTGGCATCTCTGTATATCACCTTCACAATATTTGTATCTAAATTGATTCATTTTAATGCATTTTGTTTTTAAAATGAAAACTTCCTGTCTTCATCACAAATTTAAAAAAAATCATCAGTTGCCATAAATAGAAAGCAAACATAAAAATAAGTACAAAGGAAACAAGCAGCGATGATTAAATTCCAGCTGGAGTCTGTTGTCTGTGAGTCTGAACTAAAGCCTGGGGTTCTTTCTTTCTCTCTCCATCTCTCTGTTTCTGTTTCTCTCTCTCTCTTAAAATGATATCATCAGGTATTAAATAATTGTTAAAAATACCAGCACCCAATGAAGACTTTCTCTTTGTACTAATAAGATGGACCAAAAAGTAAATGAAAGGGGAATCATTTCCTATGCAAGTCAGTGTTGAACAATGCTGTAGCTATGTACTGCCTATGATCATTGTGCATACACTAGGGGTGCATAGCCCACACTTCAGAAAACCCTGGGTTGACTTATCTGTGAGGCTCTTTCCAGCTCAAAGTTTCCATAATTCTTATCTCCCTTTTACCTCGTGGTTGCTCTTTGCCCCCAGTCCACTTCGTCCCACCCTTATCTCAACTCTGATTAAGAGTCTTTCTTGGCCTCTAAATCTGTAGTATTGTATTCCTTCTGCATGCTCCTTCTCCTCTGAATAAACTTCATCAATTGAACTGGGCTCCTTGGGGTCTGCAGTTGTAATTTTGGCAGCAAAGGTGCAGACTGGTCATTAAGATGTAGCCACAATGATGGCCCAAGAAGGACACGTACTTTCCAAGTAGTCCTGTCTAGGATGGAAAGCTCAGGAAGTGCTTCATAGTTTATTATCTTCCAGTTGGTTTTGGGAGATGAACTGAAGAGGGAAGTTTGGATAGGGAAGGTCTTTTTATTCTTTTTTTTTTAATGTATCCATGGAGTATTTATTATTATTATTATTATTATTATTATTATTATTATACTTTAAGTTTTAGGGTACATGTGCACAATGTGCAGGTTAGTTACATATGTATACACGTGTCATGCTGGTGTGCTGCACCCATTAACTCGTCATTTAGCATTAGCTATATCTCCTAATGCTATCCCTCCCCCCTCCCCCCACCCCACAACAGTCCCCAGAGTGTGATGTTCCCCTTCTTGTGTCCATGTGTTCTCATTGTTCAATTCCCATCTATGAGTGAGAACATGCAGTGTTTGGTTTTTTTGTCCTTGCGATAGTTTACTGAGAATGATGATTTCCAATTTCATCCATGTCCCTACAAAGGACATGAACTCATCATTTTTTATGGCTGCATAGTATTCCATGGTGTATATGTGCCACATTTTCTTAATCCAGTCTATCCTTGTTGGACTTTTGGGTTGGTTCCAAGTCTTTGCTATTGTGAATAGTGCCGCAATAAACATACGTGTGCATGTGTCTTTATAGCAGCATGATTTATAGTCCTTTGGGTATATACCCAGTAATGGGATGGCTGGGTCAAATGGTATTTCTAGTTCTAGATCCCTGAGGAATCGCCACACTGACTTCCACAATGGTTGAACTAGTTTACAGTCCCACCAGCAGTGTAAAAGTGTTCCTATTTCTCCACATCCTCTCCAGCACCTGTTGTTTCCTGACTTTTTAATGATTGCCATTCTAACTGGCGTGAGATGGTATCTCATTGTGGTTTTGATTTGCATTTCTCTGATGGCCAGTGATGATGAGCATTTTTTCATGTGTCTTTTGACTGCATAAATGTCTTTTGAGAAGTGTCTGTTCATATCCTTCGCCCACTTTTTGATGGGGTTGTTTGTTTTTTTCTTGTAAATTTGTTTGAGTTCATTGTAGATTCTGGATATTAGCCCTTTGTCAGATGAGTAGGTTGCGAAAATTTTCTCCCATTTTGTAGGTTGCCTGTTCACTCTGATGGTAGTTTCTTTTGCTGTGCAGAAGCTCTTTAGTTTAATTAGATCCCATTTGTCAATTTTGGCTTCCTCTTGGGAGGGTAGACAGACCTCACAATATGGAAAGACGGGACAACCTATGGAACTATCTGTGACTTCCATGTACCAAGACAAGGACGCTATAGCTAGGGTAGTGAGACCTAGAAGAGAGAAACCAGAACAAAGCAGACAGGCTGTCCTCTTCCTAATTCCATGCCCTGACATCAGCCCCTATTTTTTGCCTTTAGCTGTCCCCCAGTTTCCAACCCAATGGGACCAGAGTCTGACTTCCCTTTGCCCTTTCACAGTGTCTCAGCCTCCATCTGCCTTGGGCTCCGCCTGGCCTCCCCATCTAACTCTTCCCAGTTTTTTGTGTAAATGGAGCATATTTTATGTGCGAATATTTTAGTAACCGTATGTTCTGCAAGTAAACCTGTGTTAATACTTGTCAACAACTGCAGAGTTTATGATACGAATAATTCTTCCTACAATGAAGAAAAAAACACATTTGTTTGTTTTCTAAGAATGTTTATTTGTAAACATATGTATTCACTATATTAATATGAATTTCTTACCTGGCAATAAAACTGATTATATGTGAGGCTGTTGGGATTGTCATGTATCTTTCTAGAACCCTGCATCCTAATTTGTGTTTTCACCAGGGAACACCAATATTAGCATAGAGAATGAGGTCTATAATACTCAGAATATATGGGAAGTTGTTTCCGGCAAAGGCAATTTCTAGTTAACAGCAACATATACACATTTTCCAGGAGACTTTGTGTTTGAAGCGTTTTTGGTAAGTTTGTGTCACATCTCCTAGTTCACATCCTTTTGCCTTTAGAAATCTATTGTTGCTAGGTTTCCTCATCATAACTAAATTTATTCTTAATGGTCAAGAATCTTGCTGCGATTTGAACTTTAGTTTTGAACGCTGATCAGGGTCATAGAAGACACAAATATTGAAAGGATGGAAGATTCGATTCTTCCCCTATTTATTAAATTTTATTTCCTGTCTGGCCTCTGGTAGCATAGAGTTTGAAATTTTCAGGTAGAAACCTGTCTGACTATGGTTCCTCCAGAAAGAGGCTCGGAGATTAGGATGTGAGAAATGAAGAGAATACTGGGAGGGGGTGGGAGGTTCAATAAGGAAGGCAAAGCAGCTAAGAAGAGTATGATATCATGTCAGCTACCACTATGCACGGCTGGAGTTTCATGCTGCAGGGAAACTTTGGGAGACAGTGTTGAACACACACACAGAATCATCCTGCCCAAGTAACGTGAGCTTGGGTGTTTACGTGCCCATGGCCATCAGACATTGTTTCCAAATTGCTTTCAGGGATGCTAATGTTCAGACACTCCTAGGCTGTCATGTGCAAAGGCAGAAGGACTTTCATGGTGTCAAGAATCCCTAGGCAGCCGGGCACGGTGGCTCATGTCTGTAATTCCAGCACTTTGGGAGGCCAAGGCGGGCAGATCACCTAAGGTCAGGACCAGCCTGGCCAACGTGGATTAACCCCATCTTTATTAAAAATACAAAATTAGCTGGGTGTGGTGGCGCATGCCTGTAATCCCAGCTACTCAGGAGGCTGAGGCAGGAGAATCGCTTTAACTTGGGAGGCGGAGGTTGCGGTGAGCCGAGATCACACCATTGCATTCCAGCCTGGGCAACAAGAGCCAAACTCCATCTCAAAAAAAGAGAAAAAGAAAAATCCCTAGGCACAGAGATGCACCTACTGGTGATTATAAGCCAGTCACTGTACACCAAAGTCCCAAAGACCCTAAGGATGTGGGCAGGAACTCACAGTGGCTGCCCAAAGCCAGAGATCTGGGGTCCCTGGGGAATGAAACTTCCACTCTCTGGATGCTTAGAGACATTGTCAATGTCAAGCAAAGGGGAGATTTGCAGTCAGGGTCAGGATCTTTACTCTGGGATTTGGAGACCTTTCATTGGCCACAGGGTCACTTAGCATCACCCAGAGCAGATCCCCTGGGCTGTCTTTGGGGCACAGTTCTGGTTATCAGAGAAGTCTGGAACACACAGGATGCTCTTTCAGCACTTGGAAACTTGGTGGCTGGAGTCACTCACATCAGAGCCCCAAGAATGTAGTCATAGAACAGAGAATTACACCTCTGTGAGGAGAGCCACACTATTCCTCTAGTGAGCCACCTGGTGGATTATAACTCATAAACAACAACAACAATAATCATAGCAAGCTTATTTGCAGAGCCACACACTGTTAAAGACCTTCTATGCATTGCCACATTTGGTTCTCACTGCAAAAGGTGGGTACTATTATGCTTTGGAGATGCTGTTCAGAGATTTGTCTAAAATTTGAGTAATGCTCCTAAAGCAATTCAACTAGTAAGTGGTAGAACTGGGATTTGAACTCCAGAGCTCATGCTTTAATGGCTCTGTCAATAGTTCTCACCTGGATTCGCATGTGAATCAGTGGGGCAGCTTGATAAAAATGCTGATTCCCAAGCTCCCTCAAAGAGCTTCAGATAAGGTAGATCCGAGGAGATGGGGCCCAGGGTCCAATGTTTGTAACAAGCTCCCTGTCATTGCACTAGAGTGGCCCCTGGACCCTATGATGAGAAGCCTTGCACAGTGCCACATTACATCATCATCCAACATCTGTGGGATCATCCCAAGGACTATGAGATGCAGAAGAAATTGGAGTGGACCTGTGTGCTTCTAGAGACAGGAACTCTCATCATCCGGCTTCATGTCTGATATTGAAAAGTTGTGTCCTATAATGAAGAGAAGACTGACTCCAGGAGACTTGGCTGGTGGTATTTATTGATTCCAATGCCAATTTGCCACGTGCCTTGAAACTATCCTTTCCTGCAACTCCATGTCTTCATTTTCCTTCAGAAGGAGGAGGTTGCAGTTGATAATCTTCAACCCTGCTCTCTGACTGGACTGAGTATTCTTCTTCCTGATCACCACGAAATGGGTATAATCAATGGAATTGAGTCTCTTACCACTTTCAAAGGTTTGCTCCTGGATGACTGGGATTTTAGTGTGTATATTAATAACATTATAGTAACAAATTCTGAGGATTGAGCACTTGCCAGGTACTCGGTGTAGACCCAGAAAATCTGAGACAAGTCTGTTAATTTAGAAATATTATTTTGCCGGCCAGGCACGGTGGCTCATGCCTGTAATCCCAGCACTTTGGGAGGCCGAGAAGGGCAGATCACGAGGTCAGGAGTTCGAGACCAGCCTGGCCAACATGGTGAAACCCCATCTCTACTGAAAATACAAAAATTAGCCTGGTGTGGTGGCATGCTCCTGTAGTCCCAGCTACTCAGCAGGCTGAGGCAGGGAGAATGGTGTGAACCTGGGAGGCAGAGTTTGCAGTGAGCCGAGATCGCGCCACTGCACTCCAACCCTGGGTGACAGTGCGAGACTCTGTCTCAAAAAAAAAAAAAGAAAGAAAGTTTATTTTGCTAAGGTCGAGGACATGTGTCTGTGACACAGCCTCAGGAAGTCCTGATGACATGTGCCCAGGGTGGTTGGGGTGTACCTTGGTTTTATACATTTTAGGGAGACATGAGACATCAATCAAGTACATTTAAGAAATATATTGGTTTGGTCCAGAAAGGCAGGACAACTCAAAGTGGGGGGGCTTCCAGGCTATAGGTAAATTTAAACATTTTCTGGTTGACAATTGGTTGAGTTTGTCTAAAGACCTGGGATCAATAGAAAGGAATGTTTGGGTTGATGCAAGAGGTAGTGGAGTCCAAAGTTTTATCATGAAGATGAAGCTTTTACCTAGCAGGCTTCAGAGAGAACAGGCTCTAAAATGTTTCTTATCAGACTTAAAGCCTGTGTTGATGTTAATGTTGGACAGGTATAATGAGGCATGTCCGACCCCCACTTCTCCCTTCATGGCCTGAACCAGTGTTTCAGGGGCCTTAGAATTTTATTTTTGGTTTACAGCAGCGTTTTTTTTTTTTTTTTTTTTTTGAGATGGAGTCTTGCTCTGTCACCAGGCTGCAGTGCAGTGGCGCAATCTTAGTTCACTGCAACCTCTGCCTCCCAGGTTCATGTGATTCTCCTGCCTCAGCCTCCCTAGTAGCTGGGACTACAGGCACGCACCACCACACCTGGCTAATTTTTTGTCTTTTAGTAGAGATGGGGTTTCACCATGTTGGCCAGGATGGCCTCGATTTCCTGACCTTGTGATCCACCCGCTTTGGCCTCCCAAAGTGCTGGGATTACAGGCCTGAGCCACCATGGCTTTCTGATTCTCTAACAGCCATGGGCTACTATGAATATTCTTAATGTTCTTAGGCCATGGATCCTTTCAATTATCTGGTGAATGCCTATGGATTCCCTTTTCAGAATAATGACTTTAAATGCATAAAATAAAATACATAGAATTACAAAAAAAACCCATTATCTCGATGTATACTCATGAAAATATTTTTAGAAACTCACATTTGTGATATGGTAATACAGTTGGCCCTTGAACAACACTGCTTTGAACTGCAGGGGTCCACTTATGTGTGAATTTTCTTCCACCTCTGCCACCCCTGAGACAGCAAGACCAAGCCCTCACCTTCCTCAGCCTACTCAAAGTGAAGATGACAAGGATGAAGACCTCTATGATGATCCACTTCCACTTAATAAATAGTAAATATGTTTTCTCTTCCTTGTGATTTTTTAAATAAGATTTTCTTTTTTCTAGCTTACTTTATCATAAGCACACAGTGTTATATATTTGTATACATACATACATAAAATACACATAGCATACTAAATATGTGTTAATCAATTGTTTATTTTATCAGTAAGGCTTCTGGTCAAAGTGGACTATTAGTAGTTTAGTACTGAGGGAGTCAAAAGCTGTATGAGGTTTCCGACTACATGGGGTTTGTCGACCTCTAACGCCTGCATTGTTCTAGGGTCAGCTGTATATGTGCTTTTCAACTAATGCAATAAATAACATGAGGTTTCAAAGTATTGATGAGCACAAACAATTCTTTGAGCTATCTGCTACATTTGCGATGTGATACGACAATATCTGTGATTCTACTGTTGACAAAGTCCCAGGTCGGTGCTAATACTATAGGTGGTTCTTTGCCTACATTTATTTACTTACTTTTGAGACAGGATCTCACTCTGTTGCCCAGGCTGGAGTGCAGTGGAGCAATCACAGCTCACTGCATCTTTGACCTCTGGGGCTCTAGCAGTCCTCCCACCTCAGCCTCCCGAGTAGCTGGGACTACAGGTACGTGCCACCATGCCCAGCTAATTTTCTGTATTTTTTGTAGAGATGGGCATTCACCATGTTGTACAGGTTGGTTTTGAACTCCTGGGCTCAAGCAATCTGCCCACCTCAGCCTCCCAAAGTGCTGGGATTACAGGCATGAGCCTCTGCACCCTGCCTTATTGCCCACATTTATAATTGAGGGACATGCTAAATTTCAACTAGAGGCCAGTGAAAGTAAAGACATGATATATTTTCTCCCACCTACTTTCATAAACCCACTGAATTCTACCCACAAATCCCTCTGCAGGTGTGTGGGTCCCAGGTGAAGCACTGTGTACTAGTGAGACTTAGAGCTACTTACCTATTCTCTTCATGCTTCTATTTTTTTAAAATAGGGATAACAATAGTATCTCTATCATTGGCTGTTATGAGAGATAAAATAATAGATAAAAAGACAGTAGCTTAATGCTTAACACCTAGTAAACATTTCAGCATTAGCTTTTGTTATGAGAATTATTCTTTCAGATGATTCCTATAACCTCACAAAATTGTGTTTTATTTTTCGCCACTCATAGAAGAAGAAACAGGCTCAAAGAGGTAAAAATTGCACAAAGTAACCCAGGAAGTCAGTGGCAGAGCTGATTGAAACCTGGTTCTCTCTGATTCAACCTTAAGCTCTGGCCTATCGTGTGTGCTGTGTCATTTTTTAAAACTGATAGTATTAAATGTCCTCACTTCTCCCTGGAATGAGGCTAGACCGACTTTGGAGTAGATCACCATGGATGTCCCCATTTCTTCACCCCTCCCAGAGGAGAAAGACAAATGTCCAAGGTTCAGGAAGCTCTTGTCTGGCGCCTGTTTATTTAAGGGCTTAAATAAATAGCCCTTTATTAATTAACTGGAGACAGTTAATACCAATGTCCTCCCTTCAACACAAGCTCTCTCCAGCCCAGTACTTGCAAGATCCCAATTACAAACCTCACTGTCCCAGAAATTGTCAGATTCTAGTTTTTTATTTAAAAAAAATCCATCCTGTTAGGAATATATTCACCACATAAAACCAAAATAAGTCTGATATGGCTTGGCTGCTTCCCCACCCAAATCTTATCTTGAATTGTAGCTCCCGTAATTCCCACGTGTTGTGGGAGGGACCTGGGGGGAGGTAATTGAATCATGGGGGTGGTTTTCCCCATACTGTTTTCATGGAAGTGAATAAGTCTCACAAGATCTGATGGTTTTATAAGAGGAAACCCCTTTTGCTTGGCTCCAATTCTTCTCCATGCTTCCCCATGTAAGATGTGCCTTTCACCTTCTGCCATGATTATGAGGCCTCCCGAGCCACGTGGAACTGTAAGTCCATTAAACCTGTTTTTCTTTATAAATTTCCTAGTCTCAGGTATATCTTTATCAGCAGCGTGAGATCAGACTAAAACAGTCTTTCTCATACATTCAGTCTCAGCCTTGAAAGATAATAATCATCGTAATGCTAATAGCAACAACTTCTTTGATTACCAATTATTGAACATTTTTTGTGTATCAGGCACTGGGTTAGGCACTGTAAAAGCTTCATTCTTCTCTTCTTGCTGGGGCTCTGAGCCTCAGTCAGCATGAGTCTCTAAATGGTTTTGTGAAGCAGTAACTTCCTTTACCACCATTTCCACCACCAACTGGACGTTATGTGAGTTAGGAATAATCTTCTATTATTATCAGTGTGTTAAGCACTGAGATTTCAGGGTTTATCTGTTAGAGTAGCTAGAATTTCCTTAACAAATACAAAAGATAAAGCACTTAGAACTGTATCTGACTATTTAAAAAAAAACAATAAATGTTATCCGTTGCCATCATCATCATTATCATCATTGTAGCACTCTGTTTTCACACTGCTATAAAGAACTACCCTAGACTGGATAATTTGTTATGAAAGATATATAGTAAATATATAGTATTTATATTTTAAATATAATAATATAATAAAAATAATAATTTGTTATTAAGTGACTCACAGTTCCACGTGGCTGGGAGGCCTCAGGAAACTAACAATCATGGCGGAAGGGGAAGGGGAAGCAAGGACCTTCTTCACATGGTGGCAGGAGACAGAGAGTGAGCAAAGAGGAAATGCCACACTTGTAAACCATCAGATCTCTTGAGAACTCACTCACTATCATGAGAACAGCATGGGGGAACTGCCCCCATGATCTAGTCACCTCCCACCAGTTTCCTTCCATGAAGGGATTACAATGAGAGATTAAATTTGGGTGGGGACACAGAGTGAAACCATATCAATCATCTTAATTAAACTTCTACTCTATGCTAGGACCTTTACATACCTGATCTTTAATCCTCTCAGTAACCTTGAAAGGGTTCATAACTCCATTTTAAAGATAAGGGAACTGAGAGGTTAAATGTCTTACTCAAGGTCACAGAGCAAGTGCTGGAGCGAGAATCTAAACCTGGAGTTTTCTGGTTCCACAATTTCTAGCACCCCACTTAACCCTCTCAAAGTTCCTGGTACTATCTGGATCCAGTTACTGTGGTTAAATAAATAAATAAATAAATAAAAATACCTTTGTGGAAGAAAAATGTCTTCACTGTCAGCTTGGCATCTCACTTATTTTCTTGTCAGATTCCAAATCCTAACTCGTGCTGTGTTGTACAGTTCAAAGAAAGCATTTCCCATCAAGAAATGTCATGGTTGCTAGAAATAATTTTGTCACATCCTCTTGAATTTTTCCTTTTTGCAAGTTCAGAGGTTTCAGTTAGATTCACATCTTATGATGCCTCTTTTTAAAACATTATAAAAGGGCAACTCATTTTTAAAAATCTCAACATCCAAATAGAACACTTCATTGTTTTCATCTTAAAAGGTAAAAAATGGGAAGACTCTAAAGAGGCAATTTACAATGTGCGGGTGCCTTATTTTCTGGTAATTTGAAGCTGTTTTTGATGCTGTAATTTGTTTTTGAATTTTGCTGTCCATGTATCAAAGGCAGTTGAGCTGAATGTACTGGAATTCTACAAGTTAGGTGTCTGTTGAATTCCCAGATCCAGGATGCCAAAAGTCAGCACCATGCGGGTCTTAAAGCCTTTCTCTTGGGTCTTATTAGTTGCCATGAGAATTTTCCTCATGGGGGTTTGATTCTTTTTCACGTGGAGTCAACATTAGACTTTTGGACAAAATTTAGAGAACACTGCTGAGTGCTTGGTTCTGCTCAAAAAACCTCATTTTGTAATTCATTCAACAAATACAGAGCATCTACGATGTGCCAGCCATGGTGCCGGGCCTTGAGGGTGCAAGAATCCCTTTACTGTCTCCCTTCTCCTTCCCCCTTCTCCAAAAAATAAAAATTAAGAAGGTAGAAGATGAACAATAGAAAGCAAGCACCATAAAGAAATAAAGAGAGGCACTGCATGCAGAGAGAAACCTTGGTGTCAGATAACCTTGGATTTGAGTCTTCTCTATAACTTCTAGTTATGTGACCTTGGGGAAGCTACTGAGATTTTCAGAGCCTAGTTTTTCTCATCTGTAGAGCAAGCCCAGTCATACCAACCTTGTCGTGTTGTTTGAGCAGTTGAGGTAAGATATGTAAACCACTTACTCATGGTGGATGTTCAACAAACTTGGGCTTTTATTAATCGGAAGCATTTACTTATCGACTCCCACCCATTAGGAACCAGGCTAATGTGGTACCTTGGTTTTTCCATTTTGTTTTTGTTGGGGTCCCCAGAAAGCGATCCTGAGATAGGAATTCATATGCAAGGAAGGAATTTTGGAAGAAACTGGTAAGGGGATGGCAGAAGTTACGTAGAAGAAGGACCAAAACAAGGATCTACTTTTAGGCAACGCCACAGAGAGGGTAGACCTTATGTGCATTACTCTAGAATTGGCATCAACCCCAAGCAAGGGAGCAGGGCTTTCATTCTTATGTGCCTATGAGTCGAGTCATTCACCAAAGAGATGGAAACTTCTAGCTACTCTGGCTCATTGCATGTTGAGGGAAAATTTCTCCAAGAGTCTCAGGTGCTGGTGGTTGGAAACAAATACTACAGAATCTGGAAAAGAGGTGCATGGAAACAAGAAAAAGGATGTGAGGACATCTAGGTGAAGCACCATGTTGGTTATACTTCACTTTTCTGACTTCTCAGAGACATTAGTCCTGGTCCAGCTGGTCCCAGTAAGGAAGATGAGTTTTCCTTGGTTCATAAAAGCAGGACGTTTGGAGAATTTACCTGCCAAAAATATGAAGAATGGCTTTGGGGTCAGCCTCGTTGAAGATAAAATCTCAGCCTAACTTTTTATAGCCCATGTCATTTTGGGCAATCAATTTAGCCTCCTTGACCTAGATTTTCTTACGTTTAAAATAGGAATAATAATGCGCTTTCTGTAGATTTGTTGTAGGTTGAGATGACTTTATATTCCCTGACTTATTTGACAAAGATATGCTGAGCATCTGCTATATGTGAAACAGGGATAAGCATTGGTACACTGAGATGAATCAGGCACAGGTCCTGCCTTCCAAGACCTTGGCATCTAATGGGGGAGGCAGACACATAAATTACAGACTCTGTTTTCTTCCTTATACATTTTTTCTCTCTTTCTCTGTTTCCTTCTCTGTGTCTGTTTTTTACTCAGTTGCATCTTCTCTTCTTTTTCCTCCCCTCTTCCTTCTCCTTCACTTGATCTCCACCTTTCTTTTATTATTATTTTACTTCTTAGAAACAAGGTCTCACTCTGTCACCCAAGCTAGAGTGCAGTGGCATGTGGGCTCACAGCAGCCTCAACCTGTGAGACTCAAGCGATCCCCCAGCCTTAGCCTCCAAGAAACTGGGACTACAGGCACACACCACCCTGCCCAGCTAAATTTTTAAATTTTTTTGTAGAGCCAGGGTTTTGCTATGTTGCCCAGACTGGTCTTGAACTCCTAGGCTCAAGCAATGCTTCCGCCTCGGTCTGCTGAGTAGCTGGGACTGCAGGTGTGTGCCACCACACCTGGCCACATCTCTGCATTTCTATCTTGCATTCTCTGACCCTCACCACTTCCATACCTAGTCTTTATATTAACTGGAGGATATCTAATCTGCTACCCTTTCAAGTCCCTGGCTCCTGCTGCTGTTTTCCAAAGCTTCTTCTGCAAATTGCAAAGCACATAAAGTTCTGGGGAATTCAACTGGACCCAGACCCTCAGGTGTGACAGAAGGAGACTTGGAGATAGGAGAAAACCATCTACAGCTTTACTTAAAGCTTAGGGGTGGAGGAGTGGGGGCAGGAGGTACAATTAGCAGTCCTGAGTGGGCAGTCCTGAGGAGTGGCAAATAGAATTTATGATTAATTGCATTGGGGGGAGAGGGTCAGAGGTGATTTTCCCTGCTATTTGGCACATGGGTAGACTCCTAAGAGCATTAGGATAGGAGCCAGAAATTCTTCATTTTAATTCTAGCTCTGAAACTAGCTGTATTATCTTGGACATTGATTCCCTTATCCATATGATATAGAGGTTGCATTCAGTGATTTTTTTAGGACTCCTCTGACGCTCTTGGTCAGGAACTCTGCCTTCATAAATTTCTTATCACCCCAACCCCATTGTGTCTTACTCTGGGAATGGCACCCACCAGGTGCTTATATATATAACAACAATACACTTATTTTCTGTATTCCAGGATTCTGGGGATGATTAGCTTTGGGTTTGAGAAAGATCTATATTTGGGGCCCTGGAAGCAGACTCTGTTGGCTGGAACCCATTCAGCCATTTTACTGTGAAGTCCATGGCAGCTGCTGCAGATGGTGAGGCAAACCCTAATGGCTTGTATAATGTGGTACTTCTCAGACTTGACCACCATGATTCAGATGCTCTGTGGGCTCAGGAATTTGCATTTTAAGAAACACTTTGGGGATTCTGATGCAAGTAGTTAGTGGACTACTGTTGAGAATCAATTCTAGAAACCTGAGCTTAGTGCTGCTACCAATACTCTATGTGACCCTTACCTAGTAGTGTAAGGTTTTGAACACGTTTCTTCACCTGCACGATAGGGTTCTTCACCCCCACCCCGTCTTCCTGCAGGATTTCTGTGAGGAACAGATAAAACAGCAGATGGAAAAGCTCTGAGAGGCTCCACAAGAATCAAAGATGGCGGCCTTTGTGTGTGGAGATGCAGCATCCCCAAGCTTCCTCCTCTCCATACTCAGAGGAAAAGAGACTGCTGGCAGATAATATTCCAGGGGACACTTCAGCCCCTCACCCCAACTCCTGTATTTGATATTTCTTGATCCCCGCTTCACCTGCTTTTGACTAACTTTTTTTACTCCAGTCATTGCCATGACAACCAGCTATGCAGGTGTACCCAGTTAGCACCTGGCCTAGGTGTGCTTTAAAGCTCTTGCTTTCTGACTCAGTGCCTTGTGTCCTCAGCATGTGCAAACCTGGAAGTGTGAGAGGGTTAACACACCACGGCCCAAACTTTGACTAATGGTTGCGGGGAGAGGGGTATTGGAGATTAGTGGTGCATGTTCCCCTCTCCATCTCTTAGGTAGACAATTCTAAGTGATTTCTTCCAGCTCCTCAGAGGGTCCTAGTGGGTTGGAACCCACTTGCCCATATGGTGGTTACCAGGTCCATAAAGTACCTTGAGGTTGGCTTTTCATCCTTCCTGTTTCATTCTTCCAAGCCCCTCCTCCTTTTCTTTAGGATACTTTCCAAAATAAATACCTGCACACAGTACCTTGCTCAAGTTCTGGTTTAGGGGGCAAACCAGGCTGACACAAAGAGGGCTCTGTTGATGAACCAGCCTGGATCTCCAGTAGTAATTCCAGGTCTAGGATGGTCATCCAACAATTGACTATTTACTTAGTAGCAGAGTGAGGGCAGGTAACAGGAAATGTAACCTGTCCACTTCCTACTTGACCAGCGAGAACTGAGTTCAAATCCCAGCCTTGTGCCCTAGGGCCAGGTACCATGTAGGTAAAGAATTCTGCAACAATGCATAGTACACAGCAAGTTCCCTTAAGACAGATCACAACGTTCTTTCTTCAGTTCCCTCCTTTTCACTCCATGTAAAGTCAAAATCCTTAAATCAAAGTCCTTAAAACAAGCCCAAAAGACCTTCCATGATCTGGCCTCCAAATGCCTCTCTGCCTTCCTGTTGTACTACTCACCCCTTCACTCACTCTGCTCCAGCCCCCACTGGCCTCCTTGCTGTTCCTCAAATGCCCCAAGAATGTGCTCACCTTGAGCGCTTTGTCCATCAACTGGGACAATGTCGTATCCCTCCTCCAGGGGACATTTGGCAATAACTGGACACATTTTTGGTTGTCATAACTTGGGAGATAGGTTGCTACTGGCATGTAGTGCATAGAGGCCAAGGATGCTGCTAAATATCCTACAAGGCACAGGACAGCTCTCCTGCTTCAAAGACAGAAAATTCTCTGTTCCCAAATGTCAGAAGTGCTGAGGGTGAGAAACCCCCAGGACCCTTCTTCATGCTGCAGTCTTCCTCCCCTGGCTCACCCCACATCTGTTGGGTCTTTGATTATATTTCACCTTCTCAGTGAGGCCTGATGCCCTGTTGATACTGAAGCTTGCGCTGCTCATGTCTCCTGGCCTGTCTTAACCTTCTCTATTATTTTCTTATTGCATTCAGCCATTTCTACCATATTATATAATTGATCTACTTATGTTTACTCTTATTGTCTGTCTCTTCTCACTGGGATGGAAGCTCCATGGGGGTAGAAATCTTTGAGTGCTCCCATATGCCCTCCACCTACCACGGTACCTGGAACATAGGCATTCAATAAATATTTGTTGAATGAATTAATGAATGAATGAAAGGAAATACAGTTGACCCTTGAACAACATGGGTTTGAACTGTGTAGGTCCATTTATACTTGCATTTTCTTCTGCCTGTACCACCCCTGAAATAGCAAGACCAACTCCTCTTCTCACTCCTCTTCTTTAGCCTCCTCAAAATGAAGACGATGAGGATGAAGACCTTCATGATGATCCACTTCCACTTAATAAATAGGAAATATATTTTCCCTTCCTCGTGATTTTCTTAATAATAACATTTTATTTTCTCTAGCTTACTTTATTATAAGAATACAGTATGTAATACATATAACATGCAAAATGTGTGTTACTTGACTGTTTTATTATTAGTAGGATTTCTGGTCAATAATAGGCTACTACTAGTTAAATTTTGGAATAGTCGAAAGTTATATGCAGATTTTTGACTGTGTGGGGGTAGGAGTTGTTCAAGAGTCAACTGTATCGTGAGGCTGAGGTTTGAGGTGCATCTCTTCTACTATCATGTCAACGTCATCAGTGCTTATGGGAACACCTGTCCAAAGGTACAAGGGAGATGGCAGTGTGTGTTAGTCTGTTCTCCACTGCTAATAAAGACATACCGAAGGCTGGGTAATTTATATAAGAAGAGGTTTAATGGACTTACAGTTCCACGTGGCTGGGGAGGCCTCACAATCATGGTAGAAGGTAAAAAAGAAGCAAAGTCGAATCTTGCATTGTGGCAGGCAAGAGAGCTTGTGCAGGGGAACTCCCATTTATAAAACCATCAGATCTCGTGAGACTTATTCACTATGGCAAAAACAGTATGGAGGAAACCACCCCATGATTCAATTATCTCCCACAAGATCCCTCCCACAACACATGAGAATTATGGGAGCTAAAATTCAAGATGAGATTTGGGTGGGGACACAGCCAAACCATATCAGAAATATATCCACTTGGGCATTAATTATCCATGGACAGGAGTATTATGAAACGTCCCCATAAGGTCAAAAGGTGACACATTTCATCCAATTTATTTTAACATTCACCAAGATTAGGAAGAGAAAAATAAGACATTACTGAAGGTTACTTTTTTTTTCACTTTTTAAAAATCCTTCCACTTCCTGTTTTCTTCAGGGAGACTGAAAAATGTCTTCTCAAACATTTCTCATTATCAGAACTTAACAAAAATTCTAATTAGGGCTACTGCACACTTCAGTGGTAGTTTTCAAAATGGAGCTCTGGCTTCATCTTTGTCAGGCTGCCAATCTTTTCTATCCTTGCCAAAGATGCCCTCTATAATAATAATACTAATAATTACCATTTATTGAAAGTCTACTATGTGCCAGGCAATTTGCATACATTAGCAGTTGTCTTCACACAAATCATATGAGGTGGGAACTATTAACCCTAATTTTAGATGAAGTGATTTGCCCAAAGCCAAGCAGCTAGAAATTGGCAGAACTGGGATTCAGACTCAAGTCTATCATCTGGTCCAAAACTTTCCATGTCCAGCCTTCACAGATTTAGGGGAGAGAGAAGATAAGACAACAGGACCACTTGTCACTGCTTCCAGCATGACCATCAGTTCCAACCGGAGGGTTTGTTACGAGTTATTATGTCACCAGCCTTGGTTGCTAGGTCTCTCTGGGAACAGAGTTTAGGGAATCCCAGGAGACTCTGAGACACCCAATTAGAAAGGCAATAATAGCAGACTTGAGAATAGACTGATTGCTTATTCATTATTCTTGTTATTTCTGGACTTTTCCATCCATCGTACAGCGGGCTGTCAGCAATTACCATGACGTTCTTTCCAGAAAGGGGCCTCTTGGCCCCACTAATCACCTCCCCCAGAACCAAATAGAGTCTTTCAGGTGGCAAATTCTTCAGAAGCAACATCAAAATGCTCCTGTCTTTGGGGCTTCCCAGTGAATCCTCAGCGGACACCTTGGGGCAAAGTGAAAGCACTGGACTTCAACAAATGAAGAAACAGTCCCTTCCGGGCTTGTTAAGTGCCAGGAGCCTTGTTGAGCAGGTGTTGCCCAGAGGCGACGTGGTCTTGTAATGGATCAGTAGATTAATACCAAGTAGCAGAGGATCAGGCCTGAACCTGAACTTGAGCTGTTTGAGCAGCAGGAAAGTATCTGTTCCCCTCACCTCCCAGGAGGAGCTTCTTTAATTTTTTTTCCTTCTTTCTATATCATCCTCTTTTTCTTCTTTGCTCCTCTATCTAATAACACTGCAGACTTGGATACCTGGCTTTAGCAGGTGGAGGACATCACTGATGCCTGTTACGTCCCCTAACCTCTCACTGCTTTCTCACACTTCCTCTTCTCTCTCTTGCTATGGTTCTACTTTGACTATATCTTTCTCCTTCATGCTCCTTTTCCTCTCTGTTCCTCTTCCTCTCCCTCAATTCTTCCCCTTTCTGTCTCTCTCTCTCCCTCTCTCATTCTCTTTCTGTCTAGGCATCTTTCTTCCTTTTTGTTTCATGCATTTCTCATCCTCTGAGATCTGCCTTTCTCTGAAACACATTCTCTCTGTTTGACCTTATGTCTCTTCTCTCTTGCCCTCTATCTTTGGGACTCTGTGTCTCTTTATGTGTGTGTCTTTCTCTTTCATATACATACAAAGGATTCATTCTATCTTTAGGTCAGTTCACATTAAACCATCACTGCCATCTTTCACTCCTACTTCTGTTGTCTAAAAAAAGTACCATTCAAGTTCAGAAGGCAGAAGTGAAATCCAGATCTGGCTGATTCCAAAGCTTGTGATGTTAGGAGCTGCCTCAATTTCCTTCTTCCTTACCTTCCACATCTAAATCTATTTCCAGTCCCTGCAAATTTCATGCTCTAAATATTTCTTGAACATTAATTCTACCTCCCAATCCTTACTACTAATTTATTCATTCAACATATTATTATATGAGCACCTGCTATATGTGGTAGGTCTAGGGAGAAGTGAAAGAAAAGACTTAAGAAGACATGACTCCAGTCTATGGGGAAGAGAGATGATCACTATCTTTCCTCAAGTTTGCATCATTTCATGCCCAGATTAATAGAACAAATTTTTCTCAGCTCACTCTCCATACTGCAGCCAGAATACTTAAATTTATGCTTAAATCCTTAACATTTCTTCCCTGTAGAATAAAGAGGTGTCATATAACAACCTTCCTCACCTGTCCTGCAACCTCACCAGACTCATATTTTACTATTTTTGACCTTTTTATGTTCTAGGACAGTTAGGCTATTGGAAGTTCCCCCATACATTCACCATGCTGTTTCTACCACCTGGCCTGCCTGTTTCCTCTGCCAGAATAACTTTTCTCCTACATCTGCTTAATCCTAATAATCCTTTAAGACGCAGATCAGATTCTTTCCTGCCTTCCCAGCCTCGATTAGGTGCTTCTTCTCATGGCCTGTAAATATCCATTATTGAAATTACAGCATATTGTATATGTGTATGTATTTATTTATTTATTTTGAGATGGAGTTTCACTGTTGTTGCCCAGGCTGGAGTGCAATGGTGCCACCTCGGCTCACCGCAACCTCTGCCTCCCAGGTTCAAGTGATTCTCCTGCCTCCGCCTCTCAAGTAGCTGGGATTACAGGCACGGGCCACCATGCCCCACTAATTTTGTATTTTTAGTAGAGATGTTGTTTTCCGTGTTGGTCAGGCTGGTCTCGAACTCCCAACCTCAGGTGATCCGCCCACCTCGGCCTACTAAAGTGCTGGGATTACAGGCGTGAGCCACTGCACCTGGCCGTATATTGTTTGATAATCAGGTGCTGAGGTGTCTTTCTCCCTACTAGACTGGGGGCTCTTTAAAGATTAGTTTGTCTCTGAATTCCCATTGCCTAGAACTGAGTGTAAAGTCAGGCAATTGATAACTCACACTTGAATGAGTGAACAAATGAATGAGTGAGGAAATGAATGAATATTTCTTTTACTACACGGTGTTGCCTTTTGAGTATTTATAATAAGGGTTATTGAGGACAAGAATAGTTTATGATTTGAAAGTTCTAGGGACTGAAAACGTTCCTTTGGTGAGGAATGTCTTAGACCCCTTTAAGCAGCTGTTGAAATCAGTGAACCTTCCCCCAGAAACATACACATACACACAATATGTTTGATATACTTGCAGGGAACTTATAGGCTCTCTGATGTTCATCTATGCCAACCTCTGGTGCCCTTGAACCCAGTGTTAAGAACTCCAACTTTAGAAATTATGTCAGGGTACAAACGACCATCCAGAGACTCTCTGCCCATTTACGAAGTTTTGTAGGAGCAGAGATGAGAGTAGAATTTGTGTTTTCTGCCTTTTTTCCCTTACATTCTTTCTCAGCCAAAGAGTTTGGCCATTGGTAAGGAACCATCCCAGGACAAGCTTTTCTTTCTAGCACTGTTGCTACTAAATGAGATACTTCATTAGAACCCTGGAGAGTGACTTGGAGATGCTGCGTAGGGTAATTGAATGCAATTAAGCTGATCAAGTTGTGCCTGGCTTACTTCTTATTCATTACGTGACAAGTTATTTAACCTCTGGGACTCTCCTTTCTGATCACTAAGATTGGTCTAACAATAACAAGCCCATAAGGCATTAAGTAGCTAACATTCAAGGGTGGGGACTGGGACAATATCGGGTATACTGTCTACGCTCATTCATACACCATCATCATCATCACCACCATCATCAGCTCTCTTGGCCTATGTGAGGCTTTACCTTTTCAATAACATCATCTTATTTTGATCACCCCCTTTTGTAAAGTACGGGAATGTTGGCAGATATTTCCTCCAGGTGTCCACTTCTGCCAGTTTAAATACCGTGGTTCTAAGAAATACTCCACATGTCTTTGCAGGTGTTGCCATGGCTATATGAGTGTCCACCAGGGATCATACATTTATGTAAAAGCCCTTAACATGACTTTTAGAGTGTGAAAGCTCCCTCTCTTCTTAATATTTTAGGCTCCCTTCTGTGCTACTTAGAAGCTGATGAAATCTGAAATCTGCTCATTATGTGCTTTTTGGAGGAAAACCCAATTTAAATACTTTATTTTTTTTGGTGACATAAACCTGTGCTTTCCATGTTCTTTGTAAAGAATGCTGAGATTTTGCAAGCATCCTTCGCTAAATAAAAACATCATGACCAGACTTCTCAGTATGCCCTGTGTGGATGGATAGTTTAGCAAGTGGACAATAATTGTGCATTTTCTTAATTTCAAGTGGCTGAAATTTAGCTAGAAAATCTTAGCATCTGTAAGGCCGTGTAATTGTATTCTTGACACCATTTAGCCATCTGCCATCTACTCTCTAATCTTAGTTTCCCTCCCCTACAACTCCATTTGGACACAGTAAAGGTTTGATTACCTTGAATAGTCAGAGTAAAGCAGATTCTGAATAAATAAATTTTCTGGTTCATTAGGGAGTCATACTGGTATAAAAAATTCTTAGACAGATCTATGTTTGGGTATGGTCACAGCCATTTGTTAACTGTGTGTCCTTTAACTTAACTTTTCAGGGTCTTCATTACTCCAGCCAAAAAAATAGTAATGAAAATGGAAACACTTCAAGGTTTCTTTGAAGACTAGAAATAAGTTGGTGAAGGATATGGCATATAACAGGTGAACAGTAAGAGTTGGTTCTCTTCTCTTCTACTTAGTCATTAATTCATTTCACAATATGTTGAATAATTACAAGGCCCCCAGCACATTCCTAGGAAATAGGGATGCAATGGTGTATTAATTACTTTTCATGCTGCTGATAAAGTCATACCCGAAACTGGGAACAAAAAGAGGCTTAGTTTGATTTACAGATTCTGAGGCTGGAGGCGAGGCCTCAGAATCATGGTGGGAGGCAAAAGCCACTTCTTACATGGTGGTAGCAAGAGAAAAAATGAGGAAGAAGCAAAAGCAGAAGCCCCTGATAAACCCATCAGATTTCATGAGACTTATTCACTAGAAAGAGAATAGCATGGGAAAAACTGGCTCCCATGATTCAATTACCTCCCTCTGGGTCCTTCCCACAATACATGGGAATTCTAGGAGATACGATTCAAGTTAAGATTTGGGTGGGGACACAGCCAAACCATATCATTCCACCCCTGGCCCCTCCCAATCTCATGTCTTCACATTTCAAAACCAATCATGCCTTCCCAACAGTTCCCCAACGTCTTAATTCATTTCAGCATTAACCTAAAAGTCCACAGTCCAAAGTCATCTGAGACAAGGCAAGTCCCTTCTGCCTATGAGCCTGTAAAATCGAAAGCAAGCTAGTTACTTCCTAGATACAATGGGGGTACAGGTATTTGGTAAATACAGCCATTCCAAATGGGAGAAATTGGCCAAAACAAAGGGGTTACAGGGCCCATGCAAGTTCGAAATCCAGTGGGGCAGTCAAATTTTAAAGCTCTAAAACGATCTCCTTTGACTCCAGGTCTCACATCCAGTTCATGCTGATGCAAGAGGTAGGTTCCCATGGTCTTGGGCAGCTTTGCCCCTGTGGCTCTGCAGGGTCCTGCCTCCCTCCTGGCTGCTTTCACAGGCTGATGTTGAGTGTCTGTGGCTTTTTGAGGCACATAGTGCAAGGTGTCAGTGGATCTACTATTCTGTACACTGGAAGATGGTGGCCCTTTTCTCACAGCTCCACTAGGCAGCCCCCAAGTAGGGACTCTGTGTGGGGGCTCCAACCTCACATTTTCCTCCTGCACTGCCCTAGCAGAGGTTCTCCATGAGGGCCCTGCCCCTGCAGCAAACTTTTACCTATGCATCCAAGAGTTTCCACACATCTTCTGAAATCTAGGCCAAGGTTCCCAAACCTCAGTTTTTGACTTCTGTGTATCCACATGCTCAGTACCACATAGAAGCTGCCAAGGCTTGAGGCTTCCACCCTCTGAAGCCACGGTCCAAGCCGTATGTTGGCCCCATTCAGCCATGGCTGGAAAGGCTGGGACACAGGGAATCAAGTCCCTAGGCTGCACACAGCATGGGCACCCTGGGCCCAGCCCATGAAACCATTATTTCCTCCCAGGCCTCTGGGCCTGTGATAGAAGAAGCTGCCATGAAGGTCTCTGACATGGCTGGAGACATTTTCCCCATGGTCTTGGGAATTAACATTAGTCTCCATGCTACTTATGCAAATTTCTACAGCCAGCTTGCATTTCTCCCCAGAAAATGGATTTTTCTTTTCTTTCTTTCTTTTTTTTTTTTTTTTTTTTTTTTTTTGAGACAGGGTCTTGCTCTGTCACCCAGGCTGGAGTGCAGTGGCGTGATCTCGGCTCACTGCAAGCTCCACCTCCTGGGTTCATGCCATTCTCCTGCCTCAGCCTGCCGAGTAGCTTAGACTACAGGCACCCACCACCATGCCCAGCTGATTTTTTGTATTTTTAGTAGAGATGGGGTTTCACCGTGTTGGCCAGGATGGTCTTGATCTCCTGACCTTGTGATCTGCCTGCCTTGGCTTCCCAAAGTGCTGGGATTACAGGCATGAGCCACCGCGCCTGGCCGGGTTTTTCTTTTCTATTGCATAGTCAGGCTGCAAATTTTCCAAACTTTTAAGCTCTGCTTCCCTTATAAAGCTGAATGCCTTTAACAGTACCCAAGTCATCTCTTGAATGCTTTGCTGCTTAGAAATTTCTTCCCTGAGATACCCAAAATTATCTTTTTCAAGTTCAAAATTCCACAAGTCTCTAGTGCAGGGGCAAAATGTCACCAGTCTTTGCTAAAACATAACAAATGTCACCTTTACTCCAGTTCCCAAGAAGTTCATCATCTCCATCTGAGACCACCTCAGCCTGGACCTTATTGTCCATATTGATGTCAGTATTCTGGGCAAAGCCATTCAATGAGTCTCTAGGAAGTTCCAAACTCTCCCACATTTTCCTGTCTTCTTCTGAGCCCTCCAAACTGTTCCAACTTCTGCCTGTTACTCCGTTCCAAAGTCGCTTCCACATTTTTGGGTATCTTTTCAGCAGCGCCCCCCTTTACTGGTACCAATTTACTGTATTACTTCATTTTCATGCTGCTGATAAGGACATACCTGAAACTGGGAACAAAAAAAGGTTTAATTGGACTTACAGTCCCACATGGCTGGGGAGGCCTCAGAATCATGGCAGGAGGCGAAAGGCACTTCTTACATGGTGGCAGCAAGAGAAAAAATGAGGAAGAAGCAAAAGCAGAAGCTCCTGATAAACCCATCAGATCTCGTGAAACTTATTCACTATCACAAGAATAGCAAGGGAAGAACTCGCCCCCATGATTCAATTACCTCTGCCTGGGTCCCTCCCACAACACTTGGGAATTCTGGGAGATGCAATTCAAGTTGAGATTTGGGCGGGGACACAAACCGTATCAAATGGTAAACAAGACCATCTTGCCTATGCCCATGAGGACTCTAGATGTGAAATATGACATACTCTGTGATTGGGAATTTAGGGTATTTTAGGAGTCCATGGGAGAAGACTCTAGTCCGTCCAGTCAAGATCTGTAGGTTTATAGATGATAATGATAATGATCCTGATAGCGGTGGTGGTTGTAGTGGTGGTGATGGTGATGATGGATATCATGATTTTGATGCTGTTGATGATGATGTTGACAGCACTCACATTTTGTGCCAGACACTGACATTAAGTGTCTTGAGCAAGGCCACAAAGCTGGTAAGTATCAGGGTCCAATGCAAACTGAGGTTCTTCCTAATTCCACAGCACCCCCACCAGCTCTTTCCAAGCTGATGAAACACCAGAATTTATTCTGAAGTTGACTAGGAATAAAATTTGGGGCATCCAAATCCTTGCAGTGCGATTAAATTCACTTTACCCTTTCTTATAATCCAGACCCACTGTTTACAAAATTTTATAACTTCAGGTAGGAAGAAGCTGGTAGATTAATGGTGGCACTTGTCTACCAAATGCCATGTGCTGAGGGTACATCATCATAAACACTTTCTGTGACCTGAAATGGATATGGGCTGGTGATCATGGTTTCATGAGCCCAAGAGGACTGTGACAAAGAAAACTGAGATAGGAGTTAATGAGACTCAAACCCATCTGTAGCCAGAATTAGATATGAGTATCCTCAGGAGTCGAAACATCTCTTGCCTTAAGTTCTGTGGCTGAGGATATCAGTAGGCAAGATTCTGCTGGCAGGTGTATCCTGCAGGTGTGTCACTGTGCAGCCTTCATATCAATAATATGACAACAGCTTCAAAAGTAATAGATAGATAACATAGACATTAATTAAATCAGTCAGACTCAGAAAATTGAGATAAGACCCAGCAGTTCTCTTTGAGGTTCAGACTGAGAGGAAACCAACATCTCCACTATCCTCAAATGCCCCCAAACAATTTGGCAAAACAACAGGTTGTCAATCCTCCAAAGAAAACAAAATAAAACATACAAAACCAGTCCTGATATGCTCAGTTTCTGAAAAGAATGGGATTGATACCAGCCAGAAACTGATGAGAGGCAGCTGAGCACCTGTGCAGTGCAGCTAGGCTGTCTTAGCTTTCATGCAACATCCTTAACACTCTAAATTCTAGATCCTGGCATCCACAGCTCTCTTATAAGCTTCTAGTCTCATTTCTCAGTTCCCTCCTTCCTCAATTGCACTAGTAGCCTTTTAGCTTTCGCTGCACTCTGTCTATATCAGAAGGCTTATCAGGTTGTATCACACTTGTTGACCTGCTGCTTTGCCCAATAGCCTGGAGGATCTTTTAAGACAGAAACTCTACTTTATTTACTTTTTCAACTTGACCCATAGAAGGATCAATAGAGAACTTCCATATTCTGGCCCGGTGAGTAAGTTCTCAAAAAAATTGTTATTGTGGAAGGAAGGAAGGAAGGAAGGAAGGAAGGAAGGAAGGAAGGGAGGGAGGAAGGAAGGAAGGAAGGAAGGAAGGAAGGAAAGAAGGAAGAGGCAGGGAGGGAGGGAAGGAAGAAAACAGATGTTAGCTACTCCCTTGTGTAATGGAACACTCCAGCATGAAGTATGGTTTTTGGGGTGAGCTACATTCACTGTGCTTACCCAGTTGAGAGATATAAAGCTAATTTTTGCTCATTCAGGTTTAAGTTACAGGGAGAGCATTAACTATCTACTCTCTTCCTTCTAAATCACTCTCCCCAGGGCACCTATGCCTTGCATTCCCACTTCATACATAGACATGAGGGTCTCTTTTTTATTCCCCATCTCAATCTAGACAATAAGAAGCCTCTGTTTACTTGCCTTAAATTTTCTTGCAACGTAACTATTCATTCCTGTGGATTTATAATTTGTCTCATGTCTTAAACCCCATTCCCAGAGCCTTCACTCCACCTCACTCAGACCATCCCAACTACACTACATTTCTCATGGACATTTCTCATCTCTGTTTCCCCTGGGGTGGGAATTCGGCAAGGACTTTTAACTTGATGAGTCCGTGGTCATGGGATTTGTGGATACCTCCCAATAACTCTATTGTCAGTGATATGGTTTGGGTCTGTGTCCCCACCCAAATCTCATGTTCAATTGTAATCCCATGTTGGAGGTGGGGCCTGGTGGGAGGAGACTGGATCACGGGGCGGAGTTCTCATGAATGGTTTAGCACCATTCCCTTGGTGCTGTTCTTGTGATGGTGAGTGAGTACTCACAAGATCTGGTGATTGAAAAGTATATAGCACCTCTCCCCAAATTCCTCTTGCATTGGCCATGTAAGACATCCCTGCTACCTCTTTGCCTTCTGCCATGATTGTAAGCTTCTTGAGACCTCCCCAGAAGCTGAACAGATGACCAACACTATGCTTCCTGTACAGCCTGCAGAATTGTGAGCCAATTAAACTTATTTTCTTATAAATTATCCAGTCTCTGGCATTTCTTTATAGCAACCCAAGAACAGACTAATACAGTCAGGGACATATAATTCCTACATGACTGTGTATAAAATCTTGTGTGGGATTCTGCCAATACCAATTTCCTGGGTTTTATTGTGTAGTATAGTTATGTAAGATGCCACCTTTGGGAGAAGCTGAATGATAGGTACATGAGACCTGTCTGTACTATTTTAGAAACTTCTTGTGATTCTATAAATAATTCAAAATAAAATGTCTTTCAAAATCTTGTGAGGCAACCAGATATGTAAAATAGAAAAAAAAAATCTTCCTTATATACCTGTTTCTTTTTCAAAAAGGAGAGTCAGATCTTTCCTTTATTTATTAAAGTGGAATTTTATCCGCAAGGTTATGTAAACACTGATATGACTACTTAAGCAACTCTGGGCTCATACCTCCTTCCCCAACATAGTATGTCTTGCTTTATGGGTGGCTGTCATCACCTGTGTCTGCTTCTACAACTCAATAGGGGAGTTAGGGAGGGAGACATTGTTTTAAATCTTTTTTTTTTTTTTTTTTTCCTGAGACTGAGTCTTGCTCTTTTGTCCAGGTTGGAGTTCAGTGGCATGATCTTGGCTCTCTGCAACCTCCACCTTCCAGGTTACAGTGTTTTTTGTGCCTCAGCCTCCCAAATAGCTGGGATTACAGGTGGACGCCACCATGCCTAAAATTTTTGTATTTTTAGTAGAGACAGCATTTCACCATGTTGGCCAGTCTGGTCTCGAACTCCTGACCTCAAGTGATTCGCCCCCCTCGGCTTCCCAAAGTGCTAGGATTACAGGCTTGAGCCACCGTGCTGGCCTGTTTTAAATCTTGAGAGTGGAGGAAACCAGGGGCGGAGTTTCTTTTGGTTGTCTGACCTCAGGATGAAGCATCCGGTGTACAGTTAAACATTTTGCGCTTCAAAGGTTAACTTCTTGCTAGTAGTTCTCCTATTCTTCATTATTCTAAACAGAATGTCTCTCTTGCTTCTAGTCTTGAGTTGATTTTTAGATTTTCTTTCTAATATCTTAGGTTTAAGTTAGTAGTGAGCTCTGGTTTAGGAGTAATAATAAAAGTAGAGTGAAAAAACAAAACAGCACTGAGCACAGAACCCTCATCTTGGGGAAAGAATTCACCCCAATATAAGAGAATTAAATCTTTGTCTTCCCAAAGAGAGAAATCAATAAATAATGTCAAGAAAGTAATAATTCCCTCTCCTTTCTCTTCTTCTCCCTTTCCAGTCTCCTCCCTTTCCCCTCGCCTTTCTCCTCCCCTCCCTCGCTCCTCCTTTTCTCGTCTTCTCTTCCCTTCCCCTGTTTTTCCCCTCCTCTTTTCCTCCTCTTCCCTTCCCTCCTCTCCTCTTCCTGTCCCTCTGCTCCCCTCTCCTCCCCATCCCTCCCTTCCACCCCCTTCCCCTCCTCATCCCTCCCTTCTTTTCCCCTCTCCTCCCTTCCCCTCCCCTCCCTTCCTGTTCCCCTCCCCTTCCCTTCCCCTTCCCTTTCTTCCTGTTCCCTTCCCTCCCCTCCTCTTCCCACTCCCTCCCCTCCCTTTCCCTCCACTTCTGTTCCCTTCTTTTCCCTCCCCTCCCTTCCCTTTCTTCCCCTTCCCTTGCCTTCCATTCCCCTTTCCTTTCTTCTTCTTTCCTTCCCTCCCCTCTGCCCTCCTCTTCCATCTCTTTCCCCTCCCCTTTCATCTCCTTCCCCTCCACTTCCATCCCCTTCCCTTCCTTCCCTCCCTTCCTCTCCTCTCCTCTTTCTCTCCTCCCCCCTCCCCTCCTCTTCCCTTCCCTTCTCTTTCTCTCCCTTCCCTTCTCTTTCCTTCCCTTCCTTTCCCTTTCCTTCATTCCCTTCCCCTCCTCTTCCCTTCCCTTCTTTTCCTCTCCCTTCCCTTCCCCGCCCTTCCCTCCACTCCCCTACCTTCACCCCCTCCTCTTCCCTCCCCTCTCCTTCCCTTCCTTTCTCTCCTTTTCTCTCCTCTTCTCTTCTCTCCTCTCCTCTCATTCATTCAACAAATATTCATCGAGTGCAGTGCATACAATCATCAAACCATGTGATATATGCTGAGGATAATGAAACCAATGAGACACTTTTCCTTCTTTCTAAAAGTGGAGAGTTTTGTATGGGAGACAGAAACCATCTCTTACAAGGAAAAGAGGCAAAAGATAACTGGAAAAAAAAAACAAGAATCTCTGGAGCATTTTGTTTTTAAAAGAATAATGTGCCAACATCCCAAGTGTTCTGGGTATCAATTTACACTGAAATCAATTTCCTAAACTCAAATTCATCTTTATCTGTAGGGTTGGACACTGAGAATTTCTGTTATTAAGATATAAGATTAGGAAAGAAAGATTGAATTTTGCTCATCAGACAACAGATATAAAGTGGATGCATATCTTGTTTTTGCATTTTCATGTTCAGTGGGTGATTCTTAAAATATGTTTTTAAATATCAAAGCAATTGCATGCACATAGTTAAAAGCATAAATCAGCTTTATAAAGGAAAGCAGGAGTCTCCTTTGCCAATGTCCCCGCATCTCTTCTTTTGGGCACATTCCCAAAGGCAAGGGATTTTAATGGTTAGCTGTTTCTTCCAGAAAGTTAGCTTTATGCTGTATTTCTAAATATGCATGCATTATTATTTCTTTATTACCCTTTCCTAGATATTATTTATTGATTTCCCTCTTTGGAAAGATAGGAATTTAGTTTTCTTATATGGGAATAAATGCTTTCCCCAGTCTAGGACTAAGATGAAGGCTCTCTGTCTCTAAGAGCCTGGAGTGCTTCTCTGGAATGACTGCAGGCTGTTTGTTCCCACCATGAGGATTGTCCAGGCTAGAGGGAGCTAGCTTTGATGAGGGCAATGTTGGTTCAAGCATGCAAGCAGCATTCCCACAGGTACTGGCTGTTGTTGTGTTTCCCATTTGGAATTGCTCAGGGAGGCTCAGGCCCCCCAGAATATAGGCTGGCATTGTAAACGAAGAAGAAAAAAACACACAACTTTTAAGATGGAAAACTCTTGCTGGAAGTCCAAGGATAGCTCTGGGGACCCTGCTGGAGGAGAAATTGAGTAGGTAGTGGTGGGTGGAACAGAGAGAAAAAAGGACATCTGCAGAGGCCCTTGCACATCAAGGAGGGAAGGATGAAAAACAGTTACTCTTAGGAATAAGACCTTCATATATGATGACAACAAGCGGTGGGGAAGGCAGGGATTATTTAGTACCCACTGCTGGGACAAATTTGGCAAAAATTCATGTTGATTCTTGCATCAGATTCAACACTGAAAAAAGAAAACCTATGCCTTCTAGATAAAGCCAACGGCTTAAAATTGTAAATAAAAATAATCACCAGGACAAAATAAAATTGAAGATTTATCAAGTTGCTGAAAAAGAGGACTTTGGGTGGATAAAATCACAAAATAAAAGATGGATGTAGTTGATTGTATTTTTAAAAATGTCTTTAACTTTAAAAATGTTTAAAAAGAAGCCAAGTGGGACCATATTCTAAGATGACAAACCAAGACTTGCTAATTTTAACATCAAGAGCCTATAGAATTATTACAAAAATCACTAAGATCCTGAAAGCTAAATTAGATAGGAAAATAAAAATCACAAGGAGGAATCAAAATGGCTTTAAAAACATATGGGAACATATTCAACCTTAATAGTAATCAAAGAAATGCAAATTAAAATGGCAATACTATTTTCAGCTGGCAAATGTATAACATTTCCAAAAAATGAGACTACCCAAACTGATGGGGGTGTGGTGAAATTGATACTGTCATGCACTGCTGGAGGTAGTGTGAGTTTGTACAGCCCTTTTGGAAAGCAACTTGGCAATGTATATCAACAGCCTTAAAAAGATCCGTGCTTCTTAATTCAACAATTCTACCTCCAAGACAGCAATCGTAAATGCAGCCAAAGTGTTCTGTATTAAAAACTCTGTGGTGGTGTTATTTATAATGTTGAAAAGGAGGATGTAATCTAAATGTTTAACATGAGGAGGAAAGGTTAGGTAAATGATACAGTCCAGTTGCTGGATTATTATAAGCAACTAGTAGTGGGTCAGACCAACCTGAATCTATTCTCTGCTCCATCTTCTCTGTGTCCCAGGGAATAGTGCTTACATTTCTGTAAAATTGAACTAATAGGATCCTGCAGGGTGGTTGTGAGAATTTGGCCAGGTATTTGTACATTGCCTGAGAGGGGGTTCTTTTCTTGTTTCTCAGGTTTTTTTTTTTTTTTTGGCTCAGCACCTGGCACTATTCTATTGGAATAGACATTTCTGTGACGAATAGGATACTTATGGCCAAAGGATTCCTCCAGGAAAACATTAACAGGAGAAAGGGGCTCAAAGGGCTTAAGGCCAGGAGAGATGCAGCTGGATGCAACTGCTACACAAATTCATGGGGGCACTTCTAGGACCTCATCCCTTACTACCCCACCCATCAGCTCCTCTCCTGAAACTCTCAATTCTATTGTGATCAAATCAATGTTTTTGTGATAGACACTGGGGGTAAAAATGGGGGCCAGGGAGATGTTTGGCATGCTGAGATGAATAAACCATGCCTTATGTTGAATAAAAAATTTTCTCTAGCTCTTGCCTGTAATCCCAGCACTTCAGGAGGCCAAGGCGAGTATATCACTGGAGGTCAGGAGTTTGACACCAGCCTGACCAACATGGTGAAACCCTGACTTTCCAAAATATACAAAAATTAGCTGGATGTGGTGGCACATGCCTGTAATCCCAGCTACTTGGGAGTTGAGGCAGGAGAATCGCTTGAACCTGGGAGGCAGAGGTTGCAGTGGGCCAAGATCGTGCCATTGCACTCCATCCTGGGTGACAAAAGCAAAACTCGGTCTCAGAAAACAAACAAACAAACAAAAATGTCCCTTTGAGAAATTCATGTTGTACAAGACTTAGCAGCACATAATGTTCCCCATGTAGAGGAAATGGGGAACATTACACTTCTCCGTAGTGTTAATGGTCTTGTTCTCATCCTCAATGTGAGCGTATTTTCCTTTTTTAGTGTAGTGGGCACAATTTCTTGTGATTTTTCTTTCCTAATGAGCTGAAATGTCTTCATATTAATCCTGGAGATCCTTTCATTTTAAAAAATCAACATGCATCCAGAATAAAAAGCAATTCTTGGGGAAAACCACAACTAGCTTTGTGACATATTTAGCAAGTATTTGCTGAGTACATATTACGTGTCCAATTGGACACATGATACCAGTTATACCCACTTACCTATTACCAGTTATATGTACAGCTTTATCATGTGTGGCAAACAGATGTAGCAGTTAATTCAGGGTCTCAGTCCTCAACAAGCTGTGATCAAATGGTGGAGACATCCAGGTAAAAAAAAATAATGATAACATGTAGTCAAGGGAGCTTGCCTGTGCTGCATATGAAGTAACATGTGCAGAAGACAGAAGGGAGGTTCTGTTCAGGAAGAGAAGTCAAGGAAGGGTTTCAGGAGGTGGTAAACTTTATCTGATCTTTGAGAGAGAATAAGCTTGTCAATGTTTGAAAGCAAAACACTGTAGGGCTTTTGTGGCACCTATGCATCCTTTTAGACTATATAGCATGGTTTTGAAGGCAGAGAGCCCTGGATTAAACCCCAGTTCGGTCGGTCACCAGCTGTGTACATTGGAAATGCTACTCAACCTCTCTGAGCCTTACTTTCTGCATATGTAAAATGGTCAAAGCAATACTTCCCCTATGGGGGACATACAGGAATAAATCCTCCTCCATATTTCCAGGGATATCCAGGCTTCTGGTGATCACAAACAGAAAACACTTCCAAGATGGGGCTTTCTATGCTCCCACTGCCATCTATCTTCCCCTCTATGGTCTCTTAACAGTGAGCCAGTGAGCCTCTGCCAAGCAGGCTCTTCTGCTGTTGATTCAGTGGTAAGCTTGGAAAAGCCACTTCCCTTCCCTGTACCTTGGTTTTCTCATCTAACAAATAAAGGAGGTAAACAAAAATAGCGCCTTTCAGCTATATCATTCTGAGAGTGTTCTAGGCAGAGGAGACAGTATATGCTAAGGTCCTGGGTGATATACTAGAGGTGGTATGGATAAAGAGAAAGAATTTAGGAGGCAGTGGCTACAGTAAGGCTGTAGAGGTAGGTGGGAATCTGTGCCTCAGAGAGGTGATATAACTTGCCCAAGGCCATCTATCTTATAAATAGGGGATCTGGGATTTGATTCAAGGTCTGGAGCAGAATCCATGCTCTTGCAATCACCACAGATTTGGTGAAACTTGGCCTCTTTAAAGTTCCCCACTAGCGAGGCTGACATTTGCCAAAAGTGAGTTTTTGTTCAAGGGCATTAGAATGAGACCCAGAGAGCCTGACCCAATTATAATTACTCTACCTGCCACAGAACATTTAAAACCAACCACATTGGGAGGAAATGTTTGCTGGGCTCTGATAAGGGCTTACATGGAGCAATGCCCTGCCTTGCTCACCGGACTCCAACAGAATCCAACTGTTTACTTGGTGGAAACTGCAGTTTGTCTTTATTTACATTTCCCCTGATGGTGAGGGTCAGCAGGCTGCAACCTGGCTGAGACAAGGAGTAGGACTTTGGAGCATTGGGCTGATACATTGCGCAAAGCCTGTAGAATTCTACAGACCCAACAAGAGCAGGAGTTGGGGGCGAGGGGCAGTTAAGGACACCATTGCAACTCTCCTGGGCACCTCCACTGGAATTTTGAAAGGAGATCTTTTGTACAAGGCAAAGCAGACTTGGAAACAGAATTTACCCTCCTAATGACTTGCTCTTAGGAGAGTGAGGAAGGAAAAGAGAAAATGAGGGCGATAGAATGAGCTTTGCAAGAATGTATTTACAATTAAATTGCATTTTAAAGGAAATGTGGAAATCCTTGCTCTGCAGAGAAGTGAAGTGGAGAGAAGCCAACAAATTGTAGTCAAAAGTGTACCAGCTTTAGAGACAAGAAGACTTCGGTTGCAATGCTGGATCTACAATTATTGGTTGTATGACCTTGCCCAATTAACCTAGCTGAAGATCAATATCTGAAAATAAGGATAATTATACACTTACATAAGGAAATGATTGTGCAGGTTGTAACACAGCTGTCACTAAATATGATTTTTCTGTCTTATTAATCAAGATATATGTACAATAAACAGGAAATGGGGAGGGGTAGAGCACCTTGGAGTCATAAAAGTAGACTCTGATTAGAAGTATAGTGGTTAGCATCTGGGAATCATTTGATAAGTCTCCCTTTAAGAAGAGATAAATTTTGAGCCATGGAAGGTAGCATCTCCTAGAGAGGGAGTTAGCTCTATAGCCTGACTTGGGAAGTAGATCAAGTGGTACCATTTCCTTGGGTTCTGAGAGTTTAGGAAAGTGTGCATACTGACCACTGACCTCAGACCCTGAGAAGGGATATGGGGAAGACTTTGGGGTTCAGTGGGTAGCAGGGATATATCCCAAGTCTGACACCCAAATCAAATGCTATAATGTGGAGCTCACATTTGGGCAACTTTGACCAAGCTCAATGCAGAAGCAATGGAATCCAAGAACCACACTGGTGATCCGGGAACTGTAACATCAGTGTAGAGAGAAGGAACAAACATTACCTGTTGGACTCTGTAGAACAGTTCCCTGGTTTGTAGAATCACCTGGAAAGCTTTGGAAACAAATAAGTGTCCTGAGCTCCATCCCCAAGCCCATTAAATCAACGTCATCATGTGTAGCCAGGCTTGAGAACCACAGATGTAGACCAATTTAAAAAAGCACTCAGGTTGTTTTCAGCTTAAGGTTATTATGACCAGTGCTGTTATGAATATCCATCCATGTGTAAGTCAGCGTGTACGGTGGTGAAGGAGTTGACAAAACATTCTATATCCCTACCATGGGATATTCTTCCACCATAAAAAGAAACTATTGACACACACGACATCATGAATGAACCTCAAATATATTATGTAAAGTGAAAAAGAAAAGAAAAACAGACAGAGAGACCACCAAATTGCATGATTCTAGGTATATGAAATGTCTGGAAAGGTAGAAACAGAAAGTAGATTAGTGGTTGCCTGGAGCTGGAGGTGGGCATAGTGATGAACTCAAAATGAGGATGAGGGATCTTATGGGGGGGGTGTGTGTGTGAGAATGTTCTAGGCTGGGTGTGGTGGCTCACGCCTGTAATCCCAGCACTCTGGGAGGCTGAGGCGGGTGGATAACCTGAGGTCAGGAGTTCGAGACCAGCCTGAACAACATGGTGAAACCCCTCTACTAAAAATACAAAAATTAGCCGGGCATGGTAGCAGGCACCTGTAATCCCAGCTACTTCGGAAGCTGAGGCAGGAGAGTCACTTAAACCCAGGAAGGAGAGTTTGCAGTGAGCTGCGATTGTGCCACAGCCTGGGCGATAAGAGAAAAACTTCATCTCAAAATTAAAAAAAAAAAAAAAGAGAGAGAGAAAATGTTCTAAAACTGATTTATGACGGTGGTTGCATCACTTGGTAATGTTACCAAAAATTATGGAAGCATACAATTGAAATGGGCACTTTTCATAATATGTAAAATACAGCTCAATAAATTTTTTTATAAAAGCAATAAAGTAGGAAGAAACAATAGTGATCGCCGACAGTTTCAAAGCAGTTGCTGTTCTTTTTTGAGTGTGGAAGTTGTACAATGACCCTACAATGACCTTTCCACCCCTCTGCCACAGGTAGACTCCATAAAACCTCATTTCTTTTTTTCTGTTTAAAAACAATTTTTTTTTAATAGAGATGGAGTCTCGCTATGTTACCCAGGCTGGTCTTGAACTCCTGGACTCAAGCCATCCTCCCACCTCGACCTCAGAAAGTGTTGGTATTACAAGCGTGAGCCACTGTACCCAGCCTAGAACCTCAGTTCTTTTGAGTAAAATTGATGAAGAGACCTAACAGAGGGTTATCAGAGTTTGGGCCAATCTTGTAGGTGAAGGACTAAAAAGATGACTTGGAAAAATAAAATAAATATCATCACATTTATACACTAAATTTATAGAACAGCTGATACCAGTTATGTGAGGATTGAGTGAAATATATGCATACTGGTAGAATGCCTTGGCAGTTGGAAGATGTACAACAGTTATTAATCCCCTTTTCCTCCATCTCGGGAAAAACCTGTTATCTTTCTCTCTTCTTCTTTACAATCTACCCCATCCCATTGTTTACCATCAGAACTATACCTATATTGAACAGATTTTTTTTATTCTCTGCAACGCTTAGACTTTACTGATTGACTCACTGATATTTTTTCTCTCTCTCTGTTTTTATTTGTGATGTTAAACTCTCAGAACAACTGGGGTTATTGCTTTCTCTCTCATTTCCTGAACTTGCAAAGCCACAGAATTGGAGCAGTGGCAATGATGTATCCAAGCCTCCAGTTGATTCATCAGAATTGGTACATTTCACCCCATTCCACTGGCTTCACCTGCAATTAGCTGTGAACCTCCACATGGGACAAAGTTTATTGAAGTATTATTAATATTAAGGACCCAGTTTTCAACTGTGCATTCCCCTTACACCAATGCAAAAAAAAGAGATTCTACACTCCTGGTAAGACATCTCAACGACATGTCCTAATAGACACATTTCAAAATCTCAGATCTGTGACTGTGGACAAGTTGCTTAACCCCTGATATGGTTTGGCTGTATTCCCACCCAAATCTCATCTTGAGTTTCCATGTGTTGTGGGAGGGACCTGGTGGGAGGTAATTGAATCATGGGGGCTGGTCTTTCCTGTGCTGTTCTCCTGATAGCGAATAAGTCTCATGAGATCTGATGGTTTTAGAAGAGGGAATATCCCAGCACAAGCTCTCTCTCTGCCTGCTGCCATCCATGTAAGATTTGACTTGCTCCTCCTTGCCTTCTGCCATGATTTTGAGGCCTCCCCAGTCACATGGAACTGTAAGTCCATTAAACCTCTCTTTCTTTTGAAAATTGCCCAGTATTGGGTATGTCTTTATCAGTCAGCAGCTTGAGAACGGACTAATACAACTCGCTAGAATCACTCTTTGTCTGTTAAATGGGAATGCCTATTGCACAGGAAAATTATGAAAATTCAACAAGAGTAGTTTTACAAAGAGGCCACAGGAGCAGACATAGGGCAGGGTTTCAGTGAATGTTCATTTTCTCTCCTAAACCTCAGAAACTTAAGAATCTCTAAGATTTTCATGAATTATCAAAGTCCATGGTTACCCATGTATCTGGAATCGGAAATCACTTTCCAATAGGACAGTCTCCCAGGGCCATCAGAGAGTTGGTAGGAACTGAAAATACCACTGTTGAAAGAGAATCTGGGCTCTTCCAAAGTAGTTGTTTTTAGAAAAGAATCATTCACTGTGTGACCTTGAAAAAAATCACTTAACATCTTCAGTTTTCTCACTTAGTCAAAAGTAAGATATTTGTCTAGACAAGTATCCATAACACATGCCATTGGCTTGCTTACCTCTTACTTGAAGGCTCGTAAGATGAAAGCATAAAAATATGTGTTTCTGTCCATCATTTACTGCACCACTCCAGATAAAAGGGGAAGATGGATAGGCCATCATCTTGAGTTGTCTTTATTAATCAATGTTTTTAATTTGGTGTTCTGGCTCTCAGTCTCCTTACATGAATCCTTTTTGATGCTCTGGGTAAATTTCCAGTTGCTATATACAAGATTGTTCTGCTTTAGCATCAGCTTTTATGGTGTGATTCCTTATATATATATACTTAGGAAATGCACTTTATATTGCTAATACAACTCTTGAAAAAAATTTTCTTTCCCTTGCTAATCAGTTGAAATGCCTTGAAGAGGTCACCCACTCCTATAGTTTCGGATGCAAATGCTTATAAATGGTTTAATTTTAAGTTTTAATTAATTATTCCAGCCTCTAGCAGCTGTGCAGTGAAGTGGTTGTTAATTCCCCATGGTAGAGATAATGTGAGCAGACAGAAGGGATCCAAATTACTGCTGGCTGACCCTGAAAGAAGGAGGGAAGAGAAAGCTCCTGATTATGTCAAGTGGCCCAAATTCCATGACATGCCAACTCTGGGTGGAATCAGAGTGCTTGAAAAAGTCATTCATGTTGCCTCGAAGCTGGAAAAGCCACTTAGCAATGATAGCCATCCTTTGGAGGAAATCCAGTGAAATCTAACGTGTTTCGGGCAGGACTCACTAATTCCCTGCAGCAGAAACACCTCAGCCAGTGCTGAGAATTCAATCAATTGTCCTTTCGTCAAGCACAAATTCCCAAGATCCATTGGAAGTGTGGCCCAGAGCGCTAATGATTGGGTCCACTGTGAGTTGGGGCCATGGTTATTTGATCCAGGAGACCTGTCACTCACTATCAAGTCTAAATTCCTCACTGATGACAAGGTATGAGGTCAAACCTCCTTCTATTCAGAAGACATTTGAGTGCAGCTCTACCGTCTACCAGCTACGTGAGATTGGGTAATAAAGACCTCACAGGGCTACTGTGAAGATCAAGTGTGGTAACTGATGAGTTAGGTGTTCACTCTACATTGTTTCTCTTACATAATGAGGTTATTTATATTAATATTGGTTGTTTTTCTTTTTAGATCTTTTCTATGCATATTTTAATGTAATTGAGATTGCACTGCATAGACAATTTTGCCTGGATATAGAAATAAAAGTTCAACACTATATTCTATTAGAGCTTCAGACTTTGCTTTATTGTTTTAGTAATTAAGTCTAAGGTCAATATGGTTCTGATTTCTTTCTATGTAAACATTTTTCTCCTTTCTTATCAATATTTTACAATTTTCTTTTAATTTTTTGTGATTATAATATATTATCAAATGTATGAGTTCGATGTAGTAATATTTTAAGAATATTTGGATGTATGTTCATGAGTACATTTGGTGTGTAATTTTGATTTCAGAATGTCTTTGTTTAGTTTAAATAGTGGCATTATGCTGGCCTCATAAAACATGGGAGGTATATATCCCTCTTCTCTATTTTCTGAAAGAGCTTACCGTTAGTATGATTTCTTCTGTGAGTGTTTTATAGAACTCACCAATAAAATCACCTTGGCTTTTCATCTTGTTTGTGAAAAAATTTTTAATAGAAAATTTAATTTCTTTACTAATATTCCTTTATTATCCTTTTAATGTCTCTAGAATCTCTGAAAATAACCTCTCTTTCCTTCCTGATTCTGTTACTTTGTATTCTCCCTCTTTTTTCTTGATTAGTTCTAACTAGGTCTTCATCAATTCTGTTGAAATTTTTATTTTTTATTTTTAAAAAAAATTAATTTAATTTTTCCATAATTTATTGGGGTACAGGTGGTATTTGGTTACGTGAGTAAGTTCTTTAGTGGTGATTTGTGAAATTTTGGTGCACCCATCATGCGAGCAGTATACACTGGACCATATTTGTAGTCTTTTATCCCTCGCCCCCTCTGTCTCTTACCCCTAAGTCCCCAAAGTCCATTATCATCCTTATGCTTTTGCATCCTTATAGCTTAACTCCCACATATCAGTGAGATGTTTGGTTTTCCATTCCTTAGTTACTTCACTTAGTTTAATAGTCTCCAATCTCATCCAGGTCACTGCAAATGCTGTTAATTTATTCCTTTTTATTGCTGCATAGTATTCCATCATATATATATATAGCACAGTTTCTTTATCCACTCGTTGACTGACAGGTATTTGGGCTGGTTTCATGATTTTGCTGTTGTGAATTGTGCCACTATAAACATGCATGTACAAGTATCTTTTTCGTATAATGACTTCTTTTCCTCTGGGTAGATAGCCAGTAGTGGGATTGCTGGATCAAATGGTAATTCTACTTTCAGTTCTTTAAGTAATCTCCACACTGTTTTCCATAGTGCCTATACTAGTTTATATTCCCACCAGCAATGTAGTAGTGTTCCCTGTTCACCATATCCATGCCAACATCTACTGTTTTTTTATTTTTTGATGATGGTCATTCTTGCAGGAGTAAGGTTGTATCACACTGTGGTTTTGATTTGCATTTCCCTGATCATTAGTGATTTTGAACATTTTTTCATATGTTTGTTGGCCATTTGTATATCTTCTTTTGAAAACTGTCTATTCATATCCTTAGACCACTTTTTGATGGGATTGTTTGATTTTGTCTTACTGATTTGTTTGAGTTAGTTGTAGATTCCGGATATTAGTTCTTTTCAGATGTATAGATTGTGAAGATTTTCTCACACTCTGTGGGTTGTGTTTACTCTACTGACTGTTCCTTTTACCATGCAAAAGCTCTTCATTTTAATTAGGTCCCAGCTATTTATCTTTGTTTTTATTGCATTTGCTTTTGGGTTCATGATCATAAAATCCTTGCCTAAGCTAATGTCTAGAAGGAGTTTTCCAATGTTATCTTCTAGAATTTTTATAGTTTCAGGTATTAGGTTTAAGTCCTTAATCCATCTTGTGTTGATTTTTGTGTAAGATGAGAGATGAGGATCCAGTTTCATTCTCCTACATGTGGCTAGCCAATTATCCCAGCACCATTTGTTGAAAAGGGTGTCCTTTCCCCACTTTATGATTCTATTTGCTTTGTTGAAGATCAGTTGGCTGTAAGTAATTGAGTTTATTTCTAGGTTCTCTATTCTGTTCCATTGGTCTATGTGCATATTTCTATACCAGTACCATGCTGTTTAGGTGACTATGGCCTTATGGTGTATTTTGAAATCAGGTAGTGTGATGCCTCCAAATTAGTTCTTTTTGCTTAGTCTTGCTTTGGCTATGCAGGCTCTTTTTTGGTTCTATATAAATTTTAGAATTGTTTTTTTTTCTAGTTCTGTAAAGAATGATGGTGGTATTTTGATGAGGATTGCATTGAATTTGTAGGTTGCATTTGGCAGTATGGTCATTTTCATGATTTTGATTCTACCCATTCATGAGCATGGGATGTGTTTCTATTTGTTTGTATCATCTATGATTTCTTTCAGCAGTGTTTTGTAGTTTTCCTTGTAGAGGTTTTCGGACTCCTTGTTTAGGTATATTCCTAAGTTTTTTTTTTCTTTTTTTGCAGCTATTGTAAAAGGGGTTGAGTTCTTGATTTGATTCTCCACTTGGTCGCTGTTGGTTTATAGAAGAGCTACAGATTTGTGTACATTAATCTCATATCCAGAAACTTTGCTGAATTAACATATCAGGAGCTTTCTGGAAGAGTCCTTAGGGTTTTCAAGGTAAACGATCATATGGTCAGCAAACAGTGACGATTTAACGTCCTCTTTACTGATTTGGATGCCCTTTTTTTCTTTCCCTTGTCTTAATGTTCTGGCTAAGATGTCTACTACTATGTTGAAGAGGAGTGGTGAGAGTGGGCCTCCTTGTCTTGTTCCCATTCTCAGAGGGAATGCTTTCATCTTTTCCTCATTCAGTGTTATGTTGGCTGTGGGTTTGTCATAGATGGCTTTTATTACCTTAAGGTATGTCCTTTGTATGCCGATTTTTCTGAGAGTTTTAGTCATAAAGTGATGCTGGATTTTGTCGAATGCTTTTTCTGCATCTATTGAGATGATCATGTGATTTTTGTTTTTAGTTCTGTTTACGTGGTGTATCACATTTATTGACTTGCGTATGTTAAACTATCCCTGCATCCCTAGCATGAAATCCACTTGATCATGGTGGATTATTTTTTTGATATGTTGTTGGATTCAGTTAGCTAGTATTTTGTTAAGGATTTTGGCATCTATATTCATCAGGGATATCGGTCTGTAGTTTTCTCCTTTGGTTACGTCCTTTCCTGGTTTTGGTATTAGGGTGACGTTGGCTTCATCAAATGAATTTGGTAGGGTTCCTTCTTTCTCTGTCTTGTGGAATAGTGTCAAAAGGATTGATACGCATTCGTCTTTGAATGTCTGGCAGGATTCTGCTGTGAATCCATCTGGTCCCGGAGTTTTTTTGTTGGTAATTTTTAAATTACCATTTCAATCTCACTGTTTGTTATTGGTCTGTTCAGGGTATCTAATTCTTCCTGATTTAAGCTAGGAGGGTTGTATTTTTCCAAGAATTTATCCATCTCTTCTAGGTTTTCTAGTATATGCACATAAAGGTGTTCATAGTAGCTGCAAATGATCTTTTCTATTTCAGTGGTGTCAGTTGTGATATCTCCTGTTTCATTTCTTAGTGAGGTAATTTGGATTTTTTCTCTTCTTTTCTTGGTTAATCTTGCTAATGGTCTATCAATTTTATTCATTTTTTCAAAGAACAAGATTTTTGTTTCATTTATCTTTTGTATTTTTTTGGTTTCAATTTCATTTAGTTCTGCTCTGATCCTGGTAATTTCTTCTGCTGGGTTTGGGTTTGGTTTGTTCTTGTTTTTCTAGTCCCTTGAGGTGTGACCTTAGAATGTCACTTTGTGCACTTTCAGTCTTCCTGATGTAGGCACTTAGGGCTATAAACTTTCCTCTTTGCACTGCCTTTGCTGTATCCCAGAGGGTTTGCATTCAGTTCAACAAATTTTTTAAATTTCCATCTGGATTTCGTTTTTGACCCATTGCTCATTCAGGACCAGGTTAGTTAATTTCCGTGTATTTGCGTGGTTCTGAAGGTTCCTTTTTGAGTTGATTTCCAGTTTTATTCTACTGTGGTCTGAGAGAGCGCTTGACATAATTTCTATTTTCTTAAATTTATTGAGGCTTGTTTTATGGCTTATCATATGGTCTATATTGGAAAAATTTCCATGTGCTGTTGAATAGAAAACTTATCCTGTGGTTGATGGAGGAAATGTTCTGTATATATCTGTTATGTCCATTTGTTCCAAGGTATAGTTTAAATCCATTGTCGCTTTGTTGACTTCAAAGTATTTACAAGAAACCTTCCAGTTATTAATCTCAAATTTAATTCTATTGTAGTCATAAACTAGTCTCTGTTATTTCAATCCTCTCAAATTTATTGAGACTTGTATGGACCTGCATATGATCTACTTTTGTGAATGCCTTAATTATTTGAAAATAATGAATATTCTACAACTGATGGATGTAGAGGTCTATAAACATCAAAGATGTCCAGGCAGTCGATAGTATCATTCAAGTGACCTACATCTTTATCTAAAATATCTGACTATGATTGTGAAATCACTTCTTTCTCCCTGTGGTCATGTCAGTATTTGGTCCATTTGTTTTGGATGTCTGTTTTCAGGTGCATATGCATTTATGATTGTTGTCTTCCTGAAGAATTATCTGTTTTAGTATTATGTAATGTCACTCCAGTAATGCTCTTTGTATTAATTCAATTTTGTTAGGATGTATAGGTTTTTCAATACATACAAAGTATCTATTGTCCTTATTTTGGTAAATTGTGTCTTTGAAGGAATTAGTCCATTTCATCTAAGTTATCAAATGTGTGAGCATGGAGTTGTTTGTTGTATACATTTACTCTGCTTTAAATATTCATGGGATCAGAGTAGTGATGCTACTTTTTCATTTCTGATATTAGTAATTTGTATCTTCTCTCTCTTTCTCTTTTTTTTTTTTTTTTTTTTTTGGTTAGCTTGGCTAGTGGTTTATATCAACTTTATTGAAACTTTCAAAAAGCCAGCATATGGCTTTGTTGATTTTCTCTATTATTCCCTTGATTTCTATTCCATTAATTTCTGTTCTTTCATCAGAAGACCAGTGCTCTAACCTCTGAGCTTGAGAGCCTCATTATGCTTTTATATTATTTCTTTCTATCTAATTGCTTTAGGCTTAAATAACTCTTCTTTCTCTAGTTTCTGGAGGTGGACAATTAGTCTATTGATTTTAGATATTTATTATTTTCTGACTTGTTCATCGAATATTATGGATTTCCCTCTAAGGACTGCTTTCATTGAATCTCACAAATTTTGCTAAATTGTATTTTCATTTTCATTTAGTTCAAAATATTTTAAGAAGTTTTTGAGTCCTCTTTGACTTGCCTATTATTTAGAAGTATATTGTTTATCATCCACACATCTCAAGAATGTTCTAGATATCTTACTGTTATTTATTTCTTATTTAATTATGTTGTAACGAGAGTATATACCTAATAAGATTTCAGTTGTTTAGAATTTATTGAGACTTAGATATCTACATGCAATGAGGTTGTACCCTTTCCTTGTATCATACCCACCCTTTAACTCAAAATCAATCAAGAATCTAAATATAAGAATTATAACTATAAAGCTCTTAGAAGAAACCATAGGAGAAAAGCCTCATGACAGCAAAAGACATGTGACAAGTAGATGAGTTGAACTACATCAAAATAAAAACCACTCTGTGCAGGAAAGAATGCAACAAGCAGTGAAAAGGAAACCCAAAGAAATGGGAGAATATATTAGGTTGATGCAAAAGTAATTTTGCAGTCTTTGCCACTACTTTTTAAATTCTTATTTTATTTTTTATTTTTAAAATTACTTTTAATATGCCATGTAGATACTGTGCGAGTCACATTATTTACATTTTCTCATTCAATATAACTTAATTCTCGTTTTTAAAAATATCTATGAGCCAGAGATGAAGATGGAGATGGGAAAGATGAAGAGACTAATGCTACACAGAGCGATTGCACAACTTACCCAAAGTTATACAGCTAGTAAATCACTTTTATTATTATGGATGTTTCTTTCTACCTCTTTAAAATTCTTTGTCATGAAATCTGATGTTAACATGGCTTCCTATAGCTCTTATCAATATGGTTTCTTATTAATATGTTTTTCTGCTTTCTTGTGCTTACTGTTTGCATAGTATATCTTTTTTCGATTATTTTAATCTCAATCTTTCTGTATACTTTTATTTCAAAATGTGCATCTTCAGATAGTATGATGACTTCTTCCTTTTAATTTTGGTGTGGTCCATTTACATTTAATGGAATTACTGAATTGATTGTATTTAAGTCAACTATTTTTCTGGTTTTTTTCCATTTTCAGTTTTTGTTCTCATTCCTCTGTTTTTTTTTTTCTTTCTTTTCTTTCTTGGGGTTATTTAAATGTCTTTTAGCAATTTATTATATTTTCTCTTAATTTTTCAATCATACTTTTTCTAAGATTTTCAGTGATTGTTCTAGGTATATCAATATATCTTCTTTGTAAACCAATTAGAGTTTATATGGAATCATATTGTACTTTTTTATATTTCACACCAATTAATGTACAATTTTTGCTTTCTTTTTCCATTTTTTTCCCTTCATACCTGGGCCACCTCCCACCTTCCTAGTTTCTGCTTTATCCTTTATGTTTTATTCATAAATGTGATACTTCCAACAGTATAATTTCATTACCCAGCACCCTTATGATGCTTTATATACTTGTTTTATAATTTTACTTCTATATTTGTTTTAAACTTCATTTTACAATGTTATTATTTTTATTCAGTCAGTGCTAAGAGATGTTAACTTAAATTTTCTCATAATTTAAGAACATTATGAGAAAAAGAAAACAATATTTTATATTAAATTACTTATTTACCATTTACAGTGCTCATCACTCTTTTGAGTACATTCAAGTTTCTATCTGATATTATTTCTCTTTGGCTTGAAGAATATCCTTCTACATTTCTTCTCATGCAGGCATGCTGGTAATGTATTCTTCCAGGTATGATTTATCTAAAAATGCCTACATCTCACCTTTAGTTTTGAAGGCTATTTTTGCTGTATATAGACTTTTTGATTGCCAACTTTTATTTTTTCCTTCAGCATATTCAAGATTTTTTTGTTATTGTTTCTGGCCTCCCTTGTTTCTGACAAAAAGTCAGTAATATTTTTTACATTTGTTCTCTTGAATTTTATGTGTTTTTATTTTCCTACTTTAAAGATTTTTTGTCTTTTGTTTTCTACAGTTTAACTACATAGTTCCTGAGTGTGGTTATATTTATATTTACTGAGTTTCTTGAACTATAACTTACTGTTATATATTTATCACACTTTTGTGAAATGTTTAGCTATTACTTCTTAAAAATAAATATTTTTTCTGCTTCAGTATTACTCTTTTCTCTTTTGGAGACTTCAACTACATGTATGTCAGATCATTTGATATTGTCCCACAGGATCCTAGGACTCTGTTACATTTTTTTAGCTTTTTTTGTTTTGTTCTTTAGGTTGCATAACTTTCAATTACATGTCTTTAAAGTCACTGAATGTTTCTTTTGCTCACCCAGTGAGTTTCTAAATTTCACATATTGGACTTTTCGTTACTATACTTCTAAGTTCTAGCCTTTTCATTTGATTTTTTCTTGCATTTTCTATTTAACTGCTGAGATTTCCTGTCTGTCCACTCATTAAGATTACATTTTCCTTTAGGTTTTTTTAAATATCATTTGCGAATATGTATAATCACTGTTTGAAAATCTTTGTCTGCTTAGCGTCATGCTTGGACCAGCTCAGGATTGGTTTATATTAATGACTTTATTTTTCTTGACTATGGTTCATTTTTTCCTGTTTACTTGTATGGCTAGTGGGTTTTAATTGAATACTGGACATGGTGAATAATATAAAGACTTTGAATTCTAGTTTTTTGAAGAGTGTTAATTCTTATCTTAGAAGGCAATTCAACTACTGGTTGATCACTAGGAACTTTGTGCAACTTTGGCTTTACATTTTGCTTGTTCAAATTTTATTTAGAATGTATTTATCAAATTTTTCTAACTCAGCTAACTTCCACCTCCTAACTCTGTCTCCCCTGCAGATCTTATTTGGGTTTTCTTTTAGGCTTTGTTAGGGTAGGCCAAAGCGGTAGGTCTTACTCTAGTGTATTAATCTGTTCTCACACTGCTAATAAAGACATACCCAAGACTGCGTAATTCTAAAGGAAAGTGGTTTAATTGACTCACAGTTCCAAATGGCTGGGGAGGCCTCACAATCGTAGTGGAAGGCAAGAAGAAGCAAGTCACATCTTACATGGTGGCAGGGAAGAGAGAATGAGAGCCAAGCAAAAGGGGTTTCTCCCTATAAAACCATCAGATCTCGTGAGACTTATTCACTACCATGAGAATAGTATGGGGGAAACCACCCCCATGATTCAGTTATCTCCCACCAGATCCCTCCCACAACAGGTGGGAGTTATGGAAACTGCAATTCAAGTTGAGATTTGGGTGGGGACACAGCCAAACCATATCATCTAGGATGTGTCTTTATTCTAAAATGAGGACATTCTTGTGTCTTTGCTGGATTTCAGGTATGTTAATGATGTGTTAACAAGATCTCTCCATTCTAGGACCAGAACCCCAACATCTCTCGGCACTCTTTTTCCTTCAGCACTCTTGATCTCTAGTGTCTAAGTTCCATTTTCAACCCTAACTTTTGTTGTCTTCTAAACCTTGGGACATCTCACCTTGAGAATGGACAAGCTAGCCCTCAGCCATACACTTACAAGTGACCCCCTGCATGGACTTTTAGGGCAACCTCTCTGCACATCTTCCATCCTTTTGATGCCTTCATTAAACATTACTCATGAATTCATTTATTAAACAGATTGCAAGCTGCTTCATTGCATATATTTCAAACTCTGCTCTCTGCCTTCTCAACTTAGCAGAACTGCTGTGCTCTGTTGAGACTCCTGTTTTCTGCATCACACTGGAGAAATTTTCCCCAAGTATAGAGCTATATAATCACAGGACTTACCTAGGTGTTTCCTCTTTCATGAATCACAATCTCGTGCTGCCTGTTTTCCACCGTCTGAAAAACCTGTTGGCTTCCATATTTTGTCTACTTTTATAGTTATTCACAGTGGGAAGTCTAGCCCAGTACCAGTTACCCTTCCATGGACAAAAACAGAAGCATTAACATTTTCTTTTAGTATCTTGAATTCAGATAGTATCTTTAGAGTATATTTAGATGTAGTGCTTGTATTTCTTATCATTGCATTTAAAATAGTGCCTGACACACAGGTGATCAATAAAAATGTGTTGAATAAATGTGATTTACCTGCTGATTACCTGGTCAGCTCTTTCTTTAGCTCAGAAAAATTTCTTTATTATGCATTTCATTATTTATTTATTTATTTACTGTAAGACAGAGTCTTGCTCTGTCACCCAGGCTCGAATGCAGCAGTGCAATCTCAGCTCACTGCAGCCTCCGCCTCCTGGGTTCAAGCTGTTCTTGTGCCTCAGTCTCCCAAGTAGCTGGGATTACAGGTACGTGCCACCATGCCGGGCTAATTTTTTGTATTTTTTGTAGAGGCGAGGTTTCACCATGTTGCGCATGCTGGACTTGAATTCATGGGCTCAAGTGATCTGCCAGCTTTGGCCTCCCAAACAGCTGGGATTACAGGCGTGAGCCACTGTGCCCAGTCTTTTTTATTCTCTTTGGAACATTTGCTAAACAGATGTTGGATCTTCTGGATGTATGTTACCTGTCTTAACTTTCCCCTCACCCCATGTTTGATCTTTTTTTTCACTAGTTATAACAGAATTCCTCAGCTGGGTGTCCCAGGCCGGTTTTTGGTATTCATGGATAGCCTTTTTTTTCTTTTACATTCCACCCATCTATTAAATTTTAGCTTTTAATTTGACAATCATGGCTTTAAAATTTTGTATTTGAGAGTTTGAGAGTTCAGGTGTTTTCATTTCCTTAGCAGCCTGCTCTTTCTTATTGATGTGATGGCTCAATAAGTTACTTCATTTATTGTTAACTGTTTCCTTACACATGATTTGTTTACTGTACTTTGAAATTCTTTTTCATACAGTTAGATTCATTCCAATGTGTGGTATTTATTGGTTGCTATTCACAATAATTGATGAAATTTAAATTGAACGATGTTGGCAGCTGGGGAGTAATTCTTCTGCCCAAGGCAAATTTCATGTTCTCTTGGCAATGAATGCAGATTTAGATTATAAATGCCTTAATTCAGGTGTAGTTTTTTTTTTTTTTTTTTTTTTTTTTATAAAAGGAGGCAGATGAGGCCGAGTGAGATTTACTTTAACGTATGTGGGTGGAAGATTTTCAGTTTTGAATGTGATCTCCTTGTCTTGCCTGGAAGCTGTAAGCTATCCAAGGTATAGCCCCACTTCTCTAACCATAGATCCCGCTTTGGGGACCTTCTTTGTTAGAGTTTCTGGGTTGGAAATCTGTATATAAGACATTATCCTAAGTGTAAATGTCAGATAAAGCCAAGGCCTGGCTTAACTGCTTTATCTTTTAATTACTTATCCTGCTGACAACCCACAAGGTGCTTGTTCTTTAACCCATCTGTTTTCATTGCCAATCTCTTCAGGCTGATTTTCTCTTCCATCAGAGGATACTGGTGGTTCTCCTCCTATCTTTCCAACTCTGTCAGGGGTTGTTTTTAAGTATGTGTATTTATCTTCTACCATTTTAGTCATGTGCTTTATGAAAGGAAAATAAATTTGAGACCCCAAAAATCACTAAGCTAAAGGGAAAAGTCAAGCTGGGAACTGCTTAGGGTATTCTATTCAAAGCTCACTGGGATAAATGCATATTTGATTGCCTCCTTTGAAAAGGCTAATCAGAAACTCAAGACAATGCAACTGTTTGTCTCTAATCTGCCTATGAGCTGGAAGCCCCCTCCCCTCTTGAGTTGTCTTGCCTTTCTTGCAATATTCATCTTACATCTATTGATTGATGTGTCATATCTCCCTAAAATGTATAAAACCAAGCTAACCAAGCTATGCCCCAACCACGCTGAGCACATATAGGCAGGACCCCCTGAGGCTGTGTCACAGGCATGCATCCTTAACTTTGGCAAAATAAACTTTCTAAATTGACTGAGACCTGTCTCAGATATTTGGGGTTCACAGCTTTAAACCCGAAGTCTCCACTTACAATTTTATATCCTATTTTTCAGTACCATTGCTGCCAAAGATTTTCTTTGTCATTAAATTTATTCACACCAGTGTAAAATTACAGTCAAGAGCCCGCATAAAACAGGCATACAGCTCTGAGTGAACCAATTGTCTGGGCAAAATATAACAGCCAGTTTGTTTGTTCCACAGTGATTAGAAAAAAAATTAAACCTATATTAGGGAAAAAAAGTAACAAGAAGAAACACGTCATCTGCAAAATATATCGGAGAGCTTTGATGTGTGTTTGTTTATCACTAGAGGATAATCACTGATAAAAGAAATCTCATTTGCAGATCAAAAGTATCCTAGGACAGCAGACATCCATAGATAGATTTTCAAGAAAAGGAAATGAAGTTAGCATAAGCCCAAATAAACTTCTTGACCTGATACGTAAAGCCATAAAAATGATGCTTCTTAGTGGTCTTACACACAGACTCCCAGTAAATGAGATGAAGCTGTGGGGAATTTTTTTGTTTTTGTCTTTGTTTTTAATTCTTATTTTTTTATTAAGAACTAAGCTGGATGAATTATGGCCACCAGGCAAATGGAGTGTGGGTATATGATTGTGTATTTTTGTTAATTTTTTTTAACTCATTACCTCTTCGATTCACTCATTAAACAAATATTGATTAAGTATCCACAACAGACACCAAACACTACTTCTACCATTAAGGAAGTCCCACTAGAAGAAGGAAAATGTAAGTACGTTATTTAAAACACTGTAACATGGCCCTACAATAAGATTAATAACATGATCTACGCTATCACATAAGAACCCAATTAAATGTGGAAGGAAGGTAAGGCCTACAGGTTCATTGATGGAGAAGAGTGTGGATGGAAGAGGCTTTTTAGGAGATGAGAATGTGTTCAGTTTTGGACTTCTGACTTTGAGGCACCGGTGGAACTATTCCGTGGCAGAAAGATAAGTTCATATGTCGCTTATGTGCGAATCTGAGCTGAAGTTTATATCTGAGTGGCTAACATGATAATGATAATACTCTCCCAGATGGAGAACAACTAAGCTGAAAAACCAGAAGGACTAGAAGGAGTTAATCAGGTAAAGATCACTGGCATGGAGTTTTTAGATAGAATAGATGTTGAACCATTCAGATGCATTTGTGAACATAATATGATTCAAAAGAATTGTAAGTCGATCCACATGGCCAAAATAAAGAGTGTGATGGGGAGAAAGCAAGGAATATTGCTGGAAGGGATAGTGGGAGTCAGACCCTGCAGGGTCTTTTATTTGTGCTGGCTTTTGTCCAGAGGAATAGCATCATCAGGTTTTGGATGTAGAGCATAGACTGGATCACAAAAAGAAGAACTGGAATTGCAGGGACCACCTAAGTGAGTGTTGTAGAAATTCAGCTGAACAATGATAGTCACTTTCACTAAGATGTTCTTGGCAAAAATGAAGATAAATGGAGGCCTCCTAGAACTACTTAGTGGGTATAATAAATAGAATCTGGCGAGTGTTTTCACCTGAGAGTAAGGGAGAAGGATGCATTCTGTTGAAGCCCCTTCGCTAATGGGTGAATACAGGTCCATTCACAGAGAAGAGTGTGGATGGACGAGGAGCTTTGGGAGGTGACAGTGAGTTCACTTTTGGACTTCTGAGGGAACTATTCCATAGCAGCAGGTTATGTTCTTATGTACCTCATGTGGGAATCTGAGCTGAAGATTATAGCTGGGTGGCCAAGGTGATAATGACAATTGAAAATATGGGACTAGGTTAAAAAAAGAAAAACAACCTATGAAAGAGCATACAGAGACAAATATCAGAGAGATAAGAGAAAAATGGGACCATGTTGGCTATTGGTCAGCTTAGTCTGCCATAACAAAATTCCATAGACTGGGTGGCTTAAACAATAAGAATTAATTTTCTCACGTTGCTGGGAAGAGGCAGTTCAAGATCAGAGTGCTTGCATGGTCAGGTTCTGGTGAAGGCCTTCTTCCTGGCTCACAGAGGACGGCCTTCTCATTGTGTTTTCACATGGGAGACTTGAGAAGAAGATAGGGATTGGGGGAGAGAGAGAGAAAAAGGGAGAGAGGAAGGGAGAGAGAGAGACAAAGAGAGACAGAGAGAGAGATCAAGATCTGTTTTCGGCCAGGTGGGGTGGCTCACTCCTATAATCCCAGCATTTTGGGAGGCTGAGGCAGGTGGATCATGAGGTCAGGAGATCTAGACCATCCTGGTCAACATGACAAAACGCTGTCTCTACTAAAAATAGAAAAATTAGCTGTGTGTGGTCACATGCGCCTGTAATCCCAGCTGCCTGGGAGGGTGAGGCAGAATAGCTTGAACCCAGGAGGCAGAGATTGCAGTGAGCCGAGATCACACCACTGCACTCCAGCTTGGTGACAGAGCAAGACTCTGTCTTAAAACAAAAACAAAAACAAAAACAACCTGTTATCTTTTTCTCTTCTTATAAGTCCACAATCCTGTTGGACTAGGGAACTCATTTAATCTTTAATCCTAATTACTTCCTTAAAGACCCCATCTCCAATATAGTTACATGAAAGTGAGGGAGTGAAGGCTTCAATATATGAATGAGTGAGGCTTCAATATATGAATGAGGTTGGTGCACAATTCTGTCCACAGCAGTTGGTATCACCTAAGCCAATGAAAACCTGTCTTCAGGAGAGAGTGAGTGGTAAATAGGGTTAGAGGCTGCGGATGAGTTAAGGAAGAGGAAGACTGAAATGTGTGCATTGGCATTGGAATGTCCGCAAAGGAATTAGAGTAGAGCACTTTCTCTTTCCTAGCCCACCCTCCTCTCCTCTTTCTTCTGGCATTGTGTTGTCCTGTCTCTTGTCTATCATATTCCCATGTTTTCCCTCTGGCTAAAAAGGTGGGCAGATGACATTGCCCTGCCATTTAAAGTTTCTTAAGGGTGGGCAAGTGACCTAAACTGAGTCCATCTGAGTCCTGTCTGGCACTCAGTTTTGGTTGGTGGGGGGGCGGGAGGGTTGTGGCAGGGTTGGGGGGTGCTGATGGGAAAGTTGATTGCTTGTTCTTTGGGTCAGGGTTCTAGAAAGAAGTAACCAGGGAATTACTTTCAGTTGTGGGACAAAAGTCCTTGTGCAGAAAGAAAAGATAAATAAGCAAAAAGCAAACAAACAAACAGAAAACAAAAAAAAACCCCAAGAGGATCAGACAATATATTAGCAGTGAAAGTGATGAAGGAGGGTAGGAAAGAAGGAAGGAGAAAAATTGGGTAGGGAGAGACAGAGTGAGAGTCAGAGCAAGAGCTAGAGAGAGAGAGAAAGAGAGAGAGAGAGAGATTGAGAGAGACTGGAGAGTTGGTTTGTTGGCTGATTAATTTCTGGGAGCATTGAGTTTCAGAATGAATCTGCAAGCCCCAAACTCTCATGTCTTTTTCTTTGATCACTGTAAGCAACTCTAACTTTCTTTTCAGACACATGATCCCCAAATTCTCTTTTGCCTAAGCTAGTTTGAATTGTGTTTATACTTTCTAATAATATTTGAATAATCCTGACTAACACTGACATCACTAGGTATGGTGATTAAAGAAAGAATGCTGTAATTTGAGAATATAGGGTTAAAAGTAGATAAAATAAGTCTAGTTGTTTTATAAGAGAGATGCATTTATTCAACAAATATTTACTATTCTATGCCCTGGAGATTCAGCATTGAACATAGGTGGTATGGTATGTGCATAGTTGAGTGTGAATAAATCTCTTTGATAACAAATTCCATGGAATGTAAAAATTTAGAGCCCATTTGTAGTATGATCTAATCTTTATTTCTATGGTATTGTACATGTAGCAATAATGTTGAATTTTTGTTTAACACTATGAAAGGGCAAACATTTTCATTTATGGAAGATAGCCAAAATAGAGCTTCTCCCTTAAGTACTATGTTGGTTTTGGGAATGAAGATGCAAACAGAGTCACACTTTCCTGAATTGGATCTTCTTGTTATTTTTCCCCATGGTGGGCATTCACCCATGCTTTTAGCCAAGATGAGCACACCGAGAATGAGATGGCACACCATTGTTAAGACCTAGGAGGATGGAAGCTGATTTCAAAACAGACCTTCTGCACTAGGGAGCGTGGTATCTTGTTTTGCTGCCAATTAAGTAGTGATGAGTTTGTCGTGTTTCCTGTTATCCAGGATGATTAATCTGAGCCCTGAATCCAACTAAACCATTAAGGAAAATTCACAGCAAGATAAGCTGGGAGTGACAATGTTACCCTTTACAAGAAGGGGAGATGACAGAATGAAACACAACCCCCTGCCTCCCTCTCTCTGGTTTCCAGCCTGTGGTGGTAAAATCCTTGGGCTCCTACTGTGATAAAGAGCTTGGGAAGGCATGAGCTAGAGTCACACAATCAGAGACTCTTAGAACTGAAAGGGGCCTTGGGACTTTGCTTCTCCAACCTGCTCATCACACAGATGAAGGAATGGAGGATCAGAGCGTTCATTTTACTCGCTTATAAACACACAGCAAGTTGTTGACTGGGCCGGGACTAGAGCCCCATCATTTAGCACTTATTGTGGTCTCTTTCCCATTGTATCATAGAGTTCTGAGCTCACAGCAGCTGTCTTCTTTTGCGGAAGAGAGTTGCAGTACTGAACACACTATTTAAGGACCTGAGATCTAATCTCTAGACTAGCCTCTGGCACCAACTTGCTATAGGAACTGCAGTTGACTGGCTGCTGTGTGGGGTACTTTGCTTATTTCTGTATGACTTTTCATTCTTCACTGGGCTGGATCTGTTACCTTATGTGGTGGTCTCAGAGAAGCATTTCAAGAGAGTGAAGGCAGACACCGCAAGACCCTTTGAAATTTAGACTCCAAAACTTGCACAATATCACTTCCACCATTTTTTATTGATCAAAGCCAGTTACTGAGCCAACCCAAACCCCAGGTGAAGGGAAACAAACCCAAGCTCTTGATAAGACTAGTGACAAAGTTACATTGCTAAGGGTCCTATGAAATATACCTAATTTTTGCAGTAATCTTTGCAAACCACATCTTCCATATTTGGCAGTCTTGAAATGTACAGTTACCCCACAGAAACAGCAAAATAACCCACTAACTTCATTACCCACACACTTTATGTATTGCCTCTTTTTCATGTTTCCCATGAAGTGCTCCCAATTTTGTTTTTGTTTTTGTGTAAGGGAGGAATCTTAAGAGAGAAATAAGCATGTGTATGTAGAGCATGTGATCACATATATGCATGCGTGTATGTTCTAGTTCATGTTTTAAGTTGATATTTGAGTTACTTATTTCCCAGAAAAGATGTCTCATGACACCAGAGAATATGTAACATCAAAAGAAAAAGCCCAAATTCAAAATAGATGTAAAGCTAATTTAAAAATAGAAGAGTAGAGCAATAAGATGGAGCCAGAAATAAGGCTTAAAAAAGCATACTCTTATATCATTAACACTTGTGGTAGGCAAACTGCAGCCTTGACTCTGAACTGTGTAGGAGCCTTTATGAAGATCACAACACATGACTACTGCTAAGAGATAGGGAGAAAACAGTGTTTTTTTACCTTTTGGTCACAGGGCCTCCTGTCAAGATTGTATTCCCTTTCTTTGGATTTCATAGCCTACTTATATCTGAGTCTATATATTTTTCCTCTTTTTTTTGTAGCTTGAGTAGGATTCCTCATGATCAATGTCTTCTGCTTGAAAATGTAATCTTAAGGAAAAGCAGAGACCAAGTGTGGAGACATCATGGCCCCCTTGGGTCTGTCCATGGTGCTGAACTAGGAAAAGCCAAAGATGACCCAAGACCCTTGTTTCTAAGAGCGTCTTTGCTGTGACTGACAAGAGTCGATTACAATTCAAACTACGTGTGTGCTTGTCTTGACTATTGCTTTTAAACCAGGCCACTCCTAACATAGTGTTTTTAAAATTATGCAGTTGGAATCCTGAAACAGAGGAGTTGGATATTCCTGTCCAGATTACCAAGAAAGGCTTGGGTTTCTCTCTTTATTCCTACCTCACCTCTTGAAATAACCTTGCGTTTATGTTTTTCTGATCCTTTTACTTAGACAATGGACCTAGCTGTGTGCTCATTCCAAATCTAGTGACAGATTTTCTAAGCATTTTTGTTTTTCATCTTTTCAATTATTTCTTAAATATCCAGTGTGTACTGATTTCTCTCTCTCTTCTTAGTAGCCTCCATCATGTAATCAAGCCCAAGTCCCTGAAATCCAGTCCTCATCCAAGAGCTGGTCATCTTGTTCCTATCAAATACAATCAACCTCTCAGATGAGAGGAAGTAATACAAAAAAGAAGTCTTATCTTCAATACAATACAAGGGCAGGGAATGGATAAAGGACTCTGAGGCTGTCTTGTATATTGTACCCTGAGAGGTTATCTAGAAAGTAATCTTTTAAAACACTTTTTGAAAAAAAATTTGTCAAGGACCAACAGTTCTAAGACATCCAGTTGAATGAGGGCACTGCTTCCTTGATCCCAGAAGTCATCTTTTGGAAATAAAGTAAATATATTTGCTTGCTTTAGCAGAAAAACCAGTATTGATCCCCATTCTAAAGAGAATGGAGAGAGCAGATGGCTGCTCTCCATCAAATGAGGATCTTTTTTCAAGAACAAGATGAAGCAAACAAAACCCAGGTTTCCCCCCTGCAAACTGCTGTTTCTCTTGGCTACTGTATTTACTGGAGCAATCAATGAGACAAACAGATTCTAAATAGCCTTCACATATTACCCAGGATTAAAATGAGTACCCAGCTGTGGTAGACAAATTCAGAACAAGTTATTTCAGATAACAGTCCTGTGATTGTTTTGAAACAATTTATTTGTTTATCTGACCCACAACACACGCACGCGCGCAAACACACACACACACCCTTACTTTTCCCTTGAAAAAATGAGAAGACCACGTTGGTTTTTTAAGTGTTTTGAACTCCATGTTCTTTGCTCCCTATGGCTAGTCAACCATTAAGTCATGTTTGTTGTACCATCTGCAAAGCTCTTAAATAATGCAGTGGCAGAATCGTGCAGTGGTTGAGAGCCCAGACTCAAAACGTAGACATCCTGGGTTTGAATCTACCACTTGCAAGCCAGGCCACCTTAGGCAAGTTGCTCAGCCTAACTTGTAAAATGGAGGAAGTAGTAGAACCTATTTCATAAGGTTGTTTATTAAATATATATAATGTACTAGTACAGTTCCTGACACAAAACAAGCACCTGATAAGTGTTATTATTGGCAATGTTTTTGTTATTCAATCTCCTCACTTATTTCCTTTTACAGTCTAAGTTGAAGCCAACATTATATTCCACCTGGACACCTCCAGTAGTTTCATAATGTTTTTCCATGGCTCTGCCTTAATTCTTATTTGCATCCTTTCCATTCTGTCATTGCACAGCCAGAATGAACACTCAAAGCAAAACAAAACAAAAACTCTAGTGGTTGTATGTGTGTCTAAGGATGTAGAAATGGCAAAAATTATGAGAGAATAAGCCATAGGAACTTAGAAGATTCATGAGGGGCATTGGGTTTTGTCTTGCTGTGTGTTGTGGTTTTGTTCTTGGTTGTGCGAAGGGTTGGGGTACCCAGCTGACACTGGCTTATCCAACACTCCAACCCTTGAATTTTTGACCCCATCATGTAAGTAAGCAAGCTACACAAGCAAGCCACACAATTATTGCAGAGCTTCTGGTCATTTCTAACACAGATGGCATTGTCACATATCCTAGAAACATATGCAATATCCTGCTTGGTCATTGGATTATGCTAAGGGGTTTCATTGGCCAGTTTATCACCTAGGGTTTGCTGTGTAATAATCTACCCCAAAACTCAGTGGCTTAAGATAACATCTATTATTATATATCACATGACCATGGATTCCCTGAGGATTGGCTGCCCCAGGATGGGTTCAGCACATCTCTGCTGGGTTTGTTAATACGTCTGCAAATCAGCTGGAACTGTATGTTAAAGTTAGTTAGGCCACCATAGCTGAAGAAGCCCTGCTTCGTGTATCATTCCTCTTCTTCCTGGACCAGCATATAGCCTGGGCTTTTCCTTCTCAATAGTGATGCAGAAAGTGCAAGACTCTTAGTGGAAACACATGAAGCCTCTTAAGGCTTCAACTCAAAACCAGTGCATCAATTCTGCTTCATTCCATGACCCAAATCAAGTCACATGGCCACATCAGGGGAAAGAAATAACATTCCACTTGTTATGTGCATAGACTTCCCGGTGCCAGGATATTTGCAGCTGTGAGATCTCCAAGGTGTTACCCAAGGCACTGTTATCCTTATGGGTTTACAAATGGCCCACATTGGCAAATACTGTATCTTCATTGGAGAGCAGGGGTCTCAAACTCAAATACTTACAGAGTTCAGGCAGCAAATACAATGAGCGAATTGAGTTGAGTGGGAAGCATAATTAAATGGAAGCTTAATTAAAAGATTGTGTCCTATCTAGAGTGAGGGAGGATGACTGTGAATGAAAGCACGTCCAGAGTTAATAGCCAACATAGTGCAGTAACCGTTCTAACATTTACATGTGGGAGGCACTGTTCTGAAACTCCACTTACATTAATTCATTTAACCCTTACAATATGCTTTTGTGGTAGGTATTATTATTATTATTGCCATTTTACAGATTAAAAAAACTGGGGAATAGAAAGGTTTGGTACCTTGTCCGCAATCACAGAGCTGAGATTCTAAACCAGGGAACCTGGCTCTAGATTTCATGCTCTTAATTGTGACACTACATCACCAAATTTTTTTTAATTAGAAATGCAGACTTTTGCATTGAACCATTCAAGTTTTACACTTAATAAGAAAGTAAAATAAATAAAACACAAATTATTTTGTAGACAAAGGAAAATATATCTGGGCTGAATTTGACTGTGGATCTCTTATTTGGGACCATTATCTGACCGAAAGAGTTGGTCTGCTTAGGAGGATTTTATCAGCCTGAATTCAGAGAAGCTGCTCAGTGGCTCCAGGCCTCCTACCCTTCTGGAAAAGTACTGAACACAACCAATCCTTCAAAAATCAATTCTCAAAATTTTGACAGTGTCTTCATGAAACTCTGGCCAGTTCTCCTGCCCTGGCATCGGCCCAGGGTATCAGGTAGGCACTGCCTGACATTGGCCCGTCCTTCAGAGGGCATTGAAAATCAGAACTGGAGCCCAGGAAGGAGACGAGCCTTGGTTTGCATATCAGGCTCGAAAGGCCAGCTGGGGTCTTTTCACCTCGGGGGGTTCAATTTCCTGCAGAGGGCTAGGCAGGTAAGAGATGTGTCAGGTGCCAACCAGCTGTGATTTAATAATGTTGTGGAAAATTTGAGGATTGGAGAAAGAGATCCCTAAGGAGGCAAGAGGATGTGAAAACTAGTGATAAAAAATTTATCACACAATGCAGTGGTCCTTTCTAGAGGACCAATGCATGAAGTGTGCCAAAGAGAAAATTTGAAAATTCAAAGGAAGGAGCATTGATTCAGAGAGGACTTAAAAAAATTTCTGTCGGAGCTTTTCCTTGAATTGCCCAAAGTCATAAGGCAAGTCCTCGTGGGACAAATACACCTTTTTTGAGCCTGTATCAGACTCTGTATATGTCTATTAGCTAGAAAACGGGAAGGATTTTTTCATGCCTTTCTTGCAAATCTGAAAAGTGTCTCTTAATCCAAGTCCTTCTGTTAATCTCAATTGTCACTCTCATAGCCTACTTGTTGTTGTGGTTTCAGCAGTGATAACAGATAGATCTTTTTTATTGAATGCAATATTTTCCTTCACTATCAACCCCACCTCTTCTTCTGTCACTTTGAAAGAAAAGACTTCTGCTTTTTTGTTTTTTTTTTTTCTCTGCAACATTCCCCACCCTCCATCTTTTTGGCAGAAACAGATGCTGGGATTTCTGAAGGTGGGAAAATAAGTGGTTACATCCTCAAGTTATATTTTTTTAGCACTTTATGTAACAAATCCTGGCAATATTTACCCATTTGTATTATCTAGAGGGTTGTTATTTGCTGTGCGTGCTGTTTTTGAACAGCACGCAGGGGGGAAAAAAACAGATCCCTTCCTCACTGTGTCCGAGAATACTGGGAATATGGTTGAAAATGTTCTATGTGGAAGGGCCACATTCTGTCTGTGGATTGACGGTTGCATTCCTAGTAACAAGGCATAACATGGGGCTTAAAAAAAAAAATAACCCTTCACATACATTACAACATTGCAATATTATTCCCTTTTTATAGATACAATACTTGCTCATTGCACTTTGGGAGGCCAAGGCAAACAGATCACTTGAGATCAGGAGTTCAAGACCAGCCTGGCCAACATGGTAAAACTCCGTCTCTACTAAAAATACAAAAATTAGCTGGGTGTGGTTGTGGGTGCCTGTAATCCCAGCTACTTGGGAGGCTGAGGCAGGAGAATCACTTGAACCTGGGAGGTGGAGGTTGCAGTGAGCTGAGAGCATGCCCTTGCACTTCAGCCTAGGTGACAAGAGGGAAACTCCATCTCAAAAAAAAAAAAAAAAAAAAAAAAAAAAAAGAGAATGCTTTCTCGTTGTAAAAATGTCTTAGAAAATACAAAAACAACAAAGAGAATAACCATTCATATTTCTTTCCATCAGTAATACCTTAACTGTTTGATGAATGCTATCTCATGTACCCATTCAGAATTATACTGTAAGCAAATATTAATATCCAGATTTATATTTGACTCTAATGGCATCCCTATGGTATTAGAAACTTGAAATGCCTGCATAATGTTTCAGCACACTGATGTTCAATAGCATTTTAATCTATTCCCTTATGGAATAGGCTATTTTCAAGTTTTTACTTCTATAAAGGCTACCTTGATAAATGGTTTTGTTCATCATTCTTTTGTATTTCATATTATTACCTTAGGCTATTCCTATGGGTCACATGGTTGAGCCCAAGGGAAGGATATTTTTAAGACTGTTGATAATTTGGCCATATAATTTTTTAGGAAATTGAAACAAACTTAGATCGTGGAGCCTTTGAGACCAGGTTGACATAAGCCTGTGGTTGAGGTTTCCTTTAGTCTTTGGGAAAAGTATGAAAGAGATGATGGGATGGAGAGTGCCTGGGGTTGAGACAGTTGCAGGTGGTGTCTCTAAAGTGGAAGATACCTGAGTGATGTGAGAAAACAGCATGCATATATTTAGGAGAAGGGATTCCCAGCAAGAACGGAGTAGCAGACACAAAGTCCCTTAGGCGGGAAAAGATTTGACTAAGTGAAGAATAGTGAAAAGAATGGTCTGGTTGTTGGCGTTGAGCTTCTTGACAGTCAGAGAAAGAAGAAGTTGAACTTCAGGTGCTCCCTTCTACAGGGACATAGTTATCAGTGCGTTCTTTCTTTTTTTTTCTTTCTTCTTTTGAGGCAGAGTTTTGCTCTTGTTGCCCAGGCTGGAGTGCAATGGCACAATCTCGGCTCACTGCAACCTCTACCTCCGAGGTCCAAGCAATTCTCCTGCTTCAGCCTCTTGAGTAGCTGGGATTAGAGTCATGCGCCACCACGTCCAGGTAATTTTGTATTTTTAGTAGAGACAGGGTTTCTCCATGTTGGTCAGGCTGGTCTCGAACTCCTGACCTCAGGTGATCCACCCGCCTCGGCCTCCCAAAGTACTGGGATTACAGGCTTGAGCTACTGTGCCCAGCTGCTATCAGTGCTTTCTGAAACTCTTATCTTCCATGGACCTGCCAGGCTGCAGGGAAATACATTCTTGTGACCAATTCAATCCATGGACACCGGCTGCTCTTCGTTCAAATACAGAGATGCTCCCTTCATTATAGAAACTCATCAACCTTCCTGGTCTTAATTCTGATTTTCAGTTAGTTCAGAAGTTCAGAGAGGATGTGGACTTTATAGAGCCTACTAAGCTGGAAGGAACTGATGATCAAACTCCTATAGGGAAAAGTACCGTGGAAACTCTAATTTTCTATTAATAATTATTCATAATTCTACTAATTATCAATATCAATATTATTATCAATAATAAACACGATGATGACTCACATAATTAAGAGATTATCACCCAGACTTTGTGCTAAAAGTGTTATATGGATTATCTCATTTCAATCATCACAATAATCTTAAGAAGTAGGCAATATATCTTGTTCTTATTGTGTAGAGGAGGAAATCAGAGCTTAGAGTGCTTAAGTACATTCCTCAGGATCACCAAGCTGGTAAGTGCTGGAGTCAGGATTTGAACCCACTTTTGTCTGACTCTAGGGCTTGAGCTTCTTCATCACCATGCAGTGTTGCCTCCAGGATTGCCTGGGCGTTTCAGGTCAGAGTTCGCCCTGTCAAAGCCGTACTTCATCTGGCGAAACCCTGAAATGCAGCCCTTTGGAAGAGTTTATTCTGTTAACTAGGCCCTAAGGAAGGAGGGCTTGAAACTTCACTCTCACACATCCTGGCCCCCATGCTGAGATCTGGCCTAATTATGGCTTTCAGAGCCACCACAGGGCTTGGTTAGTCAGAAGGGCACGTGTAGTTTCCCTTCTGCACACAACTGGGTTCTGCTCAAGGGCAGAGTGGGAAGCTCCCTGCATGGGGTGCCTGGAAGCCTTTCCCAGACACACTTGGTTAAACAAGCAGTCTCCTTGGCTCTCCTCAGAGCTGCAAGGATAAGGCAAGGACTGCCTTGTAAGGGGCCTACAGAAGGATGCTCCCAAGGGCAGCCAGTGACCTCCAGCTCATCTAGCAAAGTCCAGCTTAGATATCCCTCTCCACTTATCTAAGCCACAGTTACCAGCCAACCAAATTCACTCCTTAATGCCCTGAATATTACTTTGTGGCTAAGGGTGTAAAACTTCCTTTGCCAAACACTCATTAGCGCTTCCCTTGTACAGACAGTCACTGCTCTAGATGACCTTTCAGATCATCAGGAATTAGACCCTCCTTCACTCTTCGCAATCCAATGAAGTAGGTACAATTTCTGTTGCCTTTTTACCGATGAAGATTCTGAAGCACGGAAACGTTATGTAACTTGCTTAAAGTCGCACAGCTGGCAGGCAGCAGAAGAGTTCAGAGTCAAATCCCGGTGGCTCATACCTGTAATCTCAGCACTTTAGGAGGCTGAGGTGGGCGGATCACCTGAGGTCAAGAGTTCGAGACCAGCCTGGCCAACATGGTGAAACGCTCTCTGTACTAAAAATACAAAAATTAGCCGGGTGTGGTAGTATATGCCTGTAATCCCAGCTACGTGGGAGGCTGAGGCAGGAGAATTGCTTGAACTGGGAGGCGGAGGTTGCAGTGAGCAGAGATTGCACCCCTGCACTTTAGCCTGGGCGACAGAGTGAGCCTCTGTCAAAAAAAAAAAAAACAAAAAAAACCCGACAATTGGCTTTAAAGTCCAAGCTCTTAACCATCCTGTAGAAATGGGGATAAACAGATCTCTGTTCAAATCTTTGCTATGCCACTCCCTGCTACGTGTGCATGGGCACCTCTTTTAACTGCTCTGTGCCTCAGTTTCCTCATTTGCAAATGGCAGGTACTGGTTGTACATACTCTATAGGGTGACGGTGACTGTGAGGATTCAATGAGATAGTGCACATGAAGTGCCAGGTAGGAGTGTGGTTGCTCAAAGGGACCTTGCCTTCCTTAGGCTTATGTTTTACTGCCACTTCCGTTCAACTCCCCCTATTTCAAAGTAGCCCAGCTGTTTTCTTCTTCCAGGAAAGACAGACTAAAATTGCACCTTGATCCAAGCAAAAGAAAGAATGAGAGGTGATGGAGGCAGGAAGAACAAAGCCTAGAAGTAGCAGGCTCTCGCTCACTTTCCCTTTCTTCTTCCCTCCCCAGTACGCCTGTATTTCAAGATGTACTGACTTCCCAGACCCAATCCGCCCCCACATTCCATTTCTGAGTGGGATACTATGATGTAACAAGCTGCAAAGGGAAGCCAGCTCCCCTGGAACGAGAATCAATTTTGGGAGTTTCCCTGCAAATGTAACCCTGCTTCTCCTCATTCCTAGCCCCAAACTAGCTCATCCAGGTGGGCCCTCCTGGAGAAAAATCGGAGAGGTGCATATTCCTGCATTTCCCTCGACCTACTCTGTGATATGGTCTGCCCCATGAGCAAAATGTGGAGTCAGATTACTCAAAGTCTCATTTATTAATTGGGAATTGGAGGCCCTTTATGACAGAACTGGGCGATTATTGAAGAACTGAGCTGCCATGAACGAATTTAATTTCAAGAAAAAGTCAATTCAATTGAGTCCTGAAAATCATTCTGATGTACTCCCAGGGAATTCTATTTGGAATCAATAAACGTGCCTGTGTCACTGACTCTTGTCTCCACTCTCTCCCCTGCTGGCCCCAAGCCAAGGAGAAATCATTCAAAGAGACCAGGTTTCATTTCAGAGAAATGTGGGTTCTGCCAAGTGCACAAAATGGAGCACTTATTGGCTCTGTGATAAAATCTCCCCCCTCCCCTCCCCTCTTCTCTCCTCTCCTCTCCTCTCCTCTCCTCTCCTCTCCCCTTTCTTTGTCTCTCCCCTCTCTTCCTCTCCCACCTCCTCCTTCTTCTTTCTTTCTCTTACTCTTTCTTTCTCTTCTCTCTTTCACTCTCCTGTGACTCTTTTCTTTCCTTGTCAATATTGACTCCTTCTCTTTTCTATTCTTTTATCACCAATTCGTCTTTCCCTTCTTTCAAAAATGCGGATTCACCCTTCCTTAAAAACTCTACAATCTGTATGCAAGAGTCTGCCCAGAGTTCCCTGTGGAAGTGCCTTAGAGAATTTGTGGTGCCGACCATCTCACCAGAGCCTGGATGACTTTGAGGTTGGGTCTGCTGAGGCCAGACAGGTGGAAATGCCCCCAGAGGAGAAAAGGTTGGAAAGGAGACGAGATTCACACTGAGACATCCTATGGTGATGGTTTGCACTTCTCAAAACTTTAATGTGCAGAAGAACCACTTGGAGAGTCTTGTTAAAATGTAGTTTCTGATTCACTGTGTCTTGAATGAGGCACGAGATTCTGCATTTTGAATAGGCCCCCACATAATGCTGCTGTTGCTGGCCTCAACACTGCACTTGAAATACCGTGAGGTCGAATGTACTGTCACCCAAAGTGTAAGTCATATGCAGCTGCTGGTGCACAAAAAGACATTTGGTGATGCACAGGTGAAGATTTTTAAACTTCTAATAGTTCTGTGTTAATTTTTATTAGTAGCAGAAAATTATAACTAAGCACCTGTGGTTTTATAGATAATATTGCTTGAGAGGAGTTTGAAAGGGTATTTAATTTCCTAACTGAGTTGACTTAAATAAAATTATTAAGGCATTGGTAGTATGAGGTATGTGGGTGTAATGATTCTGTGAATGCAATGAGTGAATGAATGAAGTTGGGAGGAGAGGAGGCACAGAGAAGCAAGGAGCATGGGCTTTGGAATGAAGCCAAGATTTGGGCTCAAATCCTGACTCTACCAAACTTATTCTCTTTGAACGTCACTTTTCTCAATGTCAAACGAGGCTAATGTTGTCTACCTCACAGAGTTACTGTGAACAGGAGAAAGATAGTTTGTGGTACATGCCTGGTGCAAGGTGGGGACTGAGATAATGGAGATAAGGGTAGCAATTTTACTATTGCAGAGAGAATGGTGGGCCCAGAGTGAGGGGTACACACTGATTTTAAAGGATACAGGGCAGAGACAGAAGGCATTAGACAGTGGGGTAGTATGAGCTGCACTGGTCCTTTCTTCCTTCATCACATTATAGGACATAGATCCTTGTTTCTCGGTCCAGTTGTGTCATGGTGGTTAAAGGGAAACTTGGAAAGCCAGAAAACTATTTATACAACCTCTTGTTTGTCCCCCCATTGAACTTAGATGCACAGGCAGGAAATTAACCTCATTTTTAGATAGTAAAGAAAGCCCATAGCTTGTGTATGTGTGCCTGTGAGTGCATGCGTCTATATTAGAAAGCTGGACAGAACCTCAAAGCCTCCCCTATAAATAGTTCTAAAACTGAACCTGAGGAGATAAGCTTTACTAACTCTGAAAGGCAAACGATGCCACCAGCCTGATGCCCCAGGAGGAATAAATGGAGCCCCTCTGGCCTTAGTTCTTTGCAATCAGGCCCTTAGTTGCAATGGGACTGAGCCACCTCCCTCTGCATGATATGACTATGGGATACAGACTCTCTCCATGAACTAAACCCAGAGGCTCCCAGAAGGGGATCCCAGCTGTGCCACTCCTGCTTCCTTCTTTTGGCATCTCACAGGGAGCCATGCTGTCTTCTATCCCCCAGGAATGGCCACGGCCCACTTCCATCTAGATAATCTCACTTCCTCCAGGTAGTCTTCATTCATGCGAGTACGACTGATACAGTTTGACTCTGTGTCCCCACCCAAATCTCCTCCTGAATTGTAATCCCCATAATCCCCATGTGTCGAGGGAGGGACTTGGTGGGAGGTAATTGGGTCATGGGTGTGGTTTCCTCCATGCTGTTCTCATGATCGTGAGTGAGTTCTGACGAGATCTGATGGCTTTATAATGGGCTCTTCCCCCTTTACACGCTCTCTCTCACCTGTTGCCGTGTAAGACGTGTATAATTATAAGTTTCCTGAGGCCTCCCCAGCCATGCGAAACTGTGAGTCAGTTAAACCTCTTCCTTTATAAATTACCCAGTCTCGGGTATTCCTTTGTAGCAGCGTGGAAACAGACTAATACGATGACCCAGTCAAAATGGCAATAACTGTTTTTTGCCCAAGAAGCCTAGATTTAAAGCATTTGTGTTATTTTCTCCATGTGTAAAAAGGGAATACAAGGCAGTTCCTCAAAAAGTCAAACATAGAGAACTAGGAACAATTCTACTTCTAAGTATATACTCAAAAGAAAGGAAAACAGATACTGAAAAAAATACATGTGCATGTATGTTCATAACAGCTGTATTCACAATGGGCAAAAGGAGGAAACAGCCCACATCAGTAGGCTAAATGGATGATTAAGTGGATAAATAAATTGTGTGATATAAAATATTATTGAAATATTGCTCAGCCATAAAAAGGAATATAATACCAGAATATGCTCCAATGTGGAGGAACCTTGAAAACACTATACGAAAATATTAAGTGAAAGAAGCCAGACACAAAAGGTCACATATTGTACAATTCCATTTATGAAAAACATCTAGAATAGGTAAACCTATAGAGATAGACCAAAGAATGGTTTTTGCCAGGGTATGGAGGGGAGAGAAGAATGGAGAATAACTGCTTAAAGGGTGCAGGATTCCCTTTTAGGATGATGAAAACGTTTTAGAACTATACAGAGGTGGTGGCTGTACAGCATTGTAAATGTTCTAAATGCCACCGAATTGTTCACTTCAAAGTGGTTAATTTTGCTATATGCATTTTACCAAATTTTTAAAAAAGGAATGGGAATAATTACTCTCTTAATATGATTGCGTGAGAATGATGACGTAGTGCAGGTAGAACCCCAAACACACCCTGTGGCTTAACACTTGTCCCTCAATAAATGCATTTCCCTTCTTCTTCCCAGACTTAATCTTTTCACAGACCACAAGAATCATATCCCTGGTGTCCCATAACAAAGTTGAATTGTCCTTAATTTTTAAAGGGTGATATTAATTGTTTAGGGAAACCCATTGGAAATTAAAAAAAAAAATAATAAAGCAGGAAATGTACAAAAGGTACCATTTCCAAGCCTGGTTTCTGACTATACTACAGCTTTTTTGTTTACCTCTGGGATCTTACTCTCCATCCATTTCTCCAACCTCTGTCTTTGTGCTTCCCATTTGTGCAACAATGAACTATTCTCCTCTATGGTTTTTCAATTTCTAGTTCCAGGCTGGATTTGTGTGAATGAAGTCTTACACCACCTTCATCACACGGAAGTTGCCTTTTATTTTATTTTTGCAAAAGGGTCTCACTCTGTCACCTGGGCTGCTGTGTAGTAGCATGATCACGGCTCACCGTGGCCTCAATCTCCCCAGGCTCAGGTGAACCTCCCACCTCAGCCTCCCAAGTATCTGTGATTACAGACATGCATCACCATGCCAGGCTAATTTTTGTATTTTTTGTAGAGAGGGTTTTGCCGTGTTGCCCAGGCTGGTCTTGAATTCCTGGGTTCAAGTAATCTGCCTGCCCTGGCCTCCTAAAGTGTTGAGATTACAGATGTGAGCCACTGTGCCTGGCCAGAAGCTGCCTTTTAGATATCTTGGCCTCCTTGGACAAAATGACAGAAATGATCAAATATTGCTATCATTTATTGTGAATTTGTGTTGTTTTGAGGTCTAAGAGTGTTTACGTGTGTTTTTTATTCCCGCAACAATCTTATGAGGTGAGTTCTATTATTAGTCCCATCTCACAGATGGAAAACTGATTCGTAGTGAGGTTAAGCAACACACCCAGAGCTGAAATACCAAATAAGTGAATGAACGGACTAAGTTAAGTGAAGGCCTGCCATTCATTGGTTTCCAGAGGGCAGAAGTGTCAGCTCCTATTTTCTATGAGGGGCATATAGCACAAAGAACTGAAGGTGGCTCTTAGACGATGCAGGTGAAGGACACCCATTACTGGATCTGTTCTGACAGACAAGGTCAACGTAACTATGCTAGGCTGATCCTAAAATTCAGGTTGAATATTTCTTATCCAAAATGCTTGGGACCAGAGGTGTTTTCAATTTTGAATCGTTTTTTCTTTTGGATTTTAGAATATTTGCATATACATAATGAGATATCTTGGGGATGGGGCCTACGTCTGAACACGAAATTCATTTGTTTCACATACACCTAATACATGTAGCCTAAAGATAATTTCACTTCCCCCTGGGGACGCTGAGTTTGTTGTGTGCCTGAGTTTTTACTACAATCTGTCACGTGAAGTCAGGTGTGGAGTGTTCCACTTGTGTTGTGATGTCAGCTCTCAAAAAGTTTTAAATTTCGGAGCATTTCAAATTTTGGATCTTTGGATTAGTGATGCTCAATTTTCCAATGACTGTGACTCCAGGTATTCAGGCCCTTGTGTAATCACTTCCTTGGGCTAGCCTAGGAATGTACTTTTAATAAACATAATGCAGGAAAACTGATGGAATAATGTGCCTCATGAGAATGGGCTACAAGGACTCTGGTTTCTATCCTGTCTTCCCCTGTCTCTCTCACTCTCCCTTGCTTGCTCTGCTGGAATCCAGTTGCACTGTTGTAAGCTGCCTGGTGGGGAAGTCCATGTGGTAAGGAACTGATGATTCCAGCCAGTGAGAAACTGCTGTGCCCTGCCAGCTGCCACAGGCATTAACCTGGAAGTGGATTGTCCTCCATTTGAATCTTGAGATGAAGACCGCAGCCTTGTGAGGGACCCCGACTCAAATAACCCAACTAGATCACTTTGATCCCTGACCCACAGAAAATGGGAGACAATGCAGGGACTTTAGAGCAAGTCCCTATGCTAGCCCAAAGAGGTGATTACACAAGTTTGGTTTGAACATTTTGGGATAATTTGTTAAATGGAAATAGACAATCAATACAGTAATATTTCAAATCATACATATCCTTTGCTAGACCCTTTCTAGAGACAGGGGAGACTGAGAGGAATGAGAAGACAGAGTCCCTGCCCTCCAGAAGCTCATGGGCTAGTAGGATGGAAAGATAATCACTTAAAGTGAGAATCTAGAAGTGTGTGCAAGGTACAGAGGTGGCAGAGGAGATTCAACATTAATGAAGGATTCCAGGGCTTTGAAGTAGGAGTAGGAGTTCATAAGAAGATGCTGCAAACTATGTTTTTTGAATGAATGAATACTCTGGAATGGCAAGAGATGGGAAGCAAGACCAATTGAGATACAGGAAATGGGGTTATCATAATTTGGCAACCAATCTGCAGGAAGGGAGGGGTGGAGACAGGAAAAAGTCAAAGATGACTGGATTTTGTTGTTGTTGTTCAGTTAAACAAGTGGTGGTTGTGCCATCAGCTAAGATAAAGATCACAGGAAGAAGACTGCAAAGAGCAGTAAGCCTTTGTAACAGATCTCGGTCATGTGCCATACTGCTGTTCTTTAGCTTTCTTTGATCACTATTTGATAGGAGAGAGAGGGAGAGAGAAAGAGAGAGACAGAGAGATAATGATATTAGTTATCATTGTGCAACAAAACTTAATGATAGCATTCTGAGAATGGCTTAACTGCTCAGGATCTCTCTGAAGTTGCCATCAAGATATTGGTCAGGGCTGCAGTCAGCTAAAGGCTTGACTGGGGCTGGAGGATCCACTTCCAAGATGATTCACATGGCTATTGGCTGAAGGTCTCAGTTCCTCTCCATCAGGCTGCATCTTCCAGGGAGCTAACATCTTTCAGAGCAAGACATTAATCAAAGAGCAAGAGAGTAACCAGGAAGCTGCAAGATATTTTATAACCTAGACTCCTAAGTCATACACTGTCACTTCTGCTTTATCCTATCCCTTAGAATTGAGTGACATAAAAAATTTGTGGCCATATCTTAACACACACACCCATACACGTATGTATGTGTGTATATATACACATTATGTATATGTATGTGTGCTTAGACTGATACCTTAGTAGTCTAATAGTAGTAGATACTTAATAAATATTTATGAATGAAATGTTTACACTGCATGCAGAAGTTTTATTCTATTTCATTTAAAATGTTACAAACATGTTTCTATGGTATTAAGAAATAAAAATATCATAGGCTTTGCATAGACTCAGGCTGGTTTGAGTTTTGAATACCAGATCCATCTCTACAAACCTGGACAAGTCGTTCAACTGCTCCAAAGCACAGTTTCAGTATCTATCAAATGAGAATAATAGCACTTACATATCCCAGAGTTGTTATAAGGATTAAATCACCTAGTATGTGCACAGGACTTAAGCCACTGCCTGGCACATGGCAATCATTATTTAAATGTCATTTATTTTTCATATTTTGCATTCCAGAATGGTGTGGCCTTTCATGTACTTCCCCTGTATTTTCTGCTGCTATTTCCTCCTGGCTTGTGGTTGAGGTTTTAAGGATTCAGACATCCAGGAATGAGGTTTCACAGGGGCCTCATGGTGTGAAAGGGGATACGCTTTCTGTTCTAGTAGAAGCACGTGGTCGCTTCCTGTTCTGTATCTGCTGTAGGAGATCAGAAAGCACAGGGGCTGATGCCAACCATTATGCTGACTGTAGACATGACTAATTGGTTGTCCATTCCAGGAATTAACACTTCTTCCCACAAATACCTGATTACAATGACTAATCAGACAAAAGTTCTTCCCAAAACCTGCGTGAAGTACAGCTCTAATGTAATAAACCTTATTCAATGTAGATATGATTAATTTTTCCATTCTTTCTCCTTATAGGAATCAATAAGTTGTTTAGATGTGTTTAATAGAGAGGAAATGAACAAAAAGTAGGTTTTGCTCCTTTATGAAGGTAACTTTTAAACTTTTTGCCTTTAAAAAAGACCATCTTTTTCATCTACCCAATGAGTGGGATTTTCAGGAAAATTTAGATGTGTTCATTTCCATGATTAGGTGAGGATGATTAACGGTCCTTCCAGCAATTAGTGTTGGATTTCACTGTTACCAAAATGAACTTGCGTTCACAAATCTCACCGCATATATTCTGAGTGCCATATGTTACAGACCAGGGAAAATTTGTTTTCTGTTCTTGCCTCATTCCACATCTAATGCTCATGTCTCCCTTGCTCTTTTATGACATTCAAAGTACATCTGGAATGCTGAGATCCTCTCAGAAAATAATTATTTGGAGGCACCACATGAGTAATAGGACAGTAAGAAAAGAGAATACAATGTTCTGGGACTTTCTAACGCACACGACATCAAATTGTAGGAGCTTTTTTTTTTTTATGTTCATCAAAGTAATCTTTGTTCCAGGCTCATCCCCTTGGAAAGAAGCTTGTCTGGTGTGTATGAGTGACAATGTGGATGAAAAGCACCATATAAATTTCAAATGGCATTGTTAGTTGAAGTGGAATGGTAGGACAAGAGACTGGCACCCATGGTAGTGGCCTCTGGTCTTTCTCTGTCTCTCATAACCATGGCACTGAGGGTCCTGAGGTTGCATTATTCAAGGTAGATTATTTAGGCAGGAAAATAGATGGAGACAATGTTAGCCAGAGTGTCCCCATGAGCATGGGTCTCAGACAAATATTCTGGACCAAAGAGATCCTAAGTATCCCAATGACGGTAATCTTCAAATTCCCTCCCTCCAATTCTATCCCACTCCCACCATAACTCTTAGTATCTCCATGTTCATGATGGGGGACAAGGTGTGTGTGTGAAGATGAAAGAAGACTCAATACAAGACATAACTTACAGCTGTGAATTTATGTTGTTGTCATCCATTGATTCAATATAGATTGAACATTTAATATTATAGGGATGGAAAAATCCCACCACCATCCTCTTAGGGTTCCAACTGGGTCAAATAATTAAATCGCCATAAGATAGGTGAACAGGGTAAAAGCATAAAATAAGTTTTATGTGGCACAGGAGCCTCCATAAAGAAATGATGACATGAATAAACAGAATGAGTTATTTATGTACTGGATTGGACAAAGAATAGTTAGTTATGAAGAAACAACTACATTATGTGGGGAGGCTTAAAAGATAAGAGTTTCTCTAACAAGGTCTATACCATATTCTCTTGGTCTCTCTTGCCTTTTTTTCCAGTATAGGAAGAGTGTCTTTAATATGGGAATTTTGTTTTCTGCTTTAAAGAAACAGCATAAAGGTCAATGTGGTCTTCTTGCACCTGCGGTTTTTTCAAGTGCCTTTAACTTAATAAATAGTTAATATGCTGGGGGGCCAGGGGGTAATGTTGGGGCTAGGGAGGGCATCAGGAAGAATAACTAATGGATGCTGGGCTTAATACTTAGGTGATGAGTTGATCTGTGCAGCAAACCACCATAGCACACGTTTACCCGTGTAGCAAACCTGCACATCCTGCACATGTACCCTGGAACTTAAAATAAAAGTTGAGGCCGGGCGCAGTGACTCACACCTGTAATCCCACCACTTTGGGAGGCCGAGGTGGGTAGATCACCCGAGGTCAGAAGTTTGAGACCACCCTGGCCAATATGGTGAAACCCCATCTCTACTAAAAATACAAAAATCAGCTAGGTGTGGTGGCACACACCTGTAATCCCAGCTACTTGGGAGGCTGAGGCATGACGATCACTTGAACCCGGGAGGTGGAGGTTGCAGTGAGCCGAGATCACGCCACTGTACTCCAGCCTGGGTGACAGAGAGAGACTCAGTCTCAAAAAAAAAAAAAAAAAAAGAAAGTTGGAGAAAAAATAGTTAACATGCCAGAGGGATATATTTTTAACTCTTTTATGATTTGTGAGGTGCTGTTCTCAGTGCTTAGAAAGCTAAGATTCTAGATAATGGGTCATGACCACACTCTTGGGAACACTAGACCAAACCTAAAACAACAAACAAACAAAAAACTCCAAACAAAATCCAAGTTCTGTATTTTATTTATTTATTTACTTATCTATTTATTTATTTATTTATTTATTTTGAGACAGAGTCTCACTCTTGTTGCCCAGGCTGGAGTGCAATGGCACGATCTCGGCTCACTGCAACCTCTGCCTCCCAAGTTCAAGTGATTCTCCTGCCTCAGCCCTCAAAGTAGGTGGGATTACAAGAATGCGCCACCATACCTGGCTAATTTTTATATTTTTAGTAGAGATGGGGTTTCACCATGTTGGCCAGGCTGGTCTTGAACTGCTGACCTCAGGTGATCCACCTGCCTCGGCCTCCCATAGTGCTGGGATTACAGGCGTGAGCCACTGCTCCCGGCCTGTTCTGTATTTTAAATGCCAAATCAAGAGAAAACAAATTTTAAGCTTTTCCATTCAACTCGTGTTACAGTTATAACTGAATTCAAGGACTGGAGGTGGGCTTTTAAAAAGCTGCTTTTTTTTTTCTACTATGAAACATTTAGGACATAAAAAATGTTTAAAGAACAGTTTAGTGAACATCCAGATATTTATCACATAGTTTAAGAAATAAACCCCATGAATTCATTTGAAGGTCTTTGTGTGTTCCTCCTCTGCCTTATCCCACTCTCAACCTACAGAATTGCTATCTTGATTTTTACGTTATCATTCCTAGAGGTGTGATTATTTAATAGGGGCATTCTAAGTCAATAAGGTTAGGATGAAATAAAAGCCATCATGTTGAATCATGTGTCTACTGAAATCCTCTATCTTGAAGGACTTTTAGCAAAAAATTAGAAATGTGAATGTTTGGTCTAAATTCTCCACTGCATTATAATTAATGTCATTGATTTTTATGCTTTTTTTTTTTTTTTTTTGAGACGGAGTCTTGCTCTGTCACCAGGCTGGAGTGCAGTGGTGCAATCTCGGCCCACTGCAACCTCGGCCTCCCAGGTCCAAGCAATTCTCCTGCCTCAGCCTCTCAAGCAGCTGGGACTACAGGGGCCTGCCACCATTCACAGCTAATTTTTGTATTTTTAGTAGAGACGGGGTTTCATCCTGTTGGCCAGGATGGTCTCAATCTCTTGACCTCGTGATCCACCCACCTCGGCCTCCCAACGTGCTGGTATTACAGGCGTGAGCCACCACACCCGGCCTGATTTTATGCTTTAACATTCACATCTTCTACTGAAGGACTATCTTCTAAGGATGATTTCAGGTTGTAAGCAGGAGTCCATGTAAAACCCAAGAGTGAGAATGCAAAAAGGGATTGCAGGGCCTAGAAGATACTCTGTCTCTCGTTTCTGCTTCTCTGTCTGCCTGATTCTTCTTGCTCTTCATGCAAGATTTCTCCAAAACAAAGACATTCATAAGGCTACCAGGTTTAGCAAAAACTTTATAGATACATATATATTTTATATATTATGTATCTCGTATATATGTGTTTGATGCTTGATTACATTTAAATTTCCGCTAAAGAATAAAGATTTTTAGTGTTCATCCTACGCAATAACTGGGTGTATTTACACTAAAAATATTTCATTGTTTATTAGAAATATAAGCTTAAATGAGAATTCAATATTTTTTTCTGCCAACCCTAAATAGCTTTTACAAATATACGTCTCAAGCCCAGCCCCATGTAGAGACTCGTTTTCTCTTCCTTTTAACTCCTGGGAGGGAAAAGACTCTGATTGGTCCAGCCTTGGTGGGTTTCAAGTAGCTTGGGCTGAGTAATGTTGATTACACAGTGCTACTAGAAGACTACCTTTGTGGATTAAGGCAGCAACTACAGAGGGTGATTGTGAGCTGGGATGACATACAATGTCCACTCCAGACTATCTGTATTTACTTCGCTTTCAAATAAATGGAGATTGTTCTCGTTGGTTCCTTCTCTCATTTCTCTTAGGAGGCAGTGTTATGTGGCAGGTAGGAACACAGACCCTGAATTTCCACTTCCAAGCGTGATTCCTTCCTCTACTACTTACCAGTTACGATTTTGTGCAAGTCAACTTCCTTATATGTAAAAACGAGATAGATAATAATAGTAACTATAGGATTGCTGTGAAAATTAAATGAACTAAAATAGGTAAAGCACTTAGAACCCTGCCTGTAACATATTAAAATTATACAACAGTTTATTATTTTTCTCCTGAGAAAAGTGTATGCCCAGTGGCTTTCAGGAAGGATGTCCAGGAAGAGAGGGGGACAATCTAACTGACTCACTTGGTTTTAAAACCAGTGTATACCAACTTTAGGCTTATTCTTCAAAATATTTTAGCCCAGAAGTCTACTAATATTTCTGTAAAGGGTCAGATAGCAAATATTTTAGGCTTTATGGGTCCTGTGGTGTTTGCACAATGCCCCAAGTGTGCTGCTGTAGCATGAAAGCAGGCATGGAAAATTTATAAGCAAATGGGTGTGGTCTTGTTTCAATAAAACTTTATTTACAAAAACAGACAGTGGGCCAGATGTGGCCCATGGACAGTAGTTTGTTAACTGCTCCTGTAACCCTTCTGGCATCACTCTTTTTCCCACTTTTCAAAGAATCAATTGAAACTAATATAAACTAATCCTCCTGTCCCCCCCTCAGTCATGGATTTCACAGACACTGAATGACGACTGCCTTGAACACTTGCTGAAAATCAGTTTTACAATATGCTAAGAGCCTTAAAACTGTAGAGACCATTTATTAGTTTGACAAACATTGATTCAGAATCCATGATATATTAAGCACCCTTCTGGCCACTACTGGACATCCCTTCAAAAGAAATCATCAGAGAAGCAGACACAGACAAGGAAAATCAAATATATTTATCAAAATGTGATTACAATAGCAAATAATTTTCATAGCTTCTTAAAATACAACCTAAATTTATAATGTTTAGGTAAATTCTGGTACAATCATAATATGGAATATTATGCTCTCAACAGATTTCCATCCTTCACAATAATGTAAATTTTTTTTACTAGTTTTCAAGTTTTAGGATCAACTTCTAGAGAAAGCACTAATGTTTCAATTATGGACTAAAGAGAGAATATAAAAATTAGCAAAACCAACTAAAAGAAAAATTATAGCTAACAGAAGTTGAGAAGTGTTAGGGAAGATAACAAGATGAGGCCCTTACAAAATGTTAAATAAAAAAAACCCAGGCCGGGCGCGGTGGCTCACGCCTGTAATCCCAGCACTTTGGGAGGCCGAGGCGGGCGGATCACGAGGTCAGGAGTTCGAGACCATCCCGGCTAAAACGGTGAAACCCCGTCTCTACTAAAAATACAAAAAATTAGCCGGGCGTAGTGGCGGGCGCCTGTAGTCCCAGCTACTTGGGAGGCTGAGGCAGGAGAATGGCGTGAACCCGGGAGGCGGAGCTTGCAGTGAGCCGAGATCCCGCCACTGCACTCCAGCCTGGGCGACAGAGCGAGACTCCGTCTCAAAAAAAAAAAAAAAAAACCCAGTTTTATAAATAGGGAAATCAAGGTTTAGATATGTTATTTATAGTATAATGGTAATCAAGAAAGGAATTTAAAAATAAAGGCATAACTTGGGAGAAGAGGCAGGAGAAAATATGTGTTTGGAGATGGTGGTAGAAATGAACCCAACTCCCAACCATCATAGCAGGAAATCAACAGATAATTCCTGAAGTAGAGACATCTAGAAGTCACATGTTATTTAGCCATATGGAGGTAACAGAGAAACTTCAAATGAAAATGCTTAAAAAGTGGTTCCCAAGGGGATATGACTAGATGAGGAGGGTGGTGTGTGTGGAAATAGGGGAGGGAACTATTGCATTTCACTATTGAAAAGGAAACATTGTTTATGAATAGTCTGTAATAACATAGAAAAATATTTCTAATTGAAGTGGAAAGGCTTGTAACAAATTGTATACACAGAACTTTAGCAAGTATATAAAAATGAAAAAGAAAATAAGCAAAATGCTATGCATAGGGAAATGCCAAATTATCTACAGCTCTCTGGATGGTGGGAAACAGGATCATTTTATTTTTTGTCACAACCTTCTTCATTTCTGTATTTCCCCAATTTTCTATAGCAGAATTGCATTACTTTTATAATGCCAAAAGAAATTACACATTAAAAGACTTGAATGGTAGCTCTTTGGTTCAGTTTTCTATACTCTCTGTGTTAGATAGGTATCAAAAAGGAAGGTTTGGCTGGGAGTCAGAGGTCGTGGGATTTTGCTTTTGCTCTGCTAACAATAAGCTGTACCTCATGGGTGGGTTCCCAGCCTCTTCTCTTCTACTGCAAAGGGAAGGTTGAGCTAGGTGATCTCCAAGCTTCCTTCTTTCTCTTGCACTTTAGGATTAATTCTAAAGCAATTCATTATGCACTGGGAGCAACTCCTTATTCTTTCATTTTTATTTCATTTTTTTTTATTTTTTTATTTTTTTTTGAGATGCAGTTTCACTCTTGTCTCCCAGGCTGGAGTGCAATGGCACGATCTCAGCTGACTGAAACCTCCGCCTCCCGGGTTCAACCAATTCTCCTGCCTCAGCCTCCCGAGTAGCTGGGATTACAGGCATCTGCCACCATGCCCAGCTAATTTATTATTACTATTAGTAGTAGTAGTAGTAGTATTTTTAGTAGAGACAGGGTTTCACCGTGTTGGCCAGGCTGGTCTCAAACTCCTGACCTTTGGTGATCCTCCCACCTCGGTCTCTCAAAGTGCTGGGATTACAGTCATGAACCACCACGCCCAGCCTATTTCATTTTATTTTTAACAGCTTTAGTGAGGTATAATTGATATACCAAAAAAAAACGTGCATACATTTAATGAATACAGTTTGATGAGTTTGGACATATGCACACATCTGTGAACCCATCGCCACAATCAACATCATAGATACATCCATCATATCAGTTCCAAAAGTTTCCTTGTGTCCTTTTTCTCTTTTTTTTCTTTGTGGTGAGAATATTCATATACGTAATTTAACATAGTCAAATTTATAGAAGCAGAGAATAGAATGGTGATTAGCAGGGCCTAGAGGGAAAGGAAATGGGGAGTTGTTCAATTGGCATAAATTTTCAATTATGCAGGATGAATACTCTCTACAGATCTGCTCTACAATATAGAACCTGTAGTTGACAATACTGTATTATGCTCTCAACAATTTGTTAAGAGGGTAGATCTTCTGTTAAGTGTTCTTACCACAGCTCCTTATTCTTAGTCATCATGATCCACACAACAGGATCCCAGTCCCGTTTGGTTCCCTTGAAATGATCTGTGTGTGCACCCTTGTCAAATAGAACCTGCTGTTGGCATCTCAGATGCAGCAAAGAGACCATGGGCTTTGGAGTCCGGCAGACCTGGCCACTCATTTATTGTGTACCTTGGGGGAAAATCACTTGTAGCATAGCACCTGCAATGCTGACTGGTACACAGTGATTTGTAAAGAAGAAATTTCTCTGAACCTACCTCCCTGTCTTTAAAAGGAGACACATAACAATAATCCTTACTTTCTAGAGTAATTGTGAGAACAAGAGAGCTTGTATGTCAAAGGACGTAGCATAGTGTGTGGCACATGACAGGGTCTTAGTAAGAGGAAGCTGTCACTACAGTACCCAATCTTTAGTATGTTTATAAAGCTTAGCACAGAGGTTTATGCCCCATATTCATTACCTCGTTTAATCTTCTTGTGGTCCTTCCAGTTAGGGAGGGATTTCTCTCAGGTTGGGGCTACAACATGAAGTGTAGCTAAGAGCATGGACTTGAGACAAACAGACTTCCATTGTCTAGCTGTGTAATTAGGAAAGTTATGTAACTTCTCAAAGCACCTTTATTTTCTCATCTGTAAAATGGGATGTTAATAGGATACCTACCTCAAGGATGGTAGTGAGAATTAAATAAATTACTGTATGTAAATTGCATGGAGGAGTGCCTGGTGCATAATATAGTTAGCTATTATTATTCTTGTTTTACAGATGAGATCACTGAAACTGGAAGTGGATGGATAGCTCTCCTATGGAGGAGGGTCACACATTTAAGAGTGAAAACATGAACCCAGGCGGGTAGAAGCCATCACTTGCTTGCTTAATCATCATGCTGTTTACCCTCTCCCTGGTCAACTATTTAGCATAAGTGAATATGGATAAAATTGCCCAGATGAACTGTTGCTCACTACATATTGCATTTGTAGGTTAGAGTAAATAACATCTGATAGAAAGTGTCATTACAATTAAAAAAAAAAAGAGAGAGAGCTTCAGATGCCCAGTGTTGTACCCAAGCTAAAGATGAAGGATGGCATTTGGAAAGGGCATATCACAGGGACTGCAGAGCCTGGGCATGGAGCGATGACTCAACACTGAGTCCCTGGTTGCTACCCACAGTCTGGATGGCTTGCTGGTAGCCTGGGAAGCGAGGGTGGAGGGGTCAGTGGCTTTGTGTTGGAAATTGTGGAGCAGAGAAGAAACAACTATTGCAAAAGTTTCCTGCAACCACAGAGAACGTGTCCAGAGTGATTTATTGCAACTGGAGTTTCATTATTTCCTTCTGTCTAGGGGATTCTGTGTGTAGGTTTCTGCTGACCTCCTTCCCCAGGAAGCGAGAACAGAATGTGACCTCTCCTTGTTCTTTATTGAGTCCAAGTGCTCAAATGCACCTTCAGGTCAGACGCAAACCCATGAGGGATCTACTTTGAGCCCACAATCATGGAATTCTGATGTGCTACAAGGTGGCAGTAAAAATGGAAACCATCATTCCTGATATTTTAAGCCAGTACCATGTTCCAGTCATACTATATCACCGAATCTAAAATGACTTCAATAACTTTCACTTTTGTTTCATGTACCACTAAGAAAAAAAACCCTCCATCCAATAACCTAGGATATACCCTCAATTGTAAGTCACATTCCAATTCCAGAGATGATAAAATGTGGTAAACATGTGTCTGAAGAGTAATTCAATATAGTGTTAGCTCATTTGATCCTCCCATTGACTCCACAAAGCAGGCATAAATATACACCTCCTTCAAGAATAGGAAAGTGGTTCAGAGATATTAGATAACTTGTTCAAAGTTAAACAGTCAGTAAGAAAGGGCCAAAATTTAAACCTGGGCAGCCTGATGCAAGCCCATGCACCTCCTGCAACCTGCAAGTCACCTGTTCTCTGTGCATTTAAGGAAGGAAGCCTGGTGGTATCTTCGTGTTCCTTCTCTCCCTTTCCTCAGCTGAACTTCAGGCTTCACACATTACAGCTTCCCTGTCCCAGACTGAGTCCCTAGCTGCTTCCAGAGGCCAGTAGAGCCCCAGAGGTCAGAACTTCCTCCTTGAATCTTTTCAAAACTCTCTGGTTGGGAACAGCAGAAACTATCAATAGCAGACGGGGAGCTTGTTGGGAGAAAAAGGGCAGCTTGCAGAATGGACCAGAGAGTGGGACATGGGCAACGCCAGGAGTCTGGATGCCAAGAAGTCTTCAAACCTCTCCTTGTAAGAATCTGCATTAGCCAATTCTGATTAATTTTCCTAAAGTCGTGTCACAAAATGCAAGAGTCAACATTTCAGGACAGACAACCCCGTTGAGGATTCTCAGGGGAAGTGTAAACTCAGCAGGGAGTTCTTCAAGAGGAAATTTAGGCAAAGAGTTCAGGCTTTGGGTTCAAACTGCCTTCTTTTTTTAAATTTTATTATTATTATACTTTAAGTTTTAGGGTACATGTGCACAACATGCAGGTTTGTTACATATGTATACATGTGCCATGCTTGTATGCTGCACCCATTCATTCAAACTGCCTTCTTGCACAGCCAGCTCTGCCTACCCTCTGGGTGACCCTGGGAACCTAACCCCTATGCACCTCAGTCCCTGCCTCTGTAGAATGGAGATCACAACAGCCCTACCTCACAGGGCTTGGAGGATGTAGGAGATGATGCTTCACACCATGTACACAGCAAGTGCTTAATAAATGTTGGCAACCATCTGTCCCTTCATGTGTCAAACTTTGAAAGTTACAGCTCTTTGTCACAGAAACTTTCTGATGCCTACAACTTCATGATTTTTTTTCCAGAAGTATCTAAAGTCCCTAAGATTGGAAATGCCTCATGTTTGATTTTGAGCTACCACTTGGAAGTGAAAACCCTCAGGTCTCAAATTTTCTGTTGAAAATATGTAATATCTGACATTGGTATATAAATGGATCATTTCCATAGTCATCCTTCAAATGCCTTGTTTTTTTTTTTTTGATCCACTATGTACATAGTCTGTGCCCAACACTGTGGCAATGTCTATAATCTATATGCAAGGAGATAAGGTCTGTATCATTCATGAATTTATGACTTAATAGGTCAGAAACCTATTAAGTTGTAAACAATAGGTCATAAACTTAAGGAATAAACTAGGTTTCCCAACCTCATACTATTGACATTTTATCAATTCTTTGTTGGGAGGAGCCATCCTGTGCATTGTAGGATGTTTAGAACATCCCTGGTCTCTACTTCTAGATGCCAGTAGCAAATACCCTTCCCTTTAGTTTTAAAAACCAAAAATACCTCCATTTTTTTTTTTCTTTTTGAGACAGAGTCTCGCTCTGTTGCCCAGGCTGGAGTGCAATGGCACGATCTCGGCTCACTGCAACCTCCACCTCCTGGGTTCAAGTGATTCTTCTGCCTTAGCATCCTGACTGAGTAGCTGGAAGTACAGGTGTGTGCCACCCCTCCCATCTAATTTTGTGGTTTTAGTAGAGACAGAGTTTCACCATATCGGCCAGGCTGGTCTCAAACTCTTGACCTCAGGTGATCTGCCCACCTCTGTCTCCCAAAGTGCTGGGATTTGGGAGCCACCGTGCCTGGCCCTCCAGACGTTTCTAAATGTGCCTTGGGGTGCAATGTTGCTCCCAGCTGAGGACCACTGTGGTGGATCAACATAAGCTCCAAGAGAAACTAGCTGTCTCTGTCTGGTTCACCATTGCATTCTCAGGATCTAGAAGAGTACCTGACACATAGAAGGTGCTTTACATTTGCAAAATGATCAAATAAACCTGGATCATGGCAATCTTAGGCTAAAAACAAAAGAAACTACAAAACACACTTCAAATATCCTTATTGCTTTCTAAATCAAGTCTGAATTCCTTAGCTGGTGCTCAGAGCTCTCCACCATGTGGGTCCAAGTGTACCTTCTCAGTCTTTTGCTCCCATTTGGACTCAGGTGGTCCCCACAGACTCATTTCACTACTTTTATTTCATTTTATTTTATTTGAGAGAGTCTCACTCTGTCGCCTAGGCTGGATGGAGAGCAGTGGTGAGATCTCCGCCCACTGCAACCACCGTTTTCCAGGTTCAAGTGATTCTCCTGCCTCAGCCTCCCGAGTAGCTGGGACTACAGGCTCATGCCACAAGGCACTGGCTAATTTTTGTATTTTTAGTAGAGATGGGGTTTCACCGTATTGGCCAGGCTGGTCTCGAACTCCTGACCTCAAGTGATCCACCTGCCTCAGGCGACCCAAAGTGCTGGGATTACAGGTGTGAGCCACCACACCTGGCCAACCACATTTATTTTTACAAAATGATCTCAACCGCTTGGCGAGAAATCATTTCGGCCTACCACGTTTATCCTGCACTAGAAGACCCGTTGGAAGAACTGTCAAACAAATATATTAGTCGTCAAAGTGACACTACGAGGTAAACCCTACATGAATAAGAGACGATAATGTTTTATCGCACAAGAATAAAGCTGGCTCTTTCCCCCTGCTTGACATAGATTTGAAATGGTACCTCCAAGGCTGTGGCTGGAAAGAGCCCAGCTTCAAGTGAGCCTCCTCCCTTTTGTTGCTCCCTCTCTGCCATCCTGGGATGGGAGTGTGCGTGGGGAGCAGGGGGGTTACTCAGAATCTGATGTAATCCCTCCTTTCCATCCATGATGCACAGTCCTGAGCTTGCAGAGGAGCCCTGGGAATGGTCTCTCAGCTGTGGCCCCTTCTGGGTCCCACAGGGGCCTTTCCAGGGTGTACAGTGCAGAGATGTGCACAGAGCTGTTAAAAAAAAAAAAAAAACAAGGCCAAGGAACAGAACGCATGTGGCTTTTCCAGCGGGGATGGTTCTTATTTAAACTTTGGTTTTACATTTGTTTTGATATTTGAATTTGAAGCCAGGCCAGGAAAAAGGAAAATCTGCAATTATAATCATTTCTTAGCCTGTTAAGATGAAACTTTAAAATGAAATGTTAGGTTAGAAAGTAGGCAAAACAGCCGGGCACGGTGGCTCGCACCCGTAATCCAAGCACTTTGGGAGGCTGAAGCGGGCAGATCACGAGGTCAGGAGATCGAGACCATCCTGGCCAACATGGTGAAACCCCGTCTCTACTGAAAATACAAAAATTAGCCTGGCGTGGTGGCATGCACCTGTAGTCCCAGCTACTCAGGAGGCTGAGGCAGGAGAATCGCTTGAACCCAGGAGGCAGAGGCTGCACGGAGCCAAGATCGCATGCCACTGCACTCCAGCCTGGGTGACAGAGCGAGACTCTGTCTCAAAAAAAAAAAAAAAAAAAAAAAAAAAAGTAGGCAAAACAGCAATAGGCTCAGAGGTCAAGCAACCCAGCAAGTTCCAATTCAGGTTTCTCTCTTTGTAGGTATGTGACCTTGAGCAAGTTATCTCACCTTTCTAAACCATGGCTTCCTTAACTGTTGTAATAATGTTAAACTCTTTGGGTGCTAGGGAAGCTTAAAGAAGATAATCCATGCCATGTTCTCAGCACTGTACCAAGAGCCACACATAAAGGAAAGGTGCTGTTTTGTTTTTGTTGTTGTAGTTGCTGATGAATACAGCCTCCTGTAGAGATAGTAGGGTCTCCTCTGGACAATGGCTTCTTCCAGAGATCAAGTCTTACCCCTGGAACATGCAGAGCCATGTCAAATATGAAATCAATGTCTTCTTACCCTTTGCTTGTGAAGGGAAGCTGACAAGCTGGGTAGGACAGGGTTGGGGGACAAGGGTATTATTTGGCAAAAGCACTGAAAGTTTCCTCTTCACAGCTGGACTAAATATGGACTCATTCTGTGGCCACCCCCCTCTAGACCTCCCTGTCACCATTTATACAACAAGAAGGTTAGAATCTGAGTGTCTCTAAACTATCTTCATTCTTTGATCTACTAGTCTGGTGTTGTTCAATGGAACTGTCTGCAATGCTGTAAACCTTGTGTCTGCCAACTTGGTAGCCGTTAACCAGATGAAGGTATTGAGCCTTGAAATGTGGCCAGTGCCACCAAGGAACTAAATTTTTGACTTTATCTAAATTTTAATACATTTAGATTCAAATGTAAGTAGCCCATGTGGCTAATGGTTACTACATTGGACGGCACATCTTCATAATTCTGGAAATCCACAATGAAGTTTCTAAATGCAACCACGATTCCCATATTGTTGCCAGATCCATCCATCTACAGGTGGCAATAGGAAGGTATGTTACACTAGCAGACTCTAGTATCTGTGAGGTCAGAGATCATGTCCCAGTATGACTTTCTCTCCAGAGTCTTTTATAGCATAGAACACAGAGCCGGTGACAAATAGCATGTCAATAAATGAATGAATGAACGAATGAATGATTTTTCTCTGGGAGTCTCTCTTTCATCTTCCTGCCATAGGCCTGAAATTCCCCTAAGAGCAAATAATTCTGGCAGCTTTTGCATTCTGCTGTCCAGAAGTCATCTGTTAAAATACAGCCACCCTTGGGAAGGTATTGTAATAAATAAGGCCATTATTAGCATCCTACATCCATTAATCCATCAGATTAGTTGAACACTTAAGGGAATAGTACAAAGGAGAGGAACACACTGATTGTAAAGGCTGAGGGAAATTCTATAACTTAATGAGTTTATGTGTTGCATATTGTACATGTTTCCTTTTTCCTTGTGTGTTCAGGTGTGCCTGTCTGATAATCTCCAGGTGTGTCGGTGTATGGCTGTGTGTGCAATATATAGATGGGATTTGTCCATTGTTAGATAGTTGGACTCCAAATGACAATCATAATAATAAAATAATCTCAATAATAATCTCTGCCACTTAATATCTAATGTGATCTTTGAACAAACACTTAGCCTTTTGGAATTCACTAACTGTGAAATGGGGATAATAGGAATTATGTCTTATGGATTTGTGATCATTAAACAACATATTTTTTAAAGTACCTGACACAATACCTGACATATAATAGGTGCTCAACAAGTGCTCACTAAACGACACAATAAAATTGTGATTATATATTTCATATGTCTACATATTGTATATGTCTTACTAATTACATTAAATGCATTGCAACTATTCTCTTCTTTAATTCTCATAATAATATTGCCAGCTACGTAGTATATTATCTCTATTTTACAAATACAGAAATGGCCTCGAAGGAGCTGAGTGCCTTAACTGAGTTCAGCCAACCAGATCAGCAAATCAGCCAGTGTTGAAGAATAATAGTAATGATCCTAGAGTGATCTAATAGGAAAAAATAATTGGAAATGAGCACAGACTGAACTTCAAATCTACAGCCTTTCCCTAAAGCTGCCAAGGCCTCTGGAGCCAGGAGGGCCCTGAGTAGCCAGACATCTGCATAATGGTTTCTCATCCTTTCCTCTCTTCTCATCCTTTCCTCTCTTATCAGTTAATTCAGCTAGCTGAATATGGCTCCAGGCTCAGAGCCAGTTAGAGCCCTCTGAAAACAAGGCTGTAGGTGGATAAGTGGGGAATGTCTGTTTTCTTCTCTTTTGCATAGAAACCCAGACTGTGTGAGTTTTGAAGGTTAGCAGGGGTGCTAAGGAGGCTAGTCAAGGCCTATTTGGAAAGTGAAAGGCTAAAACAAAGCACCTCAGGCCAGAGAAAAAGGAAATAGCAACAGCTGTCTCTGCAGATGCGCTTCCCTCACCCACTCTCGCATCCCCATCCATCCTGGGGATGTGGGTGGTTGCAAAGTTGTGTTTAGAGAAGGGATGAAATTGGGTGGGGATGAGGAAAGCTTGAGACATTATTGTAAAGTTAAAGCTATAAAATCTTTGTGAAATCTTCTTCTTCTAGATCAAACCTGGCCCGTAAAGTTGTTTAACTCCCACATTATGGTTGTGGGAGATACTACCACCCAATAAAATCTAAGAGGCTACCAGTCATACTGTGTCTGGATTCATGTCACGTCCAGTACCTGCACCACAACTGTGAGAAGTAGGAATACTGCAGAGATTTCCTGATAGATCAGTAATCTCAGAGTCCCAGAATCTTCCTGCTATGTCTGCTTAAGAGTCAGGTTGTTTAGGTTCAACCCCCAGCTCAATGTTAGTTAACTTTGACTTTCTTCTTTCAAAAATGGGGGTGATAATGTTGATATTGGTAAGACAATTAAAGGAGGTAATTTATGGAAAATATTTATAGTAGTGCCTAGTACAAAATAGGTATTTGGTGAATGCTGGTGCTCCTTATAATTATTCCGTCTCCACCAAACATCCTTTTGGTAATGAAATATTGTGCTTGGTCTCATGGCCAGCAGTCAGAGTGCAATGCACTCTCACAAAGCTTGTACCTGGAGTTGAGTCAACAGATGCATTTTATCTCCCATGTCTTTTAAGTGACAGAATCCTCAGTCATTGAGTGGAAGTCCACAAGTTTGGCGCTTGACATGGTTAAATATAGTTTGGATGTTTGTCCCCCTTCAAATCTCATATTTATATGCGATATAGTTTGGATGTTTGGCTGTTTGTCCTCTCCAAGACTCGTATTGAAATATCCCTGTATTAATCCTTTCTCACACTACTATAAAGAACTGCTTGAGACTGTGTCATCTATAAAGAAAAGAGGTTTAGTTGACTCACAGTTCCGCACGCCTGGGGAGGCCTCAGGAAATGTACAATCATGGTGGAAGGCAAAAGGGAAACAAGGTAACTTCCTCACAAGGTGGCAGGAAGAAGTGTCGAGCAAAGGGGGGAAGAGCCCCTTATAAAACCATCAGATCTTGTGAGAATTCACTCACTATTATGAGAACAGCATAGGGGAAACTGCCTCCAAGATCCAGTCACCTCCCACCAGGTCTCTCTCTCGACACCTGGGGATTACAATTCAAGATGAGATTTGGGTGGGGACACAGAGCCTAACCATATCAATCCCCAGTGTTGGAGGTGGGTCTAGTGGGAGGTGTTTGGGTCATGGGGGCAGATTCCTCATGAATGACTTGAGGCTGTCCTTGTGGTCATGAGTTCTCACTCTATTAGTTCATGTAAGAGCTGGGTGTTTAAAGGAGCCTGGCACCCCTTCCTCTCTCTCTTGCTCCCTCTCGTGCCATCGATGTATCTGCTCCCCCTTTGCCTTCTGCAATGATTGCAAGCTTCCTAAGGCCTCACCAGAAGCAGATGCTGGTGCTACACTTCTTGTACAGTCTGCAGAACTGTAAGGCAAAATAAACCCCTTTTCTTTATGAATTACCCAGCCTCAGGTATTCCTTTATAGAACGCAGAATGGATTAATGCAGCTCTGAATCAGAATTGATTACCCTTTCGTGACCTCTTAGCAGTATCTTTGCTCTAGACTGAGCCAGGACCTAGCTCTGGGAGTTTCTGTAGCTCAAGAGTTGGTAAATAGTTACCTCCAGGATCCTGGCCCAGTTTCTAGCATCTATTCTGCCACTTTCTGATTGGCAACCACAAAGAAAAATGGGGAAAGAGCACAAGCTCTAGATTAAGGCAGAGTGGTTCAAATCCTAGCTCTACTACTCACTTGCTATGTAATATTAGTTAAGTAATTTCACTTCTATGAGCTGCAGGGGTTGTTTTTTTCAATCTAGGCATCCTCAAATGGCCTTGGTAGCACAAACCTCTTGACGATTATGTGAGTCAGGGTTCTCCAAAGAAATAGAACCAATAGAATTGTAAACCAAAAAGTATCTGAGGCAGTATCTGAATCAGTTTAGATTTTTATGTTGTCAAGATTAAGGACCATAGCCCGTGACACACCCTCAGGAGGTTCTGAGAACATGTGCCTGAAGTGATTGTATTACAGCTTGGTTTTCTATAGTTTGGGGAGACAGAAGTTACAGGCAAAGACATAAATCAATATGTGGAAAGTATACATTAGTTCAGCCTCAGAAGGCAGGATATCTCAAAGCGGGGGCTTCCAGGCCATAGGTGGATTCAAAGTTTTCCTGATTGGATATTGTTGAAAGAGTTAAGCTCTGCCTGAAGAGTTGAATTCAGCATAAAGAAATGCTTGAGTTTAGATAAGCGGGATTGGGGAAGCCAAGTTTCTTATCATGTAAATAAAGCCTCTACATAGCAGACTTCAGAGAGAATAGATGGTAAATGTCCCTTATCAGTACTTAAAATGTGTCAGACTCTCTGGAAAGGACCCAGTAAGGGAAGGAGATTCTCTACAGAATGCAAATTTTCCCCCAGAAGAGATGGCTTTCAGAGCCATTTCAAAATATATCAAATAAATATATTTTGAGGTAAAATACTTCACCTGCTACCTGTCGTGTGTCATGTCATGACAGAGTCAGATTGCAATTTGATAACATATTGCTACAAGCAGCTTGTTTTGTCAGTCTTAAGATCTCTCTTTTCATGTTAATGCTGGCCAGTTGTGCCTAAACTCCAAAGGGAGGAAGGTATTATGAGGCATGTCTAACCCCACCTTCCCATCATGGCCTGAACTAGTTTTTCAGGTTTCTTTAGGATTCCTTTGGCCAAGATGGGATCCATTTAGTTGGTCGAGGGCCTTAGAATATTATTTTGGGGTTAGAGCATGTATTTATACATACTATAGAAACTGGTTCATGCAGTTATGCCGACTGAGAAGTTGCACAATCTGCCGTCTGCAGGAGGGACACCTAGGACAGCCAGTGGTGTAGTTGCAGTCTGAGTCCAAAGCCCTGACGACTAGGAGAGTTGATAATCTAAGATGCAATCCTTACGCCATGGAACACTATGCAGCCATAAAAGGAATGAGTTCATGTCCTTTGCAGGGCCATGGATGAGGCTAGAAACCATCATTCTCAGCAAAATAACACAGGAACAGAAAACAAAACACTGTATGTTCTCACTCATAAGTGGGGGTAAACAGTGAGAACACATGGACACAGGGAGGGGAACATCACACACCAGGGCCTCTCGGTGGGGTATGGGTATAGGGGAGGGAGAGCATTAGGACAAATACCTAATGCATGAGGGGCTTGAAACCTAGATGACGGGTCGATGGGTGCAGCAAACCACCATGGAACATGTATACCTATGTAACAAACCTGCACGTTCTGCACATGTATCCCAGAACTTAAAGTCAAATTAAAAAAAAAAAAAGAAAGAAAAAAAAGATGCTGTCCAAATGCAGAAAGAGAGAAATGTCCCGGCTTAAAATAATCAGACAGAGAGAGAAAATTCTCTCTTACCCTGCCTTTCCCCTATTCAGGCCCACCCACCGTAGGGAAGACAATCTGTTTTACTCAGTCTACCTATTCAAATATTAATGATAACTAGAAGCATCCTCATGAGCCCACTAAGAATAATGTTGACAATATTTGGGCACTGTGTAGTACAGATAAGTTGACACGTAAAAGTAACTATCATAGTGGCCTTACTTGGGCACCAACACTGGAATAAATGAAGGTCAGTGGTTTCCAGTCTCCTTGCATCACTTCTTTCAAGAGTCAAAGTCCCCACCGGGTGCAGTGGCTCATGGTTGTAATCCCAGCACTTTGGGAGGATGAGGTAGGTGGATCACTTGAGGCCAGGAGTTCGAGACCAGCCTGGCCAACATGGTGAAACCTCATCTCTACTAAACCTACAAAACTTAGCTGGGCGTAGTGTCGCATGCCTGTAATCCCAGCTACTGGGGAGGCTGAGGCAGGAGAATTGCTTGAACGCGGGAGTTGGAGGTTGCAGTGAGCTGAGATTGTGCCACTGCACTCCAGCGTGGGAGATGAAGCAAGGCGCCTTCTCAGAAAAAGAAAGAAAAAAAAAGTCAAAGTTCCAGGAAAGATACTGAATGGCTGTTATTATATCATGTGCCTGTCCCTATGTATTCTGGTGGTGTGAAAAGTGATATGGTTGAGATACCCAGCACATAATACATGTTCCACTTATGAATACCTACTTTTATTTTTTGTTTCTCTCCTCTCTGTGCCTTATTATCAGTAACTCAGTGAATCATTTCAGAATGTCTTTGCAATCTAGTTATCCTGAAAACAACCTCCTCAACACCCACTGGCCAAATTTGCTTCTTTGCCGTCAATAATGTACACAGTTTAGGTGTTGAACAGTGTGATACTAGTTATTTCAGTTCTTGGCATTGTGTTTACCAATTTTTAAAAGTCTTGCCTTCAGGACACACTGAACATGATTACTCTATGTGAAAGACGCATTCCTGGTACTTTTTTAACGTACCAAGCCAGAGTCCTACCAGCCTTTCTCCCTGCCCGCTGCACTAGAAGTGTAAGCATGTCCTTGCCTGGGAGGAAGGGAGCCGAGAGCCATGACCTGGCATGAGTTGGGTCTTTTGGGGGTGGACCCTGTACTTTTTAGTTAGTAGATTAGCAAGCTCATGAAAAGGCATAGCCACGTGCGGTGTCTCATGCCTATAATCCCAGCACTTTGGGAGGCCGAGGCAGGTGGATCACCTGAGGTCAAGAGTTCGAGACCAGCCTGACCAATATGGTGAAACTCCATCTCTACTAAAAATACAAAAATTAGGTGGCTGTGGTGTTGTGCACCTGTAATCCCAGACACTCGGGAGACTGAGGCAGGAGAATCACTTGAACCCAGGAGGCAGAGGTTGCAGTGAGCTGAGATCGAGCTGCTGCACTCCAGCCTGGGTGACAGGGCAAGACTCTGTCTCAAAAAAGAAAAGGCATAGCTCTTGCCTTTCTTTGAGCCTCAAGATTGCACTTTTTTTTTGAGACAGGGTCTTGCTTTGTTGCCCTGGCAGGAGTGCAGTGGCACGATCTCTACTCACTGAAACCTCCGCCTCCCGAGTTCAAGTGATTCTCGTGCCTCAGCCTCCCAAGTAGTTGGGATTACTGGCCCCTGCCACCACGCCTGGCTAATTTTTGTATTTTTTTAGTAGAGACAGGGTTTCTCCATGTTGGCCAGGCTGGCCTTGCACTCCTGACCTGGAGTGATCCACCCACTTCGGCCTCCCAAAGTGCTAGGATTACAGGTGTGAGCCACTGTGCCCCGCCAAGGTTGTACTTTAATACTTGTGTCACCTAAAATCTTTCATCGTACTCATAACAACATCATGCGCATTTATTAGCTTTGCGCAAGAAATCTGTTTTTGAAATGCATGCAAAGGGAGAGCAACTGCCCCTCCCACTCCCCTAAATACAGATATTTCCCATTCCCCCTCCTCTTAATTTCAAACTCGGCCTCGAGCAGGGGCCTCTCACCATCACTTCTTCTAGCCCCTGTGCACTTCTACAGAATCTTAGGCAGACTGGAGTAGATTAGAAAGGGAAGAAAACATAACTCCTAAATGCCAGCTCTCTAGTAAGAGTCTGTTTCTAGTTAGAGTCTATTTTCGCCCTGGACAACACCAGTGTGATTACAAGTGCAAGGTCTGCAGATTCAGCTACCCACCAGGGGGTTTGAACCTCCCCATGTTAGCAACATTTTTCTTTTCCTTTTTCTTCTCTTTTTCCTTTTTTTTTTTTTTTAAGGAATTTTACTCTTGTCACCCAGGCTGGAATGCAATGGCGTGATCTTGGCTCACTGCCACCTCTGCCTCCCAGGTTCAAATGATTCTCCTGCCTCAGCCTTCTGAGTAGCTAGAATTACAGGTGCCCACCACCACGCCTGGCTAAATATATGTGTATACACACACACACACACACACACACACACACACACACACACACACATATATATTGTATTTTTATCAGAGACGTGATTTTGCCACGTTGGCCAGGCTGGTCTTGTACCCCTGACCTCGGGCGATCCACCCGCCTCAGCTTCCCAAAGTGCTGGGATTACAGGTGTGAGCCACCATACCCAGCCTAGCAACATTTTTCATAAGAGGCAGCCTACTGCACTGGTGATATAGGAGTTAAGAAGAAATTATTTAGGCAGATAGTGAGAATACAGAAGTCCTCAGTAACATTTTCCTTTCAATGAAAAGCAGCCCCCAAATCATTTTTTTTCCCTAACAAGGAGCACCCTGTAAAATTGAGCTGCAGACATAGACAAGCGAGCTGGAAGCTTGCACCGTTGAATGCCGGCAGTTGTGCAAGTAGAAAATGGCTGCCTGGGACTAGGCAGGTTAAAAATGGCGCCTCCATCTTCCCTTCTTTTTGCTAAACCTCATGTACAGGAAGGAGAAGACAACATGACGCTGGCCAGGCAAAGGCCCCATTTGCATAATAAGATTGGGGTAGGGCGACCAGCCTTCCCTGCTCGCTAAGTAAATCACACACAGCCTCCTCAAGCCTGCCTGTAAAATCAGGAGCAGTCTGCTGCAGGCTGGTTTTTCCTTTCCGGCGCCCCTCTTTCTTGCAAGCGAGAGAGCTGTTCTCCTTTCTCTTTCTTCTATTAAACCTCCGCTCCTAAATTCACTCCTTGTCTCCTTGTGTGTGTTGGCATCCTCATCTTCTTGGGGCAAGACGATGAACCCTGGGTATTTACCTCAGACAATGACACTGCCTTACTGGGTTAAGGATACAGATTAAAATCCATGTGCTAGGTTGCATTGTTGATCCTAATTCTTCACCCCTCCCTCCAGCCACATCATTTTCCTTGTTGACTTTTCATTTTCTTCCCACTCCTCTAATTTGAGTTCTGCTATGTCACTCTCTTTAGGCAACAGAATAAGCTGAGGTGATGTAAAATTCCAAGACTACTCCTTCCCAGGCCTGTGAGTTTCCCTTTGCCCTCTTGCATCTCCTCCATGCTAGGAGAATAACATGCCCAGGACAACCTGCTGGATGAAAAGAACAGCAGAAAGGTAGAGCCATGCCAGTGAATTCCTAGCCCACCCCTAGCCAACCTGCAGACCTTGAGCTAAATGATGGCTTATTGTTGCGTCCGTCCTGGAAAGATATTTGGGGTTGTTTGTTCGGGTTCAATTTCTTGACTTTTCATGAAGAGCTAGAACTAGATGGTTCTTAAGGATAGTTTTAGCTCTGAAATCATGCAGTTCCTCAGATATCCAATAAATCGTCCCCCAGTATCTTTGCCTTGAGCATTAATTATATTGTATTGTAGGAAACATATCAAGTGTCTGCCTCCCCGACCGATTGTGAGATCCAGGTGGATCAGCCATGGCTTACTCATCTCTGCAGCACAGTGTCCATCTCAGGGCTAACACATTGTAAGTTATCAGTTAATGTTTGTTGTGGGAATGACTATATGGCCGAGGGGCCATTCCAGTGGCACATTCAGATAGGCAGCAAGTTCATCGACTTTCTGTTTTCAGAGACAGATATCTCCATTTCACCCGACTATGTGCATGCTGTCCTTTGTGCAGTGGGTGACTTGATCAACCAGGATTTTTTTCATTTAATTAATGTATAGCATACTTATCAAATGCATACAGTGCATCAAAGTGCTTTTAGATTTTCATGTATCTATTTGTATATTTAGCTATCTTGTTAACTATAACAAGATAATACCTGCCAATGATTTAAAAATAGGTACTATAAAAGGATATCCAGTGAAAATTAAGTCCCTCCTCCTCTTCACTGTTAGTTCCCTAGGTCACCTCTCTGTTGTAGTTTCTGGGATAGCGTTCCAGAGATATTCTATGAATGTACAAGCAAATAGGCATCTATCATCCCACTTCTCCTTCTTTTGTGTATTAATGGTGCATACTTCCACGCTCTTTTATTTTGCTTTCCTCACTTACTGTTTGCTTTAGATAGTACAGTGTTTAGTAGACATTGCTCTGTCTTGATATTCTAATGGCTGCATAGTATTCCATTTTATAGCTGCACCACAATTTAAGCAACCCTTGTTGTGGGTGTCAAAGTTAATTTCAGTCTTTGGGCCAAACTCCTCTGAAGGGCCTTTGAAAACCTTGGCCTCATTGGGAGCCAGCAGGGATGGGCACTTGACCAAAAGGCCAGCGGGGAATGATATCTAGCCCATACTCCACTCATCAAGCCAGGAACTCTAATGTATCACTGTACAGGTGTACAGTGTGTAAGACAGATTCTCCCTGGCCTCATCCCTCTAAAAGTCTTAAAGAGGTAGCCCTGTGATCCTAGCGCCCAGCCTATCTCAGAGCTTAGCTAAGTGAGATGACCAGTTGCCACCTTGAATAACCACAGATGCTAACTACTCCATAAGCAGTTAATTATGAAGAGTCAGAACCAAGTAATAGATATTGAGTAAGGAGGTGGATAAAAGGCTGGGACTTGAGAACGGACCAGACATAACAATGGTGCTAGACCCACGAAGTGTCCCATAAATAGAAAAAAAGAGGGAATGCAGAGGGCATGGGGATAGAGAGTGATGGTGAGAGTTGATCTCCTAGGCAGGTGGGGGAGCCCTGGAGGGTCAGTTCTGGGGGTTCCTGAAGGTTAACATAGGACAAAAAAAGTTAATGGCTGCCAATAGAATTGTGAACGTCTGATGGAAACATTTTAAAAACTCCTCTTTAATATGATTTTTAAAACATTTTAATTTTTCTGTAAAAAAAAAAAGCTATTTATCCAAACTCTTCTTCTTTCTATGATCTCATGTCTTTAAATATACCAAACATGATAATTTTATGAGCAAATCACATTATACATAATACATTTTTATGTTTCAAATCTTACAAAATGACTTAAGTTCCATAGAGTGTGTTAATTTTTTTTAAAGAAGAATGCATATATTTCAGTGTTCCCACTTTGCTACTTCATCTGCTCTCCTCCATCACAAATATCCCCCTCCTTGGCTTCAACATTTTGGAAAATTTCTTGTCTGTAATTCCAAACTTCTCTTCAAGGATGACTTCTCCTTTCCAGATAAGATCCGGACTCTGATTCCAATGCCACCATTTGTTTGCAGTTTGACTTCTGATGAGTCACTTAAGCGCTCTAGTCCTTGGTTTCCTATCTGGAAAGTGGAAACCATAATAATACTTACCCCATGTTGGGATGATTGCATGGTATGTGTTCAGTATCTGGCACAGTGCTCGGTGCACATTCGGCAGACTTTATGTTCCGTTTCTCCTTCCTGATACCGTTCAGAAAGTACTCTCTTTGGTCCTGGACCAGTGGTCTCTCATAATAACCTGGCTGGGTTAGAAATTAGATGGAGATATTTAGGTAAAATAAGGAGGGATCAGAAGTCAAGAGAAATGACTTGAGATAGATCTCAAGCAGAAAAGGTGACACAGGAAAAAAACACAAAAACAACAACAACAACAACAAAAAACAAAGAGAGGCCCTCTGCTGGTATACTGGAGAAGACAGGCCTGTTGGAAGAGGCAGGGACAAATCTCTGGGATGACAAGTTGTCCTGGTTTTCCTGGAACTCAGAAGTTCTCAAGATGTGAGACTTTCAGTGCTAGAACCAGGAAATCAGGACAAGTTGTTCACCCAATGTCTTAACCTTTTGGAAGTCATGAAGGACCCTTCCCAGGCCCATGAAAGACTGGGTGGACCCATCTGCCTCTTGACAGAGTAATCTCCATTTCTTGTTGGAAAAATATTGAAAGGGCAGGGAAGAGACCACAGGGCCAAGAAAACACTGAAAGCGAGAGAGATCGTCACTGGGAAATGACTCAATAACTCTAATTGGCTAGAGGAGGCCCCATCCTACCTCAAATATCCATTTGTCTTCCAAAAGAAGCTTCAAATTGGATTTAAAAGGATGTTTTTTCCCCAAACAAGGACAAAGATCCTTCCATCAGCACAGCAAGGAAGCAGCACTGTTCAGACAGGACCTCTGATCCCCCCAGAGACTCCAGAATCACTGTTTTCCCCAGAGAGAGAAGAACAACTGGGGAATAAAAAAAAATTCAACAGGGTGTGACCCCAGGAGGACTCTCAGGAGCCTCACGTGAGAGGATTATTAGGGGCACAATAAAATAATCAGGCGTTTGCCTTTGAGTATATGCGCACTCTGTCCTGATGTTACTCATGCCTTCTCCATCCATCTGGGGGCAGAGGTGCTACATGGCCCTGTGGTCCAGCTGCCAGCAACTCCAGGGGCTTCCTGATGTATGCTAAGCTGCTGCCGGAGCTGGTCTGTCCTCTTTTGATTCCTCTTTTGAACTCTGCTTTTGTCTTTTAAAAATATTCAGCCCTTCAAGACTTCTTCTCTCAGCAAGGGGTCCTCTGCCGTGCCCGTCGAAGTCAGAGGTCCAGGAGAGCTGCCCTTCACTGGAGAAGGGGGAAAGGGAATGGTTCTCTCCAGGGCAGCTTTTGCACCTTGAATGGGGTTGAAGTTGTCAGTGCATGATGCAATTGGAACATCCATACAAGGGTCAAACACTCCATCTTCTCTCTTTCAAAGGAAGGAAAACAAAGCCACAGCCAGGGACATGGGAGGACCAGTTTGGTCCTGGAGCCCTTCCAGCTGCAATCAAATCCTCTTCTGATTCTTCAGGCAATCTGGAGCAGAGGAGGCTGGTTTGAGTAAAGGGTGGTTTTGGGTACAGGGTATCACCCTAATGGTATCATTGATATGATTCAAGCTCGTCCTTGGGTGTACATTTGACTGAGATGTGTATGGATCCCAGACACTGCCCTCCCAATATCCAGGAGGGAGGGAGGATTTCATGGCTGTCTGTTTTGGTGTCATGCATATTTCATGGCATCCAGGGTGAATAGGTCCTCTGGACATTTTCCAACAATCTCAGACTTCCTGGAGCCAAGAGCCACATCATGTTTTCGAAGGGATAAATTGTCTAACTTTGCAGAGATAATGATCCAGGTTTCATTCACCTACTAAAAGGTTTGAATGAAGGAGATCAGTAGAGATGTCCTAAAAACCATTAGAAATAAAAGGAAAATTGTTGCATAAATATCTGGAACGTAAACTACCCTGTTTTAAGGCAACCATCCTACCCTTAGCAGCAAAAAGGGAGGGGGAAGTTGGGGAGGGGGAATTTCTCCAGTGCCCCTGCTTGCCGATATAATTTCTGCTTTATGCTTTCTCATTAAAACTTCATAACCTTGTTACAAAGGATAGCAAAGACCTTGCTCTCAGGAAAGGTTGTTTCATCTAGCTCCAGACTGTCTCTGTTGTAACTACAGCCACGGAAGCTAAAAGGATCAACATTTTAATTGTGTTTCCTTGTTTTCACATGAATCTTATTCCATTTGACTTCCCCATCCATGCCCATGTCCCTAGTTTTCAAATGAGAAAACTGAGGTTTGGTGATCTTTGGACTTTGAGACCGATGCTATCTCATTTCATATCAAGAATAGAAAGCAGATCCCTTTTCTCTCCTCATTGGGGGCAGACAATCATCACTACTTGACAAAACCTGTGTTTGGATTCCTCCTTTCTGGGATTTTCACATTGCTACCACTTCTAAAGAGAAGAACATACCTCTTAGTGGTTATTGGTGCAGATGTCTGGAGTTTGAGCCAGTGCTGGACACAAGCTGTCCTCATGAACACATGTGGCTGACTATGAGAAGAAACAGCAACCTGCTCTTGATTTGAAATTAGAGTCCTGCTAGCAGAGGGTTCTTCTGTCTCCGAGCTTTACTCTTCTCCTCTGTAGAATTGGGGCAAGTTGCAGTCCCTAGCTCTTGGATTTACTGTGAAGAATAAATGAACTAAGGCCGGGTGTGTTGGCTCATGCCCGTAGTCCCAACACTTTGGGAGGCTGAGGTGGGAGGATCACAAGGTCAGGAGATCGAGGCCATCCTGGCTAACATGGTGAAACCCCGTCTCTACTCAAAATACAAAAAAATAGCCAGGCGTGGTGGCGGGCGCCTGTAATCCCAGCTACTTGGGAGGCTGAGGCAGGAGAATCGCTTGAACCTGGGAGGCAGAGGTTGCAGTGAGCTGAGATCACACCACTGCACTCCAGCCTGGGTGACAGAGCGAGACTCCATCTCAAAAAAAAAAAAAAAAAAGAATAAATGAACTAATATAAATTCTTATTTGCCCATTACATATTGAGAGAAATAGGGTCATGATTGTAAAATGTTTACCAGGGAGCCTGCCACATCAATGCTCAGCAAATGTTACCCACCCACGCCTCCTGGAGCAGGGCACACCACTTCCAGTTTATGTGCTAGGAACCTGTATATTCTAGAGACAAGGTAACTCCTACCTTTGGTTCTGGTAACTTTTCATGCTTCCTTCCTCCTGTGAATTGTTTCCATGTGCAAAGCCAGTTCCCAAATTAGTCCCATGGGGGACACCTCTGGTTGGATTAGGGTTCTGTCTGTCATTCATCCATTGGCTGGTCAAAGACCCATGAGGTCATCTAACCCAGAGGAGGCTGGCCAATTAACTTGAGCCCTATCTTCAGGCCTAGTCAGACCGGCTTTCTCTGGATGTGTCCCATAAATAAGAAGAGGATTAGTTAGGTGAGAGCAAGTGGATAATGGAGTTGAGAGGTGACAGACACAGAGCCATCATTAGGGAGAAAGTTTGCAGAGGAAGAGAGAGATAGATGGAGTAGGTTGTTTCTAGCACTATCTTGAATCCTGATGGCTTTTCTGGTTCCGCTTCCATCATAAATATGCTTTCAATATCTATCCCCTACCCCCCTTTAAAGGTGACTATAGTCCCTTAAACAAAGGTGCCCATATAACTTTTCATCGGTTGAGAATGAAAAGGAATATGCTGTCTTAGAAGATGCAAAATTCTCTTTTGGGACATTCCTGCTCCGTACATAAAATCAGAGACAGGTCATGCAACTGTCATTCAGCTCCATCCTTAACTTGTTTCGATGAACCAGTCACACACTTTCCCTGATTGAGCCTCAGTCTCCTCATCTGTCAAACTGCCTGGACAACCTCTCAGGCTCTGTTATCCCATGAGCCGTAGAGCCTTTGATGCTCTGTGTCTTTGAGGGTGGCCAAGACCATTTTGGGGGGGATCGGAGACTCAAGTAGGAATCACAGAGTGAAGGCATCCTGGTTCCTTAGGACCTGGGCAGGACTATCTTGGTGCTTCTGCCTTGTACCCCCTGGTGTCTACAGAAGAAATGGAGACATATTATCAACCAAAGAATGAAGATAAATACAGCCTTTGTTGGATTAATATCCCCAGGATTACTCACATCTCCTTCAAAGTGAAGCAAAGATCATGTGCCGCCTGACAACCGCCCATCTGGCCCTAGAACAGTCACCATATGGGTAGTTCTCACTAATTATAGTTAAATACTGAAGGGATGGGGTCCAGCGTGGTGCCTCCTCACATCAGAAGTCCCGTGGTTTCCCGTCTCCCAGGAGCTAGTGGAAAGGTCACGTGGTCACTCTGCTCAGACCTGTCCAGGAGCAAGCAGGCATGTCATTGAACCTCACCAGAACCAATTTTCTCCAATTCAAAAGTGAAGAAATAATACTCATCCTTCTCTGTGTTAAAAAGAGTTTAACAACAGTGACCTCTGTGCCAAATAGCCAGTCAAGATCTTGGATCGTAGAGGAATCCAAGAAAACAATTAATAATTTGATAAAACCACATTAGGTTCCTATTATGGATCCAAGTCCTTGTTCAGTGCACTGCAATTTATATCAAAGACAGAAATATAGAATTATTTTAATTACTTAATTATTTTGCTAGTCCCAGGCAAAAAACCCTTAGTGAATCATTCTGATCCCAGAAAGGAATTTCCCTTGTAGAAAGCACGTAGCAACCTACAGTGTTGCTTTCTTAAAATAGTTGGAGGTTACATTCTCTCCTTCTCAAGAAGATAAGGAAATAACTCATTTGAAAGATGAGAAATGTGTTTCCTACACCTGCCTTTGGATAATCACCAAGAGCCATCAATTTAGCTGTGGACCACATGTCAGGTGTGGGACTTAGTTTTGGGTAAGGGGAGGTGGCATATTCAATTTGTGGGTGGATGTTCATCAGTGGTTTCATTCTGCCTGCATTGCTTTGTCCATTCTAGACCCTGGTTCTCTAGGCACAGCTAGCTTTCCTCACCTATAACACCATCAAAGTAACAACCTTTCTGTGGAGGCTCAAACCTCCACACCCCAAGAATCCAGGTAGGCAATATATTAATACATGACTAAAGTGGAACAGATGCAAGAAAATACACAGCTCTCTCAGAGTTTGTTAACTGACCCACTTTTTAAAAAGATGTGGCCACAAGGATATTCTCTTCTGAAACAAAAACAGCAATGACAGTATGATGACAAATGTTAACTGATGCCTGGCTCTAGAGTCTGGGAGACAATGAAGTGTGGGAGGGATAGTTCATTAGTGGGAGAGCCCATGCGCTTTGTCAAGGAGGCCCCCTTCTGAACAGCTAACACATGGTTACTGATATGGTTTCGCTGTGTCCCCACCCCAGTCTCATCTTGAATTGTAGCTCCCATAATTCCCTTGTGTTGCAGGAGGGACCCAGTGGGAGATAATTGAATCATGGGAGCAGTTTCCCCCATACTGTTCTCATGGTAGTGAATAAGTCTCACGAGATCTGATGGTTTTATAAAGGGAAACCCCTTTCCCTTGGCTCTCATTCTTCTCTCATCTGCTGCCGTGTGAGACGTGCCTTTCACCTTCTGCCATGATTGTGAGGCCTCCCCAGCCACGTGGAACTGTGAGTCCATTAAACCTCTTTCTTTTGTAAATTGCCCAGTCTCTGGTAATGTCTTTATCAGCAGTGTGAAAACAGACTAATATGGTTACCATTCACCAGTGAAGTGCCAACATTGCCAGATAATGGGCTTTTCTAGAGATACTCTCAAATGGGATATTCATGTGTAATATTCTGATTTTTCTTGATGCAAATTTTAAAAAAAGTACCTGAAGCTTTTCATGTGGTTTGGCTCTGTGTCCCCACTCAAATCTCATGTTGAATTGTAACCTGCAGTGTTGGAGGAGGGGCCTGGTGGGAGGTGATTGGATCATGGGGGCAGACTTCCCCCTGCTGTTCTTATGACAGTGAGTGAGTTCTCATGAGATCTCATTGTTCAAAAGTGTGTAGCACTTCCCCCTTCACTCTCTCTCTCCTGCTCTGCCATGTAAAGATGTGCCTGCTTCCCCTTTCATTCCACCAGGATTCTAAGTTTCCTGAGGCCTCCCTAGCCATGCATCCTATACAGCCTTTGGAACTGTGAGTCAATTAAACCTCTTTTCTTCATAAATTACCCAGTCTCAGGTAGTTCTTAATAGCAATGCAAGAATGCCTAATACAGCTTTCAAGTATTATTTTTAAAAAGAGGCACCACCTTTACTCTGGCTTGGCTGAAGTGATAAGATGTGAGGCTACCAGGGGCCTTCTTGTCAGTCTAAGGAGACAGCTTACCCAACGTGTCACCAGCACAGAAGAAACAGAGCTGAGGGATGGTAAGCATCTGAGTCCTGGTGATGTCATTTGAATCCCTGGATCCAGCCACACCTGAAGCTTCCAGTATCCCTAAACTTCCTAATTGCATAGCCTAACAATCTCTTCTTTTTGCTTACGTCAGTTAGAGTTATGGCTCTTTTACTTGCAACAGAAAAACAATCCTAATCAATACAAGGACCTCAGCGTCATTCATGAATAATTGATAACAACATTGTTCAGCATGAGCATGCCAAATATCTGCTGATATTTGAAGTGGCTGGAAAAGAGTATGTGTTGAGGCTGAGCAGATTGTACAGATAGGAAGAGGAGACATCATAGATAGCCTAGGGTGCTTTCCTTAGCAAGCCAGTGAAGGGTTTGGGAGATGGCCACAGCATTCAGTCTTGGGATTTTATTTGGAAGTCTGGCTTCTACACTGCACGTCCTGCCTTTTTTTCTGCTAGTTGGTTCCAGGGCAGTAAAGGGTCTGCCTCCTGAGTGATGGGATGGAAAGATTAGGCCCATGTTTTCTGGAGTTCTAATACCTCTGAGCCTGTTACAGACTCATTTGACTGGTTTGTAATCTCCAGGTGAATGTATAGTAAGCAGAAGCTCTCCTGGCACTTTGAATACATAATACAGTAAAGCAAAAGTCACGATAATGGAAGAACAAATGGCACAATATTTTCCTAAGTGTATTTGGGTTAGATTTACGTTAGACTTGGGAACCTGGCAATTTAATAGGTGGGAAAACTTTCATCAAACTTCAGAAGTACATGTATAATTCATGGCCTCTTGGTACATGGAATTTCAGGGAGGGATTCTAACCTGAGAGACACAGTATGACACAGAGCAAAATACTGTCACCTGTCCCCTTGCTGAGCCTTCTCTTGCAATTTATGGGGATTGTCAGTTACTAACCATCTAAATAACTCATTTCCATGCCAGAGATTATAACTGGAGCAGAAAATACCGGAGCTCAATCCCTTATTGTGACTTTTTTTTTTTTTTTTTTGAAAATGGGACACAGTCTGGTCTGTATGGGTGTCACCAAGTTAGAGCTGTCATAACTTAAGGGCTATTAGGTACTTTTTGCCATATCAGTCTTTCACCTTATTATTTTACAAGGGTCCTAAAGTTCATGCAAGAAGCACTGAAATGGAACCAGTGGAGAGAGGATGATAAGACGTTGTTTTCATATCCTAATAGCAAAGGCTCTGAGATTAAACAGACTTGGATTTGAATCAGGATTTCTTCAGTTACAATCTGCTGTCTTAAATAACTAATTTATCTCTCTGAGCCTCAGTCCTTATCAATAAAATGGGAGCAACAGTAGCACCGACATAGAAGTTGTGCATAGAATGGGTGTTCCCTCGTGCTTCTTTTAATAAAATGAAGAATTCATGAATTTCAAGCATAATACCCATAGTAGATTTTTCCTTTTTTGTTTGTGTGTGTTTGTTTTGAGAAAGAGGTGTGGAGAAAAAAAAGGGAGAAAGAGAGAGAGTATAACAGCATGGTGTTTAACCATCTGGACTTTGAGGCCAATCTGCTGAGGTTCGAGTTAAAGGCTCTGCTACCAGTTTGTTGAGTAACCTGCTCAAACGACTTAACTCTGAGTGCCTCAGTTAGTTTTCCATAATGTGGAGATAATAACACTATTTAGATCTTAGATTGTTATGAAAGTTACATGAATAAATATATATAAAGTGTTTGGAATAGTGCCTGGAAAATAATGTACTATACACCTTAGCTATCAGCAATGATTATATTATTATTAATTGGACTCTGCTATTATTTCTTTAGAAATGATAAAGGTAATTACTCATTTGATGTGGAGGGCTATAAGATTTGGAAGGATGATTAAAAGTATGGTAAACTTTAGATTTAGTCATTCCTGATTTAAGATGTGCTCAACCTTCATTTCTACATCTATAAAATGTGAACAATAATTGCTACCTCTTGGGACTAATTGACAGCATGGTATACCAGCCTTGGACACAGTGGCTGTCAAGATTATCTCTCATTTTACAGAGGAGGAAGTATGGGAGGATAAGCCATCTGCCTACATACACACAAATGGCTTAACCTCCTATATTTGGCCAGGTGTCTTTCCCAAAATTCTTTGCCTTTTTCGCTCCCCAGATGCTTCCTCTTCTAAAGGAATATGGGAACATATAGGGGACAGTGTTATCCTTTGGATGTGATGGTGCCTTGTGAATTGATGCATTAGTTGGGGTATACTGGAGAATTCATCTGTTTTGAAAACTCCCCTTGAGGTGAGTCCTCAGTGGCCGTGTTCCTGCCATGTGACCTCAGCCTTTTGTTATGTGATTGGACCAGGGTAGACACATGATCAAAACTGTCCCAGTCAGATTCACCCTCTGGGGAGCTGGAAATCAGAAGTTGAGTCTTTACAAACCCTCCACCACAATCCGGACAGGGGGACCCTTTTGAAAGGCAAATCTAAAAATCAGTCACTTTTTCCCTGCTTCAAACAGCTCTGTGGCTCCCTATTGCTCTTATCCAGCCTGGCCTTAGCCATGATGGCCCTGCAAGGCTTTAACTCATGTCATCTCATCTTTCATTTTAGTGCTGCAGCCACACTGGACTTTGTTGCCCCTTGAGCTCAAAATGTGTCCTCTTGCTACCGGGCCTTTGCACATGCTGTTCCTTCTGCAGGGAACACAAGCCCACTCTCCACTCCACTCTCTTTCTCCTCTTTCCAATATAATTTCCATGGTTACTTTCTCATGCAAACCTTCCCTAATCTCCCTGACTGGGTCAAATTTGTCTACTGTGGGTTTTCATTGCACTGTGTGCCTTTCTATCAAAACACTAACCACAGTTGTGATTATACATTTGTATGTATGATTATTTGATTAATAACTGTCTTTCCCAGCAGACTCCAAGCTCCACTGGGAAGGATCCATGTTTATTTCTCTCCACTTCTGTATCCCCAGCACCTGGCACAGTGCTTGCCCATTGTAGATACTCAATAAATACTTGCCAAGAAAATGAAGAAGAATCAGGGATGTGTAGAGCTACCAGGTGAAAGTCCACAAACCACTGCTGCTGAGATTCTTAGAGTTGTCTTTGTCCCCACCCTTGCCTGTCTTAAAGTATGCTTTTTTCTTCACATTTTCTGCAGATTCAATAAAAGACCCTCAACATCCTTTCATTGAATTCCCATGTTTTGTTTAATCTTGTATGAGTGGATTCCTCTTCCCTGCAACCCAATAAAACCTTTCATGCTGCTGTAAGGAGATGGAGATTGAAAAAAATCCCAAGGGTTTTCTTCCCCCAAGATGATTCAAAATGAGGACAAATAACAGAGGCAATGATGATGACCATCACTCTGAGAAACATAAAAGATGTCTATAGTTTATACCTGCTGTTATTTCTACTCTGACGCAGCAGACAACCTATCAGGTCAGGAAGCATTATTCTAGTTACCTCTGGTCCTAGTAAAGTTTTATCTTCAGTTCTTACAGTGCCTTTGCTAACCTGTATTTGTTTCTCCATTTTAAACACGCTTTCCTCCCACAGACCCTGTTTGAGTTAATCAGTAACCTATTCAAAGGCAAAACTCTCCTTAAAGGAAACATTGATAACAACATGTAAGGATCCTATCTATACGTAGCAGAGACATACTGATTCATTTGAAACCTTTAAAAGTATCTCAGTCTGCATGTCTCCTCTGGATTCATTATTTATCTCTGTTCCAATCCTTTTCTGTGACTGAACCAGAGCAACATCCACCCAGTTGCCTAAGCCAAAAATCTGGGCATCTCTTTGCTTCTTTCCTCTCCTTCTCACAGTCAAATCCATTGAGTTTATTCACCATTCTGCCTGCTAAATAGTTCCCAAATCTACCCACTTCCTCCCTACAGTCTCACCACCACAACCCTAGTTAAGCTGCCATGGTCTGTCTCCAAGATGCCTAAAACTCTTTTCCAATTCTCTCCCTGATTACATGCTTACCCCTTCCACACTACTCATTTTTCCAAGCACAAAACTGATCATATCTATTATTTCACGTGCTCTATATCTCAGCTGCCACATCAGGGTCACACCTTAGAAGTCACTGTTACTGAACACTGTCCTATGTACAAACATCACAGATGCCAGCTTCCTACATTTTTTTTTTAAGACAGAGTCCAAGCTGGAGTGCAGTGGTGCGATCTTGGTTCACTGCAACCTCCATCTCCTGGGTTCAAGCGATCCTCCTGCCTCAACCTCCCCAGTAGCTGGGATTACAGGCATGTGCCACCATGTCCAGCTAATTTTTTTGTATTTTTAGTAGAGAATTTCACCATGTTGGTCAGACTGGTCTCAAACTCCTGACCTCAAATAATCCACCCCTCTCGGCCTTCTGAAGTGCTGGGACTACAGGGGTGAGCCTCCACATCCGGCTCAACTTATTCCTTTGTGGCTACAAGATCCTTTGATCTTTAAGGCAACAAACTCTAATACAATAACTCTTCAACTTCACTATGACTCTAATCCGTTTACACCATCACTTTCCCCACATTCGGTAGTCCCTTTCTCTTTGCCATTATTATTCTGATTAGATTTCATGGTCCATTATTTGCAATCACCTGCTTCCAAATGCCATCTACTCAATGTTCTTGGCTCCTGTTCTCCCTCCACCATACTTTCCTGGCAACACCCAGCACTAGATGCAGTAAGGGCTACACACCTGAGCAGCTAAAAACCACAACAGAGAAAAACCCAAGAGAATGGTTTTACATCCTATGACGTTTTCCTATTGAAATTGCTTTTCTGCTCTCAAAGATCTCAAAGATCTAATCCAAACTAATGAGTCTGTTGTAAAGATTAAGAGTTAATATATGCAAAATGATTAACATATTACCTAGCACATGAGAAGCACTCAATGCATATTAACTATTGTTGTTGTTAATATGATTATTTTTGTTTTATTTTTGTCATGATCATTAACCCGACCTATTCTTAGCTGATGATCTTACCGCTTAGTCAATAGAGAAACTGGAAAACTTCAGATGAAAACTCTGTAATGTTGCTGAAATCTTTGCACCAAATCTGCAGATCTCTCAATATCTCTAGTTAACTTCACATTCTTTTCTCTGAGAAATTATATCTTATCTTCCCAAGGTTGATTCCTTAACATGTGATCTCAATCTTACATACCTTTTCTTTCATAAAACTTTTACATTTTCCCACTTTTTTCTTTTTCTCTCTAGTACCACAAATAAAATGCTAATCATCATCTAATCACCATGCTAATAAAATGCTAATCACCATGTGGTGTGGGAGTCACCTGCTCCCACACCACATCCTCAGGACAATCCCTTCAGTCAAAAATGTAAAGCATATTCCATGAAGTGATGCTGGGATTCTGGCCTCTAGATGGAGAAGGACTTGGTCTGGGAGGAAAATAATCATCAACTGCTTTACAAAAAAGTGAGAAATCCTATAATTAAAGTCCTAGTTGATTCACATATTTGTATCCTGAAAGCCATTTCTTTCAGAATTGTAGTTCATTATCCTAAAGCAATTGATCTCTGGTGCTTGTATGTTTAAAAGTGTAAGAAGCATCCTGACAGAAAGGCTGACTAATTATATTAGGCATCATGATCTTTAATTAGATCAATAGGAGAAGAGCATCAGTAAACATCTTGAGAAGCTTTTGTTACATTGGCTGGGTCCTCCAAGAAACCCCAGCATCAATACTAATCCATAAGAAAGTGTTCAGAAAAACACGGTGGATTAACAAGGAGAGAAAGGATAATTTGGATAAAATTAATCATTGTTGTTATAGGACAAAAGCAAAAATCAGCTTAGCAAATGGGTCCAGAGCATTAAAGACCATGCCCTTCTCTGCCACAGCCTCAGGACTACTCTCAGCTTCACAACCCATGACGGTCTGTTGGCAGAGACAAATGACAATTTCATCACCAATGTATACTACTCTTCAAGGGAAAACCCTGGAATTATTTTACTTATAATGAAATCACCCAAGAAACCCACTGAGTGTGAATCACAGGGCAGAATCAAAGCTTTTCTTACTCACTGACTTTGTGGAGGGTGAGGGTGGAGAGTGATGGGATTGGAGAACCAGCCAGTAGGTCTGTATTTGGCTATCATTTAGATCTTGGTTTTATAACAATTCATCTACGAAAGGTTTGTGTGTGTATAGGAATGGGGGGTGGAAATTACTACATACCAGGAATGGTTCCAAGTGCTGCAAACTTGTTTTCCCCCATCATTCCTTTTTTAGCTCTTCTTCCTTCTTCCTCCTCTATGCCCTTTTCTTATTTCTGAGGGTTCTCTAAAGCTGTGGCAGAATTCAAAATTATTTTCTAAAGATCAGATCCTTGCAATATGTTTTCCCATAGTGCATCTGCCACCAAATAGAATAACATGGTAATAATATTGATAATAATGATAACAGTAGAAACTATCATAGTGGCAACAATAATGACACAATGGCCATATGTACTGAGTTCACACCATTTGCCAGGCATGATGATAAGCACTTACAATAGATGCTATTATTGGTCTCATTTTATAGGTGGAGAAACTGAAGGCACAGCAAAGTGAATATATATGCCCCAAATCTCACAACCAGTAAATGACAGAGTCCAAGTCTGAGCCCAAGAAGCATGCCTCCAAATCCTATGTTCTTGGTCATTACACTATAGTAAGGACCTCAAAGGAGGCATTAGTCCTCTTGGCTTCTCTTAGCAGGAAAGAGCTAAGATAAGTCACTCTGTTCATTCTACAGGTAGAGAACACTGAGTCTCCAAGGGCCTGCAACATTCCCCATGTATGTAGAATTGGAAGGAAGGAGAGGGAGGCCAACCCAGAGTAATTTCATAATTTTTGAATAAATCTCTACTGTGACTTGTTTAGTGGGTCACCCAAGCTGCTTGCTTGGGTACATTAAACTTCTTTTTTTTAAATTTTATTTTAACTTCAGGATACAAGTGCAGGTTTGTTATATAGGTAACCTTGTGTCATTGGAGTTTATTGTACAGATTATTTCATCACTCAGGTATTAAGCCTAATACCCATTAGTTATTTTTCCTGATCCTCTCCCTCCTCCCATCCTCCACCTCTGAAAGGCCCAAGTGTGTGCTTTTCCCCTCTGTGTTCATGTGTTCTCATCATTTAGCTCCCACTTGTAAGTGAGAACATGTGGTATTTGGTTTTCTGTTCCTGTGTTAGTTTGCTAAGGATACCGGCTTCCAGCTCCATCCATGTCCCTGCAAAGGACATAATTATGTTCTTTTTTTATTGCTACACAGTATTCCATGGTGTACATGTGCCACATTTTCTTAATCCAGTCTATCACTGATGGGCATTTAGGTTGATTTTATGTCTTTGCTATTGTGAATAGTGCTTCAATGAACATACATGTGCATGTGCCTTTATAATAGAATGATTTATATTCTATTATACCCAGTAATGGTCTTGCTGGGTCGAATAGTATTTCTATCTTTAGGTCTTTGACGAATCACTACACTGTCTCCACAATGGCTGAACTAATTTACATTCCCACCAACAGTGTATAAGTGTTTCTTTTTCTCCACGACCTCACCAGCATCTGTTATTTTTTGACTTTTTAATAATAGCCATTCTGACTGTTGTTAGATAATATCTCATTGTGGTTTTGATTTGCATTTCTCTAATCATCAGTGACATTGGGCTTGTTTTCCTATGATTGTTGGCCTCATATATGTCTTCTTTTGAAAAAGTTTCATTCAGGTCCTTCGCCCAATTCTTTATGGGGTTGTTTTACTCTTGTAAAAAAATTTTTTTAAAAATTTCTGTAAGTTTAAGGGGTACAAGTGCAGCTTTGTTACAGGAATAGTGGTAAAGCCTGGGCTTTTAGTGTAACCATCACCCAAATATTGTATATTGTACCCATTAAGTAATTTCTCATCCCTCATCCTTCTTCCACTCTCCTACATTTTCAAGTGTCCAGTGTCTATCATTCCATGCTCCATGTCCATGCATATGCATTCTTTGGCTTCCCCTTCTAAGTGAGAACATATGGTATTTGACTTTCTGTTTCTGAGTTATTTCACTGAAGATAACGGCCTTCAGTTTCATGCAAGTTACTGCAAAAGCTTAAATCGGCTGCGACGCCACCAGATATTCATGGGCTAAAGACCCCTACAGCTTTATAGAGCACCTGATGGTCAAGGAAGGTCTCAGGCAAAACTGGGTTTCCTGAAGACTAGGCCAGACTTGGTCGTCTCTCAATCAAGTGCATCAGTGTCGACCGAAAACAGCCTTCTATTAAATGTACCAATTTTTGACAATTCCTTTGGAATAGGATTACAAAAGCTACTATTGACCCTTGTTGTTGGCTTTCACAAAGGATGTCAAGAACAAAAAAATTGAGGTAATAGTAATCTCCCACTCATGGCATGTTATCATTCTTCGTGGTGGAAGTCTCTTTTATTTTATTATTTATGTTTGTATTTGTATAATTTTTTCTCTAAGAACTAAAAATAGAACTATCATTTGATCCAGCAGTCAAGTGGTGTCTACCCAAAGGAAAATAAACCATTCTATTTTATTATTTTTATTTCCCCTTTTCCCCTACCATACCGTATACACCCCAGTGGACTTAATACGTATACTTCAAGTAGCCTTCCATGTTTTATAATCATTTAATATTTACCTGCACCCTTAAAAAATATGGTGGTGCTTGCGTGTGCATGTTCTTAATTTGCATAAATAGTATTGTGCTATAAATCCCAACCTGTTTCCTACTTTTCTTCCTTCATGCTGGGTTTTGAGATTTATTCACATTTGTTCTATGTAATGTGGCATGTGGATCTCTGGTTTTCTGGCCATCTTTTATGCTCTGACTTCATTCATTGACTCAAAAACAATCAAAGGAAAGTTGTATTGTGCTTATGTAGTTTCTTTTTAGTTCTTTTCCTGATGATGTGAGAAAATACAATGTCAAGGATGCATTTTTTATTTCAACCAAAGAAAAGGAGGGAAAATTGCCATTTCTGAACACTTGCTCAACCACTTTTTTGAGCACGGGGTCAGGTATAGTATACTTATTTAATTCTTAAACCAATCCTATGAGGGAGAGAACATTATCTCCATTTTATCAGATGAGGATCCTGGGGTCATAGCCTCAGCATAAAGGCTGCATACCTCGTTTGGGCACTCAGATATTTTAGGAGGCAGAGGTAGTACTCAAACACATCTTTTATTGAGTCCATCCATAATCCTATTCCAAGTAAAATCACTCTACACAAGGCCAGTACCCACATAGGCTCACAGAAATCCTGCACTTACATGTCTTCCTTTTTCAGGGCATAGTGCAGGGACAATAGTTGTTTAGAGCGGGTGCAAAAGGAAACTCGAGGACTTCTTTCAAAAGAGCACTGCATTTCTGGACAAAGAAAAAAATACTAAAGTGAACTTGGCTCAACTAAAATTCTGGGAGATATTATCCATAAATGATGTAATTTAGTTTTTAGGGGCCCCTGATTGACATAAGAACACTGGGTTATTTCTAGAATGAGTGTTGTGTCTGGCCTGTCTTCATTCTCCTGCAGAATTTCTTCTTTTTCTTCACCATCTTTAAGATGTACTATTGTTGCCCAGAGCTCCTCAATTTTTTTTCTGACAATTGTGGAAGGTAGAATAACGTACCCCCCCACAAAGATGTCCACATCTTAATCCCAAGAACTTGTGAATATGTTGCATTACATGGCAAAGAGGAATTAGGATTGCAGATGGAATTAAGATTGCTAATCAGCTGACCTTAAAATAGGGAGATTATCCTGGATAAGCCACCTGGGCCTAATGTAATCACATAGTCACAAGGGTGAGTGAGGCTTGTGTTGAATTTCCAACCCACATAACTATAAAATAATATATTTGTGTTGTTTTTTAGCCACTAAGTCTGCGGTTAGTTGTTATGGCAGCCACAGAAAATTAATACAATAATAACGTTAAGACAGGTTTAGTATCCCATATCTAAAATGCTTGACACCAGAAGTATTTCAGACTCTGGAATTTTCTTTTTTGATTTTTGAATATTTGCATTAGATTTAACAGTGTCGGCATCTCTAATCCAAAAATTCGTAATCCAAAATGCTCCAATGAGCATCTCCTTTGAGCACCATATTCACGCTCCAAAAGTGTGAGATTTTGGAACACCTCAAATTTTGGATTTTTTTGATTACAGAGGCTCAACCTATATTTCTCACATACTTTTACATGTCAGCAGTTTTGTGCTAAGCATCTCACATGAGGCATGTACTATTATCGCCCTTAATGTACGGGTGAGGAATCTGAGAGGTACCCTGGTTGAGTAATTTGCCTAAGAACAGCTGGCAATTTGTCGAGCTGATGCCTGGTGCCTGACTCTGTAACCAATCAAGCAGCAGCCATTCAGTCTCCACAGTCCCACTTAACCAACCACAGACAGAGACTGAATGGCTGCTGCTTGATGGGATTCTGAATTATGTTAGAGACAATCTGATTGGTCCTGTTTGAATCATTGTGATCAGCTCTAGTCTAATCAGACTATGCTCAGGGAAGTGGGATCCTGTAGGACAATCATGGAGGTCCGATCTGCATTTGTAGATTGAAGGGGCCCGAGAAGAGGAAGATTCACGGAACAACTTGTCTTTTTACCAAAAGCTGCCTGTTACAGAGTTCCCTCATTTGTATACTTTGTGGCCTCACCAGCTTGTTTTCTCTTTGCACTCTCCATTTGCCTCGGACTAACATCCCCCTTTGCCAGAGTGGGTAGGTTAGTGGCCCACAGAGTCATTTCCAAACACTGTTCCCTCATGCACACACCCACTCTTGACATTTGTTCTTTGAAATTACCAAGCCAGTGTGTCTGTTCTGTTCTCTAGCCTGGTAAGGGGCTCTTTGTAACCAAGGAAATAGATCTGCTTTTGAACCAAAGAGATAGACAAGAGGCATATAATTCCCATCTAGGATCTTTATATAGCAAATATCAACTCCCTTTGTTCTCTTAATTCCCACCAGCAAAATGCCAGTGAGGTTTGCAAGGCAGCATCGGTTTAGATTTTCCTGTTGACTGATATTCAGTAGGTCTTAACCACCCGCAGTGTTAACACATAGTGACTTGCATGGACGAGGGGGTCTCATAGAGGCAGCTCTGGGTTCTTCAGAAAATATTAAAAACTTGCCTAAAGAATGAGAGCGGTTGAAGTGATAGGGGACAGACTCTAGAGATGCGTATGTGACTTTGCTGATTAAGCACCAGCTCTCTGGAGGTCAAGTGCCAGGTTCCTGAGAACACTGGAATACAAAGAGAAGGAGGAGGTACTGGGAGCTCTAATACCACACAGAGCCACTGCTGCACTCACTGATCCACTGGCAGTTGTAGCATTTCTGTTGCAACAAGTGCCCTTTGAGTTAGCATGATTAGATGTTTTCAATTCCAAGTTGCACATCTTTCCACATTTTACCATTACTGAAAGCATGAAACAACTGACAGTTGATGGGTACACTTATTTTTGTGTTTTTCTTCTAGAAAGGTGCTATTAAATCAGTGATGTGTCTTACAAATATGGCATCTTAGAATCATGAAGGTGTAGTAATAAATTTCATGTAGGGATGGTTACTTTTGTTTAGATGAACAGAAAAAGGAGCTGATTTTCATCTGGTCTGGAAGGGAGGAACTAGGTTAAATAAGCAAAAAGACCAAGGTCTTTAGAAGATATGTAGAAGTTAGGAGGCCCATTATTTTTACCAGAGTTCTCTGAAAGGCCCCTGTGATGGTTAATTTTAGGTCTCAACTTGACTGGATTAAGGGATACCCAAATAGCTGCTAAGGTATTATTTCTGGGTGTGTCTGTGAGTGTGTTTTGGGAAGAGGTTGGCATTTGAATGAGTGGACTGAATAAGGAAGCCCTGCCCTTGACATGGGGGGCTCCATCCAATCAGCTGAGGATCTGAATAGAGCAAGAAGGCAAAGCAAGAGTGAATTTGTTTTCTGTCTCTTCTAGAGCTGGAACACCCTTCTTCTCCTGCCTTTGGACATCAGAACTTCAGATTCTCTGGCCTTCAGACTTCAAGACTTGCACTAGTGGCCCCCTGGGTTCTCAAGGTTTTGGCCGCCTCGGTTGAGAGTTACACCATCGGCTTCTTTGGTTCTGAGGCCGTTGGAGTTGGACTGAGCCATGCTACCAGCTTCCCTGGGTCTCCAGCCTGCAGATTGCCTACTGTGAGATTTAGCCTCCATAATCACGTGAGCCAATTCTCTTAACAAATCACTTCTCATATCTTTCTCCTTCTACATATCTTATTGGCTTTGTCTCTGTGGAGAACCCTGATTAATACAGCTTCTAAACTGATAAATGCTCACTTATACCCATTGAGTTGAGATTGCTTCCTGTCTAGCCTCAAGGCTCTGTCCTCTGAAAGCCACGCTTGGGATCTTCAGGTGAGTGCCTCTGTATACCAATTGCAGACATGACTTTGCAGAAGTGGGTTCTTTCCAGTTGTGCCTTTTTGCCTCAGAGGCCCAAGTTCCTCCAAGATGACCCTAAGCTGCTTTTTTCAAAGTATTTTTGCAAAGAAAGAGTGAGGAAAAAACTGAGCCCTGGGGTATTAATTCTGAATGGCTTGTTGAATGGCTGGCTTTAAGATTTGCTCCTTATTACACAGAAACCCTCTTTATTCTTCAAAAGAGGCTTTGGCAAAGTCAGAGTAAGTAGGACTTAATCTTACAATACAACCTGGCTGTTCCAGGGAACATGAAGCCCGCAATATTTTCTACCGACAGTACTTCCTAGAAAAAGCTTGCAGGTTTTCCCGAACAGTAAATATGGCTACCATCTATTGGGCACTGATGTGCAGGCACTGGGCTAAATTCTTTATGTGAATATATTTTTATATGAATTGTCTCAATTTTCAAAACAATCCCCATCATACTGGTGAGGAAGCTGAGAAACAGATACCTTTCTCAGAATCACACAGCAAAAAGTGGCAGAGCCAAGACTCAAACCCAAATCCCTGTCACATCAAAGCCCAGTCTCCTAGTCCCTTACCTACACTGCCTGTCACGAACCGCTTGTTCTTCTCTGACCCAAAGGCCCCCAGACAGACGACGTTAAAGCTACCAGGGCAAGCAAATGGCAGCTGCTCCCAGGTAAACATACTCCTCCGTATAACATGGTTTTCTAACCTTCAGTTCACTGACTGGTGGGTGGCAGGAAAGGCAGAGGAGATAGAAGACAAGTACAACACACTATGAATAGCAGAAGGATGAACTGAGGACTGTCAACGTGCAAAGGAGGTTGAACATGCAAAGGAAGGAAGCCAGGACAGTTGTAAGGGCATCTCCAGGTCCCATTTCCCCACCCCACCCCTGCCATCCTCCTCCCAGGCTGTGATGAATCCAAGGAGGATAAATCAACACTTGCCCAGGTTACTGTTTATTTCCTTAGAACTAGGGAAAACTGCATCTCCCCTTCTTTCACTTGGAAAAATCACTGTGTTAGAATAATTATGAATCATCCTTTGATCTGTCTCTATATCTGCAAAGCATAAATAGCGTTCAGCTGTTGAGGTCTGATTGCTCGATATTTCAGGTTTATATTTTGAATAACACAAGGATTGGTTGCTAACACCAGTAAATAATTTACTCTAGTCTGAAATATGAGCTCCAGGCAAGAAACATGAGATCAAACACGGGGAACTGTAGTATGATAGCAAACATACTGCTATCCTGTGAAGGGTTTTTCTAAATTCACTGCTGGAAGACAGAGGGAGAAATGACAACAGGTGGAGCATCAGCCAAGGTCCTTCTGGCTCCTGCCCGAATAGAATGGCTTTCCTGACATCAAAGGATGCTGGAGAGATGAATATCAATTTGAGCATGGAGAGAGGATGTGATAGCTGAAGGAGGGCTTCTTCAGCTTCTAACACCAAAACATTCCTCCCTCCACTCCAAGCCCTTGGTCATGCCAAGCTCAGTAGCAATGCCAACTTCTTATATCTCCTTTAAAAAAATCATTCTGAGCCACAGGAGGGCAGAATATTGGGAGAACAGAGTGCATGGTCTGATTTCTTTGACTTCATAAAATCTGGAGCAGAAATAAAAATTAGCAAAAACAGTTTCTTTTGATATGAGAGTTTATTTGATGCTTTTGTTATGACATTAAATGAAAAGGCAGGGTTTCAAATGCAGCTGCAGTATGATCACAATGAAGTTCAAGTCAACAGCAAAATTTCTGGGGTGAGCAAAACCAACAATAAATGCATTAATGCATTATCAGTGGTTGCCGTAGGGAGATGGGAGCGTAGCTATATCCAGCACCTCCTTGTTACAATATAAGCAGGATCCCAGTGGAAATGTAAGGGCTCCTGTGTTGTCCTTAAGATTGTTCTGGAAAGTAACAGTATTTTCATGCGCGTCCGTGTGAAGAGACCACCAAACAGGCTTTGTGTGAGCAACATGGCTGTTTATTTCACCTGGGCGCAGGCGGGCTGAGTCCGGAAAGAGAGTCAGCGAAGGGAGATAAGGGGGGGGGGGGGCGGGGCGTTTTATAGGATTTGGGTAGGTAAAGGAAAATTACAGTCAAAGGGGGTTTGTTCTCTGGCGGGCAGGAGTGGGGGTCACAAGGTGCTCAGTGGGGGAGCTTTTTGAGCCAGGATGAGCCAGGAAAAGGACTTTCACAAGGTAATGTCATCAGTTAAGGCAAGGACCGGCCATTTACACTTCTTTTGTGGTGGAATGTCATCAGTTAAGGTGGGGCAGGGCATATTCACTTCTTTTGTGATTCTTTAGTTACTCCAGGCCATCTGGGCGTATATGAGCCTTGGGCTCAGAGGCCTGACATTCCTGCCTTCTTAGTATGAAAAATAAAACAAAATAGTGTTGAAGTGTTGGGGCGGCGAAAATTTTTGGTGGGTGGTATGGAGAGAGAATGGACGATGTTTCTCAGGGCTGCTTCAAGCGGGATTGGGGGCGGTGTGGGAACCTAGAGTGGGAGAGATTAAGCTGAAAGGAGATCTTGTGGTAAGGGGTGATATTGTGGGGATGTTAGAAGAAACAGTTGTTGTATAGAATGATTGGTGATGGCCTGGATACGGTTTTGTATGAACTGAAAAACTAAATGGAATAAGAAGGAGAAAAACAGGTATAAAAGGTCTAAGAATTGGGACGACTCAGGATATCTGATTAGAGAGTGCCTAAGGAGATTCAGCATAGTCCTGCCAGCAAAGATCATTTATTTACTTCAAGAGTTAAGCGTGGCAGTTTGGGGATAGCACCAGGAGATATCAGCTGTGATGGCTTGGAAAAATAGTGTAAACCTGCAGTGTAAACAAGAGCAGGGCATGTGTGAGTAGTTGAGATCGGTAAATAGGAGTATGATTAGACAGAAGATAGTAGGGATGACAAGTTTTTTGGGGCACAGTCTAAGTTGGTCTGGTGTCTGGAATGAGACTGGGGCCTAATAACAAGGAGCGTCTATACAGGAGCTTAAATGGGCTGTACCCTGTAGCATTCTGAATACAGGCCTGAATTCTGAGAAGGGAAAGTGGTAAAAGTATTGTCCAGTCCTTTTTAAGTTGGTGGCTGAGCTTGGTGAGGTGTGTTTTTAAAAGACCTTTAGTCCATTCTACTTTTCGTGAAGACGGAGGACCGTAAGGGATATAAAGGTTTCACTGAATACTAAGAGCCTGAAAAACTGCTTGGCTGATTTGACTAATAAAGGCTCATCTGTTATGAGACTGTATTGAGATGGGAAGGCTAAACTGAGGAATTATGTCTGACAGAAGGGAAGAAATGACTGCGGTGGCCTTCTCACACCCTGTAGGAAAGGCCTCTACCTATCCAGTGAAAGTATCTACCTAGACAAAGAGGTATTTTAGTTATCTGACTCAGGGCATGTTGAGTAAAGCTAATTTGCCAGTCCTGGGTGGGGCAAATCCTCGAGCTTGATGTGTAGGGAAGGGAGGGGGCCTGAAGAATCCCTGAGGAGTAGTAGAATAGCAGATGGAACACTGAGAAGTTATTTCCTTCAGGATAGATTTCCACGATGGAAAGGAAATGAGAGGTTCTAAGAGGCAGGCTAGTGGCTTGTACTATAGTATAACCTGCCTTTGCTGGTGTGTGGCAATTAGGCCTGGTGGAACCGCCATCAATAAATCAAGCGTGATCAGGGTGAGGAACAGGAAAGAAGGAAATTTGGGGAAATGGGGTGAATGTCAGGTGGATCAGAGAGATACAGTCATGGGGGTCAGGTGTGGTATCAGGAATAATGTGGGATTGAAGTCTGGGCCAGGAACAACGGTAATTGTGGGAGACTCAACAAAGAGTGAGTACAGCTGAAGGAGCCAGGGAGCAGAAAGTATATGCATCAGGTATGAGAACGAAAATAGATTTTGGAAGTTATGAGAACTGTAGAGAGTGAGTTGAGCATAGTTTGTGATTTTGAGGGCCTCTAAAAGTATTAAAGCAGCGGCAGCCGCTGCACGCACACATGAGGGCTAGGCTAAAACAGTAAGGTCAAGTTGTTTGGACAGAAAGGCTACAGGGTGTGGTCCTGGCTCTTGTGTAAGAATTCTGACTGCGCTAACCATGCCTAGGAAGAAAAGGAGTTGTTTTGTAGAAGGTGCTGGGGTTTGAGATCAGTTGGACACGATTGGCAGGGAGAGCACGTGTGTTTTTATGAGAATTATGGCGAGATAGGTAACAGTTGAGGAAAAAATTTGGGCTTGATTGAAGTAATGGGGGCTGTCTGTGAAGCTTTGCGGCAGTACAGCCCAGGTAATTTGCTGAGCTTGATGGGTGTCAGGGTCAGTCCAAGTGAAAGCGAAGAGAGGCTGGGATTAAGGGTGCAAAGGAATAGTAAAGAAAGCATGTTTGAGATCTAGAACAGAATAATGGGTTGTAGAGGCAGGTATTGATGATAGGAGAGTATACGGGTTTGGCACCACGGGGTGGATAGGCAAAACAATTTGGTTGATAAGGCACAGATACTGAACTAACTTGTAAGGCTTGTCTGGTTTTAGGACAGGTAAAATGGGGGAATTGTAAGGAGAGTTTATAGGCTTTAAAAGGCCATGCTGTAGCAGGCAAGTAATAACAGGCTTTAATCTTTTTAAAGTGTGCTGTGGGATGGGATATTGGCGTTGAGTGGGGTAAGGGTGATTAGATTTTAATGAGATGGTAAGGGGTGCATGATTGGTCACCAAGGAGGGAGTAGAGGTATCTTATACTTGTGGGTTAAGGTGGGGGGATACAAGAGGAGGACGCAAAGGAGGCTTTGGATTGGGAAGAAGGGCGGCAATGAGATATAGCTGTAGCCCAGGAATAGTCAGGGAAGCAGATAATTTAGTTAAAGTGTCTCAGCCTAATAAGGGAACTGGGCAGGTGGGGATAACTGAAAAGGAGTGCTTAAAAGAGTATTGTCTAAGTTGGCACCAGAGTTGGGGAGTTTTAAGAGGTTTAGAAGCCTGGCCATCAATACCCACAACAGTTATGGAGGCAAGGGAAACAGGCCCTTGAAAAGAAGGTAATGTGGAGTGGGTAGCCTCCGTATTGATTAAGAAAGGGACGGGCTTACCTTCCACTGTGAGAGTTACCTGAAGCTCGATGTCCGTGATGGTCTAGGGGGCTTCCGAGGCGATCGGGCAGTGTCAGTCTTCAGCCGCTAAGCCGAGAAGATCTGGGAAGGAGTCAGTCAGAAAGCCTTGGGCCAGAGTTCCAGGGGCTCCGGGAGTGGCTGCCAGGTGAGTTGAACAGTCCGATTTTCAGTGGGGTCCCACAGAGATGGGACGTGGCTTAGGAGGAATCCCAGGCTGCGGGCATTCCTTGGCCCAGTGGCCAGATTTCTGGCACGTGTAGCAAGCTCCTGTGGGAGGAGGTTCTGGAGGAACACCTGGCCACTGCGGTTCAGGCGTTTGGAAGTTCTTGTGTGCTGGAGATGTGGCTGGGGTTTGTCTCACAGTGGAGGCAAGGAATTGCAACTTTTTTCTATTATTGTACACCTGAAGGTGAGGTTAATTAAATCCTGTTGTGGGGTTTGAGGGCCGGAATTTAATTTTTGGAGTTTTATTTAATGTCGGGAGCAGATTGGGTAATAAAATGTATTTTGAGAATAAGACGGCCTTTTGCCTTTTAGGGTCTAGGGCTGTAAAGTGTCTCACGGTTGCTGCCAAACAAGTCATGAACTGGGCTGGATTTTTATATTTGATGAAAAAGAGCCTAAACGCTTCTGATTTGGGATAAAGAAAAAGGAGCATTAACCTTGACTGTGCCTTTAGCTCCAGCCACCTTTTTAAGAGTAAATTGCTGGGCAGGAGGGGGAGGGCTAGTCACGGAACGAAACGGTAAGCCAGACCAGGTGTGAGGAGGGGAGGTGATAAAAAGATTATAGGGTGGAGGAGCAGAGGCTGAGGAAGGATTGGGACCTAGCTCGGCCTGGTGAGGAGCAGCCTGGGGAGGAAGGGAGGGGTCAGATGGGTCTGTAGAAAAGGAAGATTAGAAAGACTCAGCGACGCTTGGGGTTGGTTCTGAGGGGACAGGTGGGAGGGTAAGAAGGAAGATTTGGGACAAGTTGCACTGGGCACAGAGACTAGGAAGGGACTGATGTGTAAAAGAATGCCTGGACGTCAGGCACCTCAGACCGTTTGCCTATTTTACGACAAGAATTATTTAGATTTTGCAGGATGGAAAAATTCAAAGTGCCATTTTCTGGCTATTTGGAACTACCGTCGAGTTTGTATTGGGGTCAAACGGCATTGCAGAAGAAAAGGCATTTAGGTTTTAGGTCAGGTGTGAGTTGAAGAGGTTTTAAGTTTTTGAGAACACAGGCTAAGGGAGAAGAAGGAGGAATGGAAGGTGGAAGCTTACCTATAGTGAAGGAGGCAAACCCACAGAAAACAGTAGAGACACGGAGAAGGGGTGGAGGGTTCTTGCCCTCCAGAAAAGCAGAGAAGGGGTTGGGGCACGGAAATAAGGGATTGGGGCACAGAGATAAGAGGCTGGGGTGCGGAAATAAGCGACTGGGGGGTTCTTGCCCCCTAGGAAAGCGGGACTTGCCGCTAAGGGTGAAGTCCGTGACCGGCGCCGGAGTTTTGGGTTCACGGATAAAACATGTCTCTTTTGTCTCTACTAGAAAATGAAAGGAATTGAAATTAAGAGAAGGGAGAGATTGAAGTGTGGCGCTAAGATTGAAAGGAGAAAGAGGTTGAGGGATAGTGAGGGAGGTTGGAGAAGAGAGTAAAAAGAGGCCGCTTACCGGATTTGAAATTGGTGAGATGTTTCTTGGGCTGGTGGGTCTGAGGACTTGAGGTCGTAGGTGGATCTTTGTCACGGAGCAAAGAGCAGGAGGACAGGGGATTGGTCTCCTAAGGGAGGTCCCCCGATCCGAGTCACAGCACCAAATTTCATGCGCGTCCGTGTGAAGAGACCACCAAACAGGCTTTGTGTGAGCAACATGGCTGTTTATTTCACCTGGGTGCAGGCGGGCTGAGTCCAAAAAGAGAGTCAGCGAAGGGACATAGGGTGGGGCCGTTTTATAGGATTTGGATAGGTAAAGGAAAATTACAGTCAAAGGGGGTTTGTTCTCTGGCGGGTAGGAGTGGGGGTCGCAAGGTGCTCAGTGGGCAGGAGTGGGGGTCGCAAGGTGCTCAGTGGGGGTGCTTTTTGAGCCAGGATGAGCCAGGAAAAGGACTTTCACAAGGTAATGTCATCAGTTAAGGCAATGACCGGCCATTTACACTTCTTTTGTGGTGGAATGTCATCAGTTAAGGTGGGGCAGGGCATATTCACTTCTTTTGTGATTCTTTAGTTACTTCAGGCCATCTGGGCGATATATATACGTGCAGGTCACAGGGGATGTGATGGCTTGGCTTGGGCTTAGAGGCCTGACAGTATGCCTCTGTGATGGGTACGGCCTCCCTTGAAAAGAGAGAATCTTCCTTCATCCAGCAAGTTTTAGCAAGTGGAAAGGGTAGCAATTGGCCCTCACTACTAGCTATGATTGGTAGTGACTATCTGGGATACTGGGGTGAGAAGGATTCTGAAATCAATGGACTAAAAGACCTGATTGATTAGTGATGTCTACCTGGGAGCATGAGGTGCTATATTTGACATCTGGGTTTTGAGTGAGATACCTGTATTCAAATCCTGGTTTTAAAAGCTTGGGATTTTGGACTTTAAAAAGTCTCTCTTCTAATGCTGTCCCTCCCTTTGTCCCCCACCCCCCAACAGGCTGTGCTGTGTGATGTTCCCTTCGCTGTGTCCACGTGTTCTCTCTCATTTTCTTAGATCAGCTACCTAATCTGTTACCAACCTAAGGGGATTACATAAAATATTCCGTGAGGATGTTGCTGGCATAAGTAGATGCTAATACAATTCCTCTATCTCTTCCCATTTCCTTCCCTTTCCTTTACATTCTTCAGGACCCAAAAACCGTAAGAGAGTATTCTCTTTTCAGAATTTTCACCAATACATTCAGCATAATTGTAAGTGCTTCAACCAACCAGTGAAAGGCCTCCAGATAGAGAAAGATGGGAACCCCTCTCTGCCTTATACCTGACCAACATAAGACTGTTGACAGTTATGAGTTCCAGACATCAACAGCAGCTGTAATAACCTTTCTCTTGGCTGTTTTCAGCAGAGCCATAAAAAGATGAACATGATATGATTGACAGGCCTAGAAGACAGGGTGTTTTTAGGACCAAATAGTGTTAGAAGGACCTGCTGGAATGAGGAATACAGGAAAAGACCTCAATACACTGTGTATGGTACTGAACTTAGCAGATTACTGATGGAATTTTTGGAATACCTCCTCAGAGGCATGAAGCCTAGAACTTTAATAGCTCTGTATTCCTGAAGGTAAAGAATTTCTTGATTAGGATGAGAAATGCAATTCCCATCCGTTGGACTTCAACTGAAGAAGAATGTCCAGTTTTAGATTCTCCAGAAGAATGTCCAGTTTTAGATCCTAGTCTGCAAAACAATAAATCTTCAAAATTCCAATAATTAGTACTGAGGAGAATCAACTTGTTAATACTGTTGCCATTTTCACTGTAATATTTTTTGGGGGGAGGTCAAGGCGGGGTGGATCATTTGAGGTCAGGAGTTCAAAACCAGCTTGGCTATCATGGTGAAACCCTGTCTCTACTAAAAATACTAAAAAAATAGCTGGGTGTGGTGGTGGGCACCTGTAATCCCAGGTACCCGGGAGGCTGAGGCAGGAGAATTGCTTCAGCCTGGGAGGCAGAGGTTGCAGAGAGCAGAGATCATGCCATGGCATTCCTGCCTAGGTGACAGAGTGAGACTCCATCTCAGAAAAATAAATAAATAGCAATAATAATTTTTATTTTATTTATTTATTTTTTGCTCAGAACTGGCAGCATGGTAGGTGGGAAAGTTGTGTAAGTTTAGAATTCTATCCAATATGGGTGAAAACTCCAATTTATCACCATACTTTTACCTCTCTGAGACTCAGGTTCTCATATGTCAAATACCACTAGAGGTATTTATACATTTAAGGATTTTTGTAAGATCTGAAGTTTATGGGTCACTTCTTTTTTCTAGCAGATGCGGTTGGTGCCAGTGTCACTTTCCTTGTGTGAAGCAGGTTCACTGTGCACGGGTTACCAACTTGCCTGAGTGTGGTGACACAGAACACCCACACACATCAAGTTAGATAAAGTGAATTCATTATTTGCAGATAGGCAGCAAAGGATGCTAGAAGCCTAGGATTCATGTTGAGCTGGTCCCCCAAGACTCAAGAAAGCTGCCCAGGGTGGATAGAGTTTCATCTGTGCATGCCCCACTTGCATCACAGCTGAGGGACTATGGAAAGCCGTCCACCTGAGTTCTGTACCTTGGGGAACTTGACTTGCTGGGCTAAAGCGTGGAAGGACATCCGGTTCTGGGGACTGGAACAGAGCCTGGGCTGTTACATCCAGTTCCTCTCTATCTCAGGATGTTGCATTCTTTGCATATTCTACAGTTACTTAAGAGAACTACAAGTGAGAAAGAGGGAGAAATGAGTTAGTGCAAGACCACTCAGAGAACTGTCCTGCACCCTCAGCTCACCTCTAAATTTTGCTGCAGCTGATGCTCACTGACGGTGTCCCACTTCAGTTCCCCACTGTGTTTCTCCACTTTCCTGTCTCAGGGCTTGATATGGTTTGGCTATGTCACCACCCAAATCTCATCTTGAATTGTAGTTCTCATAATCCCTACAGATACTGGGAGGGACCCAGTGGGAGGCAATTGAATCATGGGGGCGGTTTCCCCCATGCTCTTCTCATGATAGTAAGTTCTCATGAGATCTGATGTTTTTATAATGGGCTTCCCCCTTCACTTGGCTCTCGTTCTTCTTCCTGCCACCATGCAAAGAAGGATGTGTTTGCTTCCCCTTCCGCCATGATTGAGGTCTCCCTAGCCATGCTGAATTGTCAGTCAATTAAACCTCTTTCCTTTATAAATTACCCAGTCTCGGGTATGTCTTTATTAGCAGTGTGAGAACAGACTAATACAGGGCTTTTATCAAAATGGTGGCAGCTCAGTCAAGCCTCGCATAGGTGGAGCCGAGGAGCTTAGGGAATTTACACCAACAGGACAACCTGCAACCAGTGGGTGATGGGAGTCAGTGGATAAATGCTTCAGCCTCCCGGCCTTCTCAGGGAATATTCTGAGGTGCATTCTACACAGTTCCTCAGAGGGCTCCTGGTAAGATGATCTCTGGTTGCCCATAGTAGTAACAAGCTCCATAATGTCCCCTTCACCAGCTTTTCATCCTTCCCCTTCTCACTTGCTCTACTCCTCATTCCAACTTTTGGAGATAACCTCTCAAATAAAATACCTGCACCAAACTCCTTGTCTTAGGTTCTCTTTTGGAGAGATTCAAATAGACACTCAAGCTCTGTTAAATATTCTTCACCTTTCTAGTACTCACACTTTTTCCTTCATTTCCCATACTCATGGATGATTTAATTTCTTCCTCAAGATTAAGAAGGTACACCATCTTCTTTTCTTCTCTATCTCTCTGTCCATCTTTCTCTTCCTTTTATTTTTAGGGGAATGGGGTTGCTCGCTCTCTAGAGCTAACGCTTTTATTTTGTCTTGAATAAACCTGGTTCTCCATCAGCGTCATCCATTTCAATTAATGACACCACCATCCTTTCAGTTGCTTAAGCCGGAAACCTGGATGCATCCTCCTCTTATCTCCTGATCAATCACCAAATCCCAAATGTTTCTTGATTTTGTCCACTTCTTTCTCTATTAACCTTCATTGGGTATCTGCTGTGTGCTGAGCATTTTATGAGCTTTACAAGCTTCATCTCATTTATATCCCTACAGAAATGATGCCTTTTATAAAATGGTACTATTTTTATCCCCATTTGTAGATGACAAAATGCAGGTGAAGAGAGGTCAAGGAACTTGCCCAAGGTTGTTTGAGTGAGTTCATGGGGACTAAAACATGAATCTTTTTCCTAATTACAGAGCTCATGTTCTTCCACTCATGTGCTGTTCCACCTGCACGTCTTCAAAGGCATTGCACCCTGATGGTTGTTCCTTCCCATGCCATCATCTCCACTCTCCTTCTCAGAGATTTTCTTCCCTTTTGCCATTATCCATGATGATGTGTTGTCTGTTTCATACAATAGGCTTAAAGAAATTATTTATTGGATGAACAAGCCTTCATATAACTAATTATTTCCACTATGTGTATTATCATTTACATTAACATGTAATTGTTCATTATCCTTTGTCATTAAAAAGAGGTAAAGAATTATGGGCTTTGGAGTCAGAGAGACCTAGAGTCAAACCCCGTTGCCATCACACACTAGTTATGTGACCTTGAGTGATTCACTTAACATTTCCAGGCCTTCGTTTTCTCACCTGCAAAATATAGATTAAAAATAGCTCCTGGCTGGCTGCAGTGGCTCATGCCTATAATCCCAGCACTTTGGGAGACCAAGGCAGGCAGATTGCTTAAGCTCAGGAATTTAAGATCAGCCTGGGCAACATAGCAAGACCTTGTCTCTACTAAGAACGACAGCCAAAAAAAAAAAAAAAGCAAAACCAAACAACAACAACAGCAACAACAAAAAAAACCCCACAAAAAACAAAAACCAGCCCAGCGTGGTGGTGTGCTTCTGTAGTCCCAGCCACTTGGGAGGTTGAGGATGACTCGAGCCCAGGGGATCGAGGCTGCAGTGAGCAGTGATTGTGCCACTGCACTCCAGCCTGGGCAACAGAGGGAGACCCTGTCTCAGACCAAAAAAACAAAACAAAACAAACAAACAAAAAAACAAAAACGTGGTGATGGCAAAGATGGGGGAGCTGAAGAGGACAGTATTGAGAAAGATGGCATCTGAACTGGACTTTGAAGGATGAAGCAGGGAGTGGAGAAGAGGATTCTGGATGTAGTAAGACATGTGCAAGGAAGTGAAAATGCAGAAAGTTTTGGTCATCTTGGGTCTAGAGAAATTTTATGAAGCACTTCATCCCATCTTGTCCCTAAGCCTTATCCCATATCCCTGGTGGTAGTTTCCTCTCTTTCACTTCTCACATTCCTGATTTTATTTCCATTTCTTGTATTTCTTCTCTCCCAACTCCTGGAGCAAAGTCCCGTTCTTTTCATCTTCTCATACAGAGCCATTTAGCTTTCTCTTTCATTGCCTTGTTTTTTTCAAAGTCCAGGCACTGAGAATTTTCTTTAATCCCCAAGTGACTTCTCAAGGGATTCCTCTCAACAAAAACAGTTCCCACATATAAAAGGAATGCTGATGCCAACTAATAATATAATTAAGGTTTTCACATCTGCTGCACTTGTGTTAGTATTAGATTGCTATCCCTTTGGGAAGTAGAGCTATGTTTCATTGAACTCAGAAAACTAGAAAATGCTCGACCATGTGATCTACTCTCTGTAGGCACTGGGTACACAGAGATGAGAGAATGTGGATTTGGCCCTTCAAGGGACCAGAGTCTATATGGGTAAACAAGCATTGAAAACAACTATTTCAATGCTAGATCATAAGCACAACATGGAAATTTGTGTAAGGCTCAGCAAAATAACAATTTAATATCACAACTTGAAGTTGTTCATTTCATGTCTTCCCCTCTGGACTATAGTATCTTTGAAGGAAAGGTTTTTCTTGAGGAAGAACTAAGTCTCCTTCGTTTGCCGTTTTATTCCAGGTGCTTGGCACAATGACCGGCACCTAAGGCAAACCTGGTAAACATTTGTGGAATTAAAGCATGAATGATGGAAGGGATTTTTAAAAATTAGGTGGTGGTGGCAAGGATAGGGAGGTGGAGAGGATGGTATTAGGATGTCAGCAGCTGAACTGGGTTTTGCAGGATGAAACAGAAGAGTAGGGAAGTGTATTCTGGACACATGAAAAACTATGTGCAAAGAAGTGGAGGTGCAGAAGAGCTTTGAATTTGGAGAACTGTAAATGGTTTGGTAGAACTGGAACAAATGCAGGGATATGGGATCATGAAAGGTAGAGCTCCAGAGACAAGCAGGATGCAGCCTTTTCTGTATCATCTGTGCTGAACCTAGCACAGCGCTGGCTTCAGGATAAGCATGCATTGCTTGGTGGTTTTAAACTTTTGAGTTCCTTAGCATGCATGATAGACGTGCACATTTTCAAATCACGGAAGATTACTATTCAAGGTCTCTAGGGAAGAAGTAGTCGAAGAGTAGTCCAAAGACCAGAAATATCAGCATGTCCTAAGAACTTGTTATAAATGCACATTGTCAGGCCCTCCCAGACCTGCTGGATCAGAAACTCTGGGGACAGAGCCCAGCAATCTGTATTTTAACAAACTTTCCACATGATTCCAGATTTACACCCAAGTTTGAGGGTCACTGATCTGAGGGATGGAGCTAAGAAACAACGAGAAAACAAAACCAAAAAAGCCACAGATGTTTCTGATGATCTGTCCAGCTTGAGAATTTCTCTTTAAATGTATGTGTCATCTTTATTGTCATTGGCTTAGCATTGAACTGACAGATTTACTCTGCCTTTTGGAACTAGCCTGGGCTTCTCTGAAACACCTGTGCCCACTAGGTCCTTACTGAAAACATGAAATAGACCAGAATCTGGGGAAGGAGGAGAGCTAGTCTCTGATATTCACAGGCTCCAAGAAGGAAGGAAAAGCAATTGTCTCTGCTGAAGACGTTGAATCATAGGCAAGAGATGCCCTGAGAAAATAAAGAGAAGCAAATTTAGAACAAGCAACAAGAGATATTTTTGCATTCAGCATTCACTCAACTTGCAGGATTTGGGTGGTTTATGTCTTTCAATGAATATGCAAGATGGTTCTTTTCACCCAAATATAATTAACACTATTCAGTATTTTTATTCAACACACAATATACCATATAGACAATATTAAACAGACAATGCCCAATTATAGTGAACACCAGAGAATATTTTTATTAAATAGAAAATTCAATGATAGGAGGCTTCTGCAAGATTGTTTGCTATGTCATTTATTCTTGGATCAAGCCCTGGAAGAGCCTTGATTCCCTATGTCTAAAGAAGTGCGCTCTTTGAATGGGTGGTTTCCCTGGACGATAATCACTTCTTGAATAATATGAATGACAGTTATAATAAAAGTATCTGTGTTCAGCTAATTTCCTTGATTAGAGCACATTTATTTGAGCATGTTGCTGGTAACATCCAGGCTAGGGGTTCCGTCTTTGTGTAGGCAGTAAGAACGAGAAGATGAACAATTAGGGATGAGGAAAAACAAAGGAGGAAAGTGGATAGAAACATTACAAGACCTTGCATTTCCATTGAGGAGAGCCTATGAAGCTGAGTCCAAATACCCTAGGACCTAGGGACACCACAAGTCTTCCAAAAATGATGATGGTGGTGATGATGATAATAAAAGTAATAATAATAGCTGGCAGGTATTCAGTACCTATACCTATATTGTGTTCAATGCTTTATATGTATGCATTTTCCAGACTTTCAAAACAAACTGGGGAAGGCCCTAGCATCACCTCATGGAGATTTAAACTGGGAAGGGCTAAGAAATGTCCCCAAAGGTCACATTCATAATAAGGGACTGAACCAGGCTTCAAGTCCAGGAAAGCTTGTGCTCCTTACCACTGCATTGCATTGCCTCTGGCAAGGAGGACCTACAATGTAAGGAGGGTAGTGATGAATCCATGTTGTATGTAGCATGCTCTAACATTTATTGGACATGTGATGTGTGCCAGGCATCATGCTAAACATTTAACATACCTTATCCCTCTTAACTCTCCTACAGAGAGTATACCTCTTTTTTTTTTTTTTTTTTTTGAGACAGAGTCTCAGTCTGTTACCTAGGCTGTAGAACAGTGGCGGGATCTTGGCTCACTGCAACCTCCGCCTCCCGGGTTCAAGCTATTCTCCTGCCTCAGCCTTCTGAGTAGCTGGGATTACAGGCACGTACCACCACGCCTGGCTAATTTTTTTATATTTTTTATAGAGACAGGTTTTCACTATGTTGGCCAGGCTGGTCTCGAACTCCTGACCTCAAGTGATCCGCCTGCCTTGGCCTCCCAAAGTGCTGGGATTACAGGCCTGAGCCACTGTGCCTGGCCCCAGAGAGTATACTTCTAATCTTCACATCTTATGGATTGCAAACATATTCGGAACACCAAGTTGTAATTGTTGGACGTGGAGGTGGAAACCAGAAATGAGTCCCAGGTCTGTGAAACCTCATGGATGACCTATGGATTTGAACCTTTGAAAAAAATTAAGGACAAGAATGGAATGATTCTATAGCTCAGTAAGTTTCCCCTAAGGAAACTTCATCTCATAGAAAATAAAAGCTCTGCTGAAGCCTTCTAGTTTGCCTGGAATTGAAATACACAGAGCCCCTACTTAGTCGTTATCATCACGTGGTGTAATACTGGTGCTTTTATATCACTGTGGACCCAGAAAATTATGCACCATTCAAGGGCCATGTGTAAAATGATGGCAAAACTGCCATCAGTTACTGATCTGTGGACAAAATATCCAGCATCTTATTTAAGTGGCTTGTATCATTTAAAAAGATCTTGCAGATTACTCAACGGTTAATGCTTTAATGGAACATTTAGGCTTTGGTCTACTCATTTTCTTGTAGTGCCTGTAGCATAGACAGAATCAGCCTGTGAAAATAGAGGACACAGCTATCTAAAAAGAATGCAAGCAAATGTGTTTTCATTTACAGTGTCAATATTTAGTAAATATATTTCAAACTTTATTGTGCATACAGATCACTTAAGGATCTTGTTGAAACACAGATTTGGATTCAGTAGATCTAGGGATACTGAGATTCTGCATTGTTACAAGCTCCCAGGTGACATCAATGCTGCCCATACCTAGACCACACTGTGAGTAGCAAGAATCCAGGTTTTAGTCAGGGTGCAGAGGCTCATGCCTGTAATCCCAGCACTTTGGGAGGCTGAAGCAAGAGGATTGCTTGAGCCCAGGAGTTTGAGACCAGCCTGGAGAACATAGTGAGACCCTGTCTCTACAAAAATAAAATAAAATAAAATAAAGAGGCCAAGTGCAGTGACTCATGCCTGTTATCCCAGCGCTTTGGGAGGCCGAGGTGGGCGATCACTTATGGTCAGTTGAGACCAGCCTGGCCAACATGGTGAAACCCCATCTCTACTAAAAATACAAAAATTAGGTGGGCATGGTGGCACATGCCTGTAATCCTAGCTACTCAGGAGACTGAGGCAGGAGAATCACTTGAACCCGGGAGGTGGAGGTTGCAGTGAGCTGAGATCTCGCCACTGCACTCCAGCATGGGCAACAGGGTGAGGCTCCATCTCAAAAAAAAAAAAAAAAAAAGAAGAAGAATCGAGGTTGTAAAAATCTGGGTTAATATATGTGTACAATTCCTGCCCTTCCTCAAAGATCTTAATAACCTCAAAAATCATTTGTCAAACCAGTACAAGGAGTTTCAATTAGCAAAACTTAAACTCAGTAATTAAACCAACTACAGTACTAGGGTGAACATCTAAATAAAATGTCCAAGAATGATTGTCAACAACCATTCAAGGATTATACGTTTTGCCACTACCATATGCTGAGGGCTTATTGAATGTCAGACATCCTGCAGAGTTTGTTCTGTGGTCCCCATTATGTTGGAGTCTAAATTCAGGCAAACTAGATACTATAAACAGAGGAGGGGAAGATGCCACCCACGGGTACCATTTATTAAGCTCTTACCCTGTATCAGTCACGTTATAGACATGATCCCAATTAATCCTCACAGTGAAAAGACGGAAATATTATCATTGTCCCTATTTTTCAGAACAGGAAGCCAGGATCCAGAGAAATTAAGCCATTGGCTCAAATTCTTAAAGTTCTTAAGTGGGAAAACAAGATTTTGGACCCAAAATCTGTTGACTTATTACCTAGCTTCTATTGAATTCTGCATCATTAGTAATGAAAACTTAACTCCTAATCCTAACACAAGGTTAAATAGCAAGTAGGATGCGGGGGGGAATGAAGATGTTTCCTGAAGTGTACACGCGTGTGCGTGCGCGCGCGCGCGCGCACACACACACACACACACACACACACACACACACACCCCTGAATTTGGTCTGAGAACATGGATGTGCTAACAAACCCTTACTTACTTCTGGGCATTCCACAGTCTTCCAGGTCATTAGCCTCCTAGCTCCCATTCAAATCCACACCATTAGTAGCTGCAATCAGCTATAATTCTTTTATTTTTTAATTTTATTTTATTTATTATTATTATACTTTAAATTTTAGGGTACATGTGCACAATGTGCAGGTTAGTTACATATGTATACATGTGCCATGCTGGTGCACTGCACCCACTAACTCGTCATCTAGCATTAGGTATATCTCCCTCTAAATGCTAAGCTTCCTCTAAAAAACCTCACAGATTGGCAATTTCCTACTGTGCCTCAAGTGTTAATTCAACCAGGTCAATCAACCAGCCCTTAAAACTGAGCAAGATCACCTGCAAAGGCATTTCTAATAGCCATATCTGAGGAGAGGCTGAGTAGGTGAAATTGTAGGGATGATTTTGTAACCAGAATTTTTCAACCCTTGGAGAGCTAGAGGTGCTTCTGAGGCAGTGAGGTGAGAAAAGGGGGATTTCAAGGAATTTTGGTAGCACAGGTAGTCTCTTACTTCTCCACGGGGGTTCAACAGACTAACCTTACATGTTCTGAAATCAGATATACACAGTATCGCTACTATATTCAAAAACATGCTAATTAAGAGAGGACAGGACTTGTAACAATCAGAAGAAAGGCCAATGGGAACTAAGAACCTGATTAGATTATGTAGGTTTTAGAGGCTTCGTTGCGTTAGGGGGTTTTGTAGGAATGAAGAGAGAGGATAGTGGAGAATGCAGTGTGAGCTTGTTTTTAGATTGAGAGAAGACCTTTAAAAGACGTATCCAGCTGATGGTAAAATGATGGGGTGTGCTGTATTGATCAGAGGTGAATTTTCTTATCTTGGAGGGTAGAAAAAAACAGGCTAATTAATAGATACATAAAATGCATTTGATTGGAGCAATGACCTCCAAGGCAAGATATGTGCAAAAAAAAAAAAACCCACTGGGATATGGAAATAAAATATTAGAGCTACTAATAATGTTTACTTCGACTTCAAAATACAGAAGGAAATTAAATTTTACTAATATGTAGCATATGATTGACAGGGAGTAAGTATACAGTGTATAAATGAATATGCATACATGTGGTATATCATAAAATGTTTTTTCCTGGTAAGGATGAGACTCCTTAGTAAGATTATTTATATGTGAATCTGTGTGTTTGGAAATATTTGAAATGTGATGTTGGTGAAAGAAAAGGTACTAGAATGGATAGTGTTAAATATTTATATAATGGAACATTAGACAACTGTTAAAATGAATATACTTGCTTTAGATAAATCTTAAAATGTCAAATTTAAAAAAGCAAGCTGCAGAATAATGTGCTCAGTGTGATTCCATTCATACATATTTTGAAAGCGTACAAAATAGTATTCTGTGTCATTTATTTCCGTATATAGAAAGGATATAACATTGTGGATAAGATGAGTGCTTGCTAATTTCAGAGTAGTTGTCAACACCTGGGAGAACATTAGGGCTACGAGATTAGGAACACTACAAAGGAAGTTCTGAACAAAACATTAACATGTGTTCAGTCTAGGAGATAGGAGTGTGGTTGCTTGCTGGTTTATTAAATGAATCTATATTCTTTTGTCTGTTCATAACATTTTATAATAATCCAATCAATGATATGTGCTAAATTGGTGGATTGAGCAGAACATATCCTGGAAAGTTAGGTTTATAAGTGTGGGAAGGCTGCAGAAAGTTTACTTTCTTGGGACCCCAGAAGTAAGGTGAGCTGTAAACACCTTGTTCAAGCAAGAGAAGCAGAGGATGCAGCCAAGACTAAACTGCTGCCGCTTCTCGGTGTCCACTGATGGGGCTCTCCGTCTTTGTGCCAACTGCATCATAATGAGCAGAACCGCATGCATTAAATAAAGAGTAATCAATCATGAGCAACATGACAGGTGATCCTGTGAGCCTCATGTTGGGGGATGTAGGGTGAGTTTGAGAAGAATGTCAAAGAATGACAAACACTGAGCTCACAGGGGCTAGCCGGGTCAGTGGTTCTTAACCCCAGGTGCATATTAGCAACACCCAGGTTGCTTAAGTTCTCTGACCCCTCCGCAGACCAATTGAATCAGTAGTATCTCTGGGGTTGGAGACCTGGCCTAGGCATCTAATTTAAAGTTCCTTTTTTATGGGTGAGTAGTATTCCATGGTATAAATATACCACATTTTCTTTATCCACTCATTGGTTGATACAATTCATACATGCAACCAAAAACCATTTGTACCTGTAAAGCAATTGAAATAAAAATAAAAATAAAATACATAGAGTTCACTAGCTGATTCCAAAGTGCAGCCCGAGTCGAGCTCAGTGGGGTATAAGGTATTTCCCGGGGTGCCACGACCATGGGTTTTGTCTGTTTTTACGCCTCCTGGCTTGGTAACGACCAACGTAACTTGTGTTTGCAAACACAGGTTGCCTTACATGCTGTGCTGGTTACCTTTTCTGCTCAGATACAAACCTCAGTGGGAAATGGGATGTAGAGTCAATGGCCCTTAAGGAAATCATATGATATGGGGACCAGGTCTTTAAAATTAGGAAACAAAGGTCCTGGAACAAGAAATGCCTTGGCCCAAAGACACACAGCTGTTTAGCAGTAGGTCTGGGATTTAAACACTAATTTTCTGACACTATCTTGAAATTAAAGAAAGTTCCGTTAAGAAGGGTTTGTTTTCTTCAGCTGATACTGTTAACCTGCACCGACTTACGAAGGCATTGCTGAGTGGACCTTCTTCTGAGCACAAAACAGTTTATAATTATCCTAATTGTACGGAAATGAGAGCTTTCCAAACATGTGAAGGGTCATAAAAATGTCTTGTTCAGTTAGTTATTTTAAGTATTCCCACTATGATCTTGTTTTGAACATAATTTTATTTTATTTTTGAGGGAGTGTTTGGTTAGTGCTGAAAAGCTCTAAACTACCCTCTATTTGAATGGGTTTGCATTAAATATTAGAAGCCAAATTAGTAAGGTTCTGAAGGACTCTAGTCTGAAAGAGAGGCTGGGAATGGAGTGGACTCAATAAAAATCAAGTAATAGAAATAATAATAATAATAGCAAACACTTATGAGCACTTGCTGGGCACTTTTCTTAGTGCTTTAAGTGATAGGGTTGCTGCCAGATTTAGTAAATAAAAATAAAGGGCACCCAAATAAATTTGAATTCCAGCAAACGACAAATAATTTTTTACTCTAAGTATGTTCCTGTATTTTCTTTGCTGATTCTGTCGACTCCACTAAGTGAATTAACACCATTTAACCTTTACAATCCTACGTGGTAGATTTAATTAATCCCCAAAATACAGAGGAGAAAATGGAGGCAGTGTTAGGTAACTTATCCAAAACTACAAAGCTACTATGTAGCAGAGTTGGGATTTGAACCTAGGAAGTCCAGATAACCACCATGATACACTGCCTGTTCAACAACTATTCAGTCTGCAGACATTTACTCTGTATCTGGGGAACTTGCTAATATCCAGATGTCCCTGCTCACCCCCATAGATTCTGATGCAATAGGTCTAGGGGTGGATCCTTGGTATCCACTGAAACTGATGTGCCTGAAGTCTGAGATCCTCCAAACGACATCATCTCTATGCTTCATGATTCTTGATCCTGGCTGCACATTAGAGTTGCCTGGGGAGGCTGTGGTTCATTTGATGTGGGGTGGAGCCACTGAGTGATTCCACCATAGGAACCAAGGTTAAGAATCACTGCTATAGTACAGTACCTCTTGGCTCTACCTTGATTCAATGGTAAGTGAACACACATGGTTGAAACACTCCTAAGGAAGTTAAGGATAAAGAAAAAAGAGTAAGATTAGCGATGTCCCTTCATGATGAAGAACCTTCCCCTCACCTGACATCTGAATACTTATTTTGGCATCAGTTCACTCAACATCTGTATGCTAAGAACCAACTGTGAGCTCAACGGGGAGATGTACAGAATCAATTACTATCTAGACACATGCCTGGAAGGCAGGATGGCATTCAGGAAAACTGTGACTCAATCCTCAGTCAGGTGCCCCTACTTTTCACTCTACCCAAATCCCCTTTCAGATAATCAAGACCAGGATTCCAACTTGACTTCTCAAACCCACCCAGAGTCACAGCAGCTGCCTAGGCAACACCCGTGCCACCCATTTCTCTTGCCTGCCTTTCTTCTTCTTTGTAAAGCTTACCTGTTCTCTGTTTCAGTTCCTCCAGAGCTCTTCCAGGCATTTAGAACTCAAACACTGATCTTATTGGAGCTCCTACATAAATATCTGCCCGCGGATTGATATTTAGCCATTGCTAAAGAGTCTGTGCTAGGGTGGGGAGTATCATGGAAGTACCCTCCTTTTGTGGACTCTAGGGATTTTGCATCCCCCAATCAGACTTTGAAAGTCTCCAGGTGGGTAGGCACACTACACTAGAAAGGAATTATTAAACCTCAGAGTTATTAAAGTCCAACATTTTCCATTCATTTAACAAATAACAAGGTGCTGGGTGCTGGGCTAGATCATGGGAAAATAAGGCTGATGGAGAGGGACAAGGTCCCTGTCCCCATGGGGCTTATATTCAGTCTATCTAAGGTAAGTCCAGGTGATATAGCTTCCTCCTAGTAAATATGGTACAGGAACAAAGTCTTAGGTCTAATTGCAACTTGCCCTAAAGCAAAAGGGATCATGGCATGGCCCACCATAACTCCTACTCTGATATAATGTCCAAGCAGCACCATTTCAGTGGCAGGGATGTGGGCCGCATTGCTGAGATTTGAGACATTTGAGACCACAGACCTTGGTCCCTTGAAACAGGCTCTGGTTAGCTATTCATTTCAGTTCTCAGTATTCACTAAGTATTTCCTAAGATGATAACCATGACTAATATTTAAGAAGCTCTTTTGATGTGCAAAGCTCTATATGAATTACTGCATTTTAACTTCACAATGAATAGCTGCAAGATTGCAAAGGACGTAAAGGAAGCAGAGATTGACCGACCTACAGTCTTACTCCAGAGTAGTGTTTCTTAACCTTTTTTTTTTAAACCATCCCTCTAAGAAGCCCTTTAAAACACTTTTTATTAATTGACCCTTTCATATGAAATTTTAATGACATAGATATACTGTTTAGTGTATGTACCTCATAAATATTTAATGTATTGGATACATATCTGTGCTTTAAACATAAAATAGTAAGTTTTTTTCATCCTCAGAACCAATTCTTGCCCCCCTTGGAGGCCATAGCACCCTCACTGAAAGCACATATCCCGACTACTAACTACTGTAGAAAGGTTAACCCACCTTTCTACACTTCGTGGTGTTTTTATGTGCAAAATACTGGTTTATTAGTTGCTCCCCTGACTCCAAGCAAAATGCCTTACCCTGCAATATGAGGAAGTTCATATCCTAATTGATACAAACTGTTTCAAAGGTTGAAAGAGTAATACAGCATTAGCTGATTCGCCATAAAACATAGCTCCTTGTTGCAAACACTTGGGTATAGCCTGGGAGGTAGTATGCTCTATCTACAAATAACAAGAAAAAACAAACTAGTGTTCTTGCCCAAATCTTGTCTCTTACCTGTCTTCAATGAGGGAATCTCCACTTGTTAACTCTGTGACTTTGGGCTGCTCATTATTGTCTCTGAGCCTTGGCTCGCTCATCCGTAAGATGGGAGTGATGAGGCTGGGCGTGGTGGCTCACGCCTGTAATCCCAGCACTTTGGGAGGCCGAGGCGGGCAGATCATGAGGTCAGGAGATCGAGACCATCCTGGCTAACATGGTGAAACTCCATCTCTACTAAAAATACAAAAAATCAGCCGGGCATGGTAGCGGGCGCCTGTAGTCCTAGCTACTCAGGAGACTGACACAGGAGAATTGCTTGAACCCAGGAGGCAGAGGTTGCAGTGACCGAGATTGCACCACTGCACTCCAGCCTGGGAGACAGAGCGAGACTCCGTCTCAAAAAAAAAAAAAAAAAAAGATGGGAGTGACGATAGTGCCACCCCAAAAGGCTGTTGTGTGAATTAAATGAGGTAATGTACATGCAGTGTTTAGCACAGAGGCCCACACAGAATAAGATCTCATAACACGTTCATATGGTCACAGGTTGGGTTCCCTGGAAGCAGATGCTGAGATGGAGTTTGGGCATTAACCCCTGGACAAGGAAGGAGTTGAAGGAAAAATGTTTGGTAATGATCACTTGGGGAAGAAAGGGGAGGAACAGAGACATGAATCATGATGCAGTTTCAACAAAGCTTGGCCAACTTGGCCATAAGCTCTGGAGCAAGTAACTCTCATCACGTTGGCCAGCATTAGGCCAAAATGTCCTGGCTTATTTCTTTTTTTTGTTGTTTTTGTATTTTTTTTTCTTTTTTTTTTTAGTATGCTTTAAGTTCTAGGGTACATGTGCACAACGTGCAGGTTTGTTACATATGTATACATGTGCCATGTTGGTGTGCTGCACCCGTTAACTCGTCATTTACATTAGGTATATTTCCTAATGCTATCCCTCCCCTGGCCCTCCATCCATGACAGACCCCAGTGTGTGATGTTCCCCACCTTGTGTCCAAGTGTCCTCTTTGTTCAATTCCCACCTATGAGTGAGAACATGTGGTGTTTGTTTTTCTGTCCTTGCAATAGTTTGCTCAGAATGATGGTTTCTAGCTTCATCCATGTCCCTACAAAGGACATGAACTCATCCTTTTTTATGGCTGCATAGTATTCCATGGTGTATATGTGCCACATTTTCTTAATCCAGTCTATCATTGATGGACATTTGGGTTGGTTCCAAGTCTTTGCTATTGTGAATAGTGCTGCAATAAACATATGTGTGCATGTGTCTTTATAGCAGCATGATTTATAGTTCTTTGGGTATATGCCTATTAATGGGATGCCTGGGTCAAATGGTATTTCTAGTACTAGATCCTTGAGGAATCGCCACACTGTCTTCCACAATGGTTGAACTAGTTTACAGTCCCACCAACAGTGTAGAAGTGTTCCTATTTCTCCACATCCTCTCCAGCATCTGTTGTTTCCTGACTTTTTAATGACTGCCATTCTAACTGGTGTGAGATGGTATCTCATTGTGGTTTTGAGTTGCATTTCTCTGATGGCCAGCGATGATGAGCATTTTTTCATGTGTCTGTTGGCTGCATAAATGTCTTCTTTTGAGAAGCGTCTGTTCATATCCTTTGCCCACTTTTTGATGGGGTGGGGTTGTTTGATTTTTTCTCGTAAATTTGTTTAAGTTCTTTGTAGATTCTGGATATTAGCCCTTTGTCAGGTGGGTAGATTGTAAAAATTTTCTCCCATTCTGTAGGTTGCCTGTTCACTCCGATGGTAGTTTCTTTTGCTGTGCAGAAGCTCTTTAGTTTAATTAGATCCCATTTGTCAATTGTGGCTTCTGTTGCCATTGCTTTTGGTGTTTCAGTCATGAAGTCCTTTCCCATGCCTATGTCCTGAATGGTATTGCCTAGGTTTTCTTCCAGAGTTTTTATGGTTTTAGGTCTAACATTTAAGTCTTTAATCCATCTTGAATTAATTTTTGTATAAGATGTAAGGAAGGGATCTGGTTTCAGCTTTCTACATATGGCTAGCCAGTTTTCCCAGCACCATTTATTAAATAGGGAATCCTTTCCCCATTTCTTGTTTTTGTCAGGTTTGTCAAAGATCAGGTGGTTGTAGATGTGTGGTATTATTTCTGAGAGCTCTGTTCTGTTCCATTGGTCTATATCTCTGTTTTGGTACCAGTACCATGCTGTTTTGGTTACTGTAGCCTTGTAGTATAGTTTGAAGTCAGGTAGCGTGACTTTCAAATAGAAAAAAGAAAACATCCAAAAAGAAAACTAAGAAAACAATTCCATTAGCAATAGCCAAAAAACAAAAAAACAAAAAACTTAAGAAATTAAGAAAAGAAGCCTAAGACTTGTACACTAAACACTACAACACATCACTGAAAGCAACTAAAGAAGACCTAAGTAAGTGGAAAGCTATCCTGTATTCATGGATAAGAAGACTTAATATTGCTAAAATGGCAACACTCTCCAAATAGATCTGAAGATTCAACCCAACACCTATCAAAATCCTAGCTCCCGTTTTTGCAGCATTTGGCAGGCTGATCCTAAAATTTATATGGGGTTTCAAGTAGCAAAATACAAGGGGTTTCAAATAGTGGGAAAAAAAAAATCTTAAAATTGGAAAACTCACGTTTTCTGATTTCAAAAGTTACAGCAATCAAAACAGGTACCCAGGTGATGGAAGAAGTCCATCTTGGACATTGATAATTGTGTTCCCTAGAAAAAAGAGAGAAAATGAAATACCACACAATGACTCTGAAAAATTCTGCTCATAATTGTTCCACATCATTTTGGTTCACATTCCAATGGCATAAGCACGTCATATGGCTAAAACATGGTTTCAATGAACACAAATGTATAATCCTCCCTTAGGGAGTGGCAGTAAATATTTTGAGCAATTATAATATGTTCAGGTGATATTTTAGATAGAGTCATGGCATAATAATTTGGAGGTCTAGTCACTCCTGGAGCCTGACTGATTCTCTGGAAGAATCTTCAGAAAGTGTGAAGATGATGTCAACACACTTATATGACTACATGCTTCTCAGCACATTTACAGCCAGGTGGGGAAATCCCATGTCAGCCCACTCACCTCTCTAATGTATCTGAAGTCATTTCAGCTTTTACCTCTATAACCAGAGCTGTTTTTTTCCAGAGAGTCCAAGAGAAAGTAAAGTTGCAGAAAATTGAATCAGGACCATGGCTATGAGCAAACACATGGATTTTTTTTATTTTAGATTGGTTAAAAATTAAATTTCTGTTTCCAGGGGTGGAGCTGAAAGAACATCCCTTATTCTGTAAATTATAGGGTGTTTATTTTCTTTCTTATCTTTTTGGAGACAGGGTCTCACTCCATTGCCCAGGCTGGAGTGCAGTGGCATGAACTCAGCTCACTGCAGCCTTGACCTCTTGGGCGATCCTCCCACCTCAGCCTCCTGAGTAGCTGAGACTACAGGTGCACACCACTATGCCCAGCTAATTTTTGTATTTCTTGTAGAGATGTGTTGCCCAGGCTGGTTTCGAACTCCTGCACTCAAGTGATCCACCCGCCTTGGCATCCCAAAATGCTGGCATTACAGGCATAATCCATCATGCCTGACCATGATAGGGTATTTGTATCAAAAAAGACAGATTCCCTAAAGGAAAGTTAATGAGAAAAAAACCTTTAATGCTGCTTCCATCCTCTCAGGAGGAAGAATTGCGGGAAGGGTTACAGCATCTCACCACCCAACGAGGGCACACTGCATACCAGTGGTGGAGAAATGGGTGAGCCCCAAGAGCTTGCCTTGGATGGTCAGAGAATGAGGCTCTTATTCCATCATGGACCACAATAGCAGCCTTAGGGGCGGCATTCATGTGCTGTTGCTCAGGCTTCACAGGAAAGAAAGCTATGGGCTGATCCCTTTATGGAGCAAGCTGAGTATTCAGAGCAGCCGTGTACTCAAGGATGAGCTGCCCAGGTGCTGGTAAATCCCAGTTCTTTTTTATCATGTTTCCAGATGCCAATCATTCATTTACATTTCAAACATCGTATTTGTTCCTCATGACTCATTAGCTTGGAGGGAGGGAGAGCAAAGAGGATTGTCCCAATATGCCTCTGTTACCTGGACTGCTAGGCCATGCTGAGCAGAGAGCAAAGCTAGGACACCTGATACCTATGCCACCCATGGATTTTGATCCCGATCACCTTTAATATGCTAATAAAATGTACAAACACATACGTGGTTCTCTTGGCACAAATATATTCTCCAAGTCTGTTGGGTCTCATTGAATGTGAAAAAGAAGATTCTACTCAGTATATAGCTCAATAATGTTCCCTCTTGGGAATATCCTTTCTCTATGAAAAATAAAACCAATAGCATTTATGCAAGGCCGGGTGCAGTGGCTCATGCCTGTAATCCCAGCATTTTGGGAGGCCAAGGTGGGCGGATCACTTGAGGTCAGGAGTTCGAGACCAGCCTGTCCAACATGGTGAAACCCCGTCTCTACTAAAAATACAAAAAAAAAATTAGCCAGTCGTGGTGGCACGCACCTGTAGTCCCAGCTACCTGGGAGGCTGAGGTGGGAGAATCGCTTGAACCTGGAAGGCGGAGGTGGCAGTGAGCTGAGATTGTGCCACTGCACTCCAGCCTGGGCAACAGAGCAAGACTCCATCTAAACAACACCACCAACAAAAATATTTATGCCAACTGGAGAGCCCTGACATCTGTCACCCTGCTGACTGTGAAGCCTGCAGAGCTAGGATAGATGATGTCTTGGGATTTATGTTACTTAGGGATAGAACTCAAACTAGTTGAGGTCAAGAGAAGAAGTTAATGACCCACATACTTGAATGGTTCAGGGATTGCTCCAATATGGCTACCTCAGGTATGACTTGTTCCAGGTACTCACATAATGTCATACAAACTTGCTCTGTTTCCCTTTCTTGGCTCTGTTTTACTGTGTGTTGGTTTTATTCTTAGGCAAGCTCTCTCCATGTGGTGGCAGGATGACTGTACATTCCAAGCAGCCCTGGCATTACTAGAGTGCCTGCCCACTGCCAAATAGTTTCAGGAAAGTTTCTGGGTTGTGTTATAAACCCTGCCTGCGTCTTGTGTCCATCTCTGAAATAGCCACTGTGTCCAGGAAGATGCCGTGGTCTACTTGACCAGCCCTTGTTCATGTGCCTAGAGTGGAGTCAACTCTCCTGAATCATATAGAGAAATCGAGAGACAGACTGTTATTCATGCACCTGTCATAATATATGAGGTTCTCTATAGATTAATTCTTTTCCTATCTTTCTCCTCTTCTAGGTGCTGAGCAGCACAAGGGTTTGGGCTATTTAATGTGTCTCTATAAGTGCAGTGTCTAGCACAATGTATGAAACCTATGAGTGCCCAATAACCGATCAATATTGTACATGAATGAGTGTTCAATAACAAGGTGATAAATCACAAGGATCATATGCATTCTAATTACCTAGTTTGGGGGTTGCTCCATAGCTCAAAAATATTTGTTGAGTGAATCAGCATTCAGTTCCTCTGGGGATGGAAATTATATCTGATTAACTCTTTGTGTGTTTTCAGCAAAATACACAGTAAGTAACCAACGATGTTGTTAAATAAGAAAATAGATGAATGGGTGAGCTTTAAGTTTCACCACTCAAGGAACCTCATCTCCTTCATCACTCAATTCCCAGTGGTAGATCCAGTAAGCCCTACCCTCTAGGGACTCAAGATACCTCCATCCTTACTCTCCCACTTCCCAGCTGGAAAGCTGCTTAACTCACCTGTATCCCAGAGGATGTCCAGAGGATGTGGGCCATGGTGAGAAGATAGTGAGTTTGAATATGAAAAAGAGGCAAGAAGGAGACAAATGAGGAGTTCACTCCAAGTTCACATTCATCTTATTTTGGAAGGAAGTGGGAAAGGAGAACAAAGTTTTCATGAATAATGCTGCATATTAAAATGCTTGCTCTCTCTGATGGTGATTAAGATGGATGCAGCATCATACTGACTTTTGGAGGGAGTGGGAGTACAGCTGACAATTTTCCCATCAGAGCTTTTCACGAAGAAGGAGCAACTCCCAGGTCCCCCCGCCACTTCCCTCCTCCTGCTCCAGCCTGCCTTTCCTGCACAGCTTCTGGCTGCTTCTAGGCACTGGAGGAGGAATTCATCAGGGGCTGACAAGTGGCAAATGACATTAGCTGCCAACTATATTTTTTTAAATGTGAACACAACCGGGGTAATGTCTTATTCCCTTCTCCCTGTTTCCAGTCCCTGTGCCTAACAATAGTGCCTGAATCCTGGTAGGCACATGGTATTTCGAATTCCTCCGCGGTGGGCATTTGTCATTTTCGGCTATCTCTCGTTCCTTTCCTCTTCTTCTGTTATCAAATGCCTTTCTTTTCTTTTGAGGAGCCACTCCCTTCCTTCAATTTATGTGGTTCTGGGGATTAAAGGAGCTAATTCTGTCAAATTCTTAAAATACCGCCTTAATTAATATTAGCTATCATTATAGCTAATATATCATTACAGCTAATATTACATTATAGTATAGTTAATGAAACACCCATGACACAGGATACCATAAATAAAGAAATTTTGAGAGTGTATGAAGGGCCTTTTATAACTAAAAAGATAACAATTATTTTAAAGAATTAAATAAGCATAAGAGTTGGAAGATAAAATTAAGAACATCTCAGAGGAAGTAGAACCGAAAGACGAAGATACAGAACACAGAGATACATACATATGTTTAATTTGAGCATCAGTTCAAGATGTCCAGTATTTTCAGAATCCTCAAAAAAAAATAGAAGAGGGATTACAGAGGAAAGAAAATTATCAAAGAAAAAATAAAAGAAAAAATTCCGGGTTTGAAAAATATTATTTTTCGTATCAAAAGATGTCCTTTCTAACCCAGTGCTGAGAACAAAAAAGTGAAAAAAGCAGTCAAATCAGGATGTATCATCATCACATTTTAAAAGAAGGGGGGAAAGAGAAAATGTTTCAATGCTTTAAAAGAGAGAAACAGCAGATCATGTACAAAGCATTGGAAATCAGTATGACATTGGATTTTTCCACAGTAATGTTAGAAACTAGAAGACACTATAACAGTGAGTTAAAAATTCTGACTACTAATAATTTCCAGATTAGAATTCTATCCTCATTCAAACTATCGATCAAGTATAAAGGGGAGCCTAGATTTTTTCTTCAAATTTGCAAGTTTTCAGAAAGCTGTTGCACAATTTATTACACCAAAATGAAGGAGTAAACTAAAAGACAGAAATAATAACTTTTCTTTTTTAAAACTTGGCATTTTATTATTATTATTATACTTTAAGTTCTGGGTTACATTTGCAGAATGTACAGTTTTGTTACATAGGTATACATGTGCCCTGGTTGTTTGCTGCACCCATCAACCCTTCACTTTCATTAGGTATTTCTCCTAATGTTATCCCTCCCCTAGCCCCCCACCCCCCAGCAGGCCTCCATGTGTGATGTTCCCCTCCCTGTGTCCATGTGTTCTCATTGTTCAACTCCCGCATGAGTGAGAACATGTAGTGTTTGGTTTTCTGATCTTGTGATAGTTTGCTGAGAATGATGGTTTCCAGCTTCATCCATGCCCCTGCAAAGGACATGAACTCATCCTTTTTTATGGCTGCATAGTATTCCATGGTGTATATGTGCCACATTTTCTTAATGCAGTCTATCATTGATGGACATTTGGGTTGGTTCCAAGTCTTTGCTATAGAAATAATAAGTTTTCTAAAGAGGGGATTCAAGCAGAGAGAAGAGGCAAAGATAATAATCAGAAATCATTTTGAAGAGAAGCCCCTAGATGACAGCTGGGAAGTAGGCCTAGAGGGCAACTAACCAGATTAGAGAAGGAAGATGGAGAGATTAGAGATAGAAATAAAGGGTTCCTAGCAAAGCAGTGGAACTAATAACCAGTAGAATAACAAATGTATTTGTCTGTGGGAAAAAGTGTTAAAAGGGTTTCTAGTGTTCTGTGGAGACTCTGAAGTAATTTATCCATAGGAAACTAAACAGATTTCAAAATGAGGCAACTCTCAACTCCAGGAAAAGCATAAAGTTATAGAACTAAGAAAAGATAGTCAAAATATACACCTTGACTCAATAGTGCACTTAAATGTACTGAGTCATTTAATGAACAAGTTATATTGTAAACATGGAATGTTCATTTAACTATATTTGAGATGTAAATTTATTGGACGGGTTGGGGAGCAAAGTGGTGTTGGTGGTGCTATTCCTGCTGCTTTTCCTTTTTTAGCGCTAAATTCTCATTTACTGTAAAAAAACCTAATTTCTAAATTAAGAAATATATGCAGTCATATGAATATATTATCTATAAACCTAACTAAGTGTATAGAAGAAATAGCAAGAAGTTGTAAAATTTTTATTGTGCCTGGAGCAGGACTTGGGAAGGTTGGGAACATGGGAGGTTGCTTTTTGTCAGAAGATTTGTAATATAATTTAAAAATCTTTAGAACTAATTATGTGTATTATTTTGTTAATAAAAATGAATTTTAAAATAGGTAAATGACATGAAGAGAGTGTTCCCAGACACAAATGCAAGTGAAAAAATGCTCAATCTGAGTCAAAATTAGAAAAATATGAATTATACTTAAAATGTGATATGTTAAACACATTAGGTTGAAAAAATTTTAAAGTTTGATAATATAATCAGGGACGGTATGGGTAAACAGTATTTTAAATTTTGGAAGTGTATTGATACAAACTCTCTGAGTAAAAATTAACACTGTTTGTCAAAATACGCTTTCATTTAGCATTTCTACAATGAAGAATTTATCCTACAGATATTTTCTCATGTGTAAACAGAGATATATTGCAGTAAGAATATTTATTATGACTGGGCACAGTGGCTCATGCCTGTAATCCCAGCACTTTGGGAGGCTGAGGAGGGTGGATCACTTGAGGACAGGAGTTCGAGACCAGCCTGGCCAACATGGCAAAACCCCGTCTCTACTAAAAATACAAAAAATAGCTGGGTGTGGTGACGCATGCCTGTAATCCCAGCCACTTGGGAGCCTGGGTCAGGGGAGAATTTCTTGAACTCAGGAAGCGGAGGTTGCAGTGAGCCGAGATCGCGCCACTGCACTCAAGCCTGGATGAAAAGGGTGAAACTCCATCTCAAAAAAAAAAAAAAAAAAAGAAAGAAAAGAAAAAAAACAGGCGTGGTGGCTTTCGTCTGTAATCCCACCTGTAATCCCAGGACTTTGGGAGGCTGAGGCAAGTGGATCACTTGAGGTCAGGAGTTTGAGACAAGCTTGACCAACATGGTGAAACCCTGTCTGTATCAAAAATAAAAAATTAGCCGGGTGTTGTGGCAGGCGCCTGTAATCCCAGCTACTCGGGAGGCTGAGGCAGGAGAATTGCTTGAACCCAGGAGGCAGAAGCTGCAGTGAGCCGAGATCATGCCACTGCACTCCAGCCTGGGTGATAGAGCGAGACTCTGTCTTAAAACAAACAAACAAACAAAGTAAATTTAAAAAATTGTTATAACACTTTTTTTGATAAGAAAAAGAATCAAGCAATATGTTACTGATCACATGTCATTGATACCTCCATGTAACTTCTTCAATCAGCAGTCACTAAGTGTTCGTTGCGTGTCAGGCACTATTCTAGGCTTTGGAAATAAAGCAATAAACAAAACTAAGTCATCACCCTCATGGAACTTACATTCTCATGGGTGGAGAGAAACAATAAATAAACAAATAGGTCAAGCGATACAAAATGCTACAGAAAAAAATGAATTAAAAGTAGAAAGAAGGTGGTGGGAGATGGCAGCTATTTTACGAGAGTGGTTAAGGATGGCCTTTCTCATCAGGGAAGACTGGAGCAAAGATCTGGAGGACGTGGGAATGGAGAAAGCTGCATTCCATGAAGAGGAAGCAGCAAGAGCCAAAGGCTCAAGGCAGGAGTGTGTGTAAAATACAAGATAATAATATGCAGATACTTAAAAAAGAATGAGGCAGATCTGATATGGAATGATCTTGAACATATATCCTTAATAAAAATATGGGGGAAGAATAGTATTCTGCCATTTATGGAGAGAGAAAGGTAGAGACAGAGAAAGACAAATGAGTGCTTATATGCGTGCATAGGTAGAACATCTCCGAAAAGATGAACAAGAAACTGGCAATAGTGATGTCCTTTGAATATTGGACCTGGAAAGGGCATTGAGAGGAGCATATTAAGTTGGTGCAAATGTAATTGCACCAGCCACAATTATGTTTGCACCAACCTAATATTTATTTATTTATTTATTTTGAGACAGAGTCTTGCTCTGTCACCCAGGCTGGAGTGCAGTGGCATGATCTCAGCTCACTGCAACCTCCACCTCCCAGGCTCAAGCGATCTTCCCACCTTGGGCTCCGAGTAGCTGGGACCATAGGCGCGAGCCACTATGCCTGGCTGATTTTTGTGTGTTGGTAGAGGTAGAGATGGGGATTTATCATGTTTCCCAGGCTGGTCTCAAACTCCTGAGCTCAAGTTATCCACCTGCCTCGGCCTCCCAAAGTGCTAGGATTACAGACGTGAGCCACCGTGCCCGGCCAACACCAACCTAATACTTTAAATGTAATATTTTGACTTTGATTTTTTTACAGGGTGCAGGTGTTTGCTATTTTTTAGAACATACCTATTTGAAAAAATGGTTAACGTTAGGAGAGAGGAAGAAACTATGCCTCCTTTCAACTGGTTTATACATTTAGGATTTTTTTAGTTTGGCAAGAGGCATTGAAATGTCTAGCAAATTTCATTCTTCTCTGTTCATAGGCAAATAATAAGTTTCGAAAAATTCAGGATAGGAACTACATGGGATTAGAGGCCACCCAGGACAATGAATGCAGATTTCAAGCTCTCCTGATATGGTTTCTCCACTCCATTCCCCATGGTCAGGTTGGCAGTTAATGTTGGGTGGTGAGATGCTAGGAAATAATCTCCATTTTGCATCTTATAAAATAGCTGTGGTAACTCTTCTCTCTGGCCAGGTGATCCCTGTCTTAACTTTTGTTACCTTGAGGACTTCAGGGGCCATGGTTATTGGAATAAGTAGAAGTATTCAGCATATGGCATGAGAATCTGGCTATGGTAGGTTTCCAATACCACTGTGGATATAAGAAGAGCAATGGTATCCATTTTTCTCTACCAAGAGCCAGGAAGCAATGGTACTCTGGACCTCAGGCTACAGCAAACATCTTTCAGGGTGGGGAGACAGCAACCTTGAAGCTTTAAGGACAAGAAGTCCATAGGTTATGTCTGGCAAGAGCGTTTTCTTCCGTGAAGGAAAATGAAGAGAAGTTCAATTCCAACCTTTTCCCAAACAGCCATGATCTGCTAGACACAAACACAAAGATTTGATTTTTAAATTAATATTTAAATACATTTGGCATGAATTCATTCTTTTTATAAAAAGTTTGAGGGTAAATCCATCCAAATTAAAAATGTCTTCTCTGTGAAGGACCCCATTAAGAGGATGCAAAGACCAGCTCCAAACTGGGAGAAAATATTTGAAAACCACTATCTGGTAAAGAAGTAGTATCTGTAATCCATAAAGAATGCTCCAAACTCAAAAGTAAAAACAAGCAAACAATTCAATCAGAAAATGAGCAAAAGACAGGAAGAGACAGTTTACCAAAGAAGATATGCATGAAAAAGAAGCACAGGTAAAGATGAGAAATGTGAATTAAAATAACAATGCGATATCACTACATGCCTATCAGAATCGTTAAAATAAAAAGTAGTGGCAACACCAAATGTTAGCAAGGATGCAGACATTAATAAATTCATAAGTTTCAGATGGGAATGTAAAATGGTACAGCCACTCTGGAAAACAGTTTGGTGTTTTTTACAGAAAATTAAACCTGCAAGAATCAGCAATTGTATTCTTGGGCATATCTGCCAGAGAAATTGAAATGGACATTCACACAAAAATCTTTACAGGAATGCTTATAGCAGCTTTATTCATAGTAGCCCCAAACGGAAGCAATCTAGATGCCCTTCAAGGGGGAAATGCTTAAACAAACTGTGGTATATCCATACCATGAAATAGTACTCAGCAAAGAAAAGGAACAAACTGTGGTATATCCATACCATGAAATAGTACTCAGCAAAGAAAAGGAACAAACTGTGGTATATCCATACCATGAAATAGTACTCAGCAAAGAAAAGGAACAAACTGTGGTATAGCCATACCATGAAATAGTACTCAGCAAAGAAAAGGAACAAACTGTGGTATATCCATACCATGAAATAGTACTCAGCAAAGAAAAGGAACAAACTGTGGTATATCCATACCATGAAATAGTACTCAGCAAAGAAAAGGAACAAACTGTGGTATATCCATACCATGAAATAGTACTCAGCAAAGAAAAGGAACAAACTGTGGTATATCCATACCATGAAATACTACTCAGCAATGAAAAGGAACAAACTACTGGTACACATAACAACTTGGATGAATCTCAAAGGAATTATGCTGAGTGAAAAAAGGCAATCCAAAAATGCCACATACAATATGACTCCACTAATATCCTTGAAATGACAAAATTAGATGAGTGGTGGCTAGGGATTAAGGATAGGGACAGGGCAAGAGGGAAGTGTGTGTGAGTAAGAAAGGACACCATAAGGAATCCTGTGGCAATGAAACCCTTCTGTACTGTGACGGTGCCCATGGATATATGAACCTACACATAATAAAAGTGCATAGAGCTAAATAGACACACACAAATGAGTACAAGTAAAATGGGAAATCTGAAGATCAGTAGATTATATTAATGTCAATATCCTGATTATGATATTATACTATAATTTTGCATAATGTTATCATTAGGAGAAACTGGATAAAGGGAGCACAGGATCTTTCTGTATTATTTCTTACAGATGTTAAAAATTAAAAGCTGAAATCCCAATGGTTTCCATCTGTAGTCATAGGATCTCCTCCACCTCACCCTGGAAGTGTCCACTTACTTTAATGCGAGTTCTATGCTGGGAGAAGAAATGGCCCTTTGAATTCAGACAAGTCTGGATTCAAATTCTGATTCCACCACTCAGTAGCCTTGAGGGAGTAACTTAATTTCTCTGCCTAGCTTCCTCTTCATAAAACAGGATCCAATAATAGTACTTAGCTTGTTCCAAGAATCTAATAAATTAATACATATCAGTTTCTTAGAAGTGTGTCTGGCACGTACTAAATTCTCGATATTATTTTTATTATACACGTATCTTTGAAAACGTGTAGCATGATTTTCTTTGATGTGGATTGTTGTTTGTTTTATACAAACGATGTTATGCTTCTATATCAGTCTGTTATTTGCTTTTTCCTTTCTGCAGCAATATGTTTTAGATTCCTTTCCATGTCAGTAAATATCAAACTGTCTCATTTTAATTGTTATTGTAATGTTTAATTACTTTGTAATTGCTGCATAGTATTCCATGGTATGGTTATATTTAAATTTATTTACCATTTCCCTACTGATGGATATCTAGTTTGTTTCTAATGTTTTACTATCTAAATTCATATGCGTGTCTCTCTGGGCTACATATGAGAAATAGAATAGCTAATTGACTGAATACGGCTTTAACACTTTCAGATGATATGTTGAGAGTCAGTGCTATCTATAAACGATTCTGTGCCTTCCCCTCCAGCAATAATTTAAGGAATCTTCTTGCCACTTAAAATAAATCATTGATGTGTAATTCACATATTATAAAATTCATCCATTTCTGTACATTTACATAGAATTTGCAACCAGCACCATGACTTACTTTGTTATGGGTTGAACTGTGGTATCCCAAAAAATGTATGTTGGAGCCCTAATTCCTAGTACCTCCAAATGTGACCTCATTTGGAAATAGAATTGTTGTAAACAGAATTCAATTTAAGATGAAGTCATACTAGAGTAGGGTGGACCTGACATCCAATATAACTTGTGTTCTTATCAGAAGAGGGAAATTTGGACTCAGAGACAGACAGGGAGAACATCATATGAAAATGGGGGCAGTGACTGGATTCATGTTGCTGCAAGCCGAGTGATGCCTACAGCTACTGGAAGCTGAAAGGAACAAGGAAGCTTCCTCCCCTAGAGGATTTTTTTTTTTTTTTCTTGAGACGGAATCTCTCACTCTGCCACCAGGCTGGAGAGCAGTGGTGCCATCTCAGCTCACTGCAACCCTCGCCTCCTGGGTTCAAACGATTCTCCTGTCTCAGACTCCCAAGTAGCTGGGATTACAGGCACGTGCCACCACGCCTGGCTAATTTTTGTATTTTTAGTAGAGACAATGTTTCACCATGTTGGCCAGGATGGTCTTGATCTCCTGACCTGGTGATCTGCCCGCCTCGGCCTCCCAAAGTGCTGGGATTACAGGCGTGAGCCACCACACCTGGCCTGCATTATTCTTTATGGTGCATTTTCACTGATGAAAATGACTCGCTAACTATGGTCCGTTACACCCTTAGTCTCAGTAGTTCTCCACCATTGGAGTGAAACTCAATTATGAAATTTTCTTGGAGGGTGAAAATCCCCTCCTAGAAAAAAAAAAGACATGTATCTCCTGGATCTCCACACTACGAAATTTCACTGACAGTGTTAGAATACTGAGAGCCGTGAAGCCTCTTCTACAAGCCTTGGTATTTCCATGCTCATGGGGAGGTCAGTAGTACCTGAGACAGCCCATTCCATCCTGGGAGCTCTATATCCTACAAGGTAATTCCTGCAGGTTGAAATCCAGGTTCTGGTGGCTTCCACTTATTCATCCTGTGGATTGAGATGTGGAACAGAAGAAAAAGGAAGGATCAATCCCAAGAGTCAAATAGGATTCTATAGAAACGTGAATGGGAATGATTTTCATGCCTCTAGCAAACTCTCAGAAGGGGGAAATAGTGCAGTGGGAAATCCCAGAATTTGGGGAATTTTTTTTTTTTTTTTTTTAAGACAGAGTCTCACTCTGTTGCCTGGGCTGGAGTGCAGTGGCTCAATCTCGGCTCACTGCAACCTCCACCTCCCAAGTTCAAGCAATTCTCCTGCCTCAGCTTCCTGAGTAGCTGGGACTACAGGCATCCACCACCATGCCCAGCTAATTTTTGTATTTTTAGTAGAGACAGGTTTTCACCATGTTGGCCGGGCTACCTTGACCTCAAGTGATCCACCCATCTCGGCCTCCCAAAGTGCTGGGATTACAGACATGAGCCACTGTGCCTGGCCAGCAGAATTTGGACAGTCTTTTGTTTGAAAATCCTGGTTCTATCATATGCTAACTCTCTGGCTTTCAGGGCTTATTGGTAGCCTTTCTGAGCCTAAGTCTCTTTTGTCTGTAAAATTGAAAAATCTGGCACATCGTAGATGTTCTATCCTCAATGGTTTTAGATGGAAGGGAAAACCTCATGTGAACAAAAGAAAGGACCTCATTCTAGAGGAGATGGAAAAGAGGTGGAGGGGAGGAAATTTCCACGTCTAGTAGCATTCTTCCAAATGAGATGATCAAGTCTTTAATACAGAGAACCTTTGTAAAAAATTTTATAGACATTATTTTTTGGAGTAGTTAGGGGCTCAGAGCAAAACTGAGTAGAAGGTATAGAGTTCCCATATACCCTCTGTCCTATACACGCATAGCCTCCCCTGTCATTAACATCCCCCACCAGAGCGGCACGTCTGCTACAATTGATGAACCTACATTGACACATCCCTGCATTCCAAGTCCAGGGTTCACTTTTGGTGTTGTACATTCTGAGGGTTTGGACCAATGTATAATGATGTGTATTTACCATGATAGTATCATACAGAGTAGCTTCACTGCCCTAAAAATCCTCTGTCCTCCACTTATTCATCCCTCCCTCCTGCTATCCTCTGGCAACCCCTGAGCTGTTTACCCTCTCTGTAGTTTTACCTTTCCCAGAATTGTCATTGAGTTGGGATCATACAGAGTGTAGCCTTTTCAGATTGGCTTCTTTCACTTAGCCATATGCATTTAAGGGCCGTGTCTCTTTATGGCTTGATAACTCATTTCTTTTTAGTTCTAGATAGTAATCTATTGTTCATGGTAAAAGTGGAAAGCAGTTCACTATGTACATGTGTATCAAAATATTATGCTGTACATCTTAAATATATACATTTAAAAAAGAAAACATTTCATTGTCTGGATGTACCACAGTTTATTGATTCACCTACTGAAGGATATAGATATTTTATTGAATTAAATTAGGGCTCCATTTTACAGCCCAGGGATCATAGCATGGAATCAGCAGGTGGCAGCATTCCAGATCACTTGGAACTCAAACAGGTCCTCTGATTAACCTAGGCTCACAATGATGTACTCCAAAGGATAGGTCTTAGGTCTCTAAAGTCCCAAAACCCACTGCATTAAGAGGTTAAAGAAATAAAACTGATTTGCTGTGGAGGCTGCGATTGTCCTGGAAAATCACAATGCAATATCTCCACTGGCTATAATCACTGAGGAATTCCTTCTGCCCCTAAAGGGTTGGCACTCTTGCGTAGGATGGGTGCTCTTGCAAGATCTAATCCTGGAAATGCTCTCCATTCTCCATTCTTTTTTCCACTTACTTCTAAGGACAATACTGGGTTAGGCACCTGGCTTAAAGGAGTCTTTGAAGATCCCAACTGACAAGTGCAAAATATACGACTTGAAAAGAAAATCAGAATGCTTTGCCTTGGTTTGCTGAAGTGTGAAGTACATAGAACTTAAATACTATGTGGGTTTTTTCTAACCTTTTTTTTTTTTTCTGTAACTGAGCCAAAAACCAAAAGGGATTTTTTCTCTCTCTCTTTTTATAAGATACCAGGTGCACCAGAAGCAAGCATGCATTTTCTAAAACCAGTGAACCATGACATCAGAAGATTCTTAAGTCACGCCAGAACCAAACCTGCATTTCATCTAATCTCTGATCTAAATTAGGCCTCAGACATGCAATTGTTTTACCCAGTTGCAATCCAACATGAAGTGTGTTTGTTGGGCCTGTCTATCTCGGCTCAGTTGTGTTGTGGTCCAGTTCTGTCTCACTGGTTCTCTGCATCTGGGTGGCTGGCTGTCTTTGTCCCTCTGTGTTTCTATACTTTGTCTCTCTGCTTTTTGCTTTCAGTCTCTCTGTTATTCCGCCTGTGATCTTTCTCACTCTGCTGCTGCCCTTTTCTGAAGTGCTTTCAACACTAAGTCACGTTTAAGAGCACGTTTAAGATTTCAAGCTTAGGCTTGAAATCACCTCCTGCCTCTTTCTTCAGTCTCATCTGTCAACATGCTTAGAAGGGTATGTGGCTTGTAACAAGCATGTTACAGTCATTCACTATTATGATTCCCCACATTTGTGTAGCACTTTTCCAGGTAGTTTCTGAGATCAGCACGCTGGGTGACACCACAAAATGGAAAGAAAGGCTTTGGGAGAAAGAAGATTTCATGGGCTGATGAAAAGAAATACTTAGGTGACTTCTCTTGGCTGTGTGTGTCTTCTCATATCTTTCACAAGAGGCAGTCTGAGATATCTCAGGCAACTGCAGGGTATGCATGTGGCATATCTTGATTTTCGTAACACTTTGGCTGCTGAATCTCCATTCCAACCATGGCAATCTGTGAAAGCAAGAATATTGAGGAGAAAAGAGTAAAGAAAAGGGGAGACAACATGAGAGAGAACAGGAGTGGAGAAAGAGGATGAGAATTAAAGAGAGGGTAGAAAAGAGTTGATAAGAGTGACAGTAAGAGGAAGAGAAGGCAAGAGATAGAGTGACATTCACTGAAACCATAAAGCAGTGTGTCCTGCTGAATAGAGTAAGTGAGATCAACATGAACCCTTGGAAAAAAGATGCTATAGCCCACATTATTGCTCCTTACATTAAATTGTACTAAATATAAGTCTATTATCTGCTTAACTTAGTCTTGGTATAATTCACTGTGCTGCTGTAGGCCTCAGTTTCCATCTGAGGTCTTGCCTTTGTAAGCAAAACTGTAGCTCTGTACAGCAGAGATTTAGCTCCTTCACAACTGAAAAAAGGCTAAAGAAAGGGAAAACAAGGCACTTGGTGTTACAGAGTTAGAGAGAAGAGATACTGAAGTATTATACTTGGAAGCAGCAAACAAAAATCAGTCCCCAACGAATCTATGCCGTGCCATCTGCAGTCAATATGCATTATTACAGTTACACAGATGGCTGGGTTCGGGGGGAGTTCCAAGCCAGTGGTTCTAGACCTTAGCAGTGCACTGTGATCACCTGAGAGCTTAAAAAACATCTCAGTGTCCAGGTTCCACCCTAGATCAATTAAAGGGTGGAATCCAGGAATCAATATTTTTGGAGGCCCCCAGGTGACTCCATTGTGCAGCTAAGGTTGCAGACCTCTGATCTTGGATAACCCTGGGAGCCAAGCAACAAAGTTTTTGAACTCTGTAACCTGACTGCAGGTAAAGTAGCTCAATAAATGACTGTACCTGTTGGGTAATAACGGTGGCAATTCAGGGACTGTCAGAGGACTATGAAAAGTCCATCTGTTTGGAATGATGCAGATTTAATCAAATGATATTCTTCAAAAGTGACTACCTCATTCTCAGACATTTGGTTTGCCCCGAGTGTCTGATGGTCCCGGTTTGCTGGTATCTGTTTATAGCCATCTGCTGCCAGTGATTGTGGAGGTGAGGAACAACGTGTTGCCAGCTGAGGTGTGCAGCAGGGCAGCTTTCCTACCTGGTTTTTTCCTGGGAGGAAAGGTATCTTCACCCCTGGGAGTAAAGGTACCTCGAACATCCTAAATACACCTGTTATGGATTAGTTGTGTCTTCCTAATATTCTTATGTTGAAGTCTTAACTCCCAGTGCCTTAGAATGTGATTGTTTTGGAAATAGACTCTTTGGAGCTGTGATTAGTTAAGATAAGGCCCTACTGGAGTGTGATGACTTGACAGCTCCCTTCTTTTTAGTTCTAGATAACAATCTATTTTTCATGGTAAAAGTGGAAAGCATTCCATTATGTACATGTATATTAAAACATTATATTGTACACCTTAAATATATACATTTAAAAAAGAAAACATGTTTCATTGTCTGGATGTACCACAGTTTATTGATTCACCTACTGAAGGATGTAGACCTTTTACTGAATTCAGTTGGGGCTCCATTTTACAGCCCAGGGACTACAGCATGGAATCAGCAGGTGGCGGCATTACAGATCACTTAGAGGTCAAACAGTCCCTCTGATTAACCTAGGCTCACAATGATGTACTCCAAAGCATAGGTCTTAGGTCTCTAAAGTCCCAACACCCACTGCGTTAAGAGGTTAAAGAAATAAAACCGATTTGCTGTGGAGGCTGCGATATGACTGGTGTCATATAAAATGGGGAAATTTGTACACAGAAATATGCACACACGGAGAACACTGTGTGAAGATAAAGGCAGAGACCATCTGCTTCTATTAATATAAACCAAGGAGCACCAAAGACTGCCTGCAAAGCACGAGAAGCTAAGGCAGAGGCCTGGAAGGGATTCTCTTACTCACAGCCTTAGAAGAAACCAATTTTGTTGACACCTTGATTTTGGCCCTCCAGAGCTGTGAGATGATAAATGTCTGGCTTTTAAGCGAAACAGGTCGTGGTACCTTGTTACAGCAGCCCTTGGAAACTAATACAACGCCCCAGGATGGGAGAACAAATTCTGCCCACTGATGGGAACCAAATGGAGGCTTTCAGGCCTGGGGGAAGGTGTGCCCTGAACCAATCAGCTGGCCCCATTCCAAACCTGCTTCAAACTGATCACACAGATGTTTGCTCCTGATACCCTCGTGCTCACTGTATCCACTGTTGGGGGATTGAAATACCCCAAGCAGGGCCAGCTCCACGGGTGTGTGACCTGTGCAGTCACACAGGGCCCACTCCTATTTTAATTCTCTGGTGTTGCCATCTTGAAATTCTTAATTTTTGAACAAGAGCCCAGCATTTTCACTTTGCACTGGGCCCCCCAAAATTGTGTGGCCATTCCTTTCCCCAAATGTCTCACCAACTTTCCCTCTTTCGATCAGATCCCATCTACTTTGTCTGAATTTCTTATTGTGTCTGATCCACTGATGTCACCCCCTTCTTGCTTTCAGTGATATTTTTGTAGAAGTTTCCTTTTTAATACTATTGTTTCTGTTATTTGTAGGGATTTGGGGCAGGAGGGAATGGCAGACGGGCACTGTGTCAGCCATCTAAATTGAATAACCCAAAGCCAACAGGACTCTTATGCTCATTAGGTTGTTAGTCCTATCAGGGACGTTGGCTAGAGAATGGAGGAGAAGTTTATAAAAGACTGTGTGAGCCTTGGCTTAGGTAGTACAGCTCTGGGACTCTGATGACCATGAGTAACTGAGAGTCTGGAGGGAGTGATACACTGCTTAGGACCCTTGAAGGCTTGAAGGTGGCTGGCTGTCTCTGTGTCATACTGGCATGGTGTTTTGCTAATCTGATCATTTTATTCACAGCTCCCCTTGAAATCCTGGCATAGGTTTCTATTATTCCTGGGATGCTCTGACAAGTTGGGTCATTGTTCCCATTCTTTCCTCTTTCCCTGAATTAGAAATATGCACTCACACTCTTTGCCACGGTGCTCTACGTCACGTCCCACTGTGGGCAACGTGACCTTCCCACCCCATTGACACTGGGTTAGCCATGTGACTTGCCTTGGCGGATGGAACTTGAATGGGATTGTCAATGTGCCAGTTCCCAGCTGAGGCTGTAAGAAGCATTACGCATTTCCACTCACCTTCTTGCATTTCTACCATCTGCCATGAGAAAAACACACCCCACGTAGAAACTAGTCCAGAGAGAATGAGGAGACAGTCCCAATGCCCAGCCTGGATTCAAACCTAGCAGATTCCAGCTAAACCCAGAAGAGATACAGCCCCTCTACAAACCCATAAGCAGCGTTAATGTCCTTGTTTACAGAGGCCAGTGAGTTTGAGAGGTCTTTGCTATGCAGAATTATTGCTGCCAAAGCTGACTGATGAAGAAATAATGTGATTTCTTTAGGTGGGCTTTCATGTCCTTTTCTGGTCTGGACCTTTCTATTTGCTCAGTCTTATCTCCTACCCCCCACCCTCTTCTTTGTCCATTCTACACTCAGTTCAGATGTTCTATGTTCTCTCTCAGCTTTGAGCCAATAACACATTCTCTTCCTCCATCCCTGCCCTACTCAGGATCCTTTGACTTGGCTTTCTCGTTCTCACTCTCTAGCTCTCGGTCTAAGTGTCACTTCTACCAGTAAATCTTCCTTAAGGCACAGTAGGAAACACTAATGGCCCTGCAATGTACTCTCTTTGTGCCGTGTTCTTCCACACCATAGCACTTAGGACAGTATTGTGTCACTGCTAATATGGTGGGGGAAATATATTGAGATATTTATTTGTATTTAATTGCTGTAGAAGAATCAGGACGAATGAGAGGCAGCAATGCTTTGCTTTTTATACTCTGCCCCTCACTTGCACACAAACGAATCCCAAGGAGTCCATAGGGCCCCTCCCTTCCTCTGCCACTGTCATTTTAAAGCAAAAGCAGTATCTGGGGTGTGTGTGTGTGTGTGTGTGTGTGTGTGTGTGTGTGTGTGGCTGTTTGTGTGTGTGCATGTGTAGGGGGTTGGTTTATCTTATGAAATCCTAAGAAATTCTAGTGAAATCCCAGAAGGGGAATGATGAGGAAGAATGTGGCTTTGCAGTCTGGCTATGAAATGTTCCTCCAGAATGAGTGTGGACAGAGGTTGGCAGGTTTCATGAATATGCAGACCTGTGCTCGCCATAAGAATTTGGAGGGCTGGTGCACCTTCGAGGAGCTGAGTCCCAATTTCTGGGCTCTTGGGTATCAAGAATGCCTGTTGCCACATGTCATGGAAACAACAGCTCAAATGAACTTCAGGAACCGTGCAGACTTGGACTATACAGTGCTCAACAGAAACTGGGGTAGACCAAAGAAAGGTTGCCAATCTAATGACTTAAAACAGCACCAACTTATTATCTCATGATAGCCCATAGGGCAAGAGTCTATGCACAGCATAAGTCCTCTGCTCAAGGTCTCATATGGCTGAAATTGAGGTTTCCTTTCTGCAAAGTCCGACATTAAGGGACTGAGCCCTAATAGTGTCTGAGACTGAATGGCTTGACATGCAGAGATGCCAGGCTGGCAATGGAACTTAACTAGGTCTACACACATAAATGGCATTGCTATTTCTTATATCATCTCATTTAGCTTTTAAATGTATGTCTATTATACTTTAATGTTCTGTCTTTCCTGGTAGACCATAAGCTCTTGCAAGGTGGGCTGTTTCTGTCTTGCTTATTGTTGTGCCTCCAGAACCTAAGACAGTTCTTGGAACATTGTAGCGAGGGAGTCGATAAATATTTGTCAAATGAGTGCTTGACTTTTAGGTGCTTGATATGCACTTATTGAACTAAATGGAACCAGTTCTCATAAACGCCATGTGATCTGTGCAGAGTGGGTATCACTACAGCTGTTTCAAAGAGGAAGAACCAGGTTTGGGGAGTTTAGGTAACGTGTTCAGGGTCACTTCAAAGGTAGGAGCAGAGCTAGATCTTTTTCATTATATTCAGAAAAAAAATTAATCTCTTTTTATTTGAAACACGGCCCTGAAATGTAACACTATGACACATTCTAAGTCGTATGACTCATACTTTTCATCTTCTGTGATCAAGAGAGGGGGAAGATGTAATGAATTAGAAGCGTTTATAAGATGTGATTTTATGTTGAGGCCTCAGATACTAACATTGCATAGAATCTCAAACTCTACAGTACCTGAATCTTCCAAATGGATGAGTCTCCTCTTAATAGAAACACAAACTAAATCAATCGGCCGGATGCAATGGCTCACGCCTGTAATCCCAGCATTTTGGGAGGCCGAGGCCGGCGGATCACTTGAGGTCAGGAGTTTGAGACCAGCCTGGCCAACATGGCGAAACCCCATCTCTACTAAAAATACACAAATTAACTGGGCAGGGTGGTGTGCACTTGTAATTCCAGCTACTGAGGAGGCTGAGGCACGAGAATCACTTGAACTCAGGAGGTGGAGGTTGCAGTGAACTGAGATTATGCCATGGTGAGACAGTGTCCTCCACTAGCCAACTCCCCGACCCTCAACCAGAAATCAATATTAAGGGCTCATGGCATAACCTGGTTTCTCTCAGACAGACTAGACCCAAATCCTCTTTCAGGTTTCTGTTGCCTAAATAGAGTGGTTGTTCAGTGAGCAGAAATCTGGCATGTGGATTGTATTCCTTATTAATCATGTAAGCACACCATGAATTCTTGCTTCAGGGCTTTTGCACGTACTGGGATGCTTGTTTGAAAGGCTCTTCCCTTTCTTGTGACTCCATCCTTCTCATTCTTCACTTCTTGATGTAAACATCAGTCCTCAAGGAGTCTTTCCTGAAAGGGTGTCTGGGGGCACCCTCCCTCCCCATGAGTCCCCATCACTGCACACCATTTATACTACTTTTCATAATTTGCAATTACAGCTGACCCTTGAACAGCATGAGTTTAAACTGCACAGATCCACATATATGTGGATTTTCTTCCACCCCTGCCACCCCTGAGACAGTGAGACCAACTCCTCCTCCTCCTGCTTATACTCCTCAACATGAAGACAATGAGGACGAAGACCTTTATGATGATCCACTTCCACTTATTAAACAGTAAATGTATTTACTCTTCCTTATGATTTTCCTAATAACATTTTATTTTCTCCAGCTTAAATTAACTGTAAGAATACAGTATATAATGCATATAACATAAAACATATGTGTTAATCGACTGTCTACGTAATCAGTAAGTCTGCTAATTAATAGTAGTGAAATGGGAAAAGTTCCCTTATCCCCCTGGCAGGGCTTGTAATGGGGGTGTGGCTCGCTTCTTTGGTGCCCTGCTGCTGAAACCCCTAGGGGGAGCATGCAGACAGGTCCGCTGTGGGGCTGTGACCCACAGTGTCTAGGTGTGAATGTTTACAGCTCCTGAAGCCCAAGTGGGCATGTGTTACAGTGTTTTTGGTTTGTTTGTTTGTTTGTTAGTTTGTTTTTAGGCAGAGTCTCGCTCTGCTGCCCGCCCCGCTGGGGTGCAGTACAGTAGTGCAATCTTGGCTTACTGCAATCTTCACCTCCTGGGTTCAAGCGATTCTCCTGCCTCAGCCTCCTGAGTAACTGGAATTACAGGTGCACGCCACCACACCTGGCTAATTTTTGTGTTTTTTAGTAGAGACGAGGTTTCACCATGTTGGCCAGGATGGTCTTGATCTCTTGAACTCATGATCTGCCCACCTTGGCCTCCCAAAGTGCTGGGATTACAGGCATGAGCCACTGTGCCCGGCCACAGTGTGCTCTTCTAGTTTAGCCATCCACAGGCAGATTGTGTTAACCAGCTCAATTAGACCCCTGCTTTATCACAAAGACAGAGGGCTTTCTGTATCCCAGGGTTTCTTGCCTTGGTGTACCGGAAGAATGGGAGGACATATAGGCTTGGAGAATGAGTGCAAGGTTTAATTGAGTGGAAGTAGCTCTCAGCAGAGCGGGGAGCCAGAAGGGAGATGGAGTGGGAAGGTGGTTTTTCCCTGGAGTCAGGCCTCTTAGCAGCCCATGTGCTCCTCTGACTGCCCTGGCCAAACTCCAGGAGGATCCGACAGTCGATGACCTGCTGTGGCATCTGTCGGTGTGCTCTTTTGCAGATGTGTTCCCCTAGACTAGTCCAGCCGCTTGTGTCTCTGCCTACTAGGGTCTTGGGTTTTTATATTCACAGGATGGGGGCGTGGTGGCCCAGGGTGTTCTTGGGAAATGCAACATTTGGGCAGGAAAACAGAAATACCCATCCTCACCTTGTCTGTGGGCACAAACCCGGGGGTGGAGCCCTGGCCAAGGACCACACCCTTCCCTTCCCAGCACTTCCCGGTCCCCCTTCTGTATCAGTAAGCTGTTAGTTTTTAAGTTTTTGGGGAGCCAATTTTGACTGCACAGGGAGTTGATACTCCTAACCCCCGATGTTGTTCAAGGGTCAGCTGTATATAGGAATTTGTTTATTTACTTATTCGTCTTCCACTTGATCTCATGCTTCACAAGGGTAGCTACCAATGTGGTTTATTCACCATTTTTTTTTTTTTTTTGACACAGATTCTTGCTCTTTAGCCCAGGCTAGAGTGAAGTGGCATGATCTTGGCTCACTGCAACCTCCGCCCCCCACCCCACCTCCGGTTCGAGCGATTCTCCTGCCTTAGCCTCCTGAGTAGCTGGAATTACAAGCACCTGCCACCACGTCCGGCTAATTTTTTGTATTTTTAGTAGAGACAGAGTTTCACCACATTGGCCAGGCTGGTCTTGAACTCCTGACCTCAGGTGATCCACACGCCTTTGCCTCCCAAAATGCTAGGATTACAGGTGTAAGCCACCACTCCCGGCCTTATTCACCAATCTTAACTCAACTCTAACACAGTACCTGGACTAAAACAATCATCAATTATTTGTTAAATGAATCATGAATGAATTAATGAATGGAGTTCATTGGGTCATTCAGCAAATATCAATTGAGTGCCAGTTATACGCATTAGAACCTAGAAATACAGATAGGGCGTGGTGGTTCACACCTGTAATCTCAACACTTTAGGAGGCTGAGGCAGGGGAATGCCTGAGCTCAGGAGTTTGGGACCAGCCTGGCAATATCTTGAAACCCTGTGTCCACCAAAAATACAAAAAATTAGCCAGGCTTGGTGGTGCGTACCTGTGGTCCCAGCTACTTGGGACACTGAGGTGGGAGGATGACTTAAACCCAGGAGGCAGATGCAGTGGGCTGAGGTCACACCACTGCACTCCAGCCTGAATGATAGAGTGAGACCCCATCTCAATTAAAAAAAAAAAAGAAGCTAGAAAGACAAAATTATGTAAGACCTGGGTCCTTCCTTCTAAGTGTTCACAGTTTAGTCCTGAAACAAACCATATATTCAAGCTAAATAAATGGCCAAGGTTTTACCTGATTTAACCACAAATGGAGCCAAATTAACACAACACTTAAATTGTAGTGGTTCTTTGTTCTACCACAGAACTACATGAACTTACTGTCCCCCAAGATCTCTCTCAGTTATTTTTGTGAGTCCCCAGGGATGCTTCTCCTGTGCTTCAAGACCGGTCCACTCATGTTCTCGTCACCCCTTCTAGCCATGCTGCCACATTGCTCCTGGCACTATTGCTTTCTGTTCTTTCCATGGGTCCGTGGCTTTCTTGCATTTCATTGGGCACAGGAAGCTCCTGCTTCTTCACCGCTGCTTATCCCAGGCCAGCTAAATGTGGCTATGGTCTTCCAGCACAGAAATGAGAAGGGTGCCTGCGTGTATCTGACTTGCCTGGGGATCTGGTTACAATTCAGTTTCTGATTCAGTAGGTCTGGAGTGGGTCCTGAGAATCTGCATTTCTCATAAGCTTCCAGGTGATGCAATTTTGCTGTCCCATGGACCACATTCTGAGTAGCATGAATGTAGAAGATACTTGTAGTGGGAACAGTAAATGCTCAGTCCATTTTGGCTGTTATGATGTTTACACCTGGAAGGTGCCTAGCACAGGGGTTGCCATTTTGCCAATGCTTTCAAGCGTATCAGGTGCTCTCAGTACCCTGCCTATCCATCTCAGAACTCATCTCTACAAGTAAAAGCTTTAACTGTGAGTACTTATTACTTTTACAGTCCATGGAAACATTGTTGGCCCTCACGTGAAGCAGGTTAGAAATACTGGAGATTAAATGCTTCCTAGAGCAACCTTCAACCCACAGTGGACAGGAAACTGGGGAATAAATGTCCCATTTCTCTTGCCTCTCCGGTAGAACCATTCTGAGGCATGCGTTCTAGACAGGCTCCCAGTGTGACCCAGAAAATGAAGGCCCAGCTACTGGCATTAGTAACTTTCTTGATAGCACCCTGCTAATTTACTTTATTCTCTTCCCTGTCTCTCTTCCCTCTGTTCCAACACACACACACACACACACATATTTCCTAGAACTACTTAGCAAGTAAACTCTTTGCATCTGAATCTTTACCTCTGGGTCTGCTTCCCAAAGGTTTCTTTCAAGGCCAAATCGTCTTACCATAAAATCACTGTTTTTTGCAGAAGACCAAGTGTCATCCTGTAAGCCACGTCCAGACAATGCCCACCATGTCTAACAGGAGGGCTTCAGCCACAGCTCCCCTTACCTTCCCAGTGACATCATATCAAATCAGGAAGACAGTTGCTGCCAGGGTCCCCACAATGTTGTCTCGATCAGAGGACAAGTGGATGATTCATTCCAATAACCCTGACTCCATGTCTGAACAAATCAGTCTGTCTGCTTCTAGTTTATGCGGACAACCAGTTGTTGGATCACATTGACCCCCAATAAGCCAGGTGCTGCAGGACACAGCTTAGGAGGCCCTAAATGTCAGCTGCACAGAGCAGGGAGGAAGCTTCTTCCTTATGGACACTAACTTCTTTCAACTCCATGGAAGAAAGAAACTTTGAGAACCAAATAAAGAAAGCATGGGTGAACCCTGGCATTATGAATGAAATTGCTCCAGACAAATCTAAACAACCTCTCCTAGCAGGTGAGCTGGTGATTCTCCAGCTTAAGCATGCATCCTGGGCCCTTAGGGAGTGTGCTGGAATGCATTTTTCCAAGCCCACCCACAGACTCTGATCCCACCTTGGGAAAGTGCTATAAGTTGTGAGAGTGAGATGACCATCCCACAGAATCTCCCAAGGATTAAATAGAATTTGTTGAGTGCCTATGTGCCAGAAACTCTTCAAAGCTCTTTACCTCCATTCACTTCTTTGATTTTTGTGACAACCTTTTCAGTTAGGTACAGTTATTCAGCCTTATTTTTACAGATGAGAAAGCCAAGGCACAGATAAGCTAAGGAACTTCCCTGAAGCCACACATCCAGGCACACTGGAGGAGCCAGGATTTAAACTGCCAGTCTGACTCCAGAGCCACGCCCTTCCCACTATGATAGAACTGAGGCTGAGCAAGGCCCACGCATATTACTTTCATTCTCTAGAAAGACCCTGCTATGGGCTAAATGTCTGTGTTCCCCCAGTGTTTGCATAGTGAAGGCCTAACCCCCCAGTGGGACTGTATTTGAACATATGGTCTGTGAGGAAGTGATAAAGATTAAACAAGTCATAAGCATGGGGCCCTAATCCTTTAGGGTTGGTGCCCTTATAAGAAGAGAAAGAGACACTACAGCTTTCTATTCCCCCCGTATGAGGACTTAGCTAGAGGGAGGCCATCTACAAGACAGGAAGAGGGACCTTACCAGTGACCAAATTGTCTGGCATCTGGATCTTGGAATTCCCAGCCTCTATATATTAGTCAGGTGTATTAGTATGTTTTCATACTGCTATGGAGAAATGCCTGAGACTGGGTAATATATAAAGAAAAAGAGGTTTAATGGACTCACCGTCCCGCATGGCTGGGGAGGCCTCATAATCATGGCAGAGGGCCAGGAGAAGCAAAGGTGGCAGGCAAGAGAGCCTGTGCCAGGGAACTGCCCTTTATAAAACCATCAGATCTCATGAGACTCATCCCATATCACGAGAACAGCATGGGAAAAACCTGCCCCCATTACTCAATTACCTCCCATCGGGTTCCTCCCATGGCATGTGGGGATTATAGGAGCTACAATTCAAGATGAGATTTGGGTGTGGGCACAGCCAAACCATATAATCAGTGTTCTCCAGAGAAATGAAATCAATAGGATATACATAGATATAGAAAAGGGAATTTATGATGGGAATTGGCTCACGTGATTATGGAGTTTGAGAAGTCCCACAACATGCTGTCTGCAAGTTGGAGAACCAGGAAGCCTTGGAGTGCAATTCAGTCTGAGTTCGAATGCTTGAGAACCAGGTGAGCCAATGGTAAATTTCCCTGTCTGAGACCTAAGGCCTGAGAACTGGGGAGGCCACTGGTGTAAGTCCAAGGGTACAAAGTTTCAACAACTCAGAGTTCTGATGCACAAGGGTAGGACAAGAAGGACATTTCTGTGCCAGAAGAGAGTGAATTCACCCTTCCTCCGCTTTTTTGTTCTACTTGGGCCCTTCGTGGATTGGATGATGTCACCTACATTGGAGAGGGTGGTCTTTTTTTTTTTTTTTTTTTTGAGACAGAGTCTCACTCTGTCACCCAGGCTAGAGTGCAGAGGCACAATCTCAGCTCACTGTAACCACCTCCCGGGTTGAAGCAATTCTCCTGCCTCAGCCTCCCCAGTAGCTGGGATTGCAGGCACAGGCCGCCACGCCCGGCTATTTTTTGTATTTTTAGTAGAGATGGGGTTTCACCATCACACCCCGCTAGACGAACCCAGGAATAATGTTTTACCAGCTATCTGGGTTTTTCTTGGCACAGTCAAGTTGACGTATCAAATTAACCATCACATTCCAGAACTGTTACAAAATAAATTTCTGGGCTGGGTGCAGTGGCTCACGCCAGTCATTCCAGCACTTTGGGAGGCCAAGGCGGGCAGGTCACAATGTCAGGAGATTGAGACCATCCTGGCTAACACAGTCAAACCCCGTCTCTACTAAAAGTACAAAAAATTAGCTAGGTGTGGTGGCGTGCGCCTGTAGTCCCGGTTACTCAGGAGGCTGAGGCAGGAGAATCACTTGAGGTTGCAGTAAGCCGAGATCGTGCCACTGCACTCCAGCCTGGGGGACAGAGTGAGACTCCGTCTCAAAAACACAAAAAAAAAAAAACCAAAGAAATTTCTGTTGTTTAAGTCACCTAGTTTGTTGCATTTTACCATAAATGACTGAGAAGACTAATACGGACCCACAGTGTTCCATGAGGATTTCTTGATTCCATTATCAACACTTGCCTGCCCTATGTCTATTTCCTCAGATCCCTGCTGCATGATCAGAAATAAACTAGAAATAAATTTGAACAGCCTTTTAGGACCTAATTTTTAAATAGCTCTTTTATTCCTGATTGTAGTCATAAATTGAGTTCAGAGCAGCATTTTTAGCATGCAGTATATCTTTGTGGAATGAATGAATGGATGGATGATTGGATGAATGAGTGACTCTGCAGGATCAGGAGTGAGGAGCTATCCCCTGCAGAATGCACTTCAAGTAGCAACCATGCTAATCCCATGTGGAATGTTATCCCTAATCTCTATTGGGTTTGACACCTTCAAAACACAGTGCTGGAAATGGAGATAGTAATTCAAAAGCAGCACTGAATCACAGTATTAGAGGGTGCAGCAAAGAGTCATCACACTTATGCCTCCACAAGGAGGGAAACACATTATTAACATTAAATCATCTTCTGAGTAGGTTGTGTAAGGATCTGAGGACAGAGTGACGCCTTTCTAATTCAGGGTCTGAAATGGCACTCTTGAAAAGATGGATGGAGAAATGACAAATGCAATTTTGTAGATGAGCGTTTTGGTACCAGCTGGCTATGGATTCTTGGGCAAGTCACTTTACCTGCATTGGCCTCAGTTTCCTCCCCTGGAAAGGAAGGGGAATAAACATGGTGGGTCTTCTGATGTTTGGGTGGGTCCTCTGATGTTTCTGTGACCCTATCAAGTCAGAGTTTGATGTTTCTTCTCTAAAAACACAAGATATGGCAAGAGCAAATAACCAAAAGGCACGTCTTGTAAATGGTAGAATCGTGATTCGAACTCAGGCTCTGCTTACCCTAAGCTCATGTCAGGAACTTTCCTCTATTATTTTGTTATTTCTCTATTATTTTAATTATGTGATCCCCCACCACCTAAAATTCCCTTCTTCACTCAACAATAACAACAATGACGTATCTAGGGTATCTGTATGTAGCCAGGCACTTTGCTGAGCGTAGGAATAAAATAGACAGCTTCTATGCTATCACAGAGATTACAGTCTAGTTGAGGAGTTACATGTTAATCTAATAAGCATGAAAAGAAATACGAAAATGAAACAATGAGAATTTTGAAAGTTTTCAATGCTTTGAAGTCATATATTAGAGAAATTTGTCCTCATCGGGGAAGTAAATCTCTGAGGAAGGGAAGCCTGAGTGAAGAGGTAAAAGATAAGTAGATGTTAACTAGGCCAAGAGAGAAGGGAAGGTAATTCCAGGCAGAGATACAGCACATGCAAAGGCCCTGTGGTAGAAAGTATATGGTGAGTTTATGGGACGAAGGCTACAGGTGGCCAGAGCACAGAGAATGGGAGGGAGGACATGTTATGAGATGAAGCTGCAGAGATGGGTAGGGATATAGGGACTGCATCCTTGTGAGCTATGCTAGGTATTTTATATCCTGACACAAATAGAAAATCACTGAAAGAGATTCTGTAATTGTCTTTAGGGATGACTCTCAAACATCCATTCTATCTCAAGTGGCCAGCCTAAGCCAATGATGTTAAAGCCTTTTTCTGTTATAAGTAACTAGTTAGAAATGGACATGTGATCCAGCAATGGACATTAAGACACGAGAGAGCATCTTCTAGGGGGCTTTTAAGGTAGGTTTCCATGTTCTTAAGAGGGACATCCTGAAAGAGATAGTCTACTTGTCCCTCTGGACACAGTCATAGATGTGATGCCTGGGACTTCTGAATCCATTCAAACGTTACCTCCTAGTTATCCTAAGGCAGGTGGAAGACACTGCGTCCCTTCAGCTTCCACGGTGGATGGTGGTTACCTGGAATTACCCTGTCATGGAGAAGACACACATTGGGCAAAGGGTCTTGCCCCTCAGAGAAAATATAGGGATGGCTATAGTGTAGCAAAAGTAGACAAATCTTTATTATCCTATAATTGGTTCATTTGTCAATAATTGCAATGAAATCTGGATTTAATCTTCTAGTCAATTCCGAATATGTTATTTTCATGGTGCAAAAGAAACCCAGTCCTAGTGAAAGGAAGCAGACCCCTTCATGCCCTTAATTACATGGGACCACAGGGTAGGAGGCAGCCTTGGGAAATCAGATGTGGAAGTGTTTCCAAAGCATTCTGTGCAGTGTGCACTCACCCAGAAGATAGAAAGATGCTCCCTGGAAATCAGCCGCTCTGCAAGAGATTTTCTGACAGAAGGAACCCCAGAACTGGAAGACATTTGTTTGTTAGTTTCTTCAACATTTATTTTAGGTTTGGGGTGATATGCGCAGGTTTATTACCTAGGTATATTGCATGATGCTGAGGTTTTGGGTACAGTTGATCCTATCACCCAGGCACTAAGCATAGTAACCAAGAGTTAGTTTTTCAGCCCTTGTCCACTTCCTTCTCACTGTAGTAGTCCCTAGTGTCTGTTGGTGTCAGCTTTATGTCCATGAGTACCTAATGTTTTGCTCTTACTTATAAGCAAGAACATGTGGTATTTGGTTTTCTGTTCCTGTTTTAATGCACTTAGGATAATGGCCTCCAGCTTCATCCATGTTGCTCCAAAGAACATGATTTTATTCTTTTTTATGGCTGTGTAGTATTCTTTGGTGTATACATACCACATATTCTTTATCTGGTATAACACTGATAGGCATCTAGATTGATTCCATGTCTTTGCTATTGAATATAGGCCTTGGCAAAGAAATCATGACAAAAAAAAAAAAAAGCAATTGCAACAAAACAAAAAATAGACAAGTGGAACCTAATTAAACTAAAGAAAAAGAAATTTTCTACACAGCAGAAGGAATAATCAACAGAATAAACGACAACCTACAGAATGGGAGAAAGTATTTGCAAACTCTGCATCCAACAGCGTCTTTTTAACAGCTGCCCAGATGTGCCACTCCTTGACTTTTTGCAAAAATTCACCAAAAGTTGTGCATTTTCCAAGCATCTTTGGACAATAAGAAGAGGCAGAGAGTAGGAAACCAAGACATTATGGAGGCTTGTGAGTATAATCTTGTTAGTGCTTTGTAGAAAATCAGATAGCTCACACTCTGTCTCTAAAATCCTTTAATTAACCAAGAATCAGTGCCAATGTTACTCTTAACTTTCCTGTCTTCTCAACCCCTTTTTTGGTTCTGAACCCAGGTTCATGTTATTTGCCTGGCTACCTGGAATAGATTCCCATTTTCAGTATGACTTTGGGGTCCTCTCTAGAATGTTAATCCCTAAGAAATGTGCTCTCTAGACTCAGGTCCAGGGCATCCTCTTTTTACCTGCTCCTGTAGAACATTCTCTTCCGCTTTCTACTGTCTTGTACTCCTTCTTCAAGAGCACTTGACTATGCCCTCAGACTTCTACAACTTATGAGTATGCACCAGAAACACGACCCTGCGGGTTGGGAAGGCTGTCACATAGTGTAAGGCATTAGTTGGGTTTGGGAGTCAAACACATTAGGATTTTCTGACCTCATCACTTTCTAGGTGTGTGACTTTGGGTATATCATTTTAGATCACTAAGCCTTCACATGTTCATGTACAAAAAGGAGACCACAGGTCGGGTGCGGTGGCTCATGCCTGTAATCCCAGCACTTTGGGAGGCTGAGGCGGGCAGATCATCTGAGGTCGGGAATTCTAGACCAGCCTGACCAACATAGAGAAACCCCATCTCTACTAAAAATACAAAATTAGCTGGGTGTGGTGGCGCGTGTCTGTAATCACAGCTACTTGGGAGGCTGAGGCAGAAGAATCGCTTGAATCTGGGAGGCAGAGGTTGCAGTGAGCTGAGATCGTGCCATTGCATGCCAGCCTGGGCAACAAGAGTGAAACTCTGTCTCACAAAAAAAAAAAAAAAAAAAAAAAAAAAGACCATGACTTGGGCTGCTCTAGTCTATTCAAACTACCACAACAAGCTACCATAGACTGGGTGGCTTATCAACAATGGAAATTTATTTCTCACCATTCTGGAGGCCAAGAAGTCCTAGATCAAGGTGCAGGCAGGTTCAAGGTCAGTTGTGGGTCTGCTTCCTGATTTGTAGATGGCTTCCCTCTGGCTGTATCCTCATGTGGCAGAGAGAGACAGCGCTGGTCTCTCTCCTGCTTCTTATAAGGATGCTTTGTGCATTCACGTGGTGGAAGAGGCAAGGGATCTCTTTAGGGCCTCTTTTTAAGGGCGGTAATCTCACTCATGGGGGCTCTATTCTCATGACCTAATAACCCCAAAAGGCCTCACCTCCAAATACCATCACACTGGCCATTAGGATTTAACATATCTATTTTGAGGGGGACACAAGTGTTCAGTTTATAGCAATGATGCTGTCATGAACACTGTTGGTTTCCTAACCAATAACCATTCCTTCTTTTTTGACAGTAGAGTGTTTCATTCAGATATTCAGGGTAATGTGTCCTGTCTAAGGGGATGAATTTGTATTGCTACATTGATCATAATAATCCTCTACCCATTTATCAACAACTGCTTTAGGTTAGGCCATATGACCATTTCTGAACTAGAGATTTAAAGGGACCGTGGAGGGGAGGTTTTCCTCCCTGATGAAAAAAAGAAACTTGAGAAGAGGAAGCACATCTTACTTTCTTCATAATTGTAGATATTATTGTGTAATTCAGTGATGTTTGGTGCTACAGCAACCTTCTTACAACCATGAGGAGAAAGCAAAGAAAACCACAGAGAAGCCATGTAGAGATCTAGATGTCTTACAGATCTAGAGATAGATGTCTTATTATATGAGAGAGTTAACTCAACATGTGCACATGGTCAGGGTTCTGGATGGCTTCTCTGTGATTTTTCCCATTCTGTAGGTTGTCTCTTTACTCTGTTGATAATTTCTTTTGCTGTGCAGAAGCTCTTTAGCAGAAGCTCTTTAGGGTTTCTTAGATGTCTACCTAAGACATCTCTAGATAGAAGTCTTATATGAGGAAGAAAAATCTCTATTGTTTAAGCCATTTTTACACACTTGTGGGGTATGAAGGTTATATTATGTTGTAGACACTTTTTAAGTAAAAGAACACAAAATTAAAATATAAAAGTTGATATAAAAATGAATATTTACTTAGAATAAAAAGGAAAGAAAGCCACAGCAGGTTACAAATATTAAAAGCTGATAAATGCCAAACATCATAAAGCATTTTTAAATACCAGTTTTTATTAATAATTGACTAATAAAATAAACACCTTATCCTTTTTATTCAGGCAGGATGGTCTGTCTTCATATGACAATAATTTTGTAGTATTATTTCTATAGAGAGAATAAAAAATAATTTTTTCTAGCATAACTGATAAAAATTTAATATTATTATCAATGACTCAGAAAACTTTCTCTCAGCTTCACAATTCATTGTTGTTAATGCTGTATAAATTTTTATGATTGCCATCAAACTTAGGAAAAGCTCTAATGAGCTTGTTTCATATATGAGTTGTATACTTTAGAAGAATTTCCCACACACAGCCTAACTTTTGCCTTCATACATTTCAAACCTGTTTTCTCCTCTGTACGTACATTTCTACAGTTCCCATTGCAATACCACCCCCAGTCCTGCTGTTGATATCAAGATACCAAGTGAGTAAGCAGAGTGGTGGCAGAAGTATTCCTAGAAGTCATCCCTGTAATACAGACAGGAGACAGGGAAATACTGGGTAGAAGAGGGCCGTTTCCCGGCAAAGGCCCCACCCTCAAGCCTGGATACCCATGGCCTTAAGAGAGAACAGGTATTCTTGTTTTCATGTCCAAAAAGTTGTCTTTTGGCCTGCCACACCCCACTATCCTGTACCCGTATAAACCCTGAACCCCAGGCTCCGGAAGCAGGAGATGACCAGATGAGGAGACAAGCAGACAAGTGGTAGAATGGTATGACAGGAAAAGACGAAGAGAAGGAATATCTGAACACTGAGAGGAGTTTGGCTGGGGGTAGTCGGAGAGGAGTTCGGCCGCTAGATGGCCAAACTCCAGGGGAAGATCATCTTCCCACTCCATCCCCCTTCCAGTTCCCCATCCATTCCGCTGACAGCCACTTCCACCACTCAGTAAAACCCCTGCATTCATCCTTCAAGTCTTTGTGTGACCCAATTTTTCCAGGACACTGGACAAGAGCTTGGGGTACAGAAAGCTATCACACTGGCCCTCTGTCCTTGCAGAAAGGTGGAGGGTCCACTGAGCTGGTTAACACTTAAGCCATCTGCAGACAGCAAGGCTAAAAGAGCCCAGTGTAACACTTGCCCACTTGGGCTCCTGCACCTGTCCCTCTGCATGCTCCACCTCCTGTAACGGATTTGAGCAGTGGTGGTGACCCCACGCCCCTGTCACACATCCTGTGATGGGGATCAGGGAACTCTCCAGTCTCAGCTACACAAGGGCAGCTTATAGTGACTTAACTATACATGGAAATAATTGAGAATCACATAAACTTATCTCACCAACCCTATTCCTAATGTATTGTCTTAGCTGGATCTCAAAATGCCCCCAGCCTCTGCAGCACCAACTATCAGGAGGGAATGTGTAACAAGAGAGAAGTTCAGGTGGAAAGAATTAGCAGCCATATACCATTGCAGTTAAGATATTTTACTTTTGCAAACTTTCAAAAAATATGCGAACATGTAAACACCTTGCTAGGGCTTCAGAAAGGGTTTGTTTACCTGAAGGGGCCCCAAAACTTAAACTTTGCAGTAAATACATCTTCTCTGATCATAGGCATGTTGTGAGAATGGGATGAATACATAATGTAAGTAAACTGCTTAGCGCAGTGTCCCGCATATAACAAGCCTTGAAATATGGTGGCAATGATTATATTTTTAGTAGTATTAGTAGCATGGAAGATGGGATCTCCCATAGAACTTTCCTTTTTTCTCCTGAATATGTTTTCATTGCTGCAAGCAAAGCAGTGAAACAAGTCTTTGACCCACAGTTTTCTATTCTGGGTGAACAAAGCTTTGAAGTTGATTTTTAGTATGAAATTTGTTCAGGATAGGTCTTTAGTCTTGAGGAGTTAAACATTCTCATGCCTGAAAATGTTGAATATCTCTATAATTGCAGTGATGAGGACATCAAAGTGACATCTTTCCAATCAATAGTTTTATTATTATGCTTTAAATTTACAGGCATCTTTGCCCTAAAATCGGCGTGTTATATTTAGTCACCATCACCAAGAGACATCTGCCCAATGAGGCAACAGTTCTTTTCATAAATGATACGTCATGTATTTATTTCAGCAGCTAAGCACCTTCTGGCACAACAAACAGCCACCTTTGGAAACAAAGATGTCATTTTGGGTGGCTTAACAGATATGGGTTGTCTAAAATTAAAGACGGTGCTAATTAACTGGAACACAGAATTAGAACCTACAGTTTCGAAAATATGCCAAAAACAAAAAAAAAGTGTTTGCCAGAAACTTTAACACTGGAGAGCTAAGTTGGCTCTTTCAAGGACGCTAAATTGATTATAAGAATTATATAACATTGGGAGATCTCAATAAACAAAGCCTGTCAGGTTGTGCCTGAATTAGATCACTTGTTTGCTCAAAGAGCTGGTGTTTAAAGTAAATTCCCTTTCACTGATAAAAATTATGAATACACCTAGTGAAAAGGATACTATCTGTGGGAGGGAGACGGAAATTGACCATAGCCTGATTTGTATGTAACTGACAATTTTTTTTCTGTCAAATACACCTTAATTCAAAAGAAGCAATTGTCATTAATATCATTAAATCTAAAACCAGAATGAGTTGCTTGGAGTGTTAAAAAAATATTAGGAGAAGCTGGTAGAGTACTGGGTATAGGTACCAGAGTTCTTCTAGGTGATTCATACTAATGGAATTGAATGAAAAGGGCAAGATTTGAAAGTCTAGATACATGGGTTTTCATCCCATATCCGTCCCTGATTCACTGGATGATTTTAGCCAATCTCCTAACTTGATGTGGCTGGTAAGGACAACGATGTTTCCTTCCTCCTTAAGTGAGATAATGAATAGTGGAACACTTTGAAAGCTAGACAGCACTACATAAAAGAAAAAATGGGAATGGCAGTTGAGCATGATGATTAGGAGCCCAAATTTTGTGTGAATCAAAACTAGACTCTGCAAGAAGCTCTGCCACTATCCAGGTGTGTGGTCCTGGGCAGAGTAATGAACTTCTCTTCTTTAACTTCTCTTCAACAGTTGTAGCAATGGCCATATGCAATAATACATGTTAATTTGTTCACCTGTGTGTATCAGAAGCACAGGATAATTATGACTTAAACACAAAGAAGATGGACTAGCAGTTCATCTAAAGGCTAGCAGTCCAGGCCGGGAGGGCCTGTCTGCTGCATGGGGTCATTCAGTGATCCAGGATCCTTCTTGCTGTTGCTCTGCCATCCTGAGCCTGTTGTTTTCATTTTCATCGGCAAGGATGCCTTGGCAGTATCTCTGAATTCCAAGCAGCAGAATAAATGAAGATGAGGTAAGGAGAATCAGGATATAGCCCTTTTCTTTAAGGATACACTCTGTAAGTTACACAAGACACTTCTGCTCATATTTCATTGGTTGGAACGTAGAGAGATGGCTGCCTGTGTCTCCAAGACACACAAGCTTTATTCTAGGAGGCCAGAGCCCAGATAAAACTCAGGGGTTATTTGCTACCAGAAAGAGGAAGAAAATTTACAGGAAGGATGCTGAAGTAGGTCCATCACAGCATCCAAAACTCTTAGCACACATGAGGGTCAATAAATTTTAGCTATTACCATCTACAATAGTCAGCAGGTGTGAAAAAATTTTTCAGAGGGGGATGATCCCAGTTCATCTCTGCCATGTCTGGCCTGGTACACCAAATTCTTTACCTTTCTGAGTAGTCTCACCCTAAACACACACAAGGCCTATTCTCGAATGTAAGTACAGAAAGGGACACGTTTCTGAGATCCACATGTGGATTACATCAAATCATTTTCTGGGTTCTCAACTGCAAAGTGTCTCATTCTCTGCTCAATGAGAAATGATATCCAACCTGGGGAATGTTTCCAGACTGTCCACAGATGCTAAAATATTTGAGCCCTGTGAGGGGTCAGCACCACATGAGTTACATGGGCTGGGAGTAGGGAGGGCTGATTTCCCCGATGAAAATAGGGATGTTAGAGACAGAGGAAGGAATGCTAGTGCTTAGTGTGAACAAACAACAGATGTTCATACCATCTCTTCAATTCTCTTTCTTTCTTCTCTATTCCTTCCCCTTTCCTACGTTCTTTCTCCCTTCCTTCCCTCCCCTCCTTCTCTCACTTTCTTTCCCTAATAACCACTGTGCAAGACACATAGATGAACCTCTTGTGGTTCCTGACTTCGGGCAGCTCTCAGATTCAAAAAGGAGGCCGGGCATGATGGCTCACACCTATAATCTCAGCACTTTGGGAGTCTGAGGCAGACTGATTGCTTGAGCCCGGGAGTTTGAGACCAGCCTGGCCAACATGGCAAAACCCCATCTCTACTATAATACAAAAAATTAGCTGGGTGTGGTGGCACACACTGGTAGTTCCAGGTACTTGGGATGCTGAGGTAGGAGGATCACTTTAGCCCGGGAGGCAGAGGTTGCAGTGAGCAACAAACACACCACTGTACTCAGTCCGGGCGACAGAGAAAGACCCTGTCCCCCTAACCAAAAAAACAAACAAATAAACAAACAAAACAAAAAGGAGAAAGACAATTAAATAACAAACTCCAGTAAAATGTGATATGCTTTGGAAATGCATACACAAATAAATAAATAAATAAATAAAGGAATGAATGAATGAATGAATGAATAAAATGGTATAACAGAATTACACAAAGTACTCTAAGTGAACAGAAAAAGAAGGGATTAACTCACCTAGATCAGATGAAAACTCGGGGAACTTTTCACAAAGGAAATATTTAATCTGACTCTGAAGGATGAGGAGGAGTTTATAACATTTTCCAACAAAAAGAGACCCTCATAAAACCACCATTAGGGTCTTCGAATTTTCACATGGAACTTGGAGAAAAATTCTATGATCAAATATCAGTGAATTTGAGTAGACACAGCCTGTCACTAAATTTAACCTTCTGTAAGTCATTCGTCTACTCTTGTCATCAGTTTTTATCTTTTGTAAGATAAGCAGATGGGGCTATTTATGAAGCTCCTTCCTGCTCTTAAAAACAAGGAATTTCCATTTGAAAGGATGAAGACCCATGGGTTGTACAGTGAATGGAAGGGTCTTTGATGCTGAGATTCTAGGTAAATTTGCAGTGTTGGCCAGGCGCAGTGGCTCACGCCTGCAATCCCAACACTTTGGGAGGCCGAGGTGGGCAGATTACATGAGGTCAAGAGTTCAAGACCAGCGTGGCCGATATGGTGAAACCCTGTCTCTACTAAAAATACAAAAATTAGGCGGGCGTGGTGGTGGGTGCCTGTAATCCCAGCTGCTCAGGGAGGCTGACACAGGAAAATTGCTAGAACCTGGAAGGCGAAGGTTTGCGGTGAGCTGAGATTGTGCCATTGTACTACAGCCTGGGTGACAGAGGAAGACTTCATCTCAAAAAAAAAAAAAAAAAAAAAAAAAAAAGACATGTTGTTGTTGCTTTGGAGAGTTGAGTATATATATTGGGAGAAACTGGTTTACCAGATATGTGAATCAGCTAGTTGCTATTGTGGACACTAAGGAAAAGAAGTAATGAGACTTCTAAGTTAAACGTGGGTCAGTTTATTCCATTGACTAAACTCATCCTGCAACCGTAGCAATGGCTGGAACCAATGTCAACTGCAGAGCCAACAGGAAATTCCTGTAACCAGATTAATTTTTTCCCAAATCCCACCACTTGAGGTTCATCTTGTTAAGTCCTTCTGATGGTCTTTTCCCCATGAGTTGAATTTTGCTTTTTCATGGTTGGGAAATCACACTTGGCCAACAAATGAGATGGAGTTAGGTGTACTAAAATATGTATACAGTTTAAAATTATCACCAGGTTCTTTTTTTACTTCTTAATTTAGTAAACAGGAGGAAAACAAACCCTATGCCACCCCTCTGTGTTGTAATCTTGTATTGAAAAGTCCTGTTGTGAAAGCAGCATGACCCATTAAGCCCTGAAGTTCAAACCACAAAAATTACTACCTTGACCTAATGATTACAATTTGTTATTGGTGCTCAGCTCCAGCAGATGAGTAAGTTCTAGCACACAGGGAGAAAATGGACTTGAAAACAGGATGGAGTAGGAGTTCACAAATGCCCACACAGCATTCCTGGAAACAAGGGCTTTGAATTCCCTGGGGATATTATTGGCCTCATTTTAAAAGACAAGGAATGAGGCTCAGAGAAGTAAAAAGACTGGCTATGTCATATAGCTAGGAAGCGGACATGTAGGGGCTCAAAACAAATTTTTGTTAATTACCATGTTCGTTCGTTCTTTCTTTCTTTCTTCTTTCTTTCTTTCTTTTTTTTTTTTCAGACAGAGTGTTGCCCTCTTGCCCAGGCTGGAGTGCAGTGGCGCGATCTTGGGTCATTGCAACCTCTGCCTCCCGGGTTCAAGCGATTCTCCCTAGTAGCTGGGATTACAGGTTTGCGCCACCACGTCTGGCTAATTTTTTGTATTTTTAGTAGAGACAGGGTTTCACCATGTTAGCCAGGCTGGTCTCAAACTCTTGACCTTAGGTGATCCACCTGCCTTGGCCTCCCAAAGTGCTGGGATTACAGGCGTGAGCCACTGTGCCTGGCCAGGAACAAGATTTATAGACAGCAAAAGGACAGCAATGTACAGAAAATGGAAGTGAAGTACAGAAACAACTGGATTGGCTATAGCTCACTGTTTGCCTTATTTGAACACAATTCGAACTGTTGGATACATCTGATTGGCCAAAACTCAGGATTGCCACAGGTATGGGCTACAATCGATTTACACCTCCACTTGTTATAGTTCATGATGTACAGAAAAACCTTTAGGCTGAACTTAAATATGTAAGGAGGCAGCTTTAGGCTAAACTTGATTTAACACTGGATGAAGAAAATGTGGTACATATACACCGTGGAATACTATGCAGCTATAAAAAAGAATATCGTGTGCTTTGCAGAAACATGGATGGAGCTGGAGGCCATGATCCTTAGCAAACTAACACAGGGACAAAAAACCAAATACCACATGTTCTCACTTTTAAGTGGGAGCTAAATGATGAGAACACATGGACACATGGAGGGGAACAGCACACACTGGGCCTTATTGGAGGGAGGAAGGTGGGAGGAGGGAGAAGATCAGGAAAAATAAGTAATAGGGGTATTAGACTTAATACCTGGGTGATGAAATAATCTGTACAACAAACTCCCATTACATAAGTTTACCTATATAACCAACCTGCACACATACTCCTGAACTTAAAGGTTAAATACGAATAAAATAAAACCTAAATCACATGACAAAAAGGAATGAAATGATGTGGAGCTCTGTTTATGAGCCTAAGATTGTGCTAATATCTAGAAAACAGAATGGATTATCCAGAAAGATTTGGATAGCTATGGATATGATTATTTTACTGAATTATTTCACTAATATACAAATCTAAAGATTTGATTTAATTGAAAATCCAGTAACCTAACCTTCTTTCGTTAAAAAAAAAAAAGTCACTTTGATTTGCTTACAAGAGTAAATATTGTATGAAACGAAAAAAAGAGTACATACTGGAAGATTATATTTATATGAAATTCAAAAACAGGTAAAAACTAATCTTTGGTGTTAGATGTCAGAATAGCAGTTACCCTTGGGAAGTAGTGACTAGAACAGGAGATAAGTGAGGTGCTTTCGTGGCATTGGTGATGCTCTTTTACTTGTTCTGGGCCAGGATATATGACTGTGATTGGTTTGTGAAAATTCACCAAGCTATACTCATAACCTATGCACCGTTCTGTAGGTATATTCTACATGAAAAAAAACCTCAAAAAGTAAAAAATAAAATTCACACAAAGTTAAGAAACAAGCTAGCTGAAGGCTTATAGAAAGAGTTATAAATGATAACAGTAGTAGGTGACATTTACCATTGGCTTACTTAGAACCTGGTAAGTTTATGCAGTAATTAATTTAATTCCTTCAACATCACAAAGTATACACAATTGTTACCCCATTCTTAGAAGGGAAACAAGGCTCAAAATCTTAATTATCTTACCCCTGACCATATAACACATAAGCACTAGAGTACATATTCAAACAGGAGCAGCCCACCTCCAGTTTAACCATCATATGTCATTTTAACCATCATATGACACCAGTTCTCCAACACTGGGAGGATGTGAGACACCCAAGGGTACTTAGATTCACAAGTTTATTCCTGTGGAAACCACTTAGAAACCCAAGAAATTGGTTAGCCAGGCACAATGGGGCCCACCTGTAGTCCTAGCTACTTGAGAAGCTAAGGCAGGAGGATTGCTTGAATCCAGGAGTTCGAGGCTGCACTGAGCGATGGTAACACCACTGCACTCCAGCCTGGGTGACCTTGTCTCTGAAAAAGAAGAAAGAGAAAGAAAGGAAGAAAGAAAGAAAGAAAGGAAGGAAGGAAGGAAGGAAGGAAGGAAGGGAAGGAAGGAAGGAAGGGAAGGAAGGAAGGAAGGAAGGGAAGGAATGAAGGAAGGAAGAGAAAGAAAGAAAGAGAGGGAAGAAGGGAGGGAGGGAAATGAAGGAAGAAGGAAGAGCAAGAAAGAAAGAAAGGCAGAGAAAGAAAAAGGAAGAAATAATAAAACCTAAGAAATTTGAATAAATTTCTTAAAATTACCTCTGGAAGAAAACAAAATGTTTAAATAAAAACTCAGTGTTCACTGAGATGGAGAAAGTCTGTTTATAACAATTTAAGGAGCCACACAGAAAATCACAAGGGCTATAACTTCCTGCTTGCCGAAGGCACCTTTTGGATGAATTGCTGCTTATATCACTGCATGGCAACTGGAGAAGACGTGGATTGATGCAGTCGTTCTCAGGAAGTTAGAGGACTATTAACATCAGCACGGGATTCATGATGATGTGTTGAAGGGTGGTTGGCACCCGCAAAAGGAAAGGTGATATGTTTCATATTTTATGATATGTTTTGTCACTCGAGGGAATTTAGAAGTGGAGGCACTTGATAGTGAAAATGGAAGCCAACTTTCTCTTTTTGTCACTTGCGTTATTTGGGATGTTTTGAGTTGGAAAAAAAAAAATAAGCAGAGACTGAATCTGTCCACTAAAGGAGAAGGGAGAACTGGGTTGGAGCCAAGAAATGGGCAGAGTGAGAAGCAAGGCTGGGAACCAGATATTTGCTCAGTTTATTTGCTTCCTCTCTCTTGTTAGCTATTGAGTTTTCATTACAGTGTACTCACTTCTTTCTTCAAGTCTTCACTGTCAGTGTCTTGCAAACTGCTGAACACCACTGGATCCCTCATTCCTAAAGCAGAAGTGGCTTGACTGAATGTCATCGTAGTGGGAATCACACACATTGGGCAGACCCCACCATTGGAGGCTACCTCAGCAGATATCGTCTGCAAAGACAGCCTGTGCCTGGATGATGAGATCTATCCCTGCTCAAGGAACAGCTCACTGTAGCTTCCCTAAGTGGAGACAATGGGCAGGTTAATGCCAACGGGCAGAGAAGAAGGGCATGGTGGTGACCCTATCAACATGCTCGAATGCTGGCATCAAACAGAGGATGCTTGAAGCTTTGGTGTGGTGAAGCTGGTGGAACTTTTTGAAATCTCTTGGGAAGGTTTATGCCAATGATACCCTACCTAAACCCCATCTCACATTTTCTTGGTTGAAACCATGAGCCTATTTTCTTCTTCCCTCCTTTTCTTCTTTAAATCCTTCCTTTATTACTTCCTTTGCTCCTTCATTCAACAGACACCTGTCATGTTTTGGAGGGGAGGCCTAGCCTGAAAGAAGCTAGATTATGTTTATCTCTGAGAATATGACTTGTGTAGGCATCTCAGGTTTGTCAGTACAGTGGTTGACCTACATGTATTTATTAGCAGGATCTTTGAAGAAAAAAAAAAAGAGGTGCTCCAATTGTTTATTGCTAAGTATCAAAACAGCCCCAAACTTAGTGGCATGAAAGAATGGCATTTTAATATGCCTATGATTCTATGGATCAGGAATTTGAAAGCCCATGTCCATGTTCCACAATGTCTAGGGTAATGAAGGCTGGAGATGGTTGGAATGGCTCACCTGGGGCTGTATATCTGGCGCCTCCATTCTTCACCATGTGGCATCTGCTGAAACCGCATATGCAAGAGAACTACTTCACTCATATGCATGGTGTGTGGGCTGAAGTGGCTGGAACACTTGGGGTCTGACTGGCACTGCTTCTCCTCCGTATGACCACATGGACTTCCCCCCAGTATGGCGGTCTTATGTTACTCAACCCAGAGACTCCTGCCCAGGCCCATGGAGAGAGCAGAAGCTGCTGGAGCTCTGATGATGTGGGGCAAACTGGGATGTTCTGTGGCCCAGATGGCAAAGCAGCAAAGAGATGGCATGATTTTATTCACCTCCTGCATGAATTCACAGTTACACAATGTGGCTCTAGCACCATAAGGACTATAAGTAATAATCTAACCTTGAGAACACAGAAGATAGCATGCTGGTGTGATTGCACTGATACCCTCAGCCAGCTCAGGCAGAATAAACAACACGGGCTAGCAGTGCAGGACAAGAACAGCACATTGCACCTTCCTTAGTGACCACAGCTAATAGCCTGATTAATGAGGCACAGGTGAAACAACCTTGGGGCATTCCCAGAAATAAAGTGGGGACATCCTAAAGGGGCTGGAGGTTCTATGTAAGTAGTTGAAGAAAACTTTAGTAAAATGTGGATATTTAATCTTATATAAACCCACGTGTATGAACTGGTTTGTGAAGATGCAAATTACACTTTACAAAACTTTTAGTTCAAGCTTTGTATTTAATGACCTCACCCTCCAGGGTTTAGTATCTAATTGGAAAAATAAAATTAATATACATTAAATAATGGCGTAAGACAATGTAACAGCTGTCACCAGGGAGCCCTGAATAAATGACTCAAACATTAAGTTTTATAGGGATAAGCTCCAAGAAAGAAGACATTCTGAGAGATGGAAAGAACAGCGGGCCTCCTGGAAGCTGGAAATTTGATCTGTGCTTTGGAAGGTGGTGCAATTAAGTTAGGCAGACAATGAAATCTCAAAACTAGAAATATTTTTGAAAGACTTTTGGCTTTGTGGGACTAATCTTTCCTTTAATATCTAAATAAAACAACTCATAAGAACAACTATTTTTTCCTAAGCATTTTTAGTTTTTAAACCTTAGCCTTTGTTAGCGTGTGATGTCTAGAACTCTGGAGTTTGAAGACATGTGGGAAGTCTAGATGTGGTTATAAGAGAGGATTAAAAAATCAAAAGTAGAGGAGGTAATTTAGAGTGGCTGTTTACTTACGTCTCTTCCTGAACTTGAAGACCAGGGTTGGCCAGATAGTAAGTACTTTTTGACATTGTGGGTCACACAATTTTTATAGCAACTACTCAACTCTGTTGTTGTAGCCAGGAGCAATCATAAACAAGGCATAAACAAATAAGCATGGCTATAACTGTGTTCCAATAAAACTTTATTTACAAAGCCAGGTGGCAGGCTGGATTTGGCCCATGAACCATATAGCTTGCTGACCTCCACTCTAGATGTTCAATTTATTCCATCAATGTTTAGTGAAATCTACACTGCGTTAATCACTGTGAATAAGAACATGGGATAAAAGTTGTTTGCTCAAGCTGGGCACAGTGGCTCATGGCTATAATCCCAGCACTTTGGGAGGCCAAGGCAGGCAGATCACCTGAAGTCAGTAGTTCAAGACCAGGCTGGCCAACATGGCGAAACCCCGTCTCTACTAAAAATACAGAAATTAGCCAGGTGTGGTGGTGGGCACCTGTAATCCCAGCTACTCTGGATGCTGAGGCAGAAGAATTGCTTGAATCTGGAGCGGGGAGGTTGCCCTGAGCGGAGATCGCACCACTGCACTCCAGCCTGGGCAACAGAGTGAGAATCTGTTTCAAAAAAAAAAAAAAAAAAAAAAAAAAAAGGTTTTTTGCTCAGCAGGCGTTTACTGTAGGCTGATTGTGTGCTTGGTGCTGTGCCAGTCAAGTGAAATCTAATATTGAACAGATAAATATGATCCTCCCCTCACAGAAAGCTTCCAGCCTAGGAGTAAAAAGCCTGGAGATGGGGATGGAAGCTATCACAGGATCTAACCCAGTCTTGGGAGATGAAGAAACCAGAAATGTCTTTCCTGAGGAAGGGATGTTCAGTCTGAGATTGGAAGAAGCTTGTTCTTAGCACAGACAGGTTATAAAAGTGGGGGATGGGGGGTAAGGAAAGGCAAGAGTAATGTTCCATATAGAAGAAACACCCATTTCAAAGCACAGAAGGGAGGGTGTCTTTCTTTAAAGAAACAGAAAAATTCATTATGGCTGAGGCAGCCTGATTAATGAAGCCAGAATGAGACAACCCTTCAACCCAAGATGGAATTGGAGGGCTGACTGGGAGCCCACCAACATCCCCAGAAACGCACAAATGCCCCTGACCCTCAGCATGTGCACATTTCTTCTGCAGTGTCAGGGCATTTAATAATCAGCCTTGTTTAGGAACAGCTGAGATTCTGCAGATGACAAACACTATGAAATCCTCTCACGTAGACATTGATTCCACTCAAGAGATGATGGTATTACAGCTGCTCCCAGCGAAACAGCTAGATTTTGCTTCAGGGGAAAGCAGTGATCCAACTTGGACTCTTCACACATACCATGCAAGGAAAAAGTCCATTTCCACATCATTTTCAATACTAATTAAACTGGCACCAATTAATGCAAACCCAGGGAGCATTTGAAGTGATCCTTGGCCCTTTCCCTTCAATAAAAATATGCAGTTGGCTGAAAATCTTCATCCCTCAGGCCAGGTAAGAGAGGATCTGCTGCATTCAGATGTCCTAGAGACAGTGCCATTTCTTCTCTGTGTTATTACTGACAAGTACTTTCTGCATTCCATATAATTCCAATATACCATCCTTGGGCTCTGTATTAATCCGTTTTCATACTGCTGATAAAGACATACCCAAGACTAGGAAGAAAAAGAGGTGTAATTGGACTTACATTTCCACATGGCTGAGGAGTCCTCAGAATCATGGCAGGAGGTGAAAGGCACTTCTTACATGGCTGTGGCAAGAGAAAATGAGGAAAATGCAAAAGCGGAAACCCCTGATAAAACCATCAGATCTCGTGAGACTTATTCACTACCACGAGAACAGTATGGGGGAAACCACCCCCATGATTCAAATTATGTCCCACTGGATCCTTCCCACAACATGTGGGAATTACGGGAGCTACAATTCAAAATGATATTTACGTAGAGACACAGAGCCAAACCATATCAGTCTCTAATTAACTAAGATGCAAACTTCATCCAATAGAACAAAGTAAACACTCAGTAAATTTTAATTTATGTCATTTTGTTGTACATAAAAGAACCCAATACAATATTTGACACACAGTAAGTATCAACAAATATTAGTCCTCTTCCCCTTCTTCCAGGCCATTCTAGTCTTCAACTCTCACATGAAATCTCATAAAACCTCTTATGTGCCGTATTTTCCCAAACGAATCCCAGGTTGGGGTAAATGCTTCCAGCCACACTAAAAGAAATGTCTGATCAGCAGGATGTGGAGGAGATGCTAACTCCCTGGTGACGAGCACAGGAAATGCCCATGTGGTGATCTAAGCCCTTTGTGGGGCTCTTTTCTGCCTGCATCCTCTAATATAAATGGTTGGTTTTGCAGAACCAGCTTTGAATGCATATACCCAATCACTACACAAGTGGAGCTGGTCAGCTTTTCTTGCCTCTGTGGCCACAGGAGAGAGCACTCTCAAAAACACAGGTCACCTCCAAGGACCAACCCACTCGTAAAATACGGGCTGATGTCTGATGGCAAATGCTCCCCATGGAGCCAGCACAGAGGTTCAGTGAGGCTCCAAGGATGTAACAGGCTTCCAGGCTAAAGCACAAAGTAGCAAATATGTTCCTGTCCTTGCTACAAGTGTCAGGATTTTTTTTTAAAAAGTTATTTTTGAATACCTTCAACATTCAAAAGCTATTTATTAATGCCATCAACATTCACATAGCCTGGAGAAAACTACATTGGCACTGACTGATATAAGACAATTGGGTTAGGCTGGGCGTGGTGGCTCATGCCTGCAATCCCAGTGCTTTCAGAGGGTGAGGCAGGTGGATCACTTGAGGTCAGGTGTTCAAGACCAGCCCGGCCAACATGGCGAAACCCCATCTCTACCAAAAATACAAAAATTAGCTGGGCATGGTGGTGCATGCCTATAGTCCTAGCTACTTGGGAGGCTGAGGCAGGAGCATTGCTTGAACCTGAGAGGCGGAGGTTGCAGTGAGCTGAGATCACTCCACTGCATTCCAGCCTGGGTGAAAGAGTGAGACTCTGTCTCAAAACAAACAAACAAAAACAAAGAAACAAACAAACAAAAACCACCACCACCAACAACAACAAACAATTGGGTTAAAAAGTTACATCTGAATGTTGATCCTGTAATTTTCATGACCTTGTGAGTGATCTTAGTGAGATTCAGTCCCCAACTTTGTGTCTCCATTTCTTCATCTTTCTGATGACAGTCTTATTGCACGTGAGAGCTAAGATTCCTCCTAACTCTAAAATGAAAGGTTCCTGTTGTATCTTTGGAGAAAGGAGGAAAGAGACCTGGACTCAAAGTTACAGAACTTGGATTCCTATCCTAATTTTACCACTAATCAGGTGCATGGTCTTGCACAAATAATTTAGTGTCTCTAAGAATCCAGCTGCCTTACCTTAAAATGAGAGGAAGGAGCTTGATCAGCTTTAAGTTTTATGAGTCAGTGACTTGAAGATGGTATTGATCTGGGCATCTTCTCTGAACAGTGGCATCCAGGAGCCCCAGAGGTCAGATATCTGAATGTTTGCCTGAGAAGAGTGAAGGCTTCAATATTCCAGGCAGTACAGAAATTGTCTACTTACTTTGTAGAGAAACCACCAGCCTCTGGCCATCTGACATCTGCCTTGTATTTACCCTGGAGATTGTTTTCTTTATTTTTGTTTTATTACAAAAGGGAGATAAGTTCAAAGGAAGAGAAAAGCAAGAAGAAGAAATAACCCCTGTAATCTACCTTATCCCCCAAAGTTACCAAGAGTTCAATTTCATTTTATAACCTCTGTACCTGTTTTCAGTATCTCCGAGAGAGATCCATCGTTTATCCAAATCATCCCTAAGTTCTTTGGCTTTCGGGGACTAATCTTTCTTTAATATCCAAATAAAACAACTCATTTCCCCTGTATTATTTTTCTATTGCTGCATAACAAATTATCGTACATTTTGGAGCTGATAACAACACCCACTCACAGTTCTATATGTCTGTGTGCATGGCATCCCTGGGTGCTCTGCTCAGGTCTTACAAGGCTAAAATAGAGGTGTCAGTAAGGCTGTGTTCCAACCTGTAGTCTCTGGAGATAAATCCACTTCCAAACTCATTCAGACTGTTGAATTCAGTTCTTTGCAACTGTAGGACTGAGGTCCTGTTTCCTTTCTAGCTGTCAACCAAAGGCTGCTCTCAGCTCCAAGAGGCCACCTGCATCCTTGCCACATTTTGCCATCACCCCATTATCAAGCCAACAAGGACGCATTGAGTTCTCTTCATTCTTCTACTATCTTTATGTCAGGAAGAGCTCTGTCCCTTTTAAGGACTCATCTGATTAGGTCAAGTCCACCCAGGTAATATCTCTTTTGATGAATTTGAAGGCAATTGATTTGTAACCAAACCATAGAAGCCATATCCAATCCCATTCACTGGCCCCACACAGTCCCAAGAGAGGGGATTCTATACAGTATGTACAGGAAGGGCAGGAATTGTGGAGGGTCTCTTAGAATTTTCCTAACTCACGCCAATTCTGCATTACTGCAGGAAATCCAGTCCTCTCCTGAATATCTCACTAGGAAGTAATCTGTTACAGTGCTCCGCATTGAGCTGGGCTCAAAAAGCAACTGATAAATGAATCAAAGTGCTCCTGAATGTAATGACCTTGTGGCCAGCCCCTCTCATTTGCTACTCCAATGTTGCCCACTTCTTGGCCACTTCTGGCCTTATCATCACATTCCAGGCTTCTCTGCCTGTCTCTTCTGCTCCAAACCCCTAGGCATCAGCCCTCCAAGGCAACACTAGCAGAAGGTCAATGCCTGACTGCAGTAAGATTGGGAGAGGAAAAGGCCAATGAAGGCCATCACAAAACAGGGAAAAATGAAATCATGCGAAACTGGGTACCAGGCATCACTACTCCTTAAGTCCAAATCATATCCCGTCAGAAGTCCCTTACTGGTAGTCTCTCACCTTAGATGAGAGCTCAGAAAACTTTTATAAATATGTTAGATTTTGCAAGCCATAATGTCTCTGTTGCAGCTATTTAACTTTCACCTGTAATGCAAAAGCAGTCATATATGATATGTAAACAAATCGGCATGGCTATGTCTCGGTTAAAATTTATTTATAAAATAAAGCGTAGACCAGAATCAGCCTTTGATTGCTTCTGGCTTAGACCCTGGCTGCTTTAAGGCTTTGGCCTATTCTCCCAGAATGGAGTCTTCAGGTATCTTTGTTTCTTTACCCTCCTGGATGAAGGAAACTCTTGTCCCAGGCCAGGAGAGGAAAGTGAAATCATCATAACATCCAAATAAACTCTTCATTCAAAGAGAACCACTCCATATATATACCATGGAATACTACACAGCCATAAAAAGAATGATATCATGGCCTTTGCAGCAACATAGTTGCAGCTGGAGGCCATTATCCTAAGCGAATGAATGCAGAAAAAGAAAATCCAATACCACATGTTCCCGCTTATAGGTGGGAGCTAAACAATTGGTATACATGGGCATAAAGATGGAAACAATAGACATTGGTTACTTCAAAAGCAGGGAGGGGCTGCGTGCGGTGGCTCACACCTGTAATCCCAACACTTTGGGAGGCCAAGGTGGGCAGATGGCTTGAGGTCTGAGACCAGCCTTGCCAACATGGCAAAACCCCATCTCTCCTAAAAATACAAAAATTATCCAGGCATGGTGGCACGTTTCTGTAGTCCTGGCTACTCAGAAGGCTGAGGCAAGAGAATTGCTTGAACCCAGGAGGTGTAGATTGCAGTGAGCTGAGATTGCACACCTGCACTCCAGCCTGGGGGACAGAGTGAGACTTCGTCTCAAACAAAAACAAAAACTAAAACAAACATAAATAAGCAAAAGCAGGGAGGGAAGAATGGGGGTAAGGGCTGCAAAGCAACTTACTGGGTACTATGTTCATTGTTTGGGTGAGGGGTTTTCTAGAAGCCTCAGCATTATGCAATACACTCGTGAAACAAACCTGCACATGTAACCTCGATCTAAAATAAAGTAAAAATAAATACCTTTTTAAAGAGAAAGAACCACTCATTCACATGAACATAAAAAAGAGTTTTAACTTCCTGTTGTCCTGAACTTTGTCATTATGGATTTTGCACTACCTTGGAAAAACTCATTTGAGAGTCGTTGTTATTTGCTTGTTTGTTTCTTCCTAGAGAAGATCCCCAAGCCACAGGAAGACCCCAGAGTAACTCTGATACTGTAGTTGTTATTGTGGCTTTGCCTGATCCTGCAAGCCTAGATGGAGTTCTTGGGGGCTGCCCAAGGTCAAGTACTTGTGCTTTGCTTCCTATCAGTCATTCTGTAGGGTAAGCTAACGAACAGGAAACAGACAACACAGAACAGTTATCTTCCCCTTTCTGAGCCCACTCTGAAGGTCCCTGCTTGCCTTCTTCTTTTTCCTTCCTTTTGTAATAGGAACTTCACAGTTCAAAGGCTTCTGCGGAGAGTTTGGCAGAAAATGTAGTTTAAGCTGCAACTTGCTGTAATCATAATAGCTGCCGTTTATTGGGAGCTTACTACACGTCAGGATCCTTGCGAAGTGTTTTATATGTGTTATCTCATTTAATTCTCACAACAATTTTATGAGATCGGCCCCATTCCTTTTTCCATTTTATGCACAGAAAACTGCAGTGTCAAGAGGTTAATCAGCTTCCCTAGGTACACGGAGCCAGAAAGTGGTGGAGTCTATTCAGAATGCAGATCTCTCTCACTCCAAAAGGAGTTCTCCCAAACATGACACCAAAGAGCGTCTGCATCTGGGAGATAGAGCCCCCACTGGGAGGCACTGTCTGTGTACCTTTCCCCTGCCATCAGGGTGATGGAAGTTTATGGCCCACCTCATAGAGGGCGCCACAGAGAATCTTGACATTCTTTTTAGACCAAGGCCACTTAATAAAGTACTTCTATTGATCGTTCGAAGTAAATAAGTTCAAGACAGGCTAGAGGGCTTAATTTCAGACAGAACAATACATTAAGAGGAAGCAAAGGCCACATGGCTAACTTAATAAAGCTTCTTCACTTAGGGCATCTTTCAGACCACATCAAAAAATAACACTGAAATTGAATGGCTGTACATAAATAAGTCAGAATTGACATCATCCTCACCTCGCAGTGTGGTTTATGAATGGCGTTGACAGTAATTAAACACTTCTCAGCTGCAAGTATCACCAAGCATTCTATTTACATTATCATACTTAATTTTCACAATAATTCTCTGCATTAGTCAGGACAGTCTAGGCTATGCTGCAGTAACAGGCAACCCCCAAATCCTGGAGGCTTAAAATCGGAAAGGTTTATTTCTCACTCATGCCGATTGTCTACTACAGTCAGCTGGGGAGTTTGCTGCTCTGGGACCAGGCTAGCAGAATATTCTGGAATGTTTTATCAGGAACTTTCCTAATTGGTATCTGAAACATTGTTGGCTGGCATTGCAAGAGGGGAAAGGGAGCTCTGGAGAGCATATGACTTCATCAATTAAATGCTAAGCTTAAAATGTCACATGTTGCTTTTGTACAAACTCATCAGCCAGAGTCACACGTCAAAGAGAAAGAAATAAAATATTTGCTCTAAGGCAAATGTCATCCTTATCCTGCCTTTTATAAAAGAGGAAAGAGAAGCTAAGGCGCTTATCCAAGGTTATGCAGCTAGATGAATGGTTGAGGCAAGATTTGACTTTCTGACTTGACTCTTCACCCTCTCTGTTACAGATGGAAGTGTAAACAGGTTTCTACAGTATAAAAGAAGATTAAAACGCAACAGCATTTTAAACAAAAATTAAAGCTCAAAAGAACTGTAGGGAATGAACAATTCTAATTGGGAGGTGAAAGATTTAAAAAAGAAAAAAACAAAGCCTTGTGGAAGACATGTGGCTTGAGTTGAATGATGAAAGACAGGAAGGACATTCCAGGAAAAAGTAGAGGGAAGTGGAGGCATAGAGAGGGAAGAACAGAGGATAAGTTGGGACATGAATGACAGTGTGGCTGGAGAGAGAGAGGGAACTTGAGAGAAAGAGATGAGTAGAGACAGAGCAGGAAATGAGGCAAAAAGTGGACTGGCAACAGACAACAGGTTTTATTCTCCTAGCTGTAAGGAGAGGCAAACAGGGTATTATTCCAGAATAACTGAAACCCACAACTAGAAAATGCACTGAAACACAAACCCACTCAATAATGGGTCAAAAGCCTTATCTTCTATAGAATCACAGTAGTCCTAGAGTTCTACAGAGTGCTTGGCACATTGCAGATGTTTGATAAATATTTAGAGCGCATTGAATGATTTCCAGAAGTGTATATGAGGTTTAGAGTTTGCTCCGAGGACAAAACAGAAAGAACTACGAAAAATCTAAGCATAAAGGAAGCCCTGCAAAGAATTTTCTAGGTTGAATTTGTCACTGAAGACACAGAACATCAACATACTGGCAAACATCCAAGCCAATAAGAAGATGCAAACTGTGTGGTCAAGGTTTAACTAGTCTTGTGATGAAAGGGACTGCCATATGGGATTGTTTTTATTTGTTGTGGGTAATTTTCTGTGGAAGAGTATCCTTCTAACCTAGCATAATGAAGCTGATTATTTGTGCTTAGAATAACTAGCAAGAAAAACAAAGAAAGAGAGAGAGAGAGAGAGAAATTCATTCAAAAACATTGGAGTTAAGTTACATCCTTGGCAGAATTTCATCAGTGGAGCCCTCCTGAATGGATGACCAAAAAGCTGTCAAGGGCTGGCTTGTCAAATACATTGACCAAGAGCTCAAAAAAATTGGGTTTTATAGACACAAACTCTAAGTGGAGAGAGAATTCTGCTCTGGGAAACTTGGTGATCTCCAACCTTGAAGATAGTCATAAAACCTCCTGATGGATAGCTTCCTTGAAGTGGGTCATTCTTTTCATTTCATGCCCAGATGAATTCTGCACACTAAGAAGAAACTTAGAAGACCTAAACATTGGATAAATAGTGCTCAGGGAAGAGAAGTTATTTTATTAATGAAGGGTCTTGTCTGTTGGGCTGATGATCTTGGAATATATCCTGAGACTAGTGGTGAACATTCCTTAAAAGGGGACACTCAAATTTTATTTTATTGTTTTATTGTTTTTTTTTTTTTGAGTCAGAGTCTCACTCTGTTGCCCAGGTTGGAGTGCAGTGGTGTGATCACTCACTACAACCTCCGCCTCCCAGGTTCAAGTGATTCTCCTGCCTCAGCCTCCTGAGTAGCTGGGATTACAGGTGCATGCCACCAGGCCTGACTAATTTTTGTGTTTTTTAGTAGAGACCGGGTTTTGCTATGTTGACCAGGCTGATCTCAAACTCCCAGCCTCAAGTTATCTGCCCGCCTCAGCCTCCCAAAGTGCTGGGATTACAGGCGTGAGCCACCAAACCCAGCTAAATTTTAGAAAGATCACTAGGCAGCTGGGTGGAGGATGGATGACGGGATAGTTTTGCAGTGGCGATGGCACTGAAGGTTGATAGCAATAGACCAGGTGAGAAATAACAAAGATCTCAATTTTAGTAGTAATGATAGGAATATAGAGGAGCAAACTTATATTAATTTGCTAGGTCTACCATAACAAAATACCACAAACTGGGTGGCTTAAATAAGAGAAATGTATTGTCATACAGTTTTGAAGGCTAGAAGTGCAAGCCAACAGAGTTGGTTTTTTCTGCGGGCTGTAAGGGAAAATGTATTCCATGCCTCTCTCACAGCTCTCTGTGGTTTGCTGGCATCCCTTGTCTTCTGCTGCATTACCCTGATCTCTGCCTTCCTCTTCACATAGTGTTTTCCTGGGTGTCTTCACATCGTCTTCCTTCTTTGCATGTCTGTCCCTATGTCCAAATTTCTCCTTTCTATAAGGACACCAGTCATATTGGATTACAGGCCCTCCCTACTCCAGCATCACTTCTTCTTAACTAATTATATCTGCAAAGGCTTTATTCCAAATAAGGTCACACTGTGATGACCTGGAGTTTAGGAATTCAACATAGGAATTTGGGGGTTACATAACTCAAATCATGACAGGACCTATTTCAAAAGTATGTTGGAGTTATAGTTAAAATGACTTGATAACTAATTGAATGTGCTTGGTTATTTATGAATTAAGACAGTTTGCAGATGATGTATCAGCATATAAAGATGATATTTGCCGTTTACCAAAGGATAAACAATAGCGACAATGTCCTTGTTATGAGCTAAATTGTGTCTCCCCCAAATGTATATGTTGAAGTTCTAACCCTTAGTATCTCAGAATGTGACTATATTAGGAGATTGAGTCTTAAAAGAGATAATTAAGGTTAAATGGGATCCTTAATGTAGGTCCCAATACAACGTGATTAATATCCTTGTAAGGAGGAGAAATTAGAACACTGACACACCCAGAAGAAAGGCCATGTGAAATCAGAGGGAAAAGACAGGCATCTATAAGTCCAAGAGAAAGAACTCAGAAAAAAATAACCCTGCTGACACCTTGATCTCAGACGTCTTGTCTCTAGAACGGTGAGAAAACAAATTTGTGTTGTTTCAGCCACCCAGTCTGTGATACTTTCTTAAGGCAGCCCCTAACTGATGAATACAGTCCTTAATAATCTAATGACAGTCATTTGAGTATTGTGGGGACCAGTGCAGGAGACAAAACTTTGGACGCGGAAACCATCCTGTGTCTCCATGTAACTTGATTCTTATGTATTTAGGGACAAATTTCATGTTGCCTTTTGGAATCTGATGATTTGCAAACTCCGGTGGGCCTGAAGCCCAGAGGAAGAAGCATTTATAGGACACTCCACTGTAACAAGTCCTAGTATCCTAAACACCACCAAGTTGTTTGCCCCTGGCACCCTTACCCGGTGGGTTTTCAGACGTAATGTCTGCTCGACATTACATCTGATGAAAGAATACTTTATCTTTCATCAGGAGGGAAAATAAGTTGGATAGAAAAGAGGATTAGACAGACCAGGCATGGTGGTTTATTCCCATAATCTCAGCATTTTGAGAGTCTAAGGTAGGAGGATCACTTGAGGCCGGGAGTTTGAAAGCAGCCTGGGCAATATAGCCAGAACCCATCTCTAAACAAAAAAAAAAAAAATTTTGTTTTGATTAGCTGAGGGTGGTGGAACATGCCTGTAGTCCCAGCTACTTGGGAGGTCAAGGTGGGAGGATCTCTTGAGCCCAGGTGTTCGATGCTACAGTGAGCTATTATTGTGTCACTGCACTCCATCCTGGGCAACAGACCTAGTTTCTGTTTCTAGAAAAAAAAAAAAAGAAAGATGTATATTTTGAAAATGGAGGTTGTTGACTGTTCTGACATTGCTAACTACTGCAGAAGCAGAGAAGGTCTCCTCAGGAGATATGATTGAGCAGAGGCTGTTTGGGAAACCTCTTCAGCTAGTTGAGGGAAATCTCCTACACATCCTCCAAGACCCATCTCAGATTACCCTAACTGAGGAAGCCTGCCCAGATAAGCTGCATGGTCCACCCTAAATTCAGCTCCTTGAATTTGACCTCCCCTCATCCCACACACAAAACCTTCACTGCTTAGGTGCCTTTTTCTCCAACTAAATGGTGAGCTCTTCTAAAACAGAAACTCAGTTGTTCACCTTTGTAGCCATGGACCCCATCATCATGTCTTGGAGTGGGCAAATACTCAGATGGGTCGAATAGGGAAAAAAATAACTGATGGCCAAAAGCAATTTCTATTGAAGTTCATTACCTATAAACTTCCAGTTAAGGAAATTTCCACTGAACTCAAATATGTGATGCTTTCTTGCTTATATTTTTCAACATGCAACTTATTTTTATCAAGGCCTTATCAGGCTAAATGGCCAGCATCAAAACAACAGCTTGAAGCAAGAAAGGGAAAAACAAACAAACATTTGGTCCACTGTTTTCTTGTCTTTTTATTTTTTTTCCAACACAATGCCCAGTGGTCCATTTTGTAGTTTACACGATTTTTCTCATTGATGGATTAATCTGAGAATCCACTGACCTCAACAGTAGCTTCTGGACTGACTCAGCTCCCTGCCTTCTCATAGTGAGTGCTTAGACAAACATCTGCTGGAGAATTAAGACCTGTAAGAAAATATGTATTTAATTTGAATAACAAAATAGGCCGGGCAAGTGGCTCACGTCTGTAATCCCAGAACTTTGGGAGGCTGAGGCGGGCGGATCACCTGAGGTCAGGAGTTCGAGACCAGCCTGGCCAACATAGAGACACCTCATCTCTACTAAAAATACAAAAATTAGCCAGGCTTGGTGGCACACGCCTGCAGTCCCAGCTACTCAGGAGGCTGAGGCAGGAGAATCTCTTAAGCCCCGGAGGCAGAGGTTGCAGTGAGCTGAGATCATGCCGTTGCACTGGAGCCTGGTTGACAGAGTGGGACTTCATTTCGAAACAAACAAAAAAGCTTAAATAACAAAATGAAAATAACCTCTCTTCATGTCATACCCAGACTTGTAAATTCTGTTATGAATTTCTAGGCTATAATCTCTGATAGGTAAAAAGTCACCCAACCAATTGAAAAGGCTGGTAAGTCCACCCTCATTCCTCTTATCTGTACACTTCCAAGTTCAGAAGATGTAGGATATCTGTATTCTTTGTCCCTTTTAGCATAGATGCCTGTTCCCCAGGAACACTGGGCAGGTGACTATTTGCAAGCCTGTAAATAAATAAAAGTTGCAAATCTGGAATGGAGGGTGAGAATTACTTTCTAAAAATGACTTATGGTGATGCGTTGAGAAAGAAGAGAATTGGAGGCCAATGAGCTGTGAAATGATTCAAACGGAGGGTGATATTCTAAAGTATTCCAGAGTTTGCATTCTAGACAAGGCTCTAGAGTCATAGAAAAAATAGTTATCCACAAAAATTGACACAACCCAAATTTAACAGTATATTTTTTAGATTTCTGTTAGTTTGTTTTTGCTTTTTTTTATGGCAGTCATTTCAGTTCAAGTCCACAAACAAATATTGTGGACCTACTATGTTCAAAGCACAGGAGTGAAAGGCATATAAGTGATTATAATATAATTTTGGTATCAAGATGTTAACAGAGTAGTATGCAGCCATAAAAAAGAATAAGTGCATGTCCTTTGCAGGGACATGGATGAAGCTGGAGGCCATTATCCTTAGCAAACTAACACAGGAACAAGAAAACAAATACTACATGTTCTCGCTTATAAATGGGAGCTAAATGATGAGAACACATGGACACACTGAAGGTAACAACATACCCTGGGGTCTATCGGAGGGTGGAGGGTGAGAGGAGGGAGAGGATCAGGAAAAATAACTAATGGGTACTAGGCTTAATGCTTAGGTGATGAAATAATCTGTACAGCAAACCCCCATGACACAAGTTTAGCTAAGTAACATACCTGCACTTGTAACCCTGAACTTAAAATAAAAATTTTAAAAAATGCTATATTAAAGCTTGAAAATGAAAAAAAAAAAGACAATAAATTGTGTTTATAATAGGGATAGTCATAGTTACAACTTATTAATGCTTACCATGTTCTTCTAGAAAAATCAGTAGTGCAGAGTGGCAAGATGATAAACACAGGAGGCAATAAGCCTCCAATTAAACTTCAGATCCACCATTTAACTCACGGTGTGACTTTGAGAGATTTCCTCAATCTGTCTGCATCTCAGTTGCTCGTCTGTAAATCTGAAGTAACCAAAGTATTAAAAGAGTTATTGTGAAAATCAAATGGGTTAATACACATAAAGTACTTAGAAAAATGTAGTTAGTGCTGTGTGTGTTAGTTATAATTGCTATTATCTCTATGTGCATGAGATACATCACATATATTGTCTTTTGGGGCAAACTGCTATTATCCTTATTTCATGGGTGAAGAAAGAGGTCAGAGAGATTAATGTGTTCAAGGATACAGAGCAAGTAATGGTTAAAGCAAGGATGCAAATCTCAACCTGCCTCTAAGATTCATGTTCTCACCACCACATGTCACTGCATACAAGGTAAGAAATATTAATATAACACAAAAGGAAATATGTGAAAAAGGAGGCTTTGGGTAAAAACTCTGGGAATGCAAGGGGAAATGGATAGATTCATAGAAGAGGTAGCATTGGAACTGAGCTTGGAGGAAGGATTTGTCCACTGACTAACCTACCTTGTATCCCCAGGATAGGCAGCCCTGGTGTGCTTTGGCTTTGACCATCTATTGTCTGATTTTTGTCAGCTTGGTGATATTGCTTGTGTGTATTAGTCAGGGTTCCCTAGAGGGACAGAACTAATAGGATAGATGTATGTATGAAAGACAGTTTATTAAGGAGTATTGACTCACACGATCACAAGGTGAGGTCCCATAATAAGCCGTCTGCAAAGCTAAGTAGCAAGATACCCAGTACGAGTCCCAAAACCTCAAAAGTAGGGAAGCCAACAGTGCAGCCTTCAGTCTGTGGTCTAAGATCCAAGAGTCCCAAAGCTGAAGAACCTGGAGTCCAATGTTCAAAGGCAGGAAGCATCCGGCACGGGAGAAAGATGGAGGCCAGAAGACCCAGCCAGTCTACTCTTTCCACATTCCTCTGCCTGCTTTTATTCTGGCCATGCTGGCAGCTGATTAGATTGTGTCCACCCAGATTGAGGGTAGGCCTTCCTTTCTCAGTCCACTGACTCAGATGTTCATCTCCTTTGACAGCACCCTTGCAGATGCACCCAGGAACAATACTTTGCATCCTTCAATCCAATCAAATTGGCGCTCAATATTAACCATCACACTGTGTTAGACAAGCTATGTTTTTTTTTTTTTTTTGAGATCGAGTTTCAGTCTGTCACCCAGGCTGGAGTGCAGTGGCGCGATCTCGGCTCACTGCAAGCTCCGCCTCCCAGGTTCACACCATTCTCCTGCCTCAGCCTCCCGAGTAGCTGGGACTACAGGCGCCCGCCACCAAGCCCAGCTAATTTTTTTGTATTTTTAGTAGAGATGGGGTTTCACCGTGTTAGCCAGGATGGTCTTAATCTTCTGACCTCGTGATCCGCCCACCTCGGCGTCCCAAAGTGCTGGGATTACAGGCATGAGCCACCGTGCCAGGCCTAGAAAAGCTATGTTTTATACATAGTAAGTACTCAATAATTCTCATTAGAATGAAGAATAAATGAACGAATAAATGAATAGGAGAGGATTGGTATTTCAGGTTTTTAGTGGAACTTCAATTAAGCAAGTCGGTAGCATTCAACCAGCCCATTAGCCAGTCTTCTGATTACAAAGTAGTTGGAGCCTGTTTTGTTTAGAAAGAGATTGGTGCTTTTCAGAATGCACTGTGAGCAGAGAAAGCCTTTGGGGCTTAATTAATAATCCCTGTTTAAAATGAAAAATACACTAAAACTACAAATGTGTTGTGTGACAAGATTTCAGCCCTGTAGGTAATCTGTTCTTTTTTCAAACATACTTTCCTCTCTATTTACTGAATCCATTATGTTAATTAAGGAAAACACCAGCTTCCAGGAATATCCCAAGGATTTGTTTTTGATTTTTGTAGTAAAGCCTCTATCATTTTAACCATATTTATTCCCTGAAAGGATAGATGTACCCATTCTTAGAATCTTTTTTTTTTTTCAGTAAATGTAACTGAGATAACTATATGTCAGGAGCACTTAGAACTGCAAAGACTTCAAAGAGGTTCAGCAAGAACTCTCCCCACAAGGAATCTGAAATGTGGTTGAAAAGATGAGATAGATGCACATAACAAAGTTAAATAAAACATCAGGCAAATGACAGTAAACTATGTCACAAGAAAGGACAGAAAGCTGTGTGTGATCAAGCCCACCTTGGTGGAAAATGACACTTGTTCCAGTGGGGGTTTTTGTTTTTATAACTTTACATTCTTTGGAATATGACTGGAAAAGGCACTTTTCAATGAGTCAGCTAATACACAAACTATCCCAACCCTTTGAAAATTACTTCTGCTGGGCTCAGCCTTGGCAAAAACCTGAGGGGAAAAAAAAGAGTACATCCTACAGCCTCTGATGTTATCAAGCCAGGTTCATTCTGCCCACACGCAGCAAGCCAATCACTGAGGTGACAGGTTTTGCAAAAGAGTGAAGATTTGATTCACAAGGCTGCTGTGCTGGGAGACAGAAGAACAAATCTCAAATCCTCTCCCTGAACATAGGGCTTGGGGGTACTTCTGGGATAGGAAGCAAGGTGGTCTAAAGTGTGAGGAAATGTGATTGTGTGGTAGGAAAGGTGAGGGAATCAGGTTTCTGTGCAAGCATAAGTGAGCTGTATGGCTCTTCACAGGACTCATGTGAAGAAAATGATGGCTTTAGCATAACTTGAGGGTGGAGTTTTGGACCTCTGCTGTCAAAAGTCACTGTTGGGGCACCCTTGTAGGCCCAGTTGAAGGGTCAGCTATCTGAACTGGCTTGAACAGAACAAGAGCTGCCCCCTAGTGTCAGAGGTGTTAGAACCAGAGTGACTCCGTCTTGAATACAGACTGGGTAAAATAAGGCTGAAACCTACTGGGCTGCATTCCCAGGAGGTTAGGCATTCTTAGTCAACAGGATGAGACAAGAGGTCAAAAGATACAGGTCACAAAGACCCTGCTAGTAAAAAAGGGTGTCGTAAAGAAACCAGCCAAAACCTACCAAATCCAAGATGGCGACTAAAAGTGGCCTCTGGCCATTCTCACTGGTCATTATATGCTAACCATAATGCATTAGCATGCTAAAGGACAATTTCACCAGTGCCAGGGAAGTTTAAAATGCCATGGCAATGTCCATAAATTACCCCATATGGCCTAAAAAGAAGAGGAACCCTCAATTCCAGGAATCCCTCAGCCCTTTCCCAGAAAACTCATCAATAATCTACCCTTTGTGTAACATATGATCAAGAAATAACCACAAAAATAGTCAATCAGCAGCTCTCAGGGGCTGCTCTGCCTATGACGTAGCCATTCTTTTATTCCTTTACTTTCTTAATAAACTTGCTTTTACTTTACTCTGTGGACTCACCCTGGATTCTTTCTTGCATGAGATCCAAGAAGCCTCTCCTGTGGTCTGGATTGGGATCCATTTCTGGTAATACTAGTTCCTGAAAACCAACTTTAGGCACCTGTTACTATAGTGACACACAGTCAGAGATGTTATCCCCCCAGGAAGCTAGTGGGAGTTGAGTCACGTATTGTTTGGCCACGTGATTTGCTAGTGGGAGTTTTTAAGATCAACCAGAAGTAAATGATTAAAAGCAAGCAAGGCAGTGAAGTTTGACGGGCTTAATCAGGGTAACCTTTGGTTTCACCAACAGTTCAAAGCAAAGTCTTAAATGGGGGCAGGCAAGAGAGCATGTGCAGGGGAACTGCCCTTTATAAACCGACATCTCTCATGAGACTTACTCATTTTCATGAGAAAAGCACAGGGAAACCCCACCCCATGATTCAGTTACCTCCCACCGGGTCCCTCCCATGGCACATTACGGGAGCTGCAATTCAGGATGAGATTCGGGTGGGGACACAACCAAACCACATCGTTCCAGAAAAATTAGGGATCTTTGGTTCACAAAAAAGATTTTCAAGTTTTTACTCAAAAAAAAATGTCATGGAAACATCTGGGGGGATTGGTTGCCATGGTTACTGTAAGATGATATGGCTTCAAAAAAGATGGACATTAAAAGGCTCCCCTCCCACTCTACCCTGGGGAGAAAAGAGATTTCTGTGATGATGATGGTTACTAATTACTCAGCACTTATCTATTCCAGCCTGAAATCTAAGCACTTTAAACATATTAATATGCCCAACCACTCAGTAAAAAAGACATTATCAATATTCCAATTTTACGGATGAAAAACTGGAAGTGGAGAGAGGTGACCCCTTTTGCCCGAGGCTGAGCAGTCAGTAAGCAGAGAAGCCCGGATGAGACCCAGCCTGGCCCCAGGGCCCGTGTGTTTACCCTCTTCTGTGTTACCTCCCAAGCCATAAACAACTCGGTTACTGTGATTCTACTGAGAAGATCCTGATAGCTTGCAATTCCCTCTGCTGTGAACTCCCCCACTGAATTCTGGGGGCCCAGAGCATTTCTCAAGTCATTATTGATATCAGCTTTTTTCCCCCAGATGATCCTTGACTCATGGGGAAAGGGATCCAAGGTCCTATCAGTGAGGACAGCAAAAATAATCAAAGGCTTGACAATTCCAAGTGGTGGATCTAAGAGAAGGCAAGTCTAAGTTCCTAGCACTTTTTTTTTCTTTTTTTTTTTTTTTTTTGAGACAGAGTTTCACTGTTTTTGCCCAGGCTGGAGTGCAGTGACGTGATCTCAGCTCACTGCCACCTCTGCTTCCTGGGTTAAAGCCATTTTCCCGTCTCAGCCTCCCAAGTAGCTGGGATTACAGGCATCCGCCACCAGGCCCAGCTAATTTTTGTATTTTTAGTAGAGATGAGGTTTCACCATGCTGGCCAGGCTGGTCTCGAACTCCTGACCTCAGGTAATCCACCCACCTCGGCCTCCCAAAGTGCTGGGATTACAGATGTGAGCCACCGCACCCGGCCTCAGCACTTTTTATACCATTTCAATAACTGTGAGAATATCTGCAAGGCATTCACCTTGTGTGACCCTTAGTTTGCTCATCTGGAAAGTGGCAATGAAATCATTTTCTTAAGATTCTGGGAGGTTTAGACGAGGTTAAGTATGCATTGGGCACATAGGAGGTGCTCAAACAGTATCAGTTCCCCAATACCCATCATTGTGGCGTTTGTATCACAGAGACCTAACAGCATCTACCTATTTTCTATCTCTAACAGTAGCTAGCACACTCTTACATATCTAGTAGTGCTTTGATAGCTATTTGAACAAATCTTAAATAATCATTTTATTTTGTACATAAGACATTAAGCTACAAAAATAAAGAAAAGGAGAGAGCATAGCTGACACTTTGGAGAGAAAATGTCCTTACAGAAATGTAACTGAAAAATTAGACATATCATTGTTATTCGGTATTTCTCAAAAATGTATGGGAGTTTGCTGTTGCAAATAGGGGGAAAATAATCATTTCATTATGACTACTGAAAAGTTTTGGCAAACTGTGAAGACTATGTAACCGCTGGAGAAGAACCAGAAGTAAGCAGTGAAAATTCATTAAAAGGTCAGAAAATAAAAGGCCTATGTGAAAAGGTTAAAAATAATTGGGATTAGTTAGCCCAGAAAGGAAAAGACTAAACGGCAACTTAATTACTGTCTTTATTCCTTTGCAAAATGAGGTCCGCTCCATCCCAGCTGTCTCTGATAATGAGAAAACTAGAAAAAGTGACCCTAAAAGAAAGCAAGGGAAACGTAGGTCATTCTTGGGACATTTTACGGGAGAGAGCAAACATTTAAAATCCCGCCATTTGTGAAAATATGGATGCCCCTAGAGGACATCATGCTAAGTGAAATCAACCAGACACAGGAAGACAAATAGTGCATGAGCTCACTTACAACTTAAAAAAAGTCTTAAAAAAGTCAAACTCATAGAAGCAGAGAGCTCACATAAGAGCAAGAGATGGACCCTATGTCTCCTCTTTTCCCCTAGACTGATATCAAAACAGTGAGTAGTTTCCAGGGGCCAGGGGGAGAAGGACGTGGGGAGATGTTGATCAAAGGGAACAAACTTTCAATTTTAAGATGATTATGTTCCCAGTCTCTAAGGTACAGCATGGTGGCTCTGTTGTATACTTAAAATTTGCTGGAAGAGTAGATCTTAAGTATTCTCACCAAACACACACACACACACATAACTATGGAATGAGATGGATGTGTTAATTAACTTGATTGTGGTAATCATTTCACAACATATACATGTATCAAATTGTTGGTTATTTACCTTAAATATATACAATTTTTGTTTGTCTATTGTACCCTAATACATCTGGAAGGAGGGAAGAGGTTACCTGAAGTGATTCTAGAATTGGATATTCAGGAAAGCCTGTCTTTCAGATGTAATGGCTTGGAAGGGGGACCTAGGGGTTGGTGGAAGAAACCAAAAATGGCACAAAAAAATGGCAGAAACTGAAGGCAGGAGACATGGCTTCTGGTGACCCTTCAAGTTCTCAAATCTTTAATACCTTGAATGTGAGCCTTGGCCTCCCCCTCATTAAATGTCTCCGCTGCTGCCAGCGTGTGAAAACCAATTACAAGGGCCTTCGTGAGAAATGAGGACTTGGTTCTGCCACAGAGCCATAGAGGGAAATAAAAGGTCAGCTCTCAAAAGCCCAGCTGGGAGTCAACTCTGCTTCTTCTGACCTCCAAACTTTCCATTAGAAGGGCAGTGATCTCAGCGATTTACCAGCATGGGCAGCTGGGCCTGTGATTAGATAAAATGCTGTTAAGGAACTGAGTTAATACTCAGGCAGCCGCGCCTCAAGAGGACGTGCGTTCTGGGAGGGTCAAAGCCTTCCTATACTCGTTGGTAAGTTTATCTCCTTAATGGAGGAGGGGAGGTCTGGTAAATTATCAGTCTTACTATCACGCAGTCAAATGCCCCCACAGAATCCATGAATTTGAAGGTGGTTTCTTAATGGTATGTGGGTGGGGGTGGAAGGTTCATTCTGAATACTTGGGGGCTCCCTTTCCTCAGAAGGAAGCCTCTCCCATTTGTATACCCTCTAATTCCCAGTCTTCATCCATGGAACTCTAATCCCGTTAATGCCTTCTGTTTCTGCAATAGAGCCTCATCTGCTTTTCTCTTTGGCTTTAGGGAAGAGTTGTCAGTCATTTGATTCCATCTATTTGGTTTGCTGCTGTGTTGGGAATCAGGGATAGAGTTTAAGCTCGTTTATTGAAGGGGGAGAAGGAAAGAGAAAGCACCTTGCCATTGACTGGCTTTAAAACAGAGCAGAGACATCCAGATTTCAAAATGTCAAGACTGACGCCCCCTTTGCATGTCTCCTAGTTATTCTGTTAACAGAGTCTCTTCTGCTCTGAGCTTCTTTTCTAAATGTCTTTTCTATTAGCCTAAAACCTGTGTGTGCTTTGATTAAAAAAGGGACATTGGTGGCCGGGTGCGGCGGCTCACGACTATAATCCCAGCACTTTGGGAGGCCGAGGCGGGCGGATCACGAGGAAATCGAGACCATCCTGCCCAACATGGTGAAATCCCTTCTCTGCTAAAAATATAAAAATTAGCCAGGCGTGGTGGCGCGTGCCTGTAGTCCCAGCTACTCAGGAGGCTGAGGCAGGAGAGTCGTTTGAACCCGGGAGGCAGAGATTGCAGTGAGCTGAGATCGTGCCACTGCACTCCAGCCTGGTGACAGAGCAAGACTCTGGGAAAAAAAAAAGAAAAAAAAAAAGTCATTGATATATTCCAGATCCCGGGAGGGATAATCTGGGAGTCGAGAAAATTAATCCAACTCACATGGCAATAATGAGAGCAAGAGGTGGGGTCTGGGAAGGGAGTGGAGAGGACAGAGATAGCAGAGAAGAAATATATTTGATTTCACAGGGACCTGAGGAAAAATAAAAGCAGAAGATAAAAGCAGTTGAAGAAAAATACACGCAAACTGTGCTTAGAACTCCATTTCTGTCTGTTGGGAAAGAGGAAGCTGAATTGTAGAGAAGGAAACGTAAACAACAATATGGCATCCTTCTAAAATGAAAATGCTTAAACCTGCCAGGCTCAGAGGGACACAAAACTTTCCTCACTGTCAGGAGGTTCCTGGAGTCACCAAATCCCAAGAATGGAAATTTGTGCACCTACTTGGCAGACACACCTGAGAGCAAGAGTTTAACTTAAGCATACCTGAGAATGACCCTATCATCTAAGAATCTGTGTTTGGAGTTCTAAGTGAAGGAATCCAAGAGTGGCCAACCTAGAGATCCATTCCCTATCTATGAGGAACATCTAAATCCCCCAGCCTATCCCATGGAACACAGGCCATGCATGGAGATCAATGCCCTTTGTTTTGGGTTAAATGATGGTTGCTAGGTGTAGGTTGCTAAGGGGAGGGTGCTAAGTGAAAATGCTCTATAGACTGCATGTTTTCTATAAGTGATTGTGATTCCCCTGTCCAGTCTGCCCCCACTGGACTGCCCTGTATGTAAGTCTTCAATGAACCCTATGTCTCATTCACTGGCTCTGGGTCTCGTTAGCCTGTCAAACCTGGTGCCGTCCCTATTGAAGTCACCCCAGCTTAAAACTGGGATGACTTAAGCATGACAGCACCCCAGCCTCAGAGCTCTGGTTTCAGATGTGTTTTGACCTGAAACTATGTGTGGGGCCGTAGCCATATAATTCCCAACCCAAAGGGATGTGCTGAAAAGGTAACCCAAGATGACTCAAAACTTTCCCTTCCAAAAAATGCAGTTACCTCTACTCTGTATTTGCAAATGCAAACTCAGCTGCCTCCAGGGCCTGACAGATAATGAAAGTGATGGAGCTTCTTAGATCTGAAGAGTGCTTGCCTGTTGGCAAGAAGCAGCCAGTAGTTAGCCTCAATAGCTTCCAAGTGGGAGCACATTGCCAGATCTTCCAAGTCTCCAAGAAAGGGCAGAAATATAACTCTTCTGTTAGACCTCCTAGTTTTGTTGTTGATGTTTCTTTGCTTGTTTTGGTTTGGTAAAAGGATGAGAAACAAAATAAATCTTTTTCCAGCTGTAGAAATCTTTCTGGAAGAGACACAGAGACACCTGAATCTTGATGTGTCTGCAAATGTTAACAAGGAAACAATTTTTTTTTTGATATGGAGTCTCACTCTGTTGCCCAGGCTAGAGTGCAGTGGCGCGATCTTGTCTCACTGCAACCTCCACCTCCCAGGTACAGTGATTCTCCTGCCTCAGCCTCCCAAGTAGCTGGGATTACAGGTATGCACCACCACACTTGGCTAATTTTTGTATTATTATTAGAGACAGGGTTTCACCTTGTTGGCCAGGCTGGTCTCGAACTGACTTCAGGTGATCCGCCCACCTTGGCCTCCCAAAGTGCTGGGATTACAGACATGAGCCATCTCACCCAGCAAACAAATTCATTTAAAAAAATCCTGCAATAATATTGTACTTCAGATTTTCAAGATGTTACTGTTGGGGACTAGGTAAGGTGACTTATGCCTATAATCTCAGCATTTCAAGAGGCTGAGGCAGGAGGATCACTTGAGCCCCAGAGTCTGAGACCAACCTGGCCAACATAGTGAGACTTGGTCTCAACAAAAAAATAAAAATTTAAAAAAGGATGTTACTGTTGGATGGCTGGTGGAAGGGTGCATGGGAGTGTATACTAAGTTTGCAACTTCCAGTGAGTCCATACCTATTTCAACATTAATAGTTAAAAGAAAACAAGCTGCTCAAAACAAAATACTTTGCACACCAAATAAAAATAGGTTGGCAGCTGACTGTTTCCTACTCTCCTTTAGTTTGAGAGACTTCTTTCCTTCATCAGAGCCATAACTCACTGAGGGGCAAAAGCAGACCAGACTCACAAGACGGCCCATAAAAGGACTTTCCATTACACTTCTTTTATTTTGAGACAACATACTGTTTTTTCTGGGAAAGTTCACTGGACAAAAGTGGAAAACAATGTTTCAGGAATCCAACTGTACCAAATATAATGAACATCATCTGTGTTGAAGAGATTTTATTGAGGTTGATGGTTCAATGTGACTTGGGACCAGGGAAATGAAGAAATTCTAACTAATCTTCGGAGAACTTTTTCTAGGAGAGGAGGTTTGGGAGAGGATGTCATATAGACCAAATGAATTCATTTTAGAGTCAGTGCATCTGAGTTTGAATTCCAATTTGGCTTCTTACTGAAAGACTTTGGGAAATACTTGTCCATTTTATTATCTGTTATCTATAAAATGGGGATGGTACAATTTCCACTTCCCAGAGCTGAGATAAGATCTTAGGAAGTAATGCACCGTGCAAGCCCTGATAATCTTTAAAGTAGCAATCCAACATAAATGACAGTGATTGTTTTCGTTACTACGTGCTGGGACATACCCCTCTGATCAATTTTATGTCCTTGTAATCAATTCTGCATGTTCCCAAGCCCCTATGTTTTTATTTAGTTTATAGGGGCTCATTTTAAACAAGAAAATAAAACTTTCATTTATTGCCTTGTTCTGCGACTTCTATGACACACCTGGGAAAGATTAACATTAACAAAATGGCACGCATCATAAACCATCCACTAATCTAATGCCCCTTTATTATTCTTCTTAGGCCTCTCTTTATTCTTTTTTCTCCCCCTTGACATTATTTTCTGTCTCTTATGGGATCATCTGGACATCAATCTTGTTTAAACACAGTTTCCTTCTTGTACAAAGTAGAAGTCCAGCCTAGAAGTCCAGTAACTTACTTCCAAAGTACTTCTTGGCCTGGCAAGGCAATAATTGTCATGGAATAGCCATCTCCCAGGATCTGTGTTTTACAAAACCATCTTAGAAGGAAGCTCCTCACCCCTCCCCTTCACCAAGACTGGTTTGTTTCCTTTTCATTGCTGTTAAATATTAGAAAATATGGCTCACGCCTGTCATCCAAGCACTTTGGGAGGCCAAGGCTGGAGGATCTCTTGAGCCCAAGAGTTCAAGACCAGCCTGGGCAATATAGACAGACCCTGTCTTTACAAAAAATATGAAAATTAGCCAGGCGAGGTGGCACGCACCTATAGTCCCAGCTACTCAGGATGCTGAGGTGGGAGGATTGCTTGAGCCCAGAGGGTGGAAGTTGCAGTGAGCTGAGATCACACCACTGAACTCCAGTCTCAGTGACAGAGCAAGACTCTGTGAAAAGAAAGAGAGAAGAAGGAAAGAAGGAAGGAAGGGAGGGAGGGAGGGAGGAAGGAAGGAAGGAAGGAAGGGAGGAAACAAGGAAGGAAGGAAGGAAGGAAAGAAGGGAGGAAGGGGAAAGTCTTGCAGGTCTTTTGGAAATATTTTCATTTTTCCAGCACGTTCTATTGTCTGTGTCCTTTATGTTCTCCAACTTTATCTACTAGTCTTGATTGTCTCTCACTATGTGTGAGCAACACCAAACTGTTTGTAGAGAGCTGCTCAGAAGGTTGTGGGTCCTCATCTCTACACCTTTGCAACAGCTGCACCAGTGTTCTCCACCTGGTTAACCCTTGTGCATTCTTCAAGATTCAGTGCCACCATGTCTCCTCCAGAAAGACTCCCAGATCTGGAAAAAGATTTCTCTTTCTTCCCTCCCTCTTCCCTCCCTCTTCCCTCCATCTTCCCTTCCCTTCCCTTCCCTCCTCTTTTCTGCTCTTGCTCTGTCACCCAGGCTGGAGTGCAGTGGTGCAACCTCAGCTCACTGCAACCTCTGCCCCCCTGGGCTCAAGTGATTCTTGTGTCTCAGCCTCCCAGAGAGCTGGGACCATGGGCACACACCACCATGCCTAGCTATATATATATATATATATATATATATATATATATATATATATATATGTTGTATTTTTGATGGAGACAGGGGTCTTGTCTTGTTGCCCAGGCTGGTCTCGAACTCCTGAGCTCAAGCAGTCCACCCACCTCGGCCTCCCAAAGTGCTAGGATTACAGGTGTGAGCCACTGCACTCAGCCTGGAAAAGATTTCTTTTTCATCCTTTTGCATTTTAATTCTTGTTATGTGCTTGTCTCCCTCCTATTTATAAGTTTGTCAAGGCACCCACAGAGTCTTGTGGATCCTTCTTTGCATCTCCAGCACCTAACACAATCTCAGCACAAAGGAGGTTCTCAAGAGATGTTTGCTGAAAAACAGTTAAATTTGAATGAATTTAGATGTTAAGCTTTGTGGAGATAAAGGTTGTGTCCTTTTCTGTTCATTACTGAAGCCCAATTCCTATAATAGTCTTTGGAACCTAGTGGTCAATAAATATTTGCAGAAAGAACGAAGGAAGACACAAAGGAATGAGCATATATTGGCTTAAATATTAGTGATAGTGAAAAGAGGCTGTTATTCTTAGAGGTGAATTTGAAATTATTTTGTTCACTACCCTTTCCTTTGAAATGTTTGGTCTTAATTCATAGCGCTATGAGATTATTAGGTAAATTTGAAATTATTTTGTTCACTACCATTTCCTTTGATTGAAACTTTTGGTTTTAATTCACAGTGCTATGAGATTAATCTAGGGACAATATACTGAAGCAGTAGGTTAAACTCATGGGTTCTACTTGAAGCCAGACGACCTAGACTCAAATCCTGACTTTACCACTTACCAGTTATGTGACTTTGGGAGGTTGCTAAACCTCTCTGAGCCTCTGTTTTCTTACCTTTAAAATGGGGGCTAATAACATTACCTCCAAGACTAGTAAGAAGTTTTGCCCTCATTTGAGAGTCAAAGAGGCATTTAGAATATTGCCTAGTACTTTTTTTTTTCTTTGAGACAGAGTCTCACTCTGTTGCTAGGCCTGAGTACAGTGCTGCGATCTCAGCTCACCGCAGCCTCCGACTCCCTGGTTCAAGTGATTCTCCTGCCTCAGCCTCCCAAGTAGCTGGGACTACAGGTGCCCGCCACCATGCCCAGTTAGTTTTTTTGTGTGTTTTTAGTAGAGACGGAGTTTCCCCATGCTGGCCAGGATGGTCTCGGTCTCCTGACCTCGTGATCTGCCAGCCTCAGCCTCCCAAAGTGCTGGGATTACAGGTGTGAGCCACCGTGCCTGGCCGTGCCTAGCACATTTTAAGAGCTCATTGTATTATTATTATTTATATTAACTAGGAGCAGGTTTACTGTAACATTCAATATAATGAAAAACATTTACTGAGTCCCTAATATGCATTTGACACTGGGCTATGTCCTAGGGAGGCAAAGATGTTGGAACTAAAAATTCTTGCCCACAAGTCACTTGTAGTCTATAAGATAAAAAATTGAATTTGGTATTATGAGTTCAGTGAGGCCAATAAAGCAGGGTCAGCAGAGGGGGAAGTGAATTGCTTTCAATTGCTGCAGTGAGACCAATAAGATGTCTTAGAGAATGAGATTTTGAGCTGGGGGTTAGAAGGATTAATAGGAGTTAAGCAAGAGAGCATATGTATGGCAAGGCAACTTGTTGAGACTGTGTGTGTATGTGTGTGTGTGTTTCTGGTTGTGGGAGAATCAGAAAGGATAAGATCCATGCTGGGCGCGGTGGCTTACTCCTATAATCTCAGCACTTTGGGAGGCCGAGGCGGGTGGATCACTTGAGACCAGGAGTTTGAGACCAGCCTGGCCAACATGATGAAACCCTGTCTCTACTAAAATATACAAAAAAATTAGCCAGGCACGCTGACACATGCCTGTAGTCCCAGCTGCTTGGGAGGCTGAGGAACGAGAATCGCTTGAACCTGGGAGGTGAAGGTTGTGGTGAACCGAGATCTTGCCACTGCACTCCAGCCTGAGTAACAGAGCGAAACTCCATCTCAAAAAAGAAAAAAAAAAAAGTGAAAGGGACAGGGTAAAACTATGTGTGGGGCTGTAAAAAAAAAAAGAGAGAGAGAGAAAGAAAGAATAAAATCCATCTGTATTTTGTTTTCTATATTTTCTCTCCACCCCTGCTTAAAGATGGCATCTTGGCACATGTGAGCCTTTGGCTTGAGAATGTTCACCCAGAAGCTGAAGACACCACCCTGTCCCTTTCACATTTTCATTCTGAAAAATCCATTAAAGAGATTTTCTGAATTGTGTCAGGGAGCTGTTTTGAGTCCCAGTAGTCAGAAGCTGCAGGAACAACAGGGGGGTTCCTAAGTCTAGAAAGTGGTGGTTTGGGGTTCCCTATGGATTGCGGATTTGCGTTCTACACATTCATAGTGTTCCAAGGAGGTGGCAGGAACTCTGAGAGCAATAACTGATAGGTGGAAAGGCTGGTCACATGTTGGCCCATCTCTGGCTGCACAGTGTGGCTGAAAGGTGGAGCAGCTTACCCAGCAATGCGGGGCAGACAGGGACAGACAGAGCACCTGCTAGACCCACTACAGATGCTGCACATGTGGGCAGATCCAAGCTACCAGGAGTGTCCAGCACCCAGGCATTTGCCTTTTTAGTCTCAGTCTAATCTCCATGGAAGTTGGAATCATTTTCTTTGGGAGATAGACATGCATTATAATCAGCAAATCATGGAATAAACACAGAGGAACCAAGAATGGCCAGGCTAATGAGACTCGGAGACCATCAACTCGCCAGCTGCATACTGCATACACACAAAAAACTCTTTTTTTTCTATCCCACATGTTGAAAGATCGTCACAGAAATGTGATTACTGTAGTGGGTAAACATCACAGCACCTAATAAGGTCTTCTGAAAAAAATGCATTTGCAACAAAAATTATTGCATGCCCTTCATTTGAACGCATGATGGACTTGAGAAAAGACATACAAAAGTCATTAGGTGAGGGTGACGATCATGTGCTCCAAAGTCACTTAGAGAGAAACCTGAAAAGGAAAACCATTTCAACAAACACAGGCCCAGGGTGTCTATCGTTAGTCACAGAAGCATTACTTCCAGGGTGGGTTTAGAAATCACCTGTCCACATGAACCTCTTGCTGCCAGACACATACACCATCGGACTTACTGCTTTGAGCCTTTTGAAAGTCTGCCAGAGGTGAGTTTTCCCACTCATTTGGAGAAAAATTTTCATTGGAGTGCTTTCCCTGGAAGTAGGTTTGGAGGTGTCCTATAGAGAGCATGCACATGTACCCTGGTCTTTTATTCCAGTGCAAAAGGCCAGATTTCCTGGTGATGGGAGGGTAATTTTAAATAGTGGAACACGCCTTCAAAGGCCATTATCGAGTCTGACCTAAGCACTAGGTTGGCCCTGATCATTATGCCTCTTAGCTGTGCCCTACGCTATAATAATCCATTCTCATGCTGCCCCAATCATCACAAAGACACCCTCTCAAGCTGCACAAGTCACAGACTGGGTCTGTCAACTTCTTCCTGATGCCCAGAATGAGATAAGAGGTGAACGGACCGTACTCTTCTGCAGACAGTTATATAACAGGAAGCCATCTGTGGCCCTGCCCCAAGGCAGAGCCTACATGTTCCTGATATGTCCTCCCTACTCATTTCTCATTGATGGCTCCAGATGTTGAACTATAGTGATTTCTGAGGTCGCCTATTCAGAATATCCAAACATTACAGAATATCACAGGAAAATAAGCCAGTATTATTCTTCAGAGTGAATACCAAACAGAACGTTTAGTTCAAGAGCTTTTCTAAACTTTCCTGGATAGTCTCAAATGTCAAATAAAAATTAGCACTCAATGCCAGTAAGTGTGTGGCTCCGTGGGTGCCCTTTGTGTATCCAGGTGATAAGAGTGTAAATCTATATATTTTGGAAAGCTGTTTGGCAATGGGTTTCAAGCATTTGAAGAATATGTAATTTTTTAGCCCAGTACTGTCACCCGTATTCTATTAAAATGGTCTGAAATTCAGACAGAGCTTTATGAAAAAGGTGGTCATTACTGTGAAACCTTGGAAACAAACTAAAATAGCCAACATTTAGGGAACCAGTAAGTCCTTTTAGCTGAATTCCTCAATGAAATATTTCAAGCCATGTGAAATGAAGTTTACAAAGAATTTGTCCTGGGAAAAATGCTAATGTCCTAATGATTCCCTTAAAAAATAGAGTATAAAATTAAATATACAATATAGTCTCAAGTTAAAATTTTAAAATGTACAACAAAGACAGCAAGAAATAGACCAAAATGTTCAAGGAATAGACCAAAATGTTCAGGCCATAAGATTATGAGTGATTTAACTTATTCTCTTCTATCTTTTTGTCATTGTCTAAATTTTCTATGACACTCACTTATTCTTTCTATACATTAGAAAAGTGTTACTTTAAAAATCTAATATTTGGGGATAAAAGTCAGAAGAGTAACTTCCTGGGGGTAAGGGGAAGCTATTGATTGGAAAGGAGCATGAGGGAACTTCCTGGAGTGATGGGAATACTCTATATCTTGATTTGAGTGGTGGCTAGATGGTTGTATACAGAGAGAATCCACTGGATTGTACCATCAATGTGTGTGTACTGCATTGTAGGTAAATTTTTCTTCAATTTTTAAAATACAGCATATTTGCCCTTCCATTCCTTTCATTATGTAAAGCCCCCACTTGCCTTTCTTCCATGATATTCACGGCAAACCCCATTTCCATATGGCTCCCATCACTCCTTTTAAAAGTTGCTTCTACCCATATGTCCCACCTTCACCATTATATTGTAGACATCTTCTGGGGAGAACCTCATTGTCTCTTTTCTACAAAGCTCTCCAAAGACAGGTCTGGGCGCTGTGGCTCATGCCTGTAATCCCAGCACTTTGTGAGGCTGAGGTGGGTGGATCACAAGGTCAGGAGATTGAGACCATCCTGGCTAACATGGTGAAACCCTGTCTCTACTAAAAATACAAAAAAAATAGCAGTGTGTGGTGGCACACACCTGTAGTCCCAGCTACTCGGGAGGCTGAGGCAGAAGAATCGCTTGAACCTGGGAGGTGGAGGTTGCAGTGAGCCAAGATCGCACCCCTGCACTCCAACCTGAGTGATAGAGGGAGACTCTGTGTAAAAAAAAATACACACAAAGCTCGCCAAAGGCAATTCCTACTTTTAGTCCATGTTCTACTACTTACTTGCTGAATGACCTCAGGTAATTAACTTTTCCTTTAGTTTTTTGCATCTTAAAACTTGAGGGTAGGGTTAAGAACACCTACCTCGTAGGGTTATATTGTGAAGATTGGGAATTACATATATAAAGTACTTCCCAACAAGGTCTAAGGCATGGTGAGCATCTGATAAGTCGAAGTGAATATTACTCTTAGCCAAACTGGTCTCCCATCTCCCACTGATCTATGCTAATCCCACTAATTCTTCAAAGCATAAGTAACTCCTCTAGAAGCCATTCATGGCCACTTCAACTTTCATGGGTCTCCTCATTTTTGTAGCCTAATTTAGCCCTTCATCACCCACTGCTGTGTAGAACTTGCTGCTATTTCATGGCAAATAAAAATGATATTTATTGATCACCTGCTATATGCAGACACAATTATAAACGATACACACTGTCTCCAACCATTTTACAACAGTCCTATGAAGTGGAATTATTATCTCCAATTTTACAAGACAGAAAACTGCAGACTCAGAGAAGGTCATGGAATTTGTCTAAGGTCACACAGCTGAATTTGAAGCCAGCTCTGTCTGAGCTCAAAATCTGTGTTGTTGTTTTGTTGTTGTTGTTGTTGTTGTTGTTTTCTTCTTTAACATGTGCTAGCGATCTGCCCTATTAGGCTTGAAAATTTCTTGAGGATCCGATATGGCGGCAGGAGGCATAGGAATCATGCATTCATTCATTTAACAAATACCCACGGAGAACTGTGACCGATGCTATCAGTGTCCCCTCTTTTTCCTCTTAGATCTTGGTACACATAACCCAGCTCCCAGTGGTATCATCCACAACTGTTCACCTAAAGACTTTCTCCGGCCACCAGAGCCTGCTCTGCCCCTGGACATGCCAGAGTGAACGTGATGGAGAATGCCTGCTTCCCGGGAACAGCCCTCAGTGATGGATGGGAATTTGTGTATAGCTGCCCCAGCCCTATCACTTCTCAGTGGTGGTACGTCTGAGGTGCGTGTTCCATGCTGGCTCTTGGAGTTCCCCGGGAGGATTATTCTCCAGCTGCCCCGTGGTAACTCACTGGATAACACACCCTTTATGGTCTGCCTTTCCTCACTGTCCTGCCTTCACCTCCCAAATCAACCACTTGCACTTGAATCCCTGACTCAGCGTCTGCTTTGGGAAGAAACCAAGCACAGATAAGCACACACATCTATCAGGTACCTATCTATGCAACCTGCTCCCTATTGGGAGAGACTAAGTCATAAATAAGCCAACAGCAAATAAAGACAATTATAGATCCTCAAATTCACCAGGAAAGATCCAAGATGCTGTGATAGAGAATAAGGTGGAGGGATTACTTTTAGATATAATGGGCAGACCTGGTGATCATGAAAAGTGGCCTTCAAACTGAAGATCGGAGGACCTGAAGAGCAAGGAGCCAACCACATAAAGGGCAAGAGAGAGAGAATTCTAGCAAGAGGAATCATGGAGGACAAAGATCCCCTAGTTGGGAAAATGCTTTGCACATTTATGCTCTCAAAGGAGGACAGCATAATGATAACAGAGTAACTGAGGAATGTAGAGACATAGGCATGTGACAGATCCTTGAGGACTGTGGACATGTCAAGAAGTTTGGAATCCTGGCAAGTCGCCGATGTGATTTAAAGGAGGTCTTTGCCCTGTGCATAACTTTGAGCCATGCATGGAAGTTACTGCTTTCATTCTTCTCAGGGCTTCGGATTCAAATTCATTCACCTGGCTTCAAGGAGAAGGGGAAGGGAGAAGGGGTACAGAGAGACTGCTTTTGCAAAGAAGTATGTCAGGAGATGCTGAAGGGACCCTTTGTTTCATCAAGTTAGTTTTCCCTTTGATTCCCCAATACCTCTAATTCTGCATGTCACCAGGAAATAGGTGTGCTGCAGCTCGGTGACAGCCTTCTCCAGTGTCTATGGCAACCTGGGGCTGGGGCCATTTTTCCTTCAATGAATGGGCTGGCTTCCCGAAGACAAGTAAAGCCCAATTGTTATTCTCAACTGTTACAGAGGGAGGGTGCACAGGGGTAATAAAGAAACAACTGAATACTGCTAATGATATTGCATAAAATAACATGAATTAAGTAAATCATTTCTCTCCAGCTTAATTATAGATGCTTCAGGGTGAAAATGCAAGAAAGAGCCTCAAACTGAGGCTTTGCTTCTTATTCCAGCCATTATTTCCAGTGTTCTTTTTTTGTTGCCACGGTCCATATACCTTATTGTCTGACAACTCTGAAAAGAGCTGGCTTCCAGGTTTGTGAATTACAACCACTTGGCTGTGTTCCTGAGAGAAACAACAGAGCTAAACAAAGGTGGGTAGGTGGAAGATGGAGCATTATTTGACAACAAAAGTCTCCCAACTTACAGATCGGATGGGTGTTAGTCTCTGCATCCTCTTCCTACTACTTTGGGCAAGGGTTATCTTTCCAAAGAAAAGCTGATCACATCATTCAATAGCATAATAATCTTCAGTGGCTTCTGGTAGACTGCAAGATAAAAACCTAAGCTATTTGGCTCAACCTCTTCAACCTCAGCTCTCATGTTGCCTCTTTGTACTTACTCCACTGAGCTATTACTAGGTCTTCCAATACACCAAGCTGTCTGGGGCCTCTGATCTTCTGCTTGAGCTGGTTTGCCCTCTTCCCTCTTAAAGAATATACTCTCATCTTCTAAAGGTTGGCTCAAGAATCCCTCACATTGTATAGCTTTTCTTTTCTTTTCTTTTTAAGACAGAGTCTCACTCTGTCACCCAGGCTGGAGTGCAGTGGCGCAATCTCAGCTCACTGCAACCTCCACCTCCTTGTTTCAAGCGATTCTCCTACCTCAGCCTCCCGAGTAGCTGGAACAATACGCACGTGCCACCATACCTGGCTAATTTTTGTATTTTGTATGTTTGTCAGGCTGGTCTCGAACTCCTGACCTTGTGATCTGCCTGCCTCAGCCTCCCAAAGTGCTGGGATTACAGGTGTGAGCCACCGCGCCCAGCCTTGTATAGCTTTTCTAGCATCCCCAGGGAAAACCGTTTGTTTTTGCCCTTGCAATATGGGGATATGTGTCCCAGGCTCCTTATTGCAAACTTTGGGATCGAGATACATTGATTGCATTCATGACCCCAATTAATGGCCTACCTTTATCCACACCTTTTGCCTGTAATTCTGTAACTCCCTGGCTTGGAAATGTGAGCTATTTTGTAAGATAAGACAATCACAAACTTCATACAAAAGCTTGCAAACCTGTGTGAGTTTTTTCTTGCCTTCTCAATGCAACTGGCTTTGCTCACTCTTGAATCCCTGCCATGGTCATGAGAACAAGCCTGGGCTAGCCTACTGGAGGATGACAGACACATGGAACAAAGCCAAATTGCCCCAGACCAGGCCATCCTAGACCAGCCAGCCCCCAGACAACCCTCCAGCTGCCTGAAGATGCAGGAACGAGCCCACCCGAATTGGCAGAACTATCCTGATAGTCCATAGACTAGTAAAACATAATAAATGGTTGTTGTTTTAAGCCACTACATTTTAAACTACTTTGTTTTATGCCCATTGTTAAATGATATAGGGGACCACATAGGAGAAGGCTTAGGTCTGGTTGGTTGTTGTCTGATAGCTGCATGGAAGACTGCAGCTCACCTCACTCCCAATCAAGAGTAAGAGATGAGAAAAAGAGGGATCCACTGTCTTTAGAACATGAATTCTTTCCAGTACAGAGGCTTGTCCGATCTATGTTATAATACCCTCATCTCATACATCAAATGTTATAATACCGTCATCTCATACATCAAATAATACCCTCATCTCATATGTCATTTAAAGAACTCCTCCTTCTTCGAAGAGTACCAGTGAGAGGTAAGGAGAAGGCAGACATATCTACTTGATCCTTTCTAGAGGACAGAAATTTCTCTTTTATGGGCTAGCTGTAAGGAGATGAGAGGGAAAGGGCTCCCCCTGCAGGACAAATTTAACCAACCGTGCACAATTATAAAAGGTTGACCTTTTGAGAATCATTGTATACCTTGTTTTCCTATAACGTGGGTTTGTTTCGGAACATGAAGGAGATACTATGTCAATGTAAATTATTAAGGAAAAAATGGAGATGAGGATATAGGCAGAAGGAAGAAGAGCTAAAAGATGCAGGCAGAGTAGGAGAAGCACTTTACGAAAGGTGTTTGCCTTCACTGACACCTCTCCACTTCTCACTCTGACTCACACGCATGGATCCTCTTGTCAACGTATTAAATATCGTAATAGAAAGTGCTTGATGAGTGCTTGCTACATGCCAGGAATTGTGCAAATTCACCTATCTCTCACAATAATTCTATAGGTTGGTACCATTGTCGTCATCTTTGTTTTACAGATGAGGGAGGAAGACTCAGGAAGAAATATGCCCGAAGTCACACAGATAGTGACAAAATGGCGATTCAAATATAGGCAGACTTGCTCTAACACCTGTGCTTCACCTGGCCTCTACAAAAGAAGCCAGACTGTCCCCCGAAGCCCATTATGTGGTGTTAGGCTTTGGACGTGGATCAATAGAAATGGACAGAAGGAAGGAGAATCATCTTTTCTATATTCCATCTTAGACTTTCTCCAAAATTGGAGATACCAGACCTGTGCTACTCTGTCCCTGCTTACTATTTACTTCTATTCATGTGGCTTCCTTCATTACAAACTCATTAGCGGAGGGAAGGGCAGTCTCATGGCCAGACCATGTGAAGACTTGCCTGAGTGTTCACCCCACTCTATTTAGTGGAATGCTATCTGTGTCCTTGGCCAATCTCACTATTGCAATCACAAAAGCATAATCAGCTACCTTCTTTTTTTTTTATCATATCCCCTAAGTCATTTTCTAATTCTACTATTTTAGTTTATTCAATTTCTACACCAGAGTATGCCCAAATATATATAACCACATAATTATACCTTTATACACTATGTATCCAAAATTCATTTTATATACATACCTTAGTATTTTTCCTTCTCCAGAATGAGATTTCCCTTCTATGCCCTATTTCACATCATCCCCTGCCTCAGCCTCTGTCTGAAGTTATTTCCCAGTAAATGAAGCAGCCTTCCTCTCCATTGTCCCAAGTCATTCTCTGCCAATTCCACCATCCCATAGGATATGTCTCTTATTTCTTCCACAGAAAGCAAAGTCAAAGTCCATTTTGTCCTCCACTCCCAATTATATTGGCTTCAAGTGCACCTTCAATGTTTTGCATTCACCAGGGATTTATGTAGAAACCAGTAAAAAGGAGTCCAAAGAAAAAAAGTGACACAAATGTTCACATGGTGGATGAGAGAAGAGAGTAAAAGTGCTCATTGTCATTGCTGACAGCCTGTGTTTAGGAAGCATTTGCCTGGCCCCGGCTGAATCCTAATATGCATGTGGAAATTGATAATTATGTTCATTCAACCCTTTACAAAGTGCCTTCATGTGTTAAGATGCAAAAACATGAAGCTAAGTGCCCAATTCTTTATTAATTCGGTGTGGAGTTTTGCAGTTAACGGTGCCAGGTTTGCATCTGCAATTACCCCTCAGCTTTTTAGTGGATCTAAAAGGGCAAGTGAACCACCCTAACCGCAGCCTCCCTCCCCCAGTACAATGCATCATTCTCCTGTTTGAAGAAATGAAGGGAAGTTGATATGGAGCTAGCCACTCTGTTGATGACTGTGAGTTTTTCTCTAAGATTTAGCTGGAGAAACCTAAGCCCCGTAAGTAGAAAGTTTAGAGATATTTCTTGTGGCCTGGAATTGGAATCAGACTCACTTAATGAGGAGATAAAACGTGGCTACCTTGGGCTAAGGACTCTCAGGACCTGGCAGGTGTCTTGAGAAAGACAAACAAATGCTGTTCTCCATTGTCCTAGGAGAGACATACACTAAACAAAATCATTTTAGATGTAAGGACTGCTAAGAAGAAAATCAAATGGAATTGAAATCTGGCTAGTGACTCCTCTTTGCCAATTTCTTGTGAATCTGAATGACTTCGTCACTATGTCCGGGACACATGACGGGACTTTCTCATCTCATCCTTCTAAAATGAAAACTGGAAGCCGTTAGACTGTGCACTTCAACCTGTTTCCCACTCGAATGCTAGCCTCTCTAGCTAGCTAGACCACCTCTCCAACTCCCACCTGCTGTATTTCCCCATTATTGCTGACACCTGAGTCAGCTTAATAATCATGTTTTTTCCTCCACCATTTATTTTCCTTACGATACCTAGTACAATATTTTGGACAGAGAAATGAATGAATGAATCGTTCACTGGGGCAATTCTGGGATGCCGATGTCCATTCTTTAATGCCACTGCGTCATGAAGAATTAATCATATCCAAAGTGAGGTCCAGTCTTTGCCCTTGGCTACTGGGATGTAATTTCCAAACTCCTGGAATGTCATGCCTGATAGAGTGTCTTTGTTTGCCTGAGGGTCTTGGCCACTGGACAGTTTAACAGTGTGATTTATGATGGAGGCTTTAGGCCATACGTTATCAGTTCTACCTCCAGAAAAGCTGAAGACTAATGATCAGCGCCATGTTGTCAACTCTAACTCTGAAGAAGCTGCCATTCAGGCAATGTGTGATCAAGCCCCAGTAAAAACTCAGGACACCAAGTCCCAGGTAATTGTCCAAAGCTGGGGATACTCCATGCTTATCATCACATGTTGATGCCAGGAAAGTAACACCATCCATGACTCCATGGGGAAAGGATAACACAAAACTTCAGGTTTGGAACTTTTCCGGGACTCTGCCCACAGGCCTATTCCCTTGGCTAATGTTAATCTGTATTCTTTCTCTGTAATAAACTGTAACTGTAACAGCTTTTGGTGGCCAGGCACAGTGGCTCACGCCCATAATCCCAGCACTTTGGGAGGCCAAGGCGGGCGGATCACCTGAAGTCAGGAGTTTGAGACCAGCCTGACCAATGTGGAGAAACCCTGTCTCTACTAAAAATACAAAATTAGCCAGGTGTGGTGGCACATGCCTGTAAACTCAGCTACTCAGGAGGCTGAGGCAGGAAAGTCGTTTGAACCCGGGAGGCAGAGGTTGCAGTGAGCCAAGATCGCACCATTGCACTCCAGCCTGGGCAACAAGAGTGAAACTCTATCAAAAACAAACAAACAAACAGCTTTTGGTGAGTTCTGTGAGTCCTAGGTAATTATCAAAACTCAGGGTGCTTTTGCTCCCCTCTCTTGAACTTCCAGTTCAGAAGTGAGAGTAGTCTTGCCTGGACTGTGTTCCCTCTAACTGTACAGTCATCAGACTCTCACAGCCACATGTCTGCCCCATAGCACCACCTATATAGGAAAATCCCACACACACTTGCAGCTCACAGCCTAAGTTTTGAATGACTCCCTTTAGGCTGATTCTTTATGCAGACGCCAGCTTTGTGTAGCCTTTGACCATTCCACCTTCTGCTTGTTCTCTGTTGTTCTTTCTGTATTACCTAGAGCCATTTTACCATCCGTAAGATTAATCCCACTTGCATTGAGTTTCTTTGCACTGGCTACTCAGCCACCAACAAACACAGTCCCCAGAACTTTCTGTTGCCACCCTTTATGCTTAGGAGTGTCCTCAAACAGGAACTGAAGGCTCAGGTAATTTACGTGAGAAACAAGAAGAAAATTAAATGAATAATCACATATGAGAAATAGTAAATATGGCTAGGACCTCTCTAGGCAAGACCTTAAAAATAATTCTTCCAAAGTAAAATATTTTTCCTTCCTTCCTCCCTTCCTTCCTTCCTTGCTTCCTTCCTTCCTTCCTTTCTTCCTCCCTTCCTTCCTTCCTTTCTTCCTTCCTTCTTCAATTATCTCAATGACAATGTCTGACATGGACTAGAAACTCTGTAAATATTTGCAGTATTGTTCAATGAGTGGATGAACCTATATTGAGCACCTACCATATTGTATACACCATGCTAGGCATTTGGGAAACAGTGAAGGATAACATAGACATTCCAAGTGCGATGTACCAGTCAACCTATCAAACCAAGCAGTATCTGGAGGAAACACAAAGGAGAATAAGAATAACCTCTTATGGACACTGACTGTCATGGGTCACCTTCCTCTTTCAACAAATGTGGCTCTCAGGGGATCATGGGAGATCATAAAAATTATTGAGACTCCACAGGATGAGTCTCGTGATCACTGATTTGGACCAGTGTCTGTATCAGCAAATGGAAGCAAACTTTATGATGCTGTAACGATGGGAGCAGGGTCAAGCATTACTGAAAACCTTCAGTCTCAGATAAAGCGGAGGGAAGGGGAAATTACTCATTTACAGCTAGAAATTGGTAATCTAGAAAAAACTCGATCAACAATGGCTGAAGAACTAGTAAAATTAACAAATCAAAATGATGAACTTGAACAGAAGGTGAAAGAGATACCCAGACTTAGAATCCAGCTAAGAGATTTGGATCAAAGATACAACACTATTATGCAGATGTATGGAGAAAAAGCAGAAGAGGCAGAATAACCTTGATTAGATCTTGAGGATGTAAAAAAAAAATTTATAAAACTCAAATAGATGAACATTTAAGACAGAGGCTCAGTTAACTTGTGAAAATTGAATTCTCGTCAAACTGAATGTAAACATTTAATATCTGAATATTTATTGTGGACTTCCAATAAATTCTCGGGTTTTTTTGTTTTGTTTTGTTTTGTTTTTTGTTTTTTGTTTTTTTTTTAAGACGGAGTTTCGCTCTTGTTTCCCAGGCTGGAGTGCAATGGCGTGATCTCGGCTCACTGCAACCTGCGCTTCTCAGGTTCCAGAGATTCTCCTGCCTCGGCCTCCCAAGGCATGCACCACCACGCCTGGCTAATTTTTGTAATTTTAGCAGAGATGGGGTTTCTCCATGTTGGGTCAAGCTGGTCTCGAACTGCTGACCTCAGGTGAGCCACCCACCTCGGCCTCCCAGAGTGCTGGGATTACAGATGTGAGCCACTGTGCCAGGCCAAATGCTTCTATAGAATGAGAAAAAAATTATTGAAACTCCAAATGAAGATTCCTAGATATTTGTAGGATGTGCCCGTACCTTACAAGTCACGTGCAGCCCTGGTGTAGCCTTGACTTAGTGACAGAGGATTTTGACAAAAACTTTATAAAGCAAACATTCACTCTTCCTCTGGTGACATGGGGGGAGGAGGGTGGTATAGAGATCTCTCAATACCACCTTCCTCCCCTCAAGTCATCATGCACAGGACAAGGGTAGAAGGATACAAAGGGAGTGGTATCAGTAGAAGCAAGATACAGTACTGAATAACTTTTATCTTTTGCCTGGAATGTTCTAGCCTATTTATTTTTAATGCTCTTATTTTTCAGGGGGACCTTATCACCTTTGTTATTCCAAATCAGCCTTAGTCAAATTATTGGGCACTCTAGGACCCACCTCAAAAACAGATATCACTGAAGATTTTTTATCAGATGGGTAAAGTATGCATATCACAGAGAGGGAACTGTGCATTTCTGTTCACCTTTTCCAGCCTGGCTCTTGCTAACAGGAGGCTGTAATTGACCCTGTATATCATGCCTGGAGACCTTAATGGAAGTGTTGTAACACAATTAACTTAGAAGCAAAGGACAAAAGGAAAGGCATCATGCCGTTATCTGGCCATTAGAAGCTACTCTGCCTTGAGATAAGGGGTATGGGAAAAGAAACAAGTGTGTATGAGTCCTGAGATATTTTTATAGTCAGCATCAAGCTTTATATGATTATGAATATTTTTTTAACAGGGACACTCACACTGTCGCCTAGGCTAGAGTGCAGTGGCATGATCTCTGCTCACTACAAACTCTGCCTCCCAGGCTCAAGTGATCCTCCCACCTGAGCCTCCCAAAGTGCTGGGATTACAGACACGAGCCACCACACGCAGCCTATATGGTTATTAGTATTATCCCTAAACATATCCATTTGCATATTCAATGGACAGTGATTGAGTGTCTACTGCATACCCATCAATCCTGGATTCATGGCAAATACCAGAAGAACAAATATCATCCCTGTCCTCTGGGAGATGGGGGTCTATATGATATACAAACAGAACACACACATGCAACCTCAAAATGAGGCTGCTCCATGAACACCTCATGGAGAAGAATGGTATCATCAGGGTCACATCATAATGATATCAAGACTCATTATATATCAGTCATTTACTGTGTGCTGGAAACTTTATGCTCATTTCTCTAATCCTCACAACAAGCCCCCCCGATCCATCATATTAGCTCCACTTTACAGAGGAGGAACCCCAAGATCAGAAGTTATGTGAGTTGACAAATGTCCCACAGTTGGTAAATGCCAGAATCAGGCCTGGCACTCAAGAATGTGTAATTCCTCCAAAGCCCATGAGTTTTCTAGTAGTTTGTGTTTTTAGGGACAACCACAGTGCCTGTCACATATGGATGGATAGGTTCGAGTAGAACTTGTTTGATGCTTAAAAGGATATGATAGAGCTTATCAGTTGGATATCTTAGAACAAGGGTGCTCATGAGGATCCATGGGTCTAACTCTAAAGCAGCCCAAGGTTAGTGAGATTCATATTATGGGCAGAATCTGCCTTCCTTCTCTCTGGTGTGACTTGTCCTAGGTCGACTACAGCTGGTCTGGATTTGTAATGATGCAGAATACTACGGTTAGGTCTTGTGGCAAATCCTGCCCCACATTCAGAGAAACTGGACTTGCCTTCCAGAGTCATCACCTTCTGCCAACCAGCCGCTCAGTATGGCATGAGCACACCCATCCTTGTCCTTCATCGCTCCTTGTTAAAACCACTTTCAGCTTTCTACTTGTGTCTTTTGCTGTCTCAGGCAGTAATCCATTTCTCAACATGTCATTTATCCAATAGACAACATATCAACGAGACAGTTTTGATTTGCTCAAACATCTTTGGCAAATGAAGGTGGCACCCTTGCAGAGATGGCAATAATATTAATAGAAACTCAAGCCTGCAGTTCTGACAGCTCTCCCAACCTGTGCACACTTGCCTCTCTTGGGCAACTCTTAGTGTCCTCAAAGACTGGCTGAGGCACTGTCCTGGTGGCTGAACCCAAGACACCTAGCCCTTCAGGTTTAGTGGTTCTCTAAAGAGTTATAGACTTACAGCCAAGCGCAGTGGCTAACACCTGTAATCCCAGCACTTTGGGAGGCCAAGGCGGGTGGATCACCTGAGCTCAGGAGTTCCAGACCAGCCTGATCAACATGATGAAACTCTGTCTCTGCTAAAAATACAAAATTAGCCGGACGTGGTGGCACAAGCCTGTAAACCCAGCTACTCGTGAGGCTGAGGCTGGGGAATCGCCTGACCCCTGGAGGCAGAAGTTGTAGCGAGCCGAGACTGTGCCATTGCACTCCAGCCTGGGCAACAAGAGCAAAACTCCCTCTCAAAAAAAAAAAAGATTTATAGACTTTCTTTTTTTTTTTTTTTAATTTTTTTTTTTTTTTTGAGACCCTCTGTCACCCAGGCTAGAGTGCAGTGGCATGATCTCGGCTCACTGCAAGCTCCGCCTCCCAGGTTCACGCCATTCTCCTGCCTCAGCCTCTCGAGTAGCTGGGACCACAGGCGCCCGCCACCACGCCCAGCTAATTTTTTGTATTTTTAGTAGAGACGGGGTTTCACCGTGTTAGCCAGGATGGTCTCGATCTCCTGACCTCGTGATCCGCCCACCTCGGCCTCCCAAAGTGCTGGGATTACAGGCGTGAGCCACCGTGCCCGGCCTAGACTTACTTTCTTAAGGAAGTATTCACCCAGGAAGTATTCACCCATTCAATAAAGAAGAATTGTTGCATACCTAGTATTTTCCAGTCTTATTAATCTATTCATGTAGCACTTTGGGAGGCTGAGGCAGGAGGATCACTTGAGGACAGGAGTTCAAGACCAGGCTGAGCAACATAGTGAGACCCACATCTCTGCTTAAAGAAAAAAAAATAGCTGGGTATGGTGGCATCCACCTGTAGTCCCAGCTACTCAAGAGCCTGAGGTGGGAGGATTATTCGAGCCCAGGAGTTCAAGATGAGCCTGGGCAACATGGTGAGACCCCTACCTCTACCAAAAAAAAAAATTCTTTAAAAATAAATAAATAGAGTCAAACCACTTATTTAATCTCATTCAGGTTGGAGAAGGAAGAAAAAGTAATTCAGACAAAAGAAACAGCATGTATAAAGGTAAAAAAAGTTCAGGAAACTAACAGATCACTCAATACAGAGGCCTGAAGAAAACAGGTGTGAGAGATGAGGGTGAAGGATTAGGTGAGGCCTAGATTTCAGAGGATATTATGTCTCGTTAATGAGCTTAATTTCATTCTATTGTTCTGGGACCATCTAAGGTACAGGCAAAACTGCAATGTAGGCTGGGTGCTGTGGCTCACACCTGTAATCCCAGCACTTTGGGAGGCAGAGGCAGGCAGATGGCTTTGAGGTCACGAGTTCGAAACCAGCCTGGCCAACATGGTAAAACCCTGTCTGTACTAAAAATATAAAAAAGTTGGGCAGGCACAGTGGCTCACACGTGTAATCGTAGCAGTTTAGGAGGCCGAGGCGGGGGGATCACCTGAAGTCAGAAGTTCGAGACCAGCCTGGCCAACATGGTGAAACCGCGTCTCTACTAAAAACACAAAAATTAGCCAGGCGTGGTGGCGGGCGCCAGTAATCCTAGCTACTCAGGAGGCCGAGGCAGGAGAATCACTTGAACCCGGGAGGCAGAGGTTGCAGGGAGCCGAGATCGCACCATTGCACTCCAGCCTGAGCGACAGAGGGAGACTCCATCTTAAAAAATAAATAAATAAATAAATAAAAAATAAAAATACAAAAAAGTTAGCTGGGTGTGGTGGCACATGCCTGTGGTCCCAGCTACCAGGGAGGCTGAGGTGGGAGGATCACTTGAGCCTGGGGGGGGAAGGTTGCAGTGAGCTGTGATAGTGCCATTGCACTCTGTTTTGTCTGGGTGACAGAGTGAGACCCTGTCTCAAAAAACAAACAAAAAACCCTGCAGTGTAGAAAGTTCACTATAGCTTTCATGTGAAGGATAGATTGGGAAGAAAGAGCATGGCATGACCCGTGAGGAAGCTATTGCAATAGTTCAATCCTGAGGAAAGTGAGGATGGGAACTAAGTAGCAGGTGTGGAGAGAGAGAGGACCATGTGGGCAGGAGAGGCAGCGTGCAGGTGGAATCAGCAGTACTTGGAGAAAGAGTTCTTGAAAGTTGTGGAACACAGAGAGGAGTCTGGAAAGATTCCTGGGACTGTTGTGGCTGGAGGGCTTCACCTACTCTGAAGAGTTGCTCGGGAGCTCTGTTGCCTTCTCAGTTGCAGAAATGAAGGAATTAAACGTCACCTATTGAGAGTGATAATCTTGATCTTGGCTTGGTGCTTCTGGTAGCCAAGGTCTAAAAGAAGGAAAAAATAGCATTTGTAAGTCATGAATAGGTACAAACCAGGAAGCTCTGTTGCCTTAAAGAAAGAGCTTCCTTAGCAGATTCTTTATTTCATCATTTCCAGTTTGGCAGCGCCCTCATGGTTGTGGCTGGGACAGGACTGCTGGCTGCTCAGGAAATATCGAGCAAATGGGCTAATCAGCAGGCAAAGAATTGATTCCCGTGTCACATCCCTTCCCCTTAGGCCACAAGTCTACAAAATTGCCAAGTGGCAGAGGCTTCTGAATCCCTGCCGTTGGCTCCCTGGAATTGCAGAAGCTTGTTAATATTGACTTTCATCTAATTGCTTCACTATTTAGTTGGCAGGATTGTTCTTTAAAAATTTTTTCCTAGTTACGTTATGCCCAAAGGCAATGCTAATTAACAGAAAGATCCAGGTTCTCTCAGACTCAAACTGCATCCTCTTTTCTCCTCATTCCACTACTTGTCTGTCATGAGAATTACACAGAAGTTTCATCTCTTAAGCTTTCCATGCCTCAGTTACCTTATCTTTAAAATGGGCATAATTAGATTAACTCTGTGACTTTCTTTATAGAGTAATTGTGAGGATTGGAGGAAGCTTTCCAGGTAAGTGTGCTACCTAGCACTTAGGGTTTAATTAAGGGTAGCTCTAAAGAATAATCACCTCATCTGCAGGGAGATGTTGCCAAGGCCTCCCTGACCTGTTGGAGGAGTTTGAGAATCACACTTGGTCGATGCCACCATTCTTTCACTGGCCTGTCTTACCATGGGTTTCTCATGGATGGCTGCTAAGCTTTGTGCAAAATCAGTCCAAAACTTACAATCCTGAAGCCCCAAAACTGGTGCTATTTCCTCCAACTCTGGTTCTCCCTATCAGCCTAAGTGCTCAGATGCTTTGAATGTGTATTTTGATTTTGCAACTTGAGTCTGAACTAGAGTTTCTTGTCTAAAGCTAAAGCCCCTTTCTTGGAATTTCATGTCAATTTTGTTTTGGTTCAAGCTGAAATTGCCTCCCTCTTTCCCAAAACCACTGATTTGCTTTCCCTGATTAGAGCAACCGGAAATTTTCCCGTTTACTACCACTACTACCTTTACTACAAATATACAGTAAAGTAAATAAAAATGGTGGCTGAAGTTGAGTGCTTACTAAGTACTGGGCGCTATCCTGAGGAATTCACATAGTTAGTAGCCCTTGGTCCTCATAAAATTCCCGAGATATGTTCTATTTCTATGCCCACCCCCACCCCCCACCTTTTACAGTTCAGAAAAATAAAGACATGAGTAATTCATTAAATCCTACATCTAGATAGACTTCCATAAACCCTCAAACAGATAGACAGCTTTTTCTAATGTTGATATTTAGGGGCCTAGTGGATTAAAGATTTTCTTAGGAAGGATAATGGAGACATTATCCTAAAACATACCTTTTACCAAAGAAAAGGCTACTATTTGCCATTAACCTTGTAGCAGGGCTTCTATACCTCAGTCTTATTAACATTTTGGAAGAAATAATGATCTATTCTGGGGGTAGGGGGCTGGGTAGGTGGAGGAAGGAGCATTGCATTACTCCTGTGATTTGCAGAGCATTTAGCAACATCCTCAGCCTCTACTTGTTAGATGCCAGCAGCCCTCTGCCCAAACTCTGGCAACCAAAAATGCCTCCAGGCATTGCCAGATGTGTTTTGGGGACACAGTCACCCCAGTTGAGGACTGCTGCTTTGAAGCACAGAATAATGCTAGAAATCATCCCTCAAATGAAGTTGAACGTGGGGCAGGTTCATTTTGGCAGAACTGGAGGTCAAAGGAAAAGTCCAATAAGATTTCGTCCACGAGGCTAGGATTTCTAGTAGGTTGTGGGGCATGGATTTGAAAAGATATCACCTTAAGCCAGGTTGACTGGGGAGAAACAATACCCATAAGGGCATGAGAATCACAGGATTTGGCATAAGGAGAAGTTGAACTGCAATATAGAACAAAGATATCAAATGGTACCTGTTGTCTTGCTACCTCAGGAAGGAGAAGGGGAAGGATGCTAGGGAGAAAAGTCAACAAATCTCCACAGAGCCTCAGAAAGCTGAGTCATTTATCTCAAGGTGATACACCTTTGAAGGCAGATCCAGGTTCAAGCCCCAATCTGTCTGACTCCATGGACCTGTCTCTCTCCCCCCTCTACCTCTCCAGAAAGAAAAAGCTGCTGCAACGATTTAGTGTAGAGGCTGGCCAACTATGGCCAATGGGTCAAATGTGGCCCACTGCCTGTTTTGACAAGTAGTTTCATTATAACACAGGCAAATCCATTTAGGTACATATTACTTATGACTGCCTTCCTGCTATAGCCACAGAGTTGGCTAGTAGTAACAGAGACTGCATGGCCTGAAAGGCCCACATGATTTGCAATCTGCCCCTTTACGGAAAAAGTTTGTGTGATGGCTAATTTTTTTGGCATCAGCTTGAGTGGATTGGGGGATGTGCACCATTAACCATTACCCCTAGTGACCCACTAGCAAAATTTGTACTTCCTGTTCCCACAATGTTATGTTCTGCTGGCCTAGAGGTCTTAGTTCCAGAAGGAGAAATGCTTCTACTAGGAAACACTACAATGATCCCATTGAACTGGGAGTTAAGACTGCCACGCGGCCACTTGGGGCTTCTATGCTTCTGAGTCAACAGGCTAAGAAGAGAGTGATGGTGCTGGCTGGGATGATTGATCTGGACAATCAAGGGGAAATTAAATACTGCTCCGCAATGGCAGTAAGGAAGAGTGTGTCTGGAATACAGGAGATCCGTTAGGGCATCCCTTAAAATTACCATGCCCTGTGATTAGGGTCAGTGAAAAACTACAACATCTCAATCCAGGTAGGACTACAAATGGCCCACACTCTTTAGGAATGAAGGTTTGGGTCATCCCACCAAGTAACAAGCCATGACCAACTGAGTTGCTTATTGAGGGCAAAGGAAATACAGAATGGGTAGTTGTTGTTGTTGTTGTTGTTTTTTTAAAAAAAGTAATTATAAATGTCAGCTACAGCCACATGACCAGTTTCAAAAATGAAGATTGTAACTGTAATGAGTATTTCCACCTATTTTGTTAAAAATACATTTGTGCATATATCACATATGTTAAGCAAATATCTTTATTTTCTTTCTTCTTTTATTCCTTTATCATGTAACATAATGTTGATTAACTTTGTATCAGCATTTAAGCATTGTTAATTTTACATTATAGCATTTAGGTTTACTGACTTTGTATCAGCACTTAAGCATTGTTAATTTTACATCATGGTACTTAAGTTATAGGATATCAGGAGAAATGTAAATGTCACTCAAGAACTTTACCTCCTCTTCTGGGAATGGGATTAGTGCAGTTTTGGTTGTACTCAGGATAGTTGTATCATCTTAAGTGGAATTATGACCTTGTTATGATCTTTATTTGGAAATTAAGTATGGCTTAAAGAGATGCATATGGCTGCCACGTTGACAAGGGGTGGGCTTATGCTGATTAATGTTTTATGTGTTGACTTGACTGGATTGAAGAGTGCCTAGATGGATGGTGAAGCATTGTTTCTGGGTGTGTCTGTGAGTGTGTTGTCAGAAGAGACTGACCTGTGAATCAGTGCACTGAGAGAGGAAGACTCGCCTTCTATGTGGGGGGGTAGCATCCAATCTCCTGGGGGCCCAGTTGGGACAACATGGCAGAAGAAGGAGGATTCTCTCTTTCTTTCTCTCTTTTTCCCACTCCCCCAGAGCAGAACACTTTTCTCCTCCTACCTTAGACATCAGACTCTAGGTTCTTCAGCTTTTGAATTCTGAGCCTGGCACTAGCCACCTCCTGGGAGTTCTAGGGCATTTAGACTCAGACTGGGGACTGTACCATTGGCTTTCCTGGTTTTGAGGCTTCAGGGCTTGGACTGAGCCACACTATCAGCTTCTCTGCTTCTCCAACTTGTACGTGGCCTATCATGTGATTTCTTCAACTCCATGATCCCGTGATCCACTTCCCCTAATAAATCCCCTCTCATATATCTGATTGTTTCCATCTCTCGGAAGAACCCTGACACTCACAATTTGCCCATCCATGATTTAGAGAATGGATCTCTAATGATATTCTCCAGAATTGCCTGTTGGATGGAGCCAAGGGGCAGCAAGATGTTGAGCTTGCCTCATTTCCCTCCTTCGTCCACTCCCATGTAGGATCTTGGGCCACCAGCCATATTTCTTGCTTTCTTTTCTATTCACCTAACACCAGGTTCATTTGTCTCCCCTAGAAGAAGCCTGTGGTTAAAAAGTGGAAACACTTCAGGAAGGAATACTTGCAAAACAAATTTCATGTGTGAGTGCTCCTGAAATTTACCCATTGTACATGTCGCTATCCTTCATGGTGTTTTATCTCCTTTCAAAAGAACTGAAAAACTTAACAGCAATGGATATTACAACAAAACTCATCTCAGTCTTACCATTAGACTGAGAGGGTTTTATTCTTCCTGTTCTTCTGTCAGATTTTAAATGGATATAGTTTTATTCCCTTTCTCATCTAATATTGGAACCTATCAATCTGCAGCAAGATCTCATTTTAAAAGATGTTCTTATATTTCAAGAGGCCTTTTAAAGGGGGAAAAATAGATCCACTCCACAGAAAGCTTGTTGCTGGAAACCAAATATATTTATCTCCATTGATTCAACAACTATTGACTGAGTTCTGGACCCGGATTATTGGTGCCCAGGGAGAGGGGCAGGGAGATGAGGTTCAGAGAGGAGACCTGACTTACTCAGAGTCATACAGCCAAGAGTGAGTCAGGGTGCCTATGCTTTTTCTTCCTTCTCATATGTTTATATCCAATAACCACAGATATAAATGTGATGCACAGACTTATCCATCCATTTACCCAAGCATCCATCTGCCTCCAACTTTTTAAATATAATACTTCCATACTTTCATTTCTTCCTCTAATTCTATCCTATGTTTCTCTTTTATTGGCTTTTACCATTTTATCCTAAATATCTTGCTCTACTCAGAAGTAATAGGAGGTCCATTCCTGCACCAAGTAATAAGAGAACTCTAGGAGGTGAATCTGTAGACTGGTCCTCAAAGAAATCTTACCAGAAAGAAGCGTCCAGGTGTATGACTCACATCTGCAATCCCAGCACTTTGGGAGGCTGAGATGGGAGGATTGCTTGAGATCAGGAGTTTGAGACCAGCCTGAGAAACATAGTGAGACCCTGTCTGTCTCTATGAAGAAAAATAAAATATATATGTATTCTTTTTTGTTTTATATATGTATGTGCATTATATATTGCTTTTTATATATGTGTATATAAAACACATATATAAAATATATGTGTTGTTATATATATAAAACAACAACAACAAAAAAGAGGCTGGGCACTGTGGCTCACACTTGTAATCCCAGCACTTTGGGAGGCTGAGGCAGGTGGATCATTTGAGGTCAGGAGTTTAAGAGCAGCCTGGCCACATGGTGAAACCCCATCTCTACTAAAAATATAAAAATTAGCCAGGCGTGATGGTGGGTGTCTGTAATCCCAGCTATTCAGGAGGCTGAGGCAGGAGAACAGCTTGAAACCTGGAGGTGGAGGTTGCAGTGAGCTGAGATCATGCCACTGCACTCCAACCTGGGCAACAGAGCAAGACTCTGCCAAGAAAAAAAAAGAGAAGAAAGTAAGGTAATTTAAGGTAAGAGAGAGAGAGAGAAAGAAAGACAGAGAGAGAGAGAGAGAGAGAAAGAAAGAAAGAAAGAAAGAAAGAAAGAAAGAAAGAAAAGAAAAAGAAAGAAAGAAAGAAAGAAAGAAAGAAAGAAAGAAAGAAAGAAAGAAAGAAAGAAAAAGAAAGAAAGAGAAAGAAAGAGAAAGAACTGGAATTCTGCAAATACATAAAGATATGTGGGGTGGGCACAACCTGGCCTTTGAGCCTCGACCTGTGCAGATTTCCTATCATCTCATCTTCTTCTATCCTATAAAATCCAGTTCTGTGCTCATCCAAATGACTCTGGCTCTTGTTCTCAAACCTTCTCCCACCCATGCTTCTTTGCCCCTTGGAGACAGAGGCAGTCACTCATTCCCTCACATCCCACCTGTGCATCCAGAACATCTTCCTCCTCAGGGTAATCACAGGGTAAGATTAATTATGCTAATCAGCCTCTACAGGCTGACACAATTAACCAGAGTATGAGATAACTTCAGAAATCTATATAGGAGGTATCTACCTGCTGGGTTGAATTTCACCATTAAGCACAGTAATTAAGGGGAGGGGTGGGTGGGAAGTTTGCTCTTTTCAACTAAAGAGTACATGGTACCATTCTCCAATAGAAGCTGTATGAAGTTTTCCAGGAAGTGTTTGGCCACTTATTGTCATCTCTTGGGATCTGCTATTGAACATCTCCTTCTTGGGGCTAGGCACCAATATTGTAGCCAGTTCTCTCTTCGTGATGGAATCAAATGAGGTGTTTGTATTTTGATGCATTTTTAAATCCTTTTCTTTCCCCTATTTACTCTTCTACACCTTTAAAGTTTTTAATATTTTTATTTATTCAAAAATAAGAAAAGTTGCCTCTCAGAATAGGAGATTTGAAAAGAAAATAAGAGAAGTTATAAAAGCTTTAGATTAGACATCCCTCACATGTGTGTTATGAAGTGTTAATTCTGAAAGTTGCTTTGGGGAATAAAAGTTTGCAATCCAAGGTAGAGAAACTCTAATTTCGGTATTCTTCTTTTGAATTTAATATCTATAGAATTTAATGTATGAGGAGTGTATTAGTCTGTTCTCTTGCTGCTAATGAAGACATACCCGAGACTGGGTAGTTTATGAAGGAAAGAGGTTTAATGGGCTCACAGTTCCACATGGCTGGAAAGGCCTCAGAATCATGGTGGAAGGCAAAGGAGAAGCAAAGGCACATCTTACATGGCAGCAGGCAAGAGAGCTTGTGCAGAGGAACTGCCCTTCATAAAACCAACAGATCTCATGAGACTTATTCACTACCACGAGAAGAAAATGAGGGAAACTGCTGCCGTGATTCAATTATCTCCATATGGCCCCATCCTTGGCACATGGGGATTGTTACAATTCAAGGTGATATTTGAGATGGGACACAGCCAAACCATATCAAAGAATCATACATTAAAGGCTCTGAAAATTCTGTAACAAAGAAAACATATTAACCAAACACAGTTAATCCAATATTTTCCACATTTATTTTACTACACATTGAACTGTGTTAAAGTCCTTGTCTCAGAGTCTCATTTCAGGGGCAAAAAAACACCGTAAATCTTAGTTTTCTTGCCCCCAAAATGAGACCTGAAGACAAGGACTTTAGCACAGTTAGTTTGCTGAGAGAAGATTTCAAGAAACAGAAGTGAGGAAGTGGGAAAAATGAGGCAGGATAGGAGGAAAGACAATCAAAGTGTATTAATGAAATAGTTACTGCTGTGGACAACTGGGGTTCAGTCTTGCTGGAACCCTAAAGATCCATCTAGAATGCATCACAGAATTGTCCTTCTGGAGGATAGAAAGGCTGAGGCATTTATCCACGGACTCACATATCTTATTGTTTGTTTTTCTGTGTATGTCTGAGTTGATCAGCTGATGGAGAGAAAACACAACACACCCTTAATATGGGGCTGACAGTGCAGCATGGAACTGTCCGCCACAGCAGTCCTGAAATATGGAGGACTGAAGGGCTGTGTTGTGGTCATCACAAGTTCTTGCTACATTGTATAACATTTTTTAAATGTTTTAAAATGCTAATTTATTAACATCCAAGCAAACTTGCAGTCTATGTCCATCATTTAGGAAACACCACTCTGTTTTAAATTATTCGAGTTTTTCTAGATCCGACTCTCTCCTTTTTCCTCATGGGAATATAAGCACTGACAAATGCTAGTCAGTAGATTAAGAGGAGATGAGTGTGTGTTCCTTCCAAGCTGAAGTGGAAAAAGTCTCTGCACAACTCTCCCTCTTTGCTTCCCCTGCAGTGACAACCTTGGAATGCATCAATTGAGGTGGCCACAGGAAGAAAGTAGATCAGATCCCTGAGCAAACATGAAAGAGAATGCCCCAGGGAGCTACCTGACCTGCAGTGGACTTTGAGCAAGAAATCAGCTTTTATGTGTCAATCCACCAGAATTTAGGGCTTTCTCTTAATTGCAGCAAAGCCTAGCCCACCGTGAGTAACACAGCAGCCTTAGAGAACACAGCCACAGATAAGCAAAAGTCACTGTAATCTAAGATATTCCTTACACAGAATATCAGATACAGGTCAGCTAGTGTTATAGCAAGAAAAACAAGGAGAGGACAAAGAAAGACTGACCATTGCCTGTTCTTCTTAGTGTAACTCACAGAGAATCACAAAGACAAGGGAGGAAAGGGTCAGTGAGTGACCCAAGCTCTACATGGAAGTGTCTTGTTTCTGGAGAATGAGATGGTCTAGAGGAGCGTGTTCCATTTTATGGGAGCAGATATGAGTAAACTCTTCTTGAAAAGGAGAGCTTAGTGCTGTGTTTTCATTCCCTGTTCTGACTCTTTAAGTGGGCTCATTGATCTGGAAAACATATACTTGCTGGCCCACAGATGTGAATAATTGAAGCAATGTCACCCACCCTTGCTTATTCTAATTTGCTTTCACTACAATTTCCTATCTAAACTAGCTCTGAAATTTTGGCTCTGGCAACTCTTGTTCAAATATTTTTCTCCTCTGTCCCCTCATTTGGGGAATCCAATTAAGCATATATTTGCCTGTTTGAATTCATCCCTTCATTTAGAGCTTATTAACGCTCTGCTAAATTTTTTTTTTTTTTTTTTTTTTTTTTTTTTTTGAGACGGAGTCTTGCCCTGTCGCCCAGGCTGGAGTGCCGTGGAACAATCTCGGCTCACTCCAAGCTCCGCCTCCCAGGTTCATGCCATTGTCCTGCCTCAGCCTTCCCAGCAGCTGGGACTACAGGCACCCGCCACCAAGCCCGGTTAATTTTTTTGTATTTTTAGTAGAGATGGGGTTTCACCATGTTAGCCAGGAAGATCTTGATCTCCTGACCTCGTGATCCGCCCACCTCGGCCTCCCAAAGTGCTGGGATTACAGGCGTGAGCCACAATGCCCGGCCTCTGCTAAAATTTTTAAATGATCTTTTCTCTTTTAATTTCATTTTTGATAGTTTCTCTTGCTATGTCTTCAAGTCTTTTCTTCTGTCATGTTTAATCTCCCATTAATTCCATCTACTGTTTTTAAAATCTCTTACATTGTAGTTTTCATCTTAAGAATGTCCATGTCTTTTTACTATTTCCCACGTATTTATTCAAAGTTTTGATATCTTGAATACAGTTATAATAACGATTTTAATGTCCTTGCATGTTAATTCTAACATCTAGGCCAGTGCTGGATCAGTTTTGATTATTTAATTATTCTCCTCACTATGGGTCATATTTTTCTGCTTCTTTATATGCCTGTTAATTTTTGATTAGATGCCAGTCATTGTAAATTATGCCTTGTTGGATTCTGACTAACTTTCTGTCTCTGTAAGTATTCTTGAGTTTTGTTATGGGGCACAGTTAAATTACTTGGAAAAGTTTTATTCTATCAGATTTTGCTTTTAATATTTGTTAGGCAGGACTAGAACAGTGCTCAGTCTTGGGCTGATTTGGGCTATTTTCCATTACCAAGGCAAGATACTTCTCTTTAAAGTAATTACTTCACATGTCTGATAAGGTTTATTTTCTTTGTTCTTTTTGTTCCTTTTACTTTTTCTTTTCTTTCTTTCTTTCTTTTTTTTTTTTTTTTTTTTTTGAGGGGGTATGTTTCAGGTGAGAAAGTAAACCTAGTCCCTGTTAATCCATGTTGACTGGAAGCAGAACTGTGACTGATTTTAATTCTTATCAAAGTTCCCTTTGGAATTTGTGATTAAACATGCCTTCTTGGATTTGGCCCACTGAGTTGAATAATTGATTTTTCCTTTTTCTGACCTTTCCCAGAGTCCCTGAAATACCCACCCTTCCTCAGTTTCTTCTGTCACACCAACACTCTTCATTAAGCTGTCAACTGTCTAATGCAGTCTTTCTCCAGAAGATACTGCCAATTGCCTACCTAACAGTTATCCCTCCCACTTGTTTGCTAGGTAATAAAACTCTTATATTGTTCAGGGAAGCAATTTTCCTCAGCTAAGTCTTACCTCTCTGGACTTCAGTAAATCTAGTAGTAGCCACAGGAAAGTTGTTTGTTTGTGTGTGTTCTTTTTTAAATAACACAGCTATTCTTGCATCTGATTTTTTACTGTTTGGAATTTGGATGCAATGCCTGGAGATGCAACATCATTCTTGCAACCAGAAGCACATATATGATACATATTGTGTAATACCAGATAGTGCTATTTATATACAGTAAGAAATGAATGTGCCACTGCCTGATGCTGTGCAATGTGCAGTATATGTGGCCATACTCAGAAGCCCTAACAAGAAGGATGAAGATGCAGGAAGATAGAAGGGCCCTGGGTGTGAGCACTAGACTGACTTCTTGCTGTGTGAGAAAAAAATACCCCTTGCCTGTTTAAATCATTTTTTTCTTGGTTTCTGTTACTTGCAGCTGAGCATAATCTTGACTTACATCCCTCTTCTTCTTTCCTCTACAGGTAACAGAATATTGGCATGTAGCACTCCTCAAAACATAGAAAGCAGAAACAAATCAATTCTGCCTGGAGGACCTCCCCGATCTCAACACCCAGTGGTTTTGACAGAATTGATATAGAAATAGAAGCTTCAAGGTGGGAACTTTTTATTTAATGCAAAGTAATATACGATTTAAGAAACTATATTTGTTGCATGTTATGTATGTGTCAGATAGTGGGTTAAGAAGTGCTTTACATGAATTATACCGTTTAATCTTCAAAACTACAGTAAGATGCAGGGATTGATATATTTATCCAACCAATATTTATGAATTATTAGAACTGTTCTAGGTACTGTGGACCTAGCCATGAATTACAAGGTACTTTCTATCCATGGAGTTACAGCCTGGTGAGGGAGACCTGTAACATCAAACAAATAAATAAAATAAAAATAGAAGACTGTGAACAAATCTCTGAAGATTATTAAATCATCTGATGTGATAAAGATAGTGACTATTTTAGAGCAGCTCACTGGGGAAGGCCTCTCTGAGGAGGTGCCTTTTAAGGTAAGAAGTCTGAATGACAAGAATAAGACAACCATGTGAAAATCAGGGCATTTCAGGCAGGGGTTACAGTGAGTGCAAAAGGCCTTGAATTGAAAAGATCGTGGTGAGTTGAAGGAACAGCAAAAAGGTCCTGTGTGTTTGGGGAGTGAAGATGAAAGGGGATGAAGCTGTAGGTACTGGTAGGGGGACAGTCATAAACGACTGGGTAAACCAAGCTCAGGAGTTTTATTCCATTCTAAGAGGAGTGCTGTGATTTGTTTTATATTTTACAAAATCAATCTGGCTGTTCTTTAGTGAATAAATAGATTATGGGTAGGGGAAAAGAATGAAAGTAAGAAAATGAATTAGGAAGCTTTGCAGCCATTCAGAAGATGAAAGGACTTGGCTGGGATGGAGTGATAGGAAAGATGAAGGGATGGAGATGAATTTGGACTGTGTTTTGGAGGTGGAGTTCTCAGAGCTTATTTAGGGATTGGCTTACAGGCGATGAGAAAAAGGAATCAAGGATTGATGTTAGGGTTTTGCCTAAGGAATTATCCCCATGTCAAAAATGAGGAAACATATATATGCTTAATATATATCACATATATATGTTTCACATATATATTTATATATATATGAAACAATTATATATGAAAGAGATTATGAAGTTTGCCAAAGGTCATACAGGTATCCCATGACTTTCATTTATTATGTATTTATTTATTCATTTGACAAATATGTGTCAGGCATAGCAGAAATAGGAGTGATCAAGACAGTAATGGTCACTCATGGAATTGAAACCAACTCAATAGTCCCATAGACCAATAGTCCCCAACCTTTTATGGCACCAGGGACCGGTTTCATGGAAGACAATTTTTCCACAAACCCAGGTTGTTGGGGGATGGTTTGGGATGATTCAAGCATATCACATTTATTGCGGATTTTATTTCTATTATGATAACATTGCAATATATAATGAAATAATTATACAACTCACCACAATGTAGAATCAGTGAGAGTCCTGACCTTGTTTTCCTGCAACTAGACAGTCCCATATGGTCACGATGGGAGACACTGACAGATCATCAGGTGTTAGATTTTCATAAGGAACAGGCAACCTAGATCCCTCATATGTGCAGTTCACAATAGGGTTCGTGCTCCTATGAGAATTGAATGTTGCTGCTGATCTGGCAGGAGGCAGAGCTCAGGTAGTAATGCCAGCTATGGGGAGCAGCTGTAAATAAAGATGAAGCTTTGCTTGCCCACTGCTCACCTCCTGCTGTGTGGCCCATTTCCTAACAGGCTACAGACTACCACCCGTCTGCAGCCTGAGGGTTGGGGGAGACCCCTGCCATTGACAGTTTGTTTTTTTTCCTCCCAGTAAACATAGAAATTGACCCTTCTGGTCTTAAAGCTTGAAGCTTACATTTGTTTTATCAGAGTTCCTTCCTCAGGAAAGGATCCCCACTCCCCTGCCCCAGACTTTCAAAAAGTATCAAAGAGCTGAAACTCACCAGATCATCACATCCAGGCAATGAGAAGCCAGACCACTTATTCATCCTGATTGCTTCCTTACCCCTCCCAAGTTACATTTCCTTCCTGCTATATAAACCCCTAATTTTAGTCTGTTAGGGAGATGGATTTGAGACTAAGCTCCCATCTCCTCAGCTGCAGCACCCAATTAAAGTCTTCTTCCTTAGCAATAACCATTGTCCCAGTGATTGGCTTTCTGTACAGAGAGTAACAGGACCTAGACTGAACCCCTGGTGTTTGAGAGGATATTTTACTGCATTATTAAAGTGCTTAGGAGGATTTGAAATTCAAAGTCAGTCATGGTAAGTCAAAGTTCATACTTTGGCTTATGTGGTGTTTGATGGAATTTCCTGCTGTTTGAAAGGGGACACCCAGGGATCAGGACTCTACAGACCCTCCCTCCCATCCCACTTAGCCCCTCTTGTTCTTTGACTGAATTTTGTCATTCAGCCTCAAGCACGCCTGTTTTGTGTTTTTTTTTTTTTTTTTTTTTTTTTTTTGAGACGGAGTCTCGCTCTGTCGCCCAGGCTGGAGTGCAGTGGCGTGATCTCGGCTCACTGCAAGCTCCGCCTCCCTGGTTTACGCCATTCTCCTGCCTCAGCCTCCCGAGTAGCTGGGACTACAGGCGCCCACCACCACACCCAGCTAATTTTTTGTATTTTTTAGTAGAGACGGGGTTTCACTGTGTCCAGGATGGTCTCGATCTCCTGACCTCATTATCTGCCCGCCTCGGCCTCCCAAACTTGGGATTACAGGCGTGAGCCACTGCGCCCAGCCTTTTTTTCTTTTGAACAATGTTCTTACGTGGTCCACCAGTGATTACTGCAGGAGTCTTGGTAAACACTTATTGCATACCTACAAGGTGTCAGGAACTGGACTTGTCGCTGGAGAAATAAAAAATGAGTAATAGATCTCCCTGTCTACAAGGACCCCATTGTCTAGTTGGAAAATATAATCATAAACAATTATTTCAATGCAGTAGACTTAGGGCTGTGATAGAGGCACAGGACATTGTTGGGTCACATGGGAAGGTACCTTACACAGACTGGGCAAAAGTTATTAGAAAAGCTCTCTCAGAGAAAGTGATAGAGAAAAAGGAAAAGGAAATGGATTTTGCCATGCAAAAGGAAAGAAAAAGAATTCTAAGGCAGACAGAGCAATCCATATAAAATCACAGAGGCTTGAAACAACATGGCAAGTGCAGGGAACTATGATGTGTTTGGACCATAAAGTGAAAAAGGTGGTGGGGGGAGGTGAGCCTGGAGAAAGAGATCCCAACCTGGCCCCAAAGGCAAGTCATTTCAAAGCCTCTTTGCACCACACATTTTCTCTCTCCTTTCCTTCTTCCACAAACAAAACGAAAGTATTTCCCAATGCAGAATGCCAACTGAAATGTGCACTTCAAAGGCTATATTGGGCCAGGCGCGATGGCTCATGCCTGTAATCCCAGCATTTTGGGAGGCCGAGGCAGGTGGATCACTTGAGGTCAGCAGTTCAAGACCAGCCTGACCAACATGGTAAAACCCCTTCTCTATTAAAAATACAAAACTTAGCCAGGCATGGTGGTGTGCACCTATAATCTCAGCTACTTGGGAGGCTGAGGCAGGAGAATGGCCCGAACCCGGGAGGTGGAGGTTGCAGTGAGCTGAGATCACACCATTGCACTGCAGCCTGGGAAACAGAGCGAGACTCCATCTCAGAAAATAAGTAAAATGAACAAAAGACTAGACTGTGTTGGTTTTCTCTCCCTCTTATTTTCTGGGGACCTGCTACATTCTGATCATGGATCCTGTTTTGTTTGAGCGACATCGCATTTTCCTCTGAAATCCTTTCTGTCTCTCTTCCATCCGGTTGTTTCTTTAACTGAAAAAGGAACCTGCCGGGGAAACATGTTGGGGTCTTGACGGCATCTCATGTCTGTGTATATTTCAAAACACATAAAAGAGATCCTGAGTCACTGAGGGGCATCCTCCTGTTTCTTATGCTTTCTGTTTCAAAGATTGTCTCCAAAGCTCACCTCTTAGTGCTGAGAGTTTTGGGCTTCTTTATGGAATTGTCTGGAATCTTAAGAAAAAAATATACACTTGCAAATCAGTGCTGTGTTCACAAAGCAAAAGATCACACCCTAAGAACCAGGCTTTCCCTGTTGTTTAGGTCAAATCCCTTTTGACCTAATTCTTAGGGTCCTATAAGTCTGGACTCCTCTGGGCCAGACTTGAACTCTATAGTTTACCCCCTAGAAACACTGGACTTCCTTGTGCATCAGTTCCTGCAGCTGTAAAATGCAAGCATTGAACTAGATCATCCTGGAAGGTCTGTTCCACTCTAATAGTCTAGGATTTTGTAAAAAATTTATTTATGATTTAGTTAGTACTTCTGCCAAACATATTCCATAAACCTTCACCCAGCTTTTGAAAAACAACAGATCTTTCTGGATTTCATCTTCTTACATGAGTATTACTAAGCCTTTCTACATCGGTACAGGCTAGATAATTGGAAAAGAAAGGGTGTTAAGAATGCGGGCTCGAAGGCTGGACTTGGATCTAATGAATCCTAATATCTGGGAGTGGTGCTTGGGGACCTGTACTCAATAAGCCACCTGGGCGATTCTGATCCACCATTAGTGCATCTGATGTTTCTGCAGGTAACACATTGTATTAGTGTCCTATTGCTGCTGTGGAATATTACCATAAACTTTGTGTCTTAAAACAACACAAGTCTGTCATGTTTACAGGTCTGTGTCTGTTTAGAAGTTCTAAATTATTTTCATGGGGTGAAAATAAAGGTGTCATCATGGCCTCCTACTGGAAGAATCCCATTCCTTGCCTTTTCCAGCTTCTAACAGCTGCTTATATTCCTCGGCTTATGGTCCTGCACGGCGCCTATCAGTTTCCTTTGTCTCGTCCCTTTCACTGACTCTGAATCTAACTCTCCAGCTTCCCTCTTTTAAGGGCCCCTGTGATTACTGTGAGCCCTCTTGGATAATCCAAGATAATCTCCCTGTCTCAAGATTCTTAACTCCATCATGTCTGCAAAGCCACTTTTGCCATGTAGGTAGCATATTCATAGGTCTGGGTATTAAGGTAAAGACATGCTTTGGATGCCCTTATTCAGCCTATATCCCATACTGCCTTGATTTTGCTGAGGCTGATACAAGGGGCCCCAGAATTTGTTGCTGCAAATTTTCTTTTATAAAATCCAATAAACTGACTCTAGGAGATGTCACTGAAACACTTGCTAAAAATAATCTATATTCCACCAGGTAATCTGCAATCACCTGCATCATTTAGAACCCTCCATTTCATCATGCAATTAATTTATACATATATATATATACTTTCATTATTCACCTGTTAACTCCATAACATGCTAATCACGAGCTAGTTTGCAGCAGTTATATTCCCTTCCTCACGGCTGCATGAGGATGCGATTAATTGGAAAACAGGGAGACCAGAGACATGACCAGAAATGACGTCATGCATCCCATGCCATCGCAATACAATTGTCAGGTTCACTGGTGGTTTGGTAAAGCTGGTTCAGTTCTATTCCCTTTGTCAGGGATTCCCATGTGTGTGAAAATTGGACCAACAGTGGTGGGGTTCCATTTCCTGGTTCCATTTCCTATGTTCTTCTCAGAAGATAGAATAGCGTCTGTTAAGACAAGATGGCTTAGGAGGCGGACTGACCTGAATTCACGTTCTGCCTTGGCCACTTACTAGCTGCATTGGTTTTGGCATATTACTTAACCTCTCTGTGCCTCAGTTTTATAATCTGAAAAATGGGATCTCATAGCTATTAACTAACAGCAAAGACTAGACCCCTAGGCCTACCTCTTCTCACTCCTGCACCCATGTTTTGCTTGGTGTGCGGTGTAGTGGGCTTTTTTATTCTCTAAAATACCTTAATTTTTGTTTTGAGCCTCAATTCTAACATGCAGAGAAAACAAGGCTTGGGCTGTTTAGGGTTTTTATTCTCTCTTTTCTCAAGGGGTTGAGGCCAAGTTCTGGGGCATGTGGAGTGACATCATGCCGAAGACGTCATTAGCAGTCGGTGCCAGCTCCTCCTGAGAACTGCTCTGTTTCATCTGGTCAAAACCAGGACCACTCCAGGCCTCGGTCACTCTTGGCCTCTCTTGAATACAGGAAATATTTGGTAGTTCTTTCTCTAGGCTTGGGGAACAGGGAGAGAATGCACTCCCCACTGTGTCAGCGTGCACCTTGCTGGTCACTCAGAACCTTGAGGTTCCTGGCACATCTATCTCAGAACAATTGGTCAGGGCAACCCCACTTCCATTTTTCCTCTGCTATTCCCTGATGACACAGGAAGGGGCATGCTAGGGTCTTGCCATTTTTCACCTGTGCTTTTTCTACCACACAATGTTTTGCACCCTCTGAAGCAAACCCTATCAGCCTCTCATCCAAGCTGCTTTGGAAGCTTTCTTTCATAGGCAGCCAGAGATAAGGGGCTGAGAATGGCGCAAGAAAACACCAAGAGTAGAGCTCCTAAAACCAGTGATCCCTTTGCTAGAAGACAAGCTATATGTGAGTCCATCCCCTGCAAATCACTCCTTGGCAGAAGAAACTCAGAAGGCGGTGGAGGGGTTGTAGACAGGATAAAACACTTATGTTTAATTGCCTTGGGAGGGTCAGAAACAAGTCTGTTCAGTTTTGTCAAGCTAATTTGTTAGAAAAGAATGTGCTCAGCATATAAACAAAAGCCTTTTTTCTATAAGCAATTAGGAACCACCCTAATCTTACTCATTTAAACACACACCCAACCACAAAGCTGGAAAGACACCAAAGAGTTGGAAAGACACCAGAGTTGGGGCTGACCAACCGCTTTTGCTAAGCCTCAAACCTTTGCAATTAAAGACTGATCTTCCTTTCTGAAAAGCTTGTCTTTGCGAACCTCTGAGCGTTGATTTCCAATTTGTTTTTGGCCAGGCAGTATTCTCTGTGTACTTTATTTACATGATTTAGAATTTTCATGACATTCTTGCATTTTTTCCCATCACCCAAGTATTTATCATATTTATCATTTCTATATGTTGGGTACATTGAAGGTCTTCTAGCTATTTGGAAAAAGTACAACTCATTTTGTTAACTATAGTCACTCTGCTGTGCTAGCAAACGTTACAACGTACTCCTTCCATCTGACTGTATGTTTTACTCATTCACTTTTAACTTTAGCAGTGATGGTGTCAGGCTGTCCTCAACCATGCTGTAGAGGTGCATCCCCTCTGCTTCCACCACAGCCTCCTCTCCTTTCTCCGTCTCACATTCACACGCTGTTTTGTAACTGACAGCTTATGTGTCTCTGCCCTGTAAACACTGTGAGACCAGTCTTATGTCTACCACTGTGTCCTCAGTGCCTTGTACCATGCCCGGCACATAGAGGCTACTGGGTAAATTATTGTTGAGCAAATGAATGAATGAATGAGTGAATGCCTTCTCTGGGAGGGAAGGTCAAAGGTGTCAGAGGTCATTGCCACAGTGATGAGGATCTGCAAATCTGCAAAGCAAATAACACTGAAAATGGAAGCTATCTTTCCCCCAAATTTCTATGAAATTGAATTTCAAAATTGAAGTGGAAATGAATCACAAGATGGTAGATATCTCATTAAGAGAGATCTCATTAAGAGAACTCATACATACTTTGATTGAATAATCAGGGCCAATGTTTTCTGAACACTTATTACATGCCAACCACTGACACAGCACTCTTTACATGCATTCCTTCCTCCATTGGGTACTTGAGCTGAATGTCTTCCACTGGCCCTTCCAGATCCGCATCTGTGCTTTTTCCATCCCTGCCCTGGTGCTGGAATGCTAACCTGTAGAGACTGACTAGGTCCTCTTGCTCTCCAGCTTCTAGATGGATTCAACCATTGGGAGGCATCAGCAGAAGTCAGAGAAGAGGGTAAAATGCAGTCCGGCTATTTAGTCTGTTGGCTGTTTCCCTGCCAAGTCACCATGGGTGATTTAACTGTATCTACTGAAGACCACAGTGCCTGTCTTGCAGCCTTCTCCATACAATTACCTTTTCTGGATGCCAGTAACCACCTCTTCCTCTTGCCCTTGCAGGCTTAGAGACGTATCAGCTGCCTTCTGTTATTACCCCAGCGGTATTCACCATGCCATGTGGGTTTCCTTAAATCCTGTCACCCTTTTCTCATAACAACAGTTATGTCATTAATAGCTCCATTTTAAAGAGAGGACACTAAGTCTTAAAGAGATTAAGAGACACTTCGAGGCCAGGTGTGGTGGCTCATGCCTGTAATCCTAGCACTTTGGGAGGCTGAGGCAGGAGGATCACTGGAGCCCAGGAGTTCAAGACCAGCCTGAGCAACATGGCAAGACCCCATCTCTACAGAAAAGTAAAAAATTTAGCTTGGCGTGGTGGCACATGCCTGTAGTCCCAGCTACTCAGAAGGCTGAGGCAGGAGAACCACTTGTGCCCAGGAAGTCAAGGCTGCAATGAGCCCTTTTCATGCCACTGCATTCCAGCCTTGGCAACAGAGCAAGATCCTGTCACTAAAAAAAAAAAAAAAAGAGAGAGAGAGACGTGTCCAAGGTCACCGAGTCAGTAGGAGCAGATCCTCCAACCTAGATCTGTCTAACTCTACTGCTAATGCTTCCCTTCTGTGATATTTAAGGTGAGAGTGTGGCTGGTGCCCCAAGGCTGAGATGTAACTCGGAGAAAAACTAACTGGAGCAATGTTTACTGGGAGCCAAGAGCAGAATTCTCATTTCAGACCTCCGCTTCCACAGATGGGCACTTAGAGTTTGGCTCTGAGGGGTGGTGGTGGTTCACAGAGAGTTCAAACCCCATCACAGACACATGTGGGTGAATAAAGTGTCAGGGTCTTTGCTTTTTCCAAGTGCCTGATACAGGCTTGCAGATGCGTGGGGGTGTGAACAAGAGAGCCTCAAGTGGATTTCACTCTTGGATGTAGCCTATAAATATGTATGTTGGGCACCATGAATCATTTAGGGCTGGATTGGTTGCAGTTTTTCATTTTTTAAGGGATGGTTTCATGACTCAGAGATACTGGCATGCACCCCCAAGGTCAGAGTGGATCCGAACACTTTACAGAAATTGGAAGGAAACAAAATATTTGCTGCCTAGCTTTATTCTGAGAACTTTTTCTAAGTTTAAAAACATACAAGGGAGCAGAGAACGGGTCACAAATGAGCTTCATTCAGGGTTGTGGTGTTTTGATATATATATTTTACTGGATTTTGACCACAATCCATGGCTCATAGCTTCCATAGCCTTTTTCCAGTCTTTTATTAGAATGTCAGGTGTGCCAGGCCTCAGGAAACAGAAGCTCGCTGACTTTCCCCAGCCCTCCTCTCCCTCTAATCCTTCCCCGGTCTTTCTGATTGTGGGTCTTAAGACCACCCATCCCCAGAGAGAGTCCTGCTTTATATCCTGGCGAAAGGAATGTTGAGGTCATGAATCTTCCCTAAAAACACAAGAGAACTGGGTCCAGAGATCTTCTGGATAACTGAACATGTAGAGGTTTCTGAAGGGTGGTCCCCAGGGAGAGCATGGAAGCTCTGTGTCCCTTCTCCCATACCTCACCCTACACATCTCTTCATTTGGATCCTTTGCAATATCTTTTACAATAAACTGATAAATGCATTTCCCTGAGTTCTGTGAGATGCTCCAGTAAATTAGTTAGATTCAAGGAGGGATTCTTGGGAACCCCAGTTTGAAGCCAGTCAGAAATTTCAGAGGCCTGGGCTCACGACTGGTGTCTGGGGTAGGGGTGAGGGGGCAGTCTTGGTAACTGAGCCGTCAATCAGTGGCATCTGATGCTATCTCCAGGCAGATAGTGTAAGAATCAAATTAGAGGACACCCAGCTGGTATTCCCTGCTTGGCGTGTGGAGGAAAAAAACCCATATATTTGGTCACAGAAGCCTTCCATGTTGATGATTGTTGTTGTGGTAGTGTGAGACTAGAGGAGAAACATAGTTTGAGAGTTTTTCCGAAACAAGTGTGATAAAAGCTTTGGAAATTGTATAGCTTTTATAATTTTTTTCACCCCTTGTACAATTGTAACTTCACCTCTCCGAGCCTCGGTTCCCACATCAGCACAATGGGCATAAGAGCTCAATGAGATGTGTGCCTCTACAGCACCAGTACAGGACATGGACTTCACATGCATAACTGGTGGTCTTCCTCCTCTTCCTCTCAAGTAGCTCCAACTCACAGCCAAATCTGAGTGCCTAGCATGCTTCCAGCCAGCCCTCAGAAATTAGCAGTTGTTAATTGGTGAATGTTGCCTCTCTGGCTGTATAGTAAGTGTATTAGTCCGTTCTCACATTGCTGTAAAAAACTACCTGAGACTGGGTAATTTATAAAGAAAAGAGATTTAATTGGCTCACAGTGTGGCAGGTTGTACAGGAAGCATGGTTGGGGAGGCCTCAGAAAACTTACAATCATGGTGGAAGGTGAAGAGGAAGGAGACAGCTCTTACATGGCTGGATGAGCAGGAAGCGTGGGGAAGAGTTGCTATACACTTTTAAACAACCAGATCTCCGGAGAACTCACCTGCTATCACAAGAACAGCAGCAAGGGGGACGTCCACTCCCATGATCCAATCACCTCCCACCAGGTTTCTCCTCCAACACTGGGGCCTATAATTCGACATGAGATTTGGGCAGGGACACAGAGGCAGACCATATCAGTAAGCTCCTGCATGGTATGTGTATCAGTCAAGTGATGCTGCAGTAACAACACTAAGCCTCTTGTTCTTTTTTTTTTTTAACTTTAAGTTCTGGGATACATATGCAGAATGTGCATGTTTGTTACATAGGTATGAATGTGCCATGGTGGTTTGCTGCACCTATCAACCCGTCATCTAGGTTTAAGCCCCACATGCATTAGGTATGTGTCCTAATGCTTTCCCTCCCCTTGCCCCGCACCCCCCGACAGGCCCTGGTGTGTGATCTTCCCCTCCCTGTGTCCATGTGTTCTCATTGGTCAACTCCCACTTATGAGTGAGAACATGCAGTGTTTGGTTTTCTGTTCCTGTGTTAGTTTGCTGAGAAGGATGGCTTCTAGCTTCATCCGTGTCCCTGCAAAGGACATGAGCTCATTCTTTTTTATGGGTGCATGGTATTCCACGGTGTATATATGCCACATTTTCTTTATCCAGTCTATCATTGAGGGTAAGCCCTTGTTCTCATACCATATTGCTTCCCTTTTTCCTTTTTTATTGATATATAACAATTGTACATATTTTGAGGGTACTTGTGATATATTTTGAGGGTACTTGTGATATTTCAATACCTGTATAAAATGTGTAATTATCAAATGAGGGTAAATAGAACATTCATCACCTCAAACTTTTATCTGTTCTTTGTGTTGAGAACATTTCAATTCTTCTCTTCTAGGTATTTTGAAATATACAATAAGTTATTGTTAACTCTAATTTCCCTTTGTGCTATCAAATGCTAAAACATATTGCTTCTGTGTTTTTGTACCCCTTAACCAACTTTTCTTCATCTCTCCACACTGCCTTTTCTTCCCAGCCTCTGGTAACCAGCATTCTACTCTCTATCTCTATGAGATCCACTTTTTAAGCTCCAGTATATGAGTGAGAATCTGAGATGTTTATCTCTCTTTACCTGACTTACTTCATGTAACATAATGACCTTTGGTTCCATTCATATTGCTGCAAATGACAGAATTTTGTTATTTTTTATGGTTGAATAATATTCTATTGTTTCACTCCCATACTGTCTGCCTAGACACCCTTTCTCCACGTCATCCAGAGGGTTACCCTAGAGGCTTCCATGTTAGAAACAGGGGACCCCATTCCTGCACGGAGTTGATTCCAGATGGTTCATGGATGGGCATCTGATCCAGGCAGAATCCTTCCCTGAGAATGGGGATCTAGAACTCAGAAAGAGACTTGGAACATGTTGGTATGTATGTATGCTTTCACATGGACCAGCGAAATGGTGAAAGCTAGACTGGGTAGAGAGATTGAAAATAAAACAGCCATTAAGATAGGAGAAGGATTGAGAGAAGAGATTTTCATGAGAGCACTCAGAAGTCCTTGATTCCAATTAGACCTGAGGCCCAGCCACATTACTGTCTTGGCTTCCAAGAATAATCCTAGTACCCTACTTCTCTGAAAATCCTTCGGTTTCTGTCACTTGCAACCAAGAGTCAGCATCCAGGTGGCAGACTGACATCTATCAACTTGGTTTAACTTATTATTTTGAAATAATTTTAGACTTCTCGCCAACACATTTTTACTCCATATCATTTCTGATTTGTTTTTGCTCACTTATAAAATGGAAAGAAATATTTTCTGGAACCATTCTTTTTTTTAGTAGAATGCATATAAAAATCTACTCTAGAGCCTAGCATAGCAAATGCTTAGTGGGGATCTGCAATAATCCTCTCTATACCTTCTTTCTCTTTTTATTTTCTTTGAGATGGATTTTTGCTCTTGTTGCCCAGGCTGGAGTGCAATGGCATGATCTCAGCTCACCGCAAACTCCATCTCCCAGGTTCAAGTGATTCTCCTGCCTCAGCCTCCAGAGTAACTGGGATTACAGGCATGCGCCACCGCACCCAGCTAATTTTGTATTTTTAGTAGAGATGAGGTTTCTCCATGTTAGTCAGGCTGGTCATGAACTCCCGACCTCAGGTGATCCACCTGCCTTGGCCTCCCAAAGTGCTGGGATTACAAGCGTGAGCCACCGCACTCAGCCCACTTCTTTCCCTTAAAGATATTTGCTTCTTGGTTCTGCACCAGGCTAGGCTAAGTAGTTGCCAGCCCATTTTTCTGGTTCCTTTCCTGAATGAATGGTTTCCACCTCTTTCTTCATTGCTTGTACAGTCATCCCTTGCTATCTGAGAGGGATTTGTTCCAGGACCCTGGCAGATACCAAAATCTGCAGATGCTCAAGTTGCATATGTGAAATGACATAATATTTGCATATAACCTATACATATCTCTGTGTGTTAGGCCGTTCTTGCATTGCTACAGAGAAATACCCGAGACTCGGTAATTTATAAAGAAAAGAGCTTTAATTGGCTCACAGTTCTGTAGGGCGTACAGGAAGCATCACATAAGCATCTGCTTCTGGCGAGGCCTCAGGAAGCTTACAATCATGGCAGAAAATGAAGAGGGAGCAGTTGTCTCACGTGGTGGGAGCAGGAAGGAGGCAGGGGCTGCCACACACTTTTAAATGACCAGATCTTTCAAGAACTCAGACAGAGAACTCATTTATCACCAAGGGGACGGCCCAAGCCTTTCATGACGGATCTGCCCCCATGATCCAAAAAGCTGCCACCAGACCCCACCTCCAACATTTGGGATTATAATTCAACATGAGATTTGGGTGGGACATCCAAACTTTATCACTCCATATACTTTAAATCATCTCTAGATTACTTATAATACTAACATAATGTAAATGCTATGTAAATAGATACTATACTGCATTGTTTTTAAGTTTCCATTATTTTCATTGTTATATTGTTATCTGTTTTTTCCGGATATTTGCTACTGTGGTTGGTTGAATCTGCAACATGTAACCCTTGGATACAGAGGACTAGCTCCATGTGCATTTGGGCCAAGACAGTTTGGGTTGGGCCAATGCAATTATTTGGGAAAGTGCTGGATGGCAGGGACACTTTGGAATCAGAAAGGAGAATCTCTTTTAAAGCAAGGGATCTCACTCAATGAGACAAAAGAGAACTTTTAACAAGGTCAATACTTGAACTTGACTATATCCAAAGTAGTAAATGCTAGTGCTCATTCAAACCCTTTCATCTGATGTTTCAGGAAGATAATGGACCACCAGGGGGGTTTGTTAGCCAGTGAACTTGGCCTCCACAGTCATCCTTCCCCACTCTTTCCACCTGAGCCCCTAATGGCTTTACCTCCCGACCATTCTTCCCCCCAGATTAAATATATATGGTCAAAGGATATCAAAATTCCTCAAAATGCAAAAAAAAAAAAAGGAATTAGTTATAATTTTATGTCAAAGAATGTGAAATGTCTATTTAAGGACAGTGTTTTAGTTATTAATTATGAACTGTTATTGACCCACTGTCATACTTCAACATAAATGCTGCATTTTTCTGTGTCATCTGGGAAGCTTTCATATGAAGTCTTCTTTATTCTCATGACTAATAGCTGATCCTATAAGTACCCTCTTACATATACATTACTGTTGCATATACAATATTCCCATAAGATTATAGTATTCTCTTTTTACTGTACTGTTTCTATGTTTGGATATGTCTAGATACACAAATACTTACCATTGTTACAGCTGCCTACAGTATTTCATATGGCAACATGCTGTACAGATTTGTAGTCTAGGAGTAATAGGCTGTACCATATATCCTGAGTATGTAGTAGGTGATATCATCTAAGTTTGTGTATGTAAAAGTTACAGTGTTTGCACAATGATCCAATCACCTAACAATGCATTCTTATTTATTTATTTATTTTTAATTTTAATTTTTATTTTTTGGAGACGGAGTCTCACTCTGTTGCCCAGGCTGGAGTGCAGTGGCGCGATCTCAGCTCACTGCAAGCTCCGCCTCCCGGGCTCACGCCATTCTCCTGCCTCAGCCTCCTGAGTAGCTGGGACTACAGGCGCCTGCCACCGCGCCTGCCACCACGCCTGGCTAATTTTTTGTATTTTTACTAGAGACGGGGTTTCACCACGTGAGCCAGGATGGTCTCGGTCTCCTGAACTCGTGATCTGCCCGCCTCGGCCTCCCAAAGTGCTGGGATTACAGGCTTATTTTTTTTGAGACAGAGTTTCACTCTTGCCACCTAGGCTGGAGTATAATGGCACTATCTCAGCTCACTACAACCTCCACCTCCTGGGTTCAAGCGATTCTCCTGCCTAGGCCTCCTGAAGTAGCTGGGATTACAAGCGCATGCCACCACACCCGGCTAATTTTTTTGTATTTTTAGTTGAAGCAGGGTCTCACCATGTTGGCCAGCCTGGTCTTGAATTCCTGACCTCAGGTGATCCACCCACCTCAGTCTCTCAAAGTGCTGGGATTACAGGTATGAGCCACTGTGCCCTGCCTAACGATGCATTCTTTAGACTTGTATCTCTGTTGTTAAGCGATGTATGACTGTGTGTGTATATATTTTTTTTCTCACTTGATCCCTGATATGGCTTGGCTGTGTCTCAACTCAAATCTCATCTTGAATTGTAGCTCCCATAATTCCCACGTGTTGTGAGAGGGATCCAGTGGGAGATAATTGAATCATGGGTGCAGTTCCCCCATACTGTTCTCATGGTAGTGAATAAGTCTCATGAGATCTGATGATGTTATAAGTGGTTTCCCCTTTCACTTGGCTCTCATTCATTCCTTGCCTTCCACCATGATTGTGAGACATCCCCAGCCATGTGGAACTGTGAGTCAATTAAACCTGTTTCCTTTATAAATTACCCAGTCTCAGGTATGTCTTTACTAGCACCGTGAGAGCAAACAAATACAATCCCCCGTGAATGCTATGAGATAGATTCTATTATCTTCATTACATAAATGGGGAAACTGAGGCACAGAGTGGTTAAGTAACATTCCCAAGGTCACAGTGCAGGTAAGTAGCAGATCTGGGATTGGAACAAGGAAGTCAGACTCCAGAGCCTACATATGTACACCATTGCCTGTGTTGACACTGCAGTGGACAGTGTAAAAAGAGGCATGCATGGGATACCAGGGGTCTGGTTAAATCAAATGAAATTGGCAATATTCAACCACTTTAACCTAAAAGATGTCAATTTCATATGGTAGGAACATAGTAGACATACAAGATAGTAAGTCAAAAAGGGCATCCCTGGGAGATGTTTGGCTGCAGCTGAGTTTGTGAAGATAAAGAGGCAAAGAAAGTTTAGGAACAGATGATGTTGGCAGAAGCCATAGCAGGAGCAGTTACGAGGGCATGGAAGAGCACAACACAATATGCTGACTGGAATGTTGGGTGTTTGTCGAACAATGGTGGGAAATGAGGGCCGGGCACAGTGACGCACACCTGTAATCCCAGCACTTTGGGAGGCTGAGGCGGGTGGATTGCCTGAGACCAGCCTGGGTGACATGGACAGACCCTATCTCTACAAAACAAACAAACAAACAAAAACAGAAAAATTAGCCAGGTGTGGTGGTGTGCACCTGTAGTCTCAGCTCCTTGGGAGGATGAGGTGGGAAGATCACTTGAGCCCGTGAGGTCAAGGCTGCAGTGAGCCATGATTGTGCCACTGCACCCCAGCCTGGGCAACAGAGCAAGAGCCTGTCTCAAACATACATAAAGCAAATGAGGACAGAACCTGAAGCCCCTTTGGGTAAACTGAGTCTGAGTCTTTCCTCTGGAAACGACAGGCTTTCTGATTCTCTGCCCAATTTTCTTCTTGGTGCAATGTATGTATTGATCCACTCGAGCTCTTTGGGATGTTCTGTGTCTTCTTCCCTTCTGTAGTGTGCCAGGCAAAGCACTTAGCACTTAGAAGGTGCTGATCGGCCAACTGACTGCTGATGATAATATTACATGTCAGAGAAACCAACCAAAGGTTAACTTTATTTCAAACAGGTTGTAATATATTCTCTGCTTTTCACTATTTGGGAGAGGGAAATGTTCTTATTTTTTCTTTAATTATAAAGGCCCTTTTAAGTTTTCCTGTGGAAGCAGCCCTAAAATCAAAGGCTGTATTGCTGCAAGATGTATATTGAAGTTCAGGTTCAACTAATTGGTGTTAAGCACTTATAATACACCCAATACTTTCATGTAACTATGTTCACTGAATCTTAAAAACCCTGAAAAATAGGCTCTATTGTCTCCATTCTTTACATAAAGAAACTGAGAAAGATGCATTAACAGACTTGCTCATAAACGGTGAAGTCAGAATTTGAACTCTGCTCTCTTTGTTCTTTGCCATGGCTTTTCCCTCTACAAAGATGCTACTGGGAATCCATTGGTGATAATGACGATGACGATGATGATGATGGTAACGAGGATGACGGTGCCAGTAGCCACAAAACTAGAAAACACTGATTACCATGTTGTGTAACAGAAATTGTCCTAAGCACCTCAAGGAATAATTATTTACTTTTCAGAGCCTTTTTTTTTTTTTTTTAACCTTTTGGAGACTTTCCTGATGGTGAAACTGAGGCTAACAAGTGTCAAGTAACCTGTTGAGATTACGTAGCTTACTCATAAGAGGGCTGGATTTTTTGTTGGTATTGAGACTGAATCTCACTCTGTCACCAAGGCTGGAGTGAAGTGGCACCATCTCAGCTCCTACAACCTCCACCTCTAGGGTTCAAGCAATTATTCTCACTCAGCCTCCCAAGTAGCTAGGATTACAGGTGCACGCCAGCAGGCCTGGTTCATTTTTTTGTATTCTTAGTAGAGTCGGGGTTTCATCATATTGGCCAGGCTGGTCTCAAACTCCTGATCTCAAGAGATCCACCCGCCTCGACCTCCCAAAGTGCTGGGATTATAAGCATGAGCCACTGCACCTGGCCTGGGATTTTTAAATATTTATTTATTGACCTTTTTTTTTTTTTTTTTTTTTTTTTTTTTTTTTTTTTTTTAGAGATAGGGGTCTCTCTATGTTGCCCAGGCTGTTCTTGAACTCCTGGGCTCAAGCAATCCTCCTGCCTCAGCCTCCCAAAGTACTGAGATAACAAGCATGAGCCACCATGTCTAGCTAAGGGCTGGGATTTTAAACCAGAGCTAGTGACCTTTTGAATAGAAGTATCTGCCTGTTTTAGATTCCAGACCCCACCTTTGTCCCTACCCACCTCACTCCTCCTGCACCAAGAAGGAAGAACAAAGAAAACCTTCCCTTGGAGCATCAGGCAAGGCTCTCTGTTCCGGTGTCACCATGATAACCAGCCCTAGTCAATTTCCTCACAAGGAAGGGAAAAGTAAATGTCAAATACAGCTTCCCCAGCAACATTCTGTGGGCGAGCACTGGGGAAAATGTGCTGGAGCCTCTGTGTTCTCACTTAAATAAGGTGAATCACTCCTGGAATTGGAGCTGGGAAGCAGGCCATGTTCCTAAACAGGTGAGGTTAACGGTGTTCTTGGAGAGCCTCTGGGTCACTTTGAAAATTAATCCTTTTTACTTCAGAATCTGAGCTCCTAAATGAGCAGATTAGAAATCAAAGCGGGGAAACAAATGGGTGTTCTTGGCAAGGGATTTTTAGAACATTACAGCATGCTTTTTAGGCTGACATCATCTTATCTCACCTCTACTGCCCACCTTTTGTTGAGGTCTTGTCTGTTTGAAGACTGTCGGCTGCCAAAAGCATGTAGACTCCAAGAAGCCAGGGCCATGTAAGCCATTCACCACTGTATCCACAGTATCTAACATAGCACCTGACTCAGAGTGGGAAACTTACTAATTATTGTTCAACTAATGGACTGATTGCAGCTATCACAAACAATACTTTGGTTGGGGCAAAATGCTTTTGTTTCCAATATTTGATCATTTAAAGCAGAATGTTTTGACCTTTCTGGCAGGAGACATTTAAGCTGAGATTTGAATGACAAGAAACAGCGAGTTATATGAATATGAAGAAAGAGCATTGCAGGGTAAAGGAATAGCAGGTTCTGGGGTTGGAAGGAGTTTAGTATGTTTGAGAAACAGCCAGAGGCCTCTGTGGCTAGAGAGAAGTGGAGAATGAACAGAGTGTGCAGAGATGAGATTGGAGAGATAGAAAGGGCCAGCTCCTGCTGCAAGAGGATAGATCTGAATTATTTTTCTAAGTGTTATGTAAAGCTATTGGAGAGTTTTAAGGGGGAAAAGTGGAGGAGAAGGGAATGTGTCATTCACTCTGTGTCCCTATTGCTTGGCACATAACAGGTGCTCAGAAACTGGATGAATGAGCTGAGATAATGCATATCAAGTGCTTTTGAAACAATGAAGTGTTTCAGAAATGACACTCATCATCAGTTGGAGGAGAATAAGACACTGCCCCCAATACCATTCTTTTAGATCACAAAGCTATTACAGATTTCTGGGTAATGAGGGTGGAAATCTAGAGGCACCTGATTTTTTACAGTGCCTTATTTCTGTTAAAATAATTTCAAACCACACCAAGATGCAGGATTGCAATAGCACTGGCCAGACTCCAGACAAAATTCCCGTGAAGAATTCACTCTTGGCTACCTGAGGCAGAACAGCGAGGTCAGGAAGGGAAAAGGTAATGGTTTTTCATGACCCCTGATATCTGAGACACACGGGGCTCTGATAGGTAGGAGGTACGTTCTAATGAGGTCATGGCTCTTTTATTGACCCAATGCCCCAAATACTGTGTTTCTTACTACTTTTCACTTGGAGACTGTGATGGCTGGAGTTGTGACATGGTGGAGGATGCAACAGAAAGAGAAAACAGTGGATGCTTATTGCAACCTGAGAGCCAAGATGTGAGAACTAAGTGGGAGGAATGAAGAAGAGAGAAGGAGTGGTAGAAACAGTGTTCCCTGGGTAAGATTTCATTCACCTCTATGTGCTAAGTGCTTTGCCTGGCATATTATAGAAGGGAAGAAGACACAGAAGGTCTCAAAGGGTTTGAGTGGATCAATACATACATTACACCAGGAATATAATTGGGCAGAGAATCAGAAGAGCTCATAGATCCCAGAGGAAAGTTCCAGACTCAGTTTACCCCAAGGGCCTTCAGGTTCTGGTCTCTGGTCTGGAGATTCTGATGGCTGGAGTTGTGACATGGTGGAGGATGCAACAAAAAGAGTAAACAGTGGATGTTTATTGGAACCTGAGATGCAAGATGTGAGAACTGAAGCGGGAAGAAAGAAGGATAGAGAAATAGTGGTAGGAACAGTGTACTCTGAGTAAGATTTAATGCACTGGTGCTGATGAGACAAGAGCTAGACACATGTTAAACAATCCATGAATAAATTCCCTTTGTATCATCAGTGGGGCAACTATTTCTCCTCTGCCCACACTCAAAACATAGCCAGCAGGCTTCAGAAGTCTGTCCAACAGCAGAATAGATTAATCAGCCTTTCATCAAAGGTCTGAGGGATGAGGATGCAACAGGATACAGGTGAACAATTGGGGACACTAAAGAACCCCAGAAACCCAAAACTCCACCCAATGTGTTGATAGACAAACACCAAGACTGCCTAAATGTTTTATCTTTAAAAAGAAGGAAAAAATTAAAACAAAAAACCAACAACCTGGAATCTGAGAAACAACTTCCAATCATAAATGAAAAGGAACGTTGCACTCAAAATGCATAGAAAGTACACACATTTTAAAGAATTCGTTATGAGAAAGAGAAGAAAATTCTACAAGGCATCTGGTATGCTGCCAGTAAAATTAAAGAAAACATGAACTTATAGGGGAATGGTTAAATGAATTGAGATACATCCATATGGCAGAATATTTTACAGCCATTATAAACCATGTTTTCAGAAACTAAATAATGACGTAGAAATATGCTTACAATAGAACGCTATATTTTAAAAGGGGGATTTAAAACCAGTGAATACCAGAAAATCCCTATCTGTGCATGAATGTTCATAGAAGCTTTATTCACGATAGCAAAAAACTGAGAACAACCCAAATGTCCTTTAATAGGTCAATGGTTATATAAACTCTGTTCTGTCTATACATTGATACATGCAACACCCTGCATGAATGTCCAGGACGTTGCGCCTTGCAAAATAAGTCAATCTGACAAGATTACATACTGTATGATTGCATTTATGTAACATTCTTGAAACGACAAAGCTATACAGAGGAGACATATTATTAGTTGTTGCCAAGGTATAAAGACGGGGTGGAAATATAAAGGGGTAACATGGGGTACCTTTATGATGATGACATAGCTCTGTATTTTGAGTGTAGTCGTGATTCCATGAATCTCTATATGGGATAAAATTGCACAGAATGATACACATATGCACACATGTGGTAATACATGCATGTAAAAATTGGTGAAAACTGAGTAAGATCTGTAGTGTAGAAAACAGTATTTTAGTAGTGGTCAATTTCCTAGTTTTGATATTCTGCTAAAGTTACACAGGATGGTACCTGAGGAAGCTAGGTGAAATAGACATTAAACTCTATGTCGTATTTTCGCAATTTCCTATAATTATTTCAAAATAAAAATTAAGAAAGATAATATATACCAAAGAATCCCAATTTCATTTAAGAACTATAAAGAAAGAAATCCAAATTTTGACTAGAAGAAAATACTCCATTATATTGGCAGTGACTTTTCTTTTCTGGTTAATGGGATAATGGTCATTTTTATATTCTTCTATGTATTATTCTGTACTTCCAAAACTTTCTGCAGTAATATATGTTACTTTTGTAATCTGAAAAGAACTTATCATTTCTGATTTTAAATATTTGGTGAATGTAAAAAGTAAACATTTAAAGGAAAAAGTATATAATAATATTATAAAAGAGAATTGAGAAAAAGAAGGGCAAAAAAGAAAATGACTTGGTAAGATATGAAAACATGGCAAGGAAATACAAAATGTAATAGCAAAGTTAAATCTACATTGAAACAGTACAAAACACTTTAGAAACTAAACCGATGGTATGTAGGACAAACACACAAACCCTGCCCAGAATGCTGAGTCAAAGATCAAAGACATGAAATAGAGACAAAATAAAAGATGTGGAGAACCAAACATAAAGATTCAGCATACCACTAGCTGGTGTTTCTAAAAAAGCTATCCTAAAAAATGGGACAAAAGCAATAATCACAGAGACAAAATAGCAAAACACTGTCCAGATTTATGGATGACCTGAATTTGTAATGCAAATAGATACACTAAATGCCACTGTCTGGAAATATACATGATAAGGTTTCAGCATTTCAAAGATCAACTTTTATATTCTGCATGTAGCCAGGCAGAAAACAAAACAAAACAACTCAAAAAATGTTTTACCTGGAAAGATGAAAACATCAAACTAGTCTCATTTTTTTTCCTCCATAACATCAAGTTTTGAGAAGGAAAGATTATGACCTAAGCATCTCTACCAAATTTCCAAGTTGTTATAATAATAATAAGGTAATGAGGTAATCATAATTGCTACTTATGATTAAGTAACAATAAGGCACTTGATAACTCAACCGTCATAACTAATTAAAATTTAGTACAACTAGAATAAGATGAAAGTGTCTCAAAATAATTATTTAGCCATCTCAAGTCAATGGTCAACATTATATAAAGAGAGTTTTCATTTATTAATAAGATAAGGAAACCACTATTATTTATTACCATTATGGATTTTCTAGTAAATCCAATAGGTCATGAGAAAAAAAAATAAGGAAGTTCATCACTGCTTCCATAAGATACGATTGCTTACTTAGAAACAAAATGAGCTGGAAAAAAATTGGAAACAATAATTATCGTCTGGAGGTGATGAGTTACAAAATCAGTATGTCTACATTTTTCCTGTGTAGTATTTGACATAAAGCAATTAGAAAATACAAAAAAAATCCATGCAGAGTAGAAATAATAGAAATAAAAACAAAACATCCAGAACTAAAGGTTAAAATACACACACACGATCTTGGCCAAGAGATGAAGATATATCAGTGTCTATCTATATATAAAGATTTGAAGAGCTCAATATGCCATTTTCCTAAATAGGAAAATTTAGTATTATTAAAATGTCACTTCTTCCAAAGTTAATTAATGCGTTTAATTCAATGCTAACCAGAATTCTAAAAAGGATTGCTTCAAAGCTTAATACAATTATTCTGAAGTTAATTTGAAAATATAAGCAGATGAGACTGATCAAGAGATATGAGGAAAAACAGGGCAAGTAAAAGGAACATCTTGTCCTGCCAGATATTACAATTTTTGTTGTTATTCATCTTTTTTTAAATTTTATTTTTAATTGACAAATAATAATTGTATATATTTATGGGGTACAGTGTGATACTTTGATACATGTTTACGATGTGGAATGATTAAATCTGTCTAACAAATAATTGTATATATTTATGGGGTACAGTGTGACATTTTGATACATGTTTACAATGTGGAATGATTAAATCTGTCCAACAAATATCTGTCTACCAAATCTGTCTAAAAGCAACCCAGGTATCCATCATCATATGAATCAATAAAGAAAAGGAGAGGGGCCGGATGTGGTGGCTCACACCTGTAATCCCAGCACTTTGGGAGGCCGAGGCAGGAGGATCACGAGGTCAGGAGTTTGAGACCAGCCTGGCCAGCATGGTGAAACCCCATCTCTACAACAAATACAAAAAATTAGCCGGGCATGGTGGCGCATGCCTGTAGTCCCAGCTACTCAGGAAACTGAGGCACGAGAATTGCTTGAACCCGGCAGGTGGAGGTTGCAGTGAACCGAGATTGCACCACTGCACTCCAGCCTGGGTAACAGAGTGACACTCCGTCTCCAAAAAAAAAAAAAAAAGAAAAAAGAAAAAAGAAGAGGACAAATTAAAATTTTAATAAGATACTTCATAAAATATCCTAGCAGACAAGTTGACAGACAGATACATGAAACATAAAAGATGCACCAGTTACCAGTGAAAGAAAAGATAAATGGTGCTGGGACAATTAATTATCTATTTGTTACAGGAGAAAACAAGCTTTAAATACCAAAATAAATTCCAATCAGATTAAAATAAGTGCAAATACGTGAATAAAATCTTAAAATATTAAAGATTTAGCATCTGAAGAGGGAGAAATTTGTGAGCAATAGAAAAAAAATCACAAAGCAAACACTCAACAAATTTGACAATATAGAATCTATTTAAATTACAAACAAAATAAAACAACAAATTAAAAAAATCAGATAAAAGTTTAATGTATTTAGCATATGAATCCATGGGAAAATATTAACATTCAGCAGAAAAAATAGACAAAGGATGTGAAAAGACAATGTAGAAGAAAAGGACCCTAAATGACAAATTGATACCAAAAAAATCAGTTTCATTATTATTCAGATAAACAAAAATTTTTTTAAAAGGCTGCCTTTAAAAATCAAACAAATAGAAGGAAAGCTTTAAATTGTTACCCCTCAATGCTAGTAGTGTAAAGACAGTGACATGGTCAACTACATACATTGCAGTTGGAGTAAACTTTGCAGTAAACAAGTTGGAACTAAGTTTCAAAAGTCTTAAAAATATTCAGTTTCCTTTACACAATAATTCTTCCAGAAATCTACCTTAAGAAAGTAGTCACGGCTGGGCGCAGTGGCTCACACCTGTAATCCCAGCACTTTGGGAGGCCAAAGTGGGAGGATCAGCTGAGGTCAGGAGGTTGAGACCAACCTGACCGACACGGTAAAACCCCATCTCTACTAAAAATACAAACATTAGCCGAGTATGGTGGCGGGCACCTGTAATCCCAACTACTTGGGAGGCTGAGGCAGTAGAATCACTTGAACATGGGAGGTGGAGGTTGCAGTGAGCCAAGATCACACCATTGCACTCCAGCCTGGGTGACAGAGTGAGACTCCATCTCAAAAAAAGAAAATAAAAGAAAAGAAGGTAGTCATGAATTTGTTTTCAAAGATGTCCAATGTAGTAAGATGGAAGACATCCACCAGGGTATTACTCCTTGGTTGTGCCAAGGAAAGGGGAGAAGTCAGTCTGGTTTGTGAATTTAGCAGACACTGATCTGGCCTGTCCTGCCTTCTTTTTCCACCTCCTTTTGGAAAGAATCTGCCTTCTTGCTGAGAGGATACCTATGGGTCTGTTCTCCAGACATAAGGTGAGAGGTCTGCCCCTGAGCAGGAGGCCCGAGGTTTGCCAGCAATGCTCATGCCTGCCCTGGATAAATCTGTACACTTCTGGGGTACAGTATCAGAGAACTCTGTTTCCCCACCTATGCAGCATCCTCTAAAGTAGAAACCAATCAGTAACCAATCAGTAACTAAGTTGACAGTTTGATCTCCACCTGTCTGAATTTCCTGTATCTAAACCTCATTGTGCTCTGAAGTTGGGCAGGAACAAGAAAAGTGTTATTTTATCACCACCCACCAAAAATAGGAAAATGACGTAGTTTTGGCAAAGAAAGAGATGGATTAAATCAACATTATCTTACCTATAGGGTGGAATAGTATGCAGATTCTAAAAGCGGTGCTCTGTAAGAATACACAAAGGAAAATGAGTGTTATTTAAGATTAAATGAGAGAAAGCATGTAACAAAAATAGTATGTAAATAAATACCTCTACAAATTGTGAGTACATAGAGAGAAAAAGATCAGAAGAAAGCACTTCAAAAAGCCAGCATTTGTCTCTGGGTTCTGGGGTTATGGGTGATTCTTATCTTCTTCTTAATGCCTTTTTGTATTATATAAATTCTCTATAATATATTTGTACTGTTTTATAATAAAAAAACATTTATTTTTGAGGAAAGCAGAATCTCAAAGGTCACAGTGACTGTACTGTTTGTCCTCTGCACATCAGGAAGAATAAACTCTTTGATTTGGGCCCAGGGCACTTTGAACATATGAGTGCAAACCCACGAAAGGTTTATTCTGAGACAATTCAGCACAATTTCTCTGAGTCATGGAGAATGATTCTCAGACCTTTTGTCCTTGCGCAGGGGCAGTGCATCTATCCGTCTACTTACCCAAACAAAGAACAATGGTTGAGCAGGAACGATGTGCCTGGTACTGTGCTCATCTTCACACATGCAGCCCTCAGAGGCTTGATCCTCACCCCAAAGGAGTGCTGCATGGCAGGGACACAGACAAGCAAGCAAATATAGCAGCGTGGTGTGATAGATGCTTGATGTGGCTTGGCTGTGTCCCCACCCAAATCTCATCTTGAATTGTAATCCTCAGGTATTGAAGGAGAGACCTGGTGAGAGGTGACTGGATCATAGGGGCGGTTTCCCCCATGCTGTTCTTGTGATAGTGAGTGAGTTCTAACAAGAGCTGATGGTTTTACAAGAGGCTCTTCCCCCTTTGCTGCTCACTTTTCTCTCTCTTGCCGCCATGTGAGACGGTCCAAGCTTGCTTTCCCTTCACCTTCCGCCATGATTTTAAGTTTCCTGAAGCCTTCCCAGGCATATGGAACTGTAAGTCAATTTAACCTCTTTCCTTTATAAATTACCCAGTCTCAGGTATGTCTTCATAGCAGTGTGAGAAAGGACTAAAACAGTGCTGCTCTCGAGGAATGTACACAGCCCCATGGGGAATATAGAAGAACCAGCGTAAAGTTTCTGCAGTATTAATGGAAGGAAATAGCAGTTAATCTGGGTCTTGTAGGATGATGGGCCAGGTGAATGGTAGGATTTTCCAGGCACAGCAATGGAAGTGAGAGAAAGAGAAATAGAGAGAGAAGGAAAAAGACAGAGTGGAGTGTGGGGGGAGGCAGAGGGAGAGGGAGAGAAGGAGGGGCAGGGGGTTGGGGGAGAGAGAGACCAGAGACAAAAAGACAGGGATTATGTAACTACTGGTGTCTTAAATAATTGTAAACCATGTAGGAGGATGTACCAGTTAGTTATTCTTTGGCCATAAATCATAGAAACTGACTCTAACTAACTAAGGGAGAAAGGAAGCTTATTGGATTAATATAGGGCAGCTCTAAGAAGCACCAAGACATATGAACTAGAACTCCCAATGTGCAGTTTCAGGAAGCTTTAGGTAACTAAATTCCTCTGGAAGTTGCAGGAGGATGGATCACCTGTTTTCAATCCAATGTTTTACCCAAGAATAAATTCCAGAGAGGGAGCACTATAGGAGCCTAATGTCAGTCACGCAGCCACCCCTTGGCTGGAGGACGGGTGCACTTTCATTGACAGTAGAGAGTGCTCAACAAGGACAGGATAACCTTCCCAATGCCAAACCCCATACTCTTAACCTAGAACTGTAGTTTTCAACCAAGGGTGCATTTGCCTCCCAGGAAACATTTGGGAATTTCTGCAGACATTTTTGCTTGTCACAAATTGAGGGTAGGGGGAAGTGCAACTGGCATCTAGTGGGAAGAGGAAAGGAGACTGCAAACATTCTACAATACTCAGGACACCCCCTACGACAAAGAATTACTTAGTCCTGAGGTTGAAAAACTCTGATCTAGAGGTGAACATATGTGTGAAAACAGAAACTACAAAAGTCATTTAGGAAAGAGAGAAAAAGGGAGGATGGAGCCATGAAAGGAGTATAAGAAAGATAAACTTTATGCCAAGGGCAGTGGGAGGGTCTTTGAAAGGCATTTAAGCCAGAAAGAGGTGTGATATATTCATGGCAAGCATGAGCATGTCAGTACATATGACAGCACCCTCTTCACCAATTTTACAGCAATATTCTCCATTTGTAATTACATACTTTTAACATTTTTGTTTGTCTTTTCATGGCCGGCCACACATCAGTAATCTTCATTAGGGACAGAACCACATCTGCTTTATTTACTATTGTATGCTTGTGCCTAGAATGGTGCCCGGCACATAAAAGAGGCTCAATAAATATTTGCTGAAAGAGGGCGGGCACGGTGGCTCAAGCCTATAATCCCAGCACTTTGGGAGGCGAGGAGGGTGGATCACCTGAGGTCAGGAGTTGGAGACCAGCCTGACCAATGTGGTGAAACCCCGTCTCTACTAAAAATACAAAAATTAGCTGGGCATGGTGGCACATGCTTGTAATCCCAGCTATTCTGGAGGCTGAGGCAGGAGAATCACTTGAACCCAGGAGGTGGAGGTTGCAGTGAGCCGAGATCGCACCATTGCACTGCAGCCTGGGCAACAAAGCGAAACTCCGTATCAAAAAAAAAAAAATTGCTGAAAGAATGAACAAATAAATGAACAGATGGATGAATGGAAGGATGGAAGGATGGATATATAGATAAATGAATGGGTGGATGAAATAAAGGAATATATTTTAAAATACTTTGTATATCAGAGAGTATAATATTTTTAGGTCATATTTGTAAAGATTGCCTACATAGCTGTCAGATTCCCACCTACAAAATAAACCAAAGCAAGCATTTGGAGAAAAAGAAAGGAATCAAGATGATTCACACCCATGATATCTGCATTTTACAAGTTCTGGCTGAGTACATATCATGCAGGATCCCACACTAACATCTGTCTAATGTGCAAAGGGAGGAAAATGTCCACGTGCCAGACGTAGCCTTCACCTAGGAAGGCAGAGATACAGCACTAGAATAACTTTAAGGCAACCTATTAACAGAGGCTGGAATGCATGGCATACCAATCATTTATTTATTCAACAAATATATTTATTGTATACCTACCATGCGTCTGGGCACAGTACTAGATACAAAATATCCATTGTTTAAAAAGGCAGACCTGGTCTTTACCATTGCGGTATTTAAAATGCATTAGGAAAGACAGGCCGGGCGCGGTGGCTCACACCTGTAATCCCAACACTTTGGGAGGCCGAGGCAGATGGATCATTTGAGGTCAAAAGCTCGAGACCAGCCTGGCCAACATGGTGAAACCCCATCTCTACTAAAAATACAAAACAATTAGCCAGGCGTGGTGGCATGCACCTGTAATCCCAGCTACTCGGGAGGCTGAGACACAAGAATTGCTTGAACCCAGAAGGCAGAGGTTGTAGTGAGCTAAGATCACGCCACCACACTCCAGCCTGGGTGACAGAGTGAGACCTGTCTCGAAAAAAATAAGTAAATAAAAAATAAAATAAAATAAATCTACTGGGAAAGACAGATAATGAGTCAACAGAGAAATATGCAATTGCAAATTATAACAGTGGTAGTAATAAAACAATCAGAATATAGTGATAAATTAAAAAACACAGTTTGGTGGCTGACTTAACAGGGACGACATGGCAGTTCTCAAAGGGAAGGATATTTAAGCCAGAAGGATGAATAAAAACCTGCCATGCTAAGAATAAAGAAAATAATGTCTCAGGTAGTTGGAATGATAAAGCAAAAGTCTTGAATCAGGAAAAGGTTGATGTGTTTAAGAATCTCTAAGGAGCCTAGTTTGCTGGGAGCATAGTGAGTAATATGGAAAATGGCATGACACTAGTATAGCGATATAGACAGTGCTCAGATCATGCAGGGTCTTAAAGTCCATGATAAGCTCTTGGATTTTGTTTTGGTTATCTATTGCTGAGTAACAGATCACACCAAAGCTTAAGGGCTTAAAACAATAATAATTTATTATTTTTTCATGATTCTATGAATTGCTTAGGTGGTTCTTTTGTTAGCATTACCTGGGCTCTGTCATGCTGATGCATTCACCTGGATATTGGATGGAGTTGTAATGTTTAAGACATGGCTACTTGGGCTTCCTCCCAGCATGGCAGCTGGATTCTAAGAAGGAACATTCCAAAGAGGCAAAACTGAGAGCTGCAGATATCTTAAGGCCCAGCTTTAGATGGGCCCCTACCACTTTTTTGGGCTACATTGTACTGATCGAAATAAGTCACAGGGCCAGCGTTCTTGATGGAAGGAGTGACCAAAAAAAAAAAAATTGTAACTGTATTTAACCCACCACAGATTCATCCTAAATGAAATGGAAAGTCATTGAAGATTTTAAGGCGTGGATGTAATATAATGAGATTTATGTTTTCCACATGTTCACAGTAAAACTACTATGGGAATAATGAATTGCAGAGGGGCAAGAATGGAATAAGGGATGTAGCTTTACATGTTGGAAAGAGCCCACGATAGAATAAACAGGAAAGGTAAGTTAGAATAAACCTTGAAATCCAAGCACAATATAAATTATCAAAAAGAAGGAAGGCTCCCCCTCAGGTGGCATATATTCCTTAATCAAATACCTGCAAAGTAGATATTAAAAATCATCAGAGCAAATTTGCAGAAGCAGCCTAGTGTGTCAAAATGAGCATTGGCTTTAGAGTGCAACATATTCAGGTTTGGATCCTGGTCTTGCTGCTTACTAGTTAGTTTCCTGATTTGTAAATCAAAGACCTTTACCTTTAGCCCTTGGAGTTTTGATGAGGAGTTGCATAATTCACATAAAGCATTGTATTGCAATACCCAAATTGCAGTAAGATCAACACGTAAGGTTTCATTAGGATATACAAGAGAGAATTTACAAGCAGAAAGTATACACCATTTATGCGTCATTTAACTGAAATGACCACAACTAACTGATTTTCTTTTCGGAGATTTCCAAAACCCATAAGGTCCCTGTAAAGAAAGTGGCCTCACTTGGAAAACACGGGCCAGCATTGCTCAAGCTCCTGGGAACACTGCTCGAAGCCAAAGCCAAAAATAATCCCATTAGTCACATTCAAAGTGCTAAGCAGAAACAAAAAGAAATCAAAATTAATTTCAATACTTACAGTGACAGCAGCAATTAAGGTGACAAGATTATGGAAATCATCACCATCACCAGAGATCTTTGCCTAAGGGAGAAAAATAACCAGTAATATAAAGGACTAAGAAACAGAGGAATTTGAGTTCTGTTCACAACAAATGAACCACTAGCCCTCAGAGGATTTCAACTGGGCATTGCTCCATGCCATAATAATGTATTCTGTGCCCATTATATATCAACATCTTAAAGTAATTACCTCTAGTACTCACATCATCTCTATAAGAAGTATTATTGTTCTCGTCTGTGATTCAAGAAACTGAGTCACAGAAAGGTTAAACAAATTACTCAAGATCACGTTGATGAAAAGTATCAGAACCTTGATCTAAGGTCATCCTCACTTGGGACCCCACTTCCATCCCACTGCCCTATCTTTGTAGATAACAGCCTCAGGCCCCAAAAGAAATGGGATTCTTTCAGCTCCCTCTTATCTGTGACTACGTGCCAGGAATTAGAGAAAGGCTGCTCGGTGTGGTTTGAATGCTCCATAGGTTGTCCATTTTTTCCTCTTTCTGCTTTCTTGTTTGTCTCACTGCAAGTGATTGCTAACAAATTCCAGTATGGTTATCTGAAAAAGACCAAAGCACGAGAGGGGAGCAACCTGTTCTGAAATATCAGAAAAGATAGATTGCACCTTGCTGTGCAGAATGGCAAAAGCAATCATTAAAGTCAAGTGGGCCTGGCATAAGAAAGTCCAAGCAGTGCAAAGAAGCTTTTTGTGGCTCTGCCTTCTGGTCCTCTCTCCTGGGAATGGTGCCCTTCTGGGGGCTTCGTATATTCTTATTGATCACCTCTATGGAGACCTGGGGTAATGGAGAAAGAAAGCTGGTCTTTCATCTGGATTAACAAGTGGCTGATGTGGGCTAATCATATCACTCAGTCCAATTTGGAGCAAATTGGAAGGTCTTCAGAGCAAAGAAGTAGCAACAGTTACCAAGATTTTCAAGTGTATTGGTGAGGACAAATAATAGCAATAGCAGTAATTAAAATGCCAACAACACCCACTGCTGAGATGTGGAGTGGTTCACAGTCTACAATACTTCCCCTTTATTTACATTTTTATTTGTGAGTCAGTAGTTCTGTTTTCTGAGGTTCTTCAGGGGGACCTGGAAAGGGCAGAGATTCAGAAATGGTTTTAGTTACTTGGGAAATTATGTTAACCTCATGAGGTCAAGAGGCTTCTTGGGTGAGATGACTGTGATTGTTAAAGCTTGTCTTAACAGAACAAATCATGACCTCCTGGGTCTGGGTTGGTTGCAGAAACCTTTGTCCCCCCATGTCTTTGGGCAGGGAGGTGTTGACCCATCTTTTTCTGAGGCATTCGATTGTTGTTGTTTTTCATAAACAATATTCATCAAAAATCATTGCCCATTGGCCCACTGGAGAACAGTCATCTGTAACTATATCTGTACCTAACTCTGTCATCTGTACCTATATCTAGGTCCCTCTCAGAGACACAAAGCCTTGTTTGGTAAGAAGAATAGAGGAGATTAATAGGGATTTCTAAAGAATTAGCTAAACCCCAGATAAAACAAGAAGCAAATAAGTAAATCCTTGAACATTCAAGTCATTCTGCCTTAAGTAACTATCAATCTCCCTGGTAAATGAGGGAGTGGGGAAGATTTGTCAAGTTCTTTTTTCATTCCTTCACCCAGGCATTTACTCGACAACTATATCCTGAGTATCTGCCACATGCCAGGCACAGTTCAAGGGGCTTGGGGACATCAGAGAACAACAAAAAGACAACGACTCCTAGAGTTGTGTGATTTCCATCCCAACAGAGGTGTGTGGGAGGTGAGGACAACAACAATAAGGATGATACAGAGGTAATGATATAGCATATTAGCAGGTGAAAGTGCAGTAGAAATTGAAGAAAAGCAGGGGAGGAGAGACAAGGAGTGTGATGAGGAGGACGGGGTTGAAATTTCAAAGACGACGGTTGCATGGAAAAGATAACTTGAGCAAAAGACCTGATGGAATTAGACATGCGGATATCCAGGAAGAGGGAGCAGCCAATTCAAGTGCCTTCTGTTGAGAATGTGCCTGGCATGTTTAAGCAAAAACAAAGAGGATGGAGCGCCTGCGTGAAGTGAGAGAAAGGGGATTAGAAGGTGGTGTCAGAGAGCTTATGGGAAAAGAGAAAGTGGGTCATATAGGATCTGCACACCATCTTAAAGATCTGGCTTGAGACACTGGGCATGGTGCTATAATCCTAGCACTTTGGGAGGCTGAGGCAGCAGGAGCCCTTGAGGCCAGGAGTCTGAGACCAGCCTGGGCAACAGAGCAAGACCCCATCTCTATTAAAAATTTTGTTAATAAAAAATTAGCCGGGCATGGTGGTGTGCGCCTGTAGTCCCAGCTACTTGGGAGGGTGAAGCAGGAGGATCACTTGAGTCTGCGAGGTCGAAGCTGCAGTGAGCTATGATTGTACCACTGCACTCCCTGCTGGGTAACAGAACAAGATCCTGTCTCAAAACAACAACAGCAACAACCACCATGTATATATATATATATAAAATCTGGTTTGATGACTCATTGATTGTTTCACACTTACATTTCAGGCAAGAGTAACTTTGGCTTTTGTTCTATAGGGTAGATCCAACCATAATAATAATATTTTTTATATTATTATTATTGTTATTACTCCCATTTCAGAGATAAGAACAATGAGACTCAGAGAGTGCAAGTAATTTCCCAAAGTCAAGGTCATCCCAAATGGCGAGGAACAGAGTCAGGGTATTAGTAGGAAGTTGCTGACCTGATGTGATTAGAGGCATTTTGGGCCTCCAGATATCTGCCCTGTAGAATTTCTCACTGGATTAAGCATTGGCTTCTTTCTTTTCTTTCTTTTAGTGGTAGAGTACCCTGGAGCAGCGATTGTCTAACATTAGCGTAGACAAGAATGACCTGGAGCTCTTGTTCCAGATGCAGACTTCCCAGCCTCATCTTGTTTTGGGAGGTCTGAAAGGCCCAAGAATTGATGTTATTAAGAAGGAACCCAGGTGATTCCAATGCCGGGGGTTCCTGGACCATGCATTTAAGAAATGCTGCAATTAGTGCCAAAACTCTGAGTGTGGTTGAATTTACCAGATGCTTTGTTTTGCAACAGGAAGTCAAACACAGTGAGAGGAGACAGTTGTACAGAGACTGCCAGCCCTGATTCAGGTCGGGCATGTCTGTGTCTGAACAACCTCTACCCAGAGGCCAGAGCAGCCAAGCAAGATTGTGCTCGTTTGCTTGTTTGAAGGCTAGAAATGGGGTAGTAAATCCTGCTCCAGGTAGCCCAGCTCAAAAAGAAGTTATTTTCCAAAGCCGTCCGTGCCTTAGGTGCACACACTATTTTAATGATATTTCTTCTTTTCTGATTGCAACTGTAATGCATACTTATGGTGGAAACTACCACCAAGCATAAAGAAAACACAATTGTTTCTGGTTCCCACTTCTCCATGGTAACCACCAATAAATTTTGTATCTTTCCATCTAGCATTTTTTCTCTCTCTCTTTCTCTTGGTCTCTATCTCTCATCTAAATTCTCTGAGTCTTTGTTTCCTTTTCTGTAATATGGGAATAAAAGCACCTACCTTTTAGAGTTACATAATGGATGCTTAATAAATTACATTACACTTATTATTCAACTATGATTGTGTTTATTTTTTCCACTTGACATTCTATAATGAACATTTTCCATGTGTCATTAACTACTCTTCAAAAACATGACTTTTAATAGCTGCATAATGCACCATCATTTAATGAACCATAATTTATTTAACTATTCTCCTATTATTGAGCTTTGAAGTGTTTTCTAATATTTTGCTATTGGAAATAACACTGAGTACTTAAATCTTATTTTTTTAATGTCTGAATTTTTTCTTAGGATAGATTTCCAAAAGAGAAATGACAAGGACAAAGAGTTTAAACATTTTAAGGTTTTTTATGCATGTTGTTAAATTATCTTTCCAGGGTGGGGTGGGAAGTGTATACTTCCAATAGCGTTGCCAGCATTAAAAGTTACTTAAACACATGTCAGAGATGTACATGTGTCAGCATATAAATTAATGGGAATGGTGAAAAGATAAAATTCATTGTAGATTTCAAAATCCATTAAGCCTTTTGGGTATATACAACGCATTAAACTCTTTAAGAGAAGAGACTCAGAAATGTGGATGTATTTTCTCATCACTGTTCACTAGCTAAGAAACTTTCATGAGGAGAAAGACATAATTTCTCATTGGCAGGTTGCTAATATTACTCCATATCTTGAAAAACCTTCCACTCTTCTGGTTCCTATTGCTAAATTCCAATCATCCTGAAGGGGATTGATAATTGTGGCAATTGTACAAAATGATTGCTACCTGTAGAGGCAATCACTTCCGTCTCCTGCAGAACTGATGAGCAATTCATTATCAAGGATTTAATTGCTATAAACCTGTGAGGAAAAGGGATTTCTCATATGATTTCCAGGATTTTGTGCATCCGACCCTCCTTGGCTCCAAATTAGCTTTCGTGAATAGGAATTTGAAATCAGGCTGTGGCAGGAGGGTAATCACACAGTGGAGGTGCTGTGGAAATATTTGCATAATCTGTCTTGAACTTATGATGTTACCTTTAAATAGGATGCTGCACCCATGAGTGGGGTAGAATCTTCTTGAATAATTATGACAATTCCGGCAGCAAGCCCACAGCTGGCTTCAGTCAGAAATGCAAAAAAAAAAGAAAAAATTAGTTAAAAATAAGGCATATTAAGAGTTATGATGAGGCTTAGAAGCTTACTGGTTAGAGCCAGAACTCTGGACTCAGACTGCCTGGATTCAAAGCATGCCTCCATTTCCCAGCCCTTACTAGATGAACCTGAATAAGGCAGACATGTCCTGCACAATTCTCAGTAGGAATGGTGCTGATAACAGTGCCTGCCTCACATAATTGCTGCAAAGATTATCTTAGAATACCCATGTAAAGCCTCAGGCATGGAGCCCACATAAAGTAATATTATTCCTAAGGTATCTTGAAAGTTTCTTTCATTTTCCGAATTTGAATTTGCCCATGGATCTCAAGTATTTTCACCAGGAAAAACTATATTTTTAAAATTATCAGGTCTCTCTGCATGGACTCCTTGTTTTAAGAGATTGCAATGAGAAAATGTGGAATATCACTTATTAATGACCCACTGTGTGTCAGAAACAATATATTATGACATTTAATTTTTACCGACTACTTTTTAAGATAGGTGTCATTTTGTCTATTTTTATGTGATACTGTTGTGAGCCAAGCTTCAAATCCTGGTTCTCTATTGATTACCCATGTGATTTAGGGCAAGTGACCTCTCTAAGCCTCATTTTCCTCATCTGTGAAGTGGGAATAATAGTAGCCTCCACCTCACCTTACAATGGTGGCTGGCACACAGTAAGTGCTGAGATTATGCCAGATCTTATTATTATTTGTTAGTGAAAAACTGAGACTAGCCTCAGTGTCTCACACCTGTAGTCCCAGCACTTTGGGAGGCCGAGGTGGGCAGATTACCTGAGGTCAGGAGTTCGAGACCAGGCTGGCCAACATGGTGAAATCCCGTCTCTACTAAAAATGCAAAAAAATTAGCTAGGCATGGTGGCAGGCACCTGTAATCCCAGCTACACGGGAGGCTGAGGAAGCAGAATCACTTGAATCCGGGAGGTAGAGGTTTCAGTGAGCCGAGATTGTGCCACTATACACCAGCCTGGGCGATAAGAGTGAGACTCTGGCTCAAAAAACAAACAAACAAACTGAGGCTCATTCAGATAAGCGAAGTAATATTCCCAAGATCACAAAACTTATTAGTGGCTGAGCCGAGATTTGAATCCACATCTGTCTAATCCCAAAATGATCTGTTTTACTATATCACGTTAACAAACTCTACTGTGATAGAGAAACATCCATAATAATTCATTCATCCTCATAATCTTAACATCTAGTAAAATTGTAACTGCCAAACATTTTCTTACTGGTCCATCACAACCAGTGTTTTCAAGTTGTGCTGAAAGCAGTGACTCACTTTTCTCACCTGAAAGGAGTAGGTAATAATGCTTTCCTTGCAGTTTTTTCCAGGCTTAGAAGTGACTATTAAAAAATAATATTTTCTTGCTAACTAGTAGCCATTATTTTTGTTTTATAATTCCAGCCTATAGAAATAATGATAAATGACGCTTTATTCTGTGTAGTTTATTGTTGATAAATGTGAATTTTCTGGGTTTTTTTTTTGTAAAATAAAGGTAATAGACTAAGAATTGTCATCTCTGCAATCAAGGACCCTTGTCATCTACGTACTTTAGCTTGGGAACCACTGTAGTAGAAACTGTTAGTAACTATGTATTAGAACTGTGCCTGCAATTTGTGTATGTGCCACTAGGTGACAAATGTCTCTTCCTGCTTAGGCCGATTACCATTTCTCCAGGCACAGGTAACTAGAGAAAGCAAAATTTAGCACATGGTTCAGTTTGGACGTTCATCACTACATTAGCCATGTATCTTGGCTAAAGACCAAATATGACTAATTTTTATAAATCAAGAGTAACTACTAATAAATCAATTAATTAAGCAGATTGTAGTTGCACCCAAATAAAGTCATTCATAAGTAGAAATAAGACCCTTGTACTTCTCCATAAATTCTTTGGGGAAATTAGTCACTGAGATGAAACTGTATTGCTAGATATAGGGAATTCACACACAGTTGTGATATTCAAAACATTATTTCAAACAAAGAAGCGGAAATACCCAGAGTGAATAGAGACCTCAGCTTAAGATCACAAATACAACATGAGGAGAAGTAAATGAATATTGTTTACCTATTTCCTGGCTGCATTTGGCATTTTTCACACACATATTTTAAATTTAACTCTCATAACAGAGACTGTTGCTTGAAACCAAGATGAAATAACAGGGATCAGATTTACTCCTCTACCTGAAACAACTTAAAAATGGGGTACAATAAAGGTAACATGTGTTTTCCAATATTGGACATCAGGGAGTACAAGTCAGTGATCACTGAAAGAAAGAAACAAAATCAGATAAGCCCCACAAATTGCCTCTACTTATTACTGGAAGAGTTTTCAAGTTACAGTATAGGGAGGGAGGGGGGATTCAGGCAAAGTCCAGTAATTTCTCTGAATTGAGATAGAATTGGAAGTTCAGAGAGACCAAGATAACTGCAGTTCACAGGGAAGAGTACAAAAAAGGAGAAGGTGAGGGTGGGGGCAGAGAGAGAGAGAGAAATCTGAAGAAATCCCTCTCAAGTCCTAGACTGAATACTGACCACCACATTTATGTGAAAAAACTATCCAAGTCTAGGACTTTTCCTAGACACCTGAGAGTGGCAGAGGGAACAATCCTAAGAGTTCAAAAGAGCCAGGAAAAGTTCCTATTCCTGCCAGCCAGAGCAAAAAACTTCATAAAACACAGGGCACTGGGGAGAGTACTTAGAAGGGAACTGCCTGGAGAGTGGTGCAAAATTAGCCCTAGATTAAGGCCTGCTCTGGTCTCCATAACAAAGCATAAAAGCAAGCCTCAAAAGATTAAAGTGTTTCCAAGTAACCTAATTGCATCTTAGAACAAAGCTCAAGAATATTTATAGAAATACAAAATTATCCAACACCCAACAAGCTAAAATCACAGTATCTGATACCTAAACAAAAATTACCAGGAATGCAAATCCCTGGTAATTGCTGCAAAAAGAATAAAATACCTAGGAACACAGCTAACAAGGGACGTGAAGGACCTTTTCAAGGAAAACTACAAACCACTGATCAAGGAACTAAGAGAGGACACAAACAAATGGAAAACTATTCCACCCTCATAGATAGAATCAATATCGTGAAAATGGCCATACTGCCCAAATTAATTTATAGATTCAATGCTATTCCCATCAGACTACCATTGACATTCTTCACAGAATTAGAAAAAACTAGTTTAAATTTCATATGGAACCAAAAAAAAGAGAGTCTGTATAGCCAGGACCATCCTAAGCAAAAAGAACGAAGCTGGAGGCATCATGCTACCTGACTTCAAACTATACTACAAGGCAACAGTAACCAAAACAGGATGGTACTGGTACCAAAACAGACATATAGACCAGTGGAACAGAACAGAGACCTCAGAAATAACACCACACATCTACAACCATCTGATCTTCGACAAACCTGACAAAAACAAGCAATGGGAAAAGGATTCCCTATTTAATAAATGGTGTTGGGAAAACTGGCTAGCCATATGCAGAAAATTGAAACTGGACCCCATCCTTATACCGTATACAAAAATTAACTCAAGATGTATTAAAAACTTAAATGTAAAACCCAAAACTATAAAAACCCTGGAAGAAAACCTAGGCAATACCATTCAGGACATAGGCATGGGCAAAGACTTCATAATGAAAACACCAAAAGCAATTGCAACGGAAGCCAAAATTGACAAATGGGACCTAATTAAACTAAAGAGCTGCTGCACAGCAAAAGAAACTAGCATCAGAGTGAATAGGCAACCTACAGAATGGGAGAAATATTTGCAATATACCCATCTGACAAAGATCTAATATCCAGAATCTACAAGGAACTTAAACGAATTTACAAGAAATAACCAAACAATCCCATCAAAAGTGGGCAAAGGATATGAAAAGACACTTCTCAAAAGAAGACATTTATGCAGCCAACAAACATATGAGAAAAAGCTCAACATCACTGATCATTAGAGAAATGCAAATCAAAACCACAAGTCAGAATGGCAATTATTAAAAAGTCAAGAAACAATAGATGCTGGCGAGGCTGTGGAGAAATAGGAATGTTTTTACACTGTTGGTAGGAATGTAAATTAGTTCAACCATTGTCAAAGACAGCGCAGCAATTCCTCAAGGATCTAGAACCAGAAATACCATTGACCCAGCAATCCCATTATTGGGTATATACCCCAAAAATATAAATCACTCTACTATAAAGACATATGCACATGTATGTTTATTGCAGCAGTACTTACAATAGCAAAGACCTGGAACCAACCCAAATGCCCATCAGTGATAGACTGGATAAAGAAAATGTGGTACATACACACCACGGAATACTATGCAGCTGTAAAAAAGAATGAGATCATGTCCTTTGCAAGGACATGGATTAAGGTAGAAGCCATGATCCTCAGCAAACTGACACAGGAACAGAAAACCAAACACTGCAAGTTGTTGCTCACAAGTGGAAGTTGAACAATGAAAACACATGGACACAGGGAGGAGGACAACACACACCAGGGCCTGTTGTGGCAAAGGGAGGAAGAGTATTAGGACAAATACCTAATGCATGCAGGGCTTAAAACTTAGAAGGTGGGTTGATAAGTGCAGCAAACCACCATGGCACATGTATACCTATGTAACAAACCTGCATGTGCTGCACATACATACCAGAATGTAAAGTAAAATAAAATAAAATATTTTTTTTTAACAAAGTCATGCTCTGTCACGCAGGCTGGAGTGCAGTGGCATGATCTCGGCTCACTGCAACCTCTGTCTCCTGGGTTCAAGTGATTCTCCTGCCTCAGCCTCCTGAGTAGCTGGGAATACAGGCAGGCACCACCACACTCGGCTAATTTTTGTATTTTTAGTAGAGATGGGGTTTCATCATGTTGGTCAGGCTGGTCTTGAACTCCTCACCTCGTGACCTGCCCGCCTAGACCTCCCGAAGTGCTGGGATTATAGGCTTGAGCCACTGCACCCAGCCAATTAAATTAAATTTAAAAAAAGGAAAAAGAAAAAATTTAAAAAAAGAAAATGCAAAGCATCAGGAAATATAATCAATAAGAGAATAAATAATCAATCAAACCAGACTCAGAAATGACACATATGGTAGAATTATTTAGACAAGGATATTAAAAGAATATTATAAGTGTATCTAATTTGTTCAGGAATGTGGAAGGCAAGTTGACTACATTAAGTAGAGACATGGAAGATATATAAAAGACCTAACCTGAACTTCCAGAGGTTAAAATTACACAGGAGGGGATCAACAGAAGATGAGACACTACAAAAGAAGATTAGCAAATTTGATAACAGCAATAGAAACCTTCCACAGAGGCAAAAAAGAAAGAATAAAAGCAAAAGAGCATCAGCAAGTTGTGGTCAACTTTAATTGGCCTAATACATGTGTGATTAGAGGCCCCAGAGAATGGGTAACAGAAAAATATTTAATGACCAAAAATTTTATGCTAACTATAAACCCATTGATCCAAGAAAAATGAAGAAAACCGCATCGATACACGTCGTAACTAAATTGCTTAAAACCAGTGAAAAAGAGGAAATTATAGAAGCAGCTGGAGGAAAAAAAATACACATTATGTAAAAAGGAGCAAAAACAAGAACGACAAAGACAATTTTTAAAGAAATCTGATGATCAGGTATGGGGAAAATTTTTAAAATAATTATAGCAATCTTGTGAGAAACAACGCAAGCAAAAAGATTAGTGGAGTAGCTTTTTTAAAGTACTAAAGAAAAAAGTCTGTCAACCTAGAATTCTATACTCAGTGAGAATATCTTTCAAAACTGAAGGTGATGGAGCAAGGAGGATATGGGAAATGTCTGCACCCCCTGCTCAATGTTGTTGTGAAACTACAAGTGTGCTAAAAAATAAAGTCTAGTAATAAGAAAAGAGTGAAATAAAGAACTTTCCAGACATACAAAATCTAAATAATTCAGCAGAAGTAGAATGACACTAAAATAAATGTTAAAGGAATTTCCTCAGGCAGAAGAAACATGGTCTCAGAAACTTAAGGCTACATGAAAGAATGAAGAGGAGTACCAGAAATGGTAACTACATGGTGTATATACATGATTTTTTCTTATATTTTAAATTTATTTAAAATGTAATTGACATTTTAAAGCAAAGCTAATACTACTCACAAAGATCTGTTATGTGGGTACCATTATCCCCATTTTAGAGCTAAGAAAACTAAGACTCATACGAGTGTCATACTTCCCCAGGGTCACAGATATGTTTGACAGCAAAGTCCTTGCCTCTCAAACAAGTTATATATGACCCCAACAGTGAAATTTGTCAACTTTCCTCATTATACACCAAGGTCTTATAGATAGGAAGCCTTGTCTTATCTATTTTAAATCTTCTTCCCTGTAGTACTTAATATAGAAACACACCATAATAAATACTTGTTTAATAAGTTAATTAAGAAGAAAATATATTAGTCTCTAGGGAAGAATTTACCACCTTATTTTGGAAACATGACACAAAAAACAATTTGAGAAAAATCCAAGATTAGGAATATTAAAAACAGCTATAATATACTGAGAGATTGTCAAATGTCTGGCACTGAACTTAGCATGTTTCACACATTGTCATTTAATCCTCATAAAAACTCTATGAGAAGAGAAAGTACACCATAGATTAGATACACAACACCTTTAATGGACTGGATAACCTATGTCTTTCCATATTCCATCAGTTGCCTGTGACTTATCTTACCTTCCAATTGCATGGTAGGCTGCTCAAAAACCTTTCAAAGTTCTGCATGTTCTGCATGGAGACATCCCCTTCTGCAGAGGAAGTGTCTCGTCCAAGCTGATCTTCAACCCAGATAAACCACAGAGCTAATGGAGGGTCAGTAGGTGTGAACAAGGATTTGGCTTCTTACAGTGAAGCAAGATGGAAAATAAATGGCTTCCATGTTTGCACACAGGCAGGATTCCTGTCTTCATCAACAAATACGAGGTGAGGCAGAATGAAGGTTCATAATCACCCTGGACCTAGAAGCAGAAAGAACATGTTTTTAAATTTTTTTCCTAAGATTGAAACCACATTTTTGGAGAAAACCCCTACAGAAGAAGGAAAGAAGTTGGAGATTCAGGTCCTTGGTAATCAGGACCGAAGAGAGTATTTTGGTCCAAGATGAACTGAAAAGGTATTTGTGGGATGAGTAGAAGAATTATAGGGCCAGTAACTGGGAGCAGTGGCTCACGCCTGTAATCCCAGCACTTTGGGAGGCTGAGGTGGGTGGATTGCCTGAGGTCAGGAGTTCGAGACCAGCCTGGCCAACATGGTGAAACCCCATCTCTACTAAAAATACAAAAATTAGCTGGGCATGGTGGCAGGCACCTGTAATCCCAGCTACTCGGGAGGCTGAGGCAGGAGAATTGCTTGAACCCGAGGCAGAGTTTGCAGTGAGCCAAGACTGTGCCACTGCACTCTAGCCTGGGAAACAGAGCAAGATTCCATCCCAAAAAAAAAAAAAATTACAGGGAAGGAGAGAAAGTCATAACTGATCACATACATCCATTATTTCATTTAGTTCAATAAATGCATGCTGGTACACAGTATGTGTGAGTTTCAAATATAGTCAATAAAACTGACCTGTTCACTGTCCTCATAGAATTTACAGGGTAATGAGTAGGAAATAAATATGTATTGCTGATGTGGTGATTTGATGTTATCCCCCACATAGTCATGTCTATCCACAAATTTAGAATGTCTGCAGATATAATTATTTCAGTTGGGGTCATACTGGTGAGCCTTAAATCCAGTAGCTGGTATCTTTCTAAGAAGAGAAGAGGACATGCAGAGACACACATAGAGAAGAAGGCCACAAAGAAAAAAGCAGAGAGTGGAGTGATGCATCTACAAGCCCAGGGTCACACAGGATTGCTGGTAACCATCGGAAGCTAAGAGACAAGCACGAAATTGACTCTCCTTCAGCGGGTCCAAAAGGAACTACCCTGAAGATACCTTGATTTCAGACTTCTGGTCTCCTAAACCATGAGAGAACAAATCATTATTCTAAGCCATCCAATTTGTGGTGATTTCTGGTGGCCATCCTAGGAAACGAATATGGTTAGGTCACAAATGTGCACATTATAACCAGGTTTCAAAGAAAGTGCACCACTTGTATCTCCTGAATTAGCCTGAAAATCCTCACAAATCCTTGTCCTGAGGGGTAGTGGTGAAAATTCAAATTTAGTTTAATCAAGTTAATTCAGTATGATCCAATACTTTAAACCATCCCTGAAGGCAACTCAATTTCTTTCAAGCTTTCCCAGTTTTCTCCCCTTCTCCTTATATGTCCCGTTCATTGAGTATCTGGATGGGGATCTGGAGGTGGAAGTACATGGCATTATGGTGGCAGAAAAGAGAAGGACCTCAGATTCTATATTACCTCCCAGTTACATGGCAGGCTGCTCAAAAACCTCTCAAAGTTCTTCATGGAGACATCCCCTTCTGCAGAGGAGGTGTCTTGTCTAAGCTAATCCTCAACTCAGATAAACGAGAGAGCTAATGGAAGGTTAGTGAGTGTGAACAGGGCTTTGGCCTCTTCCCACCATGCAAGGTGGAGAATAAATGTCCTCCATGTTTCCACCCAGGCAGGCACCATTTACAGAATCCCTGCTCTTCTGGTCTCCATGGCAATGCCCCTTATTGCCGGGTTGCTGAGCAGCTGCTGGCAGTCAAGGAGGAAGCCAGTCTGGTGAATTGCGCTCTGTGCTCTCCCAGCCCAGTCAGGACCTGTGATATGTCTCTCCCTGCTTCTCCCCAAGCTGTATATCCCTCTGACGCTGACCACTCCCACTTAGCTCCTAGGCCAGGGGAGCTGCCCTGCAACACACTACCATAGATCACTTTGCCTCTGGTGCAGCAACACCTAAGGCAAACTTCCTAGCCATTCTCAGCTAACCTCCAAATGCTCTCGGTGGTTCAGAAAAATTCTGGCTCCTTCCATTCCCCACAAGAGCCAAAGGAGGCTCAAGATGCTATCTCAGACTAGCCAGACTTTACAACAGTGTGCCGCCGACCTGAGGCAGTCACCCCATGTTGACACATGGGAGACATCTTACAAATCCCTCTCCTCTCAGATGCCAAATAGGAAACAGGACCAGAAAAACCTCTTTTTTTGCTATCATCTTTTTCCTCAATCTATCTTGCTGATTTCCCCTCCCTGCACTTCATCCCAGAGAGTTTGATTAAGATGCATGTGTTTTATTACCTGCTCCATCGAGCTGCTAACTTGTTCCTTCCCAACCCACCTGAAATGACAGAAATGGGACTTCAGCTGCTTCTTCCTCTCTCTCCCCAGGATGTTCCCCATTCTACACCCTTCTGTTTCCAAAAGTAGCATCTTTATTTCCTCTTCCTCTAAAGATGTATTGAAATAATACTCTTAGTCCAGTTTATGTTGCTATAGCAGAAGACAACAGACTGCGCAATTTATAATGAACAGAAATTTATTTCTCACAGTTCGAGGTTAGGAAGTCCAAGATCAAAGGGCCAGCCTGTGGCGAGGGCCTTCTTGCTGCATCATTCCATGGTGGGAGGTGGAAGGGTAAGAGAGGATAAGAGAGAGGAAAAAAGGGGGTGAACTTTCCTAGGAAACCCACTTCCACAATAATCCCTTCATGAGAGCAGAGCACTCATGGGCTGATCGCCTCTCATTAGGCCCCACCTCCCAGAACTGTTGCACTAGGGATTAAGTTTCCAATATATGCTTTTGTGGAGACAAATTCACATTATAGCAATTATTATTTATCACAAAAAAGAGAAAGAAAAAAACCTCTAAATTTTTCAAAATACCCTAATTACTTGAGTAAGCAAAGATGCAAGTAAAACATTTGATGAGTATTAAGAATAATGCTCATCAAATAAAACAGTGTAAATGGCAGAAAATAATCAAAGATTTCTTAAAATAGTTAACATATTGAAGGCATAGTAAGCCTCAATAATTTCTTTTAATTATTGTAGTTGAAGCATTCGTTGTAGCATTGTTATGGGTAATTCCACCATGAACCGTAGCAATTGATGAGATGTGAATTGATGAATGAGCCTGTTCACAGCTCAACGGGTGATGGGTAGATGGCTTCACTGGTGCTTCAAGAAGTATTTCCAAACATAAATGCCATTGCCAAAATGCCCACCACATCTTCAAAATCTGCACCAAGCACCATGTCTTTATAAATTGTATTTCAGTAGCTACAGCTATAGCTATCTTTGTTTTTATCAGTTATAACATAGGTATGAGTCTGTTCTCACACTGCTATGAAGAAATACCCGAGACTGGGTAATTTATAAAGGAAAGAGATTTAATTGACTCACAGTTCCACAGGGCTGGGGAGGCCTCAGAAAACTTACAATCATGACAGAAGAGAAAGAATACACGTCCTTCTTCACATGGTGGCAGGAGAGAAAAGTGACATGCAAAAGGGGGAAGAGCCCTTATGAAACCATCAGATTTTGTGAGAACTCACTCATTATCATGAGAACAGTATGAAGGTAACTACCCCCATGATTCAATTACCTCCTACCGGGTCCCCATCCCCCATGACACTTGGGGATTATGTGAACTACAATTCCAGATGAGATTTGGGTGGGGACACTCAAATCATATCAACACCCCTTCATGAAAATGTACTGCAACCTAAAAACAGTAAGCTCTCTTGTCTCAGTCCATGGCACCTATCCAGATGGAAGAAGGCCCAGAAACTCCAGGGCCATGAGAACCACAGCAAGAGCCATATCTGCAAGAACCAGGAGTAACTGGATGCTGGGATAATGCTGGTGACAGGCATGAAAACAAATGTCACCCACGTGATGTGGGAAGGTTGGTATGAGGCAACCCACATCAAGAGGAAACAGCAGCTTCTGCCCCACTGCTAATTTTACAAACCTTGGTCAGTGAGCGCACAGATCAATAGTACCAAAACAAAGCTAGAGCTGCCATCATTGATGGTGATTGGGCACGTAAAAAGTTCTAGGGGGCCAGGCGTGGTGGCTCACGCCTGTAATCCCAGCACTTTGGGAGGCCAAGGCGGGCAGATCACGAGGTTGAGAGATCGAGACCACCCTTGCCAACATGGTGAAACCCCATCTCTACTAAAAATACAAAAAAAAAATTAGCCGGTCATGGTGGCAGGCACCTGTAATCCCAGCTACTTGGGAGGCTGAGGTGGGAGAATCACTTGAACCCGGGAGGTGGGGGTTGCAGTGAGCTGAGATGGCGCCATTGCACTCCAGCCTGGGCAAAAAGAGTGAAACTCTGTCTCAAAAAAAAAAAAAAAAAAAAAAAGTTATAGGGGAGGGAAAGCCCCTAAAGCAGTCCATCATCACAAAGACAAAATTCTTCAGCAGAAAAGCCAAGGAGAAGAGTAAAGGCATATGTATGTGGAGGGGAAGGGGTCTGCGTCCTGCTGGACTGAAGTCACAAGAAGTCGACTAAGTGATAATAAATGCTTTGAAAGATATTACCAGCGCAAGAGATTAGCTGTTTTCCAATGCCCTGTCACATCTTGTTTTTTACTGACATATAATAATTGCACATTTTTATGGGGTACAGTGTGATGTTCTGACACATGCACACATTGTGCAATGATCAAATCATTGTAATTAGCACATTCATTACCTTAAACATTTATCATTTCATTGTCGTGAGAACACTCAGAATACACTCCTGTTAACCTAGGAAGGTCATCTCTGTGCATGTTCTGCCCTCCACCTCTCATTTTCAATTCTCTGAGCTCCACTGGTTAGCCACTGATGTCTCATCAGTGAAGAGCAGCTTCCAGGTTAGGTGTGATCATTCTGTACAAACTGTTCCACACCTGATCATTACTGGGTGGAAAATTTCCAGCATCTTCCTGATCTTTCTCTAATTAGGTGCAGAGCATGTGAGCTTTCTTCTCCCTTGAATCTTCTTCCCTGCTCACCATGTTGGTAAAATCCTGTATCTTCTTCAAAATTATTCTGACATCATCTCTTCCCTGAAACATTCTCTCATCCTCCCAAGGAAAATTAGTCATTCTATTTTTTCCAAAACCCCTATACTTTATACAGTACACATTACAATTTGCGTCTAATGCCCTGTATCACACATATTTATTTACACAATTGACTCTGCTTGTTTTCTTGAGGGAGCCAATTTTATCCTGTTCAACTCTGTCACTTTAGGTCAGTGGTTCTCCACCCTGAATTCACAATGAAATCACCTGGGGAGGCTTAAGAAATGCAGATGCCTTGAAGAAACCCCAGGGGTTCTGGCTTCATTAGTCAAGGGTTTGGCATTAGAGTGGGTTTTTAAAAGTAGATAGCTTTTGAATGTGACAGATAATCCTAATACATAACCAAGGTTGAGAGTCACTTCCCTTTTTCCTAGCATAGGACTTGATGTATTAGATTCTTTGCCATGTAACTGTTTCACGTGTGTTACGTTCAATGCTCTTAACCTTTGGCAAATTTTCCCCTACAACTGTTATTAGGATAAGTCACCAAAATATCACTTGTCCCTGAAAAATTTAACAAACCTTTGAAATGGAAGTCACCATCCATCAGTGCTGTAGGGTCATAACAACACTTAAGAAATAGCTCCTCCTGAAGTTAACTTCATTATTTAACTGTTAAATTTATTATTTTTGCATGAAGCCCACATATACCCTGAAATATACTCTGTGGTCCAGAAACGGAACTCTAAAACAACAGCAACGAACTTGACAGGCGCTTCCCGGGAAGTTCGAATTCCCCACACTCTGTCCCCACCAGCCATGGAATCCTAAGACTGTTCAAACTGCTTTCCTGTAATCCCACATAAGAGGAGATCATTGTTAGCAAGAGGGCTGCATTGGTATCTGTGTGAGATTTCCCCTTTTGTTTGGTTTTGACTTGGAGAAGATTTTCCATTGTGATGCTCAGATGCAAAGGCAGAAAGAAGGTTTTACATCAGGTAGAGGATGGTATAAGCTGGAAGCCTGTTGGGAGACCTTTGGCATATTTCTGAGTTAACATGGAAGAAGAAGAACTTTGAACAGTTTTCATCCTAATGACATGTTCAGAGTTTCCCCCATCGGCCCCTCCCCCTCAGTGGTTTGATCATCTAGAAACAAATTGGGGATGCTTTGCTATTAATGATGTTGACCTCATTTGCTTCCTCGACCATCAGTGAGGAGTCCCCCCCCGATTTCCTTTTCCCTAGTTTGACCTGGAGGCCAGCTGTCATTCCACCTGTGCCTATTTCTACATATTTTAATATTCAGGCAAGGGTTAGACTTAATAAGAGCAGACAGATTCTGATTCTCCGTCTTTATTATTTTGAAAGCCATATTAACCTGGTCTAGGCTGACCTTATAAAAGCTGCAGTGAGAGCCTTATAATGTAGGCCACAGCCATCCCTTCCTTGAAAATGTCTTCCCTGATGCTAATAACCCATCACTTTAAATTAGTTCTTTAGGATTTAGGGCAGCTAGTTTACAGCCAGACACCTGCCTCATCCCCATTGGTAATAGCATCCACCTTCCAGGGTCAGAATGAAGTCCTAGAAACAGGGGGAATATGATGCAATTCAGCCCCTGTTATATTACAGGTATGGACAGAGAAAGGGCTAATTATGGTTAAGCAACATGGAGTATCAGCTTTGGGGAGGAATGTGGAGACCAGTGCTCCCCAAAGAACTGGGTATCAAGGGTTCTTGTTGAGCATTAAGGGGATAGACTTGTCATTTAAAAAAATGGAAGACCCAGGCCAGGCTCGGTAGCTCACGCCTGTAATCCTGGCACTGTGGGAGGCCAAGGCGGGCAGATCACCTGACATCAGGAGTTTGAGACCAGACTGGCCAACATGGTGAAACCCGATCTCTACTAAAAAAATACAAAAATTAGCCAGGCATGGTGGCAGGCATGTGTAGTCCCAGCTATTCAGGAGGCTGAGGCATGAGAATCACTTGAACCAGGGAGGTGGACGTTGCAGTGAGCCGAGATCCTGCCACTGCACTGCAGCCTGGGCAACACAGCAAGACTCCATCTCAAATAAATAAAATAAAATAAATGATGGAAGACCCAAAGAGACAATACACAGTATTAATAGTGTCTTTGGCCATTTTTGCATTGCTACAAAGAAATACCTGAGACTGGGTAATTTATAAGAAGAGAGACTTAATTCATTCATAGTTCTGCAGAGTGTACAGGAAGCATAGCAGCATCTGCTTCTGGGGAGGCCTCAGGAAACTTACAAACGTTATGGAAAGTGATGGAGGAGCAGGCATGTCACATGGAAAAGCAGGAGCAAACAAGAGCGATGGGGGAGGTGCTACACACTTTTGAACGATCAGATCTCACAAGAATTCACTCACTATTGTGAGGACCACACCAAGGGGGATAGTGCTAAGCCATTTATGAGAAACCACCCCCATGATCCATGATCCAGTCACCTCCCACCAGGACCCACCTCCAACACTGGGGATTACAATTCAATATGAGATCTAGGTGCGGATGCACATCCAAACCATATCAAATAGTAATTAAAAGTAGCAGATGGCGAACGATTTCCATGGCTCTTGGACTGTTTTAGGAGCTGTATATGCATTGTCCTCTTTGATCCTCATAACAATATTAAGAGGAAAGTACTACTATTATTATCACCCTGATTTATAAATGGGGAAACTGAGGCTCAGGAAAATGCAGAATTTACCTAGAGTCACACAGTCGAGAAATGGTGAAGCTGGGATTTGATGCCAAGGAATTTGACCCCCTCCCACCCCAAATGATGTTCTTGACCATTATGCTATACTGCCTTATTAACAGGGACCTGGTTATGCATTCTTTTCTTGAAAGGTGGAATCTTAGCATCCAGGACATAGTTTGAAGTCCTGAGTGCCAAGAGAGGTAAGGTAGCTTGCAAAAAACACAAGCCTCACACATTGCCCCCGGCTGTCCTGGTTTCTTGGGCTGGACTCCACCACCATCATCTGACAATAATTTGATATTCATTTTAGGAATCATAAATATGGCCAAGAGTAGACTGCAGAAGATGTTTGCCCACTGGCCATATATGTCTGAGCACTGACAAATAAAAAGTATGCAACCCAGTCAATCAGAGGCAAAAGTAAGCAGCGATTTCAAGACTGCTTTCAGCCTCTTGAAGATAGCTCCACTGGCTGAACCACAGTGCTAATCAAGACAAGATTAATTAGTTCAGTGTAGTGTTTCTCAACCTCAGGACAATTGACATTTTGGGCTGGGTCAAAAAATTTTTTCGAAACAGTCTTGCTTTGTCACCCAGACTGGAGTGTAGTGGTGTGAGCATAGCTCACTACGGCCTCAAACTCCTGGGCTCAAGCAATCCTCCTACCTCAGCCTCCTGAGTAGCGGGGACTACAGGTGAGTACTACCATGCCCAGCTAATTTTTTAATTTTTTTTTTTTTTTAAGAGATAGGGTCTTGCTATGTTGCCAAGGCTGGTTTCGAACTCCTAGCCTCAAGCAATTCTCCTACCTTGGCCTCCCAAAGTGGGCAGGATAATTCTTTATTACGCAGAGTTGTCCTGTGCCTTTCCATATGCTCAGCAGCATCCCTGGCCTCCAATCACTAAATGCCCATAGCACCCTCTGCCCCAGTTGGGACAACCCAAAATGTTTCCAGACGTTGCTAAATGTCTCCTGGGTGGGGTGGTAGGGTATCAACACACCAGTGAGAACCACAATATAGTTCTCAAACTATCTCAAACTTTAGTGGGCATCAAAATTATACCAGGGGTTGATAAAACAGAGGTTTCTGGCCCTATCACCGTAGTTTCCAAGACGTTGATTTTAGGTCAGTTCTAAGAATTTGCATTTCTAGTAAGTTTCATGTGGTGCTGATGATGCTAGCCTGGGAACCACCCTTTGAGAACCACTGAGCTAATCCATTTTGTTATGTCGTCAGAGCTACACATATTATTAATCCTGGAAAGGGACAGTAGAGATAGTGTGAATGAATCGGATGCCATCTTTCACTTGCTAGGAAAAGAAAGGCTCTGTCTTAGACTTTCTGTCGAAGAGTCCGGGAGTGGAAAAAAGCTGCAGTTACATTAAAAAGACATGAATTTAAGCCCATAACAAAAAACTGGATGAGTTATTTAAAATCTCAAACCCTCAATTTCCTAATCTATGAAATAGAGCTAAGAACAAGTGACATTTTATTTACACTGGATTGTTGGTGGCTCAAAGAAATAATGAAATAACAATCCCAAACTTTGATCACCCTCAAAACACATTACAATTTCTTACCACATCCACCCACCACTTGAAATTAATACTTCTTTAAACTAATTCACTAAAATAAGTGGGAAAAAAATCTTAATTATCTACTTTATTATAAGAAATATCTGTAAAAATCATCATTTTCACTTGCTAATTATGTTTTCCCTAATATGCATTAAAATAACTATTAAAAATTTCCATGTATCAGCTACAATTATCTATATCTCCTGTGGTTCACGTTCCACACTTTGGAGGACACTGAGATATTTATGAGGGAGATTTAGATATTGCAAAGTGTTGTACAAATTCAAGGTGTGGTCATCAACCTTGCCTGGGCAGGGCAGATGTTGTAATTGTCTAGAAAGTGAGCAAATGGTGACATCAAGGTGGCCCTCCATGGTGTAAACCAGTGCAGCAAGCATATGTTTTCCTTCTGCTCTTGAAGCTTGGCTGTATATCAGAATTAGCCACTGAACCTGTTATCCTATCACTTTTGGTCTTTGAGAGCTCTTCCTAATACACTTTGATACCATTTCAAATGGGAGACAGTGAATTAAAAGGGGAGAGCAAACTGGAGCCAGTAGGAGTGTACTTAACACTAACAAGATCCACCTGAGTTTCAGTTATTTCTCTTGTTATCAAAACGGGTCTTCATTCAGAAGAGAACCATCAATGACTTTAGCACAATACTTCCTGAGGACTTCACCCCAGAGCTTTGTCAATGTTGGCAAATTAAGCCTTCTCTGTCTGCCTGTGGTCATGCAGCTTTTTAGCCTCATGTCTTCTTGGAATTGGCTCAGGTCCTCAGCCAACTGCTTCTCATTTTATTTTCTACTTTTTGGGACAGAGTCTTGCTCTGTTGCCCAGGCTAGAGTGCAGTGGCGTGATCTCAGCTCACTGCCACCTCTGCCTCCTGGGTTCAAGCGATTCTCCTGCTTCAGCCTCCTGAGTGGCTGGGATTACAGGTGTGCACCACCACACCTGGCTAATTTTTGTATTTTTTTAGTAGAGACGGGGCTTCACCATGTTGGCCAGGCTGGTCTCGAACCCCTGATCTCAAGTGATCTGCCTGCCTCGGCCTCCCAAAGTGCTGGGATTACAGGCATGAACTACCAGGCCCAGGCTGCTTTTCATTTTAAATCTATGGTTCTCCCCTCTACACATATTAGCCTCACCTTAGAATATTTTTGAAAAATTAATGCATGGGCCCTACCCCAGACCGATTAATGCATGGACTCCACCCCTGAAGATGGAACCTAAACGTAAGTATTTTTAGAGCACCTCAGGTGACCCAAACGTACATCCATGGTGAAGAACCCTGCTTTAAAGGAAGGAGAAAAAGTCCCCAGATACTTGAGCTTCCTGTAACCGAATGACTTCTTTTTTTAGAGACAAACAAGCACCAATTTTAGTTCTAAGAAGAAGGAAATGCCCTTTCCCCTTTGACCTCATACACTGACTTTTTCTCCACCCCAAATGGCAACCCATTCTTTTCCACATCTAGGCTCAAAGAAAGGAACAAACGAAGCTTGTTGAGTACCTAATACTATAACCTGCCCCAGGTTATAAAGTGTTTACTTCAACAAACACTGTTCTAAGGGTTTTACATGAAATTCACTGGATCCTCATCATGAGTAAATATTATTATAAGTTTTCTTATAAAGGAGAGCTATTAGGTTGTCCATCCAGCACAACCACAACTTCTGGAATCTCCCTCAGCGTTTTTGGAGAACGCCTCCCTCCCTCCATCTACAAGGTTCTAGTGGGAGCCGCCATTTTAGTACAACACCACTCCCAGTCTTTAGACGCAGATAATTGGGCTAGAAATAAAATGCACAAGATTTAGTCAGGCTAATTAACTTCTTCACTGAGAGCCCAGAGTTGAGAGGGGCAGAGAGAGAAAACGAGAAAGAGATAGGAGAAAGTGAGAGAGAAAAGATCTGCAGAGTCATGTGACTAGTCTAGTTAAATATAAGGTAGTGGCGTCAGCAGTCAGTATTTTTCTTGTATGTGTAGGTAGTAAAGGAAGCTAGTCTGCAGTGAGTAAGAAGAATGAAGCAAACACACTCAGAGAAGTTCATATAACAGATAAAGCCCACACGGAATTCAAGTTCCTAGTTATCCCTGTTTGCCCCGACACTCAGATCTGCTCTTGGGCTCGGTGAGAAACCTCAGTATCTTATAATAAATTCCCCCTTTTTGCTTAAACAAGCCTGAGCGGGTTTCTGTTACTGGCAACCAAAGGAACTTACATTAATATGACCATATGTAGGATATGGGGAAGGAGTTCAAAAAAGTATAAGACTTTGGCAGATGCTCTATAGGAATGGAATTTACAATTCAGGAAACGTGATAGAAAAATCTAAGATTTGGAGTCAGACACAGGGCAGCTCCAAACTCTCACTCAATAGACTGTGTCATCTTGGATAGTTATTTTACCTCTGCGAACCACAGGCTTTTCATTTGCATAAAGGATACCAATATTTCATGTGGCTGTTGGGAAAATTAAACACTAGTATACTGCCTGGCACTTCGGGGGGCCTCAATTAATCAGAATTCCTTTCCCTGTCTTAAAACTAGATCCCCGGGAACAAAGAGAAGAGGCTTCTGAAAGCTTGCCCAGCAAGATCATAGACCCGAGCATGAATGGGTTTTATGTGATCATAATCCCCTCACCTTTCCCCTTGCTCAGGAGAAGAGGAGACATAACATCATATAACCTAAAGAGTCCATTTCCACACTTCTGACTCCCTGCAACCCAAAGAGCATCAGAGCAGCCAATTAAGATGTTTTATTTTAAAAGTTCTCAGTGAAGGAAAGTGCAAAGAAGAGGTCACAGAACTTGGAGTTCAAAAAAAAAAATAAGAAAAAAAGTCCACTGGAGCATGTACTCTGAACGTGTCTTATTCTAAAACAAAAATTGTTTTAAAAACTGGGTTACTGAATTGAAATTCATCAAGATCCTCATTAAAAGTATGACCTTTCCTCATATGAATCCCAAAAAGAAAGAAAGGCATTTTTTTGGAGGTCATAGAAAAAAAACTGGGGCTTTGGAGCCAGGCAGATTCTGGGTTTAAATTTTGGCTTTGCCTCTTCGTACATAAATGACCTGCAGCAAGCCATGTCCCCTGTTCCAGCACCAGTTAATCTCCCCACGGTAACATAGACCTAAAATCCCTAATTAATTGAGTTGATAAAGGAATTACATAAGATTCTTGTAATGTGCCTACGTAGTGTCTAGCACTTAGCATATGCTCAATAAAAGTGGTCACAGCTCCTTTCCATACCCCATAAAGTTTTAGTATGGCCCTAAAGAACATGTACGTGATGATCAGACACAGTCAGGGGCAAGTTCCACTTCTGATTTGATGACCCTGTGAAACTTACTTAACTTTTTAGACCTCCAGTTTTGTAAATAAAATATAAAATCCTAAGCTTCCCAGCTGACTGAACAGACTCCCTCTTGGCCAAGGGGACCCCAGAGAAAACCTGAAAAACTGAGTTCCCACCATGACAGAATAGGAGGTCAAACATGCCTCATGACAGCCCCTCTGTTTTGCAGTTTGGACACAATTAACCAGAGTGAATGTTCAAATAGCAATCGTAAGACTGATAGAATGGATTATTTGTGGCAATGGATATCAAATTATAAACAGGACCTAAATCCATGCCAGGCAAAAGTTAACTCACACACCCCAAAAGGTCAATCTGGATTGTACTGTGTCTTGATCTTGCAACTCAACCCTGGCATAGCATGCCACGATGATTAGCTGACTTTATCTCAACTTAAACATTCCTTTCTGCTGACTCCAAGTTTTTAGACAAAGCTTTGTTCCTTTAATCATTTGCAAATTAAAGGACCTCTAAACCCACCTATGACCTGTAAATCTCCACTTCAAGATATCTCACCATTCTGGGGCCAATGCATAATCTCCATGCCTTGATTTATGACTTTGCTTGTAACTTCTGCTTCCCTCAAATGTATAACACAAAGTTACAGTCCAACTGCCTTGGGACCACTTACTCAAGGCTACTTTGGTTTGTGTTTTCCCTGGGCTGCAGTCACGCATATTGGCTCAGAATAAACCTCCTTGCAATATGTGACAGAGTTTGTTTTTTTCCACCAACAGTTTCCTTCTTTGTTAAACAGAAAAAACAACACCAACCTATAGGGCATCCTGTGTTTGCCCACCCATATCCACTTCCCTTTCTTTCTTCCTCATAGAAGTATGATGTTCTTCAGGCAGTGCCGTTCCCTGGTAGGCAGATGCTTGTGAGAGGCCAATCCCACCCACAGCTCCAGGTAACCTGATTGATCTGGAGGAAATCCTATTCTCTTGATTGGTTCAGGAATGGGCATGTGACATAACTGCAGCCAATGAGACAAGAGCAGAAGCTTACTACAGACTTTTGGGAGTCTAGTGCTTGGCCGCCTGGGTTTAAATATCACCTTCTAACTGGGTGCAGTGGCTCACACCTGTAATCCCCACACTTTGGGAGGCCAAGGTGGGTGGACCACTTGAGGTCAGGAGTTCGAGGCCAGCCTGGCCAACATGGTGAAATCTCGTCTGTACTAAAAATACAAAAAAATTAGCCAGGCCTGGTGGTGAACACATGTAGTCCCAGCTACTCAGGAGGCTGAAGCAGGAGAATCACCTGAACCCGGGAGGCAGAGGTTGCAGTGAGCTGAGATCGTGGCACTGCACTCCCGCCTGGGTGACAGAGTGAGACTCCGTCTCAAAAAATAAATAAAAATAAATAAATAAATATCACCTACCAGCTCTGTGTCCTTAGGGAGATTACTTGATCTCCCTGAACTTCATTTTCCCCATATGTAAGATTGAGATGATTATAACTTCTGTTTTATGGGGTTATTGTGTGGATTAAATTTAAATATGGTAAGCACTTAAGACTGTGTCTGACACATAGGAAGTGTTAGCTGTTGCTTTTATAGTGGCTGCTGTTGTTTCTATCCTTGTTGGTAGCAATGACAATAAGTATGATGGCATCCGTGATAAGAGCTAATCATTTTTTTGTGCCGTTACTGGGATACTTGGGTTGACTGTGACAACACCACCTACCTATAGTGTACCCTAGGCACCTTGTTTTTGCCCCCCCAGAACCACTTCCCTTTTTCTTCCTTCCTTACAGAAGAAGCATGATTTCCTTCAGGCAGCACCATTCCCAGGTCGGCAGATGCTTGCGGGAGGCCAACCTGACCTGTAGCTCCAAGGGTGACCTGATTGGTCTGGAGAAAATCCCATTCCCTCCATTGGTTCAGGAATGGTCATGTGACACAACTTTAGCCAATGAGACAAGAACAGGCGCTTGCTAGAGACTTCTGGGAAAAGTTTTCTCAAGGAATCTCTTCCATTTCTGAATGTTGTCTGATCTCCACATGATGCCTGGGACTATTTCACCCACTTCATGACCAGCCTAGGGGTAAAGCCAACAGTGAGTAAAGCAGAGAAGAAAGATAAAAAGGAGCTTCCTGGAGTCTTGTATTATCATTGATGCCCTGAATCAACCTCCATTGAAACTTGCCTTACCTGTGAGTTTCCTGTTGAAGGCAGTAATGAATAACCTCTCATTTAGTCAGCTGGGGTTGCAATTTCAATTATTGTACCCAAAAGTATCCTAACTAATGAGAGTTAATTAAGTTACCACATGTAAATTGCTTGTCCCAGTCAAACCTGGGACCCCAGTAAGGGCACCGAAAATGATTAGCTCTTAACACAAATGCCATCACACCAGCAATAATAAAAACAACAGCAGCCACAATAAAAGTAACAGCTAACACTTCCTATGTGCCAGACACATATCTTAAGTGCTTACCATATTTAAATTATTTAATTTTCACAATAACTCCCCCAATCTTACAGATGGGGAAAACTCAGTTCAGAGAGGTCGAGTAATCTTTCTGAGGTCACACAGCTGGTAGGTGATGTTTAAACCCAGGCAGCCAAGTACTAGAGTCCATGATACGAAAAAGAAGAAGATCACAAAGAAATTTGATTTGACCTTCTGGTTTGGCCTCCCTTTCTCCCTCTAGCTGCTAAACAAAGTCAAGGCAAATTAGCAGGGTCCCTGAGGAGCGATCACCATGAGGTGGAGAGGGGACTGATTTTGAAGTCAGAGATGTATGAGCAATCTCAAGTAAGATGCGTAATCCCACCGGGACTGAATTGCTTACCTGTGAAATGGTGGGGCGGTGTGGGGGGCAGGGAATACTCACCTCTTAAAATTATTATAAGGATTTAGAACAATTCATGTTCAGTGTGTGGCACAGGGCCTAAATGAAAGCTATTAAAGATGAATTATCACAGTACTCGAGCACTTTCATACCTTTCTCCCATTTACCAGCTGCCTTCTTTGTCTCATTTAGTGATGACACGAAGAAGAAGAAATACTTAAGGAGATTGAATGCCAACCAAATCGGCAGTTAACACTTGAATTTAAATCCCCTTTTCTGCCTCCCCTCTAAGGAGTCTGATGATAACTCCCTTCCAGGGTTTCATTTCATAACCTGGGCCAATTTGACTCATTATCTCCCTGTCAGCACGAAGAGAATGAAAACCAGTTGTCATTACCAACTTATCCCTGCTCTGAATAGAATATGGGATGGAGGAGAAGTGAATGCCCTGTATAGGTTGTTAACCCCCAAGAACAAATTCAAGGATTCTGGGACAAGCCCAGCCCTAGATCAGGCTGCAAATGTCCAGAGGCTTCTGGGTAACCTCAGGTGATAACCTTGGAAGGAGGGGGATACAGGGATAAGAGCAGAGGAAACACAGCTGGAGGAAGTAAACTTTGGCAAAAATGAATGGAGCATGGTGTTGAGAGCCACAAATCACATCAAACCAGAGCAGAGGTTCCAGACTCAGACTGACCTGGGCTTGAATCCAAGCTGCTGCCCTGTGGCCGTGGGCAGGTTGATCTCACTAAGCCTAAGTTTTCTTGCCAGTATGATGGAATAATACTATGTGCGTGTGTGTATGTGTGTGTGTGTGTGTGTGTGTGTGTGAACGCTAACTAAAATATGACTATCCTCTGAGAGCAGTTATTGTTTTTACCTCATGTGCCAAAAGTTGGGAAAGTGTCCCCCTTGCTTCACATGGCTGCCTTCTGACAATTTCTTTTCCTTCCTGCTTCCAACATTTCAGTTTCTTTCAAGGCCATGCCAAACCTTCACCATCCACAGATCCTGCTTTCAAAGTCTTCTGCTGATTTCCCAGACACTCACTCTTTCATTCCCTGAAGATTCCAGCACCTGGATCACTGTCTTCCTGTCCCCTGCTATTCCTGTCTTCCATCCTCGTGAGTCTAATATCCACATAAATTATCCATCCAATCCCCTCGCTTCTCAGGTCTTTTGCCCCCTACCTCCAAAAGTCTGGTTTTCTGCCCCACCTCAGCCCCTTACTTACCTCATTACTCTGTAGGACTTTGAGTGCATCAGATCCAAGATCTCAAACCTAAACATTTCATTCTCCAATTACATCCTCTTATTTTTCCAGCTCACCCTTGTGAGGCCCCTTCATCTGATCATTCTTCTCCACCAGTGAGACATCTAATCCATGGTCCCCCATGACTACCTCTTTACTCATCATCCCTTGTCTGCTCTTACTTTCTTCCCCACACAGTTTAGATTCAGAGTCAAGCACTGTATCTTACTTGGGGACACCTTTAACGCTCTTATCTCCTCTCGTTTTGGTTCCCCAGGCAAGCCACGTCTAGATTAAACCCAGTACTTCACCTATTCTGTGCCTGAAGCCTAGGCAGCTCAGAATGATTGGAGAAAACTTACACCAAGCTTACTGGCCTCTCCTTACCCTTATGACCACAGTCCTGCTGAAAAGTTCTGCTGTTTTCCCTAGAAAGTTTGCCTTTCTATTTTTCCAAGATGACTACTTGGTGTCTTCTCTCCCAACCTCCAATGCTTCTCCAATCTTAGAAAATTGATGACCATCCTCTCGTATAAGGACCTCTTCATCACCCCACCCCCACCACCAAATACACAAGCCTCTGTGGGGACTAATTCTGACCTTCCCTGTTGCATTGGCTGGACTGTCTATCTAAAGCCAACCCCTCCACTTATGCAAAGCCCCTTCTTCTTCAAGGATATCACTGCTTCAATTGTCCCCCATCTCTTCTGCATCAATTTCCCCCTCTTTGTGGATTATTTCTATAAGTCTATATGCATGCTACCATAACTCTCAATTTTTTTTTTTTTTTTTTTTGAGACAGAGTCTCGCTGTATCGCCTAGGCTGGAGTGCAGTGGCGCGATCTCGGCTCACTGCAAACTCCTCCTCCCAGGTTCACACCATTCTCCTGCCTCAGCCTCCTGAGTAGCTGGGACTACAGGCGCCTGCCACTGCGCCCAGCTAATTTTTTGTATTTTTAGTAGAGACAGGGTTTCACCGTGTTAGCCAGGCTGATCTCCATCTCCTGACCTCGTGATCCGCCCGCCTCAGCCTCCCAAAGTGTTGGGATTATAGGCGTGAGCCACCGCGCCTGGCCTGGTAACTCATTTTTAAGAACACTTCCCTTAATACCACATCTCCCTCCAACCACCACCCCATTTCTTTTTACCATTTACAACACAATGCCCCACATTCAAGAGTATTCTATCTCCATATGTCTCTTATCCACACCATTTCACTTTTTTTTTTTTTTTTTTGTGACAGAGTTTTGCTCTATTGCCTGAGCTGGAGTGCAGTGGTGCGATCTCAGCTCACTGCAACATTTACCTCCTGGGCTTAAGTGATTCTCATGTCTCAGCCTCCCAAGTAGCTGGGACTATAGGTGTATGCCACCATACCTGGCTAATTTTTGTATTTTTAGTAGAGATGGAGTTTCACCATGTTGGCCAGGCTGCTCTCAAACTCCTGACCTCAGGTGATCCGCCTGCCTTGGCCTCCCAAAGTGCTGGGATTACAGGTGTGAGTCACCATGCCAGGCCCACAGAATATTGACTTATCAAGATGGCTAATAACTTCCAAGTTGCCAAAATTAATTATTAATTTTCAACCCTCTTTTTACAAGAATTGTCAGCAATCTTTGACACATTTGACCACATCTCCCTGTGTGAAAACACTGTGTCCCTGACTTTAAAGATGCCACACTCTTCTTCAGGGGAAACTCTCCTTCAGTCTTTTTTGCTGGATCTTCCTCATATATCAACCTCTAAGTGCTGAAATGTTCCAAGGTGTAGTCGTTAGCCTGATCTGTCTTCTCCCCTCTTCTCTTTCCCTTTCCTTTCTCCTCTCCTCTTATCTTTGCCTTCTAAAATCTTTCCCTAGATGACCACATCTATTCTTATTCTTTTTAATATCACCTATATGTTGATGATCCCAGAAATAACATTGCTCGCCAACCTTTCCACAATATTCTGCTTCCCGGCTGGGCACAGTGGCTCACGTTTGTAATCCCAGCACCTTCAGAGGCTGAGGCAGGTGGATCACTTGAGGTCAGGACTTTGAGATCAGCCTGACCAACATGGTAAAACCCCCCTCTCTACTGAAAATACAAAAATTAGCTCAATATGGTGCTGTGCGCCTGTAATCCCAGCTACTCTGGAGGATGAGGCAGGAGAATTGGTTGAACCCAGGAGGCAGAGGTTGCAGTGAGCTTAGATTGTGCCACTGCACTCCAGCCTGGGTAACAGAGTGAGACTCCATCTCAAAAAATAAATAAATAAAATTCTGCTTCCAACTCAACTCTCCAGTTCCTAAGTCAAAATCTTCATGTAGACATCTAATGAGCATCTTAAATTTCTTAGGTCAAAAAATAGAAATCTTGATGTCTCTGAGAGAACCCACTCCATGTGCAAAATATATGCTCAATCTGGCCACTTATTACTCCCTTCATTATAACTCTTATAGCCTAAGCCAGGGACCCACAAACTATGCTCCTTGAGCCCAAGCCAGCCAGCAACCTGTTCTTGGAAAACAGTCACACTCGTTCGTTTACTTATTCTCTACAGCTGTGTTTATGCTATAATGGCAGGATTGAGTGGTTGTGACAGAAACCATTTGGCTCACAAAGTCTAAAATTCTTACTGTTTGGCTCCTTGCAAAAAAAGTTTGCTGCCCCCTGGTCTAGGCCCCTGTTGTTTCATGCCCATGAGGCTTTCCTGGCCTCCTTCTTGGTAGTCTTTCTTCCATAATTTTCCTTCTGCATCCAGAAGCCAGAATAATGTTCTTAGGACACAAATCATATCTTACAACTCTCTTAATCAAATAGCTCTAATTGTTCCATCATATTTGCAATAAAATGCCCAGTCTGGTTCACGGTCTGCAAGACCTAGAATAATCTGGATCTGCTAACTACAGCTTCACTTCCTATAACTTTTCTTCTTACTCAGGCACTGAGCCTTTGTACTGTTCGTCCAATAGACCAAGAACTTCCATCCTTCAGGGACTTTGCATATTTTTTTCTTTTTTTTTTTTTTTGAAACGAAGTCTCACCCTGTCACCTAGGCTGGAGTTCAATGGCACGGTCTCGGCTCACCGCAACCTCCGCTTCCCAGGTTTGAGCAATTCTCCTGCCTCAGCCTCCCAAGTAGCTGGTACTACAGGCACGTGCCACCACCCCCAGCTAATTTTTGTATTTTTAGTAGAGATGGGGTTTCACTATGTTGGCCAGGCTGGTCTCAAATTCCTGACCTCGTGATCCGTCCGTGTCGGACTCCCAAAGTGCTGGGATTACAGGCATGAGCCACCGTACCTGGCCTGCGTTTGTTTTTCTATCTGCCTAAATAACTTTTCCTCTACATATCCCTGTGGCTACTTCTTTTCAGTATTTAAATCTCTGCTGCAGCATCCTCTCCTCCCCAGTGAGAATGGCATTTCTCCTTTGACAGGAATTTTGTCTCTCTCATTGGCTGCCATGTCTATAGTACCCAGAACATTGTAGACTCTCAGTATATAATTGTGGAGTATAAGAACAAACGAATAAGCCCTAACATAGAGATAAGCATAAAGAACTGTGAACACACAAAGCAAGGGCACCCAGCACTTCTCGGCATTGCGGAATGGTTAAAAAGACTAGCAAAGAAGAAGACGCTGGAAGGGGAAGAAGGTGTTTCAGAAAGAAGAACAAAAATGTACAAAGACAGTAGCCATGAGAGAAGCTTGCACCATGTGCATGTACAAGGCACATAGAATATACCATAGATATAGCTACAGATATAGATCAGGGTGTGGGGGTGGAAATAGGCATAGTCAGATAATAAAAGATTTTAACTGTGAAACAGTTACATCTTTTCTGGGGTCGTTGAGAAGTTATTAATGGCTAAACAGAATAGTGGCATGATCAGAAATGCTGGGATCCCACACTAATGTTGTCCTACTACTCAAAATTCCACAGTCTTTCTCCACTACTAGTTTCTCTGGACTTTCAGCATCAAGGATCTTAATTTGGTGTCTGGTTCTTGAGTCAAGCTTAACATGTTTCATAACTCTGACATACCAGCTCCACTTCTGGAATCCCATAATAAGGTAATGACCTAAAATCCTGGAAAACATACATGCACAAAAATGTTTAACATAGTATAATTTATACTAGAAAAAAAAATTTAAGGGCCAGGCCTGGTGGCTCATGCCTGTAATCCTAGCACTTTGGGAGGCCTACGGGGGCAAATCACTTGAGGTCAGGAGTTGAAGACCAGCCTGGCCCACATGGTGAAACCCCATCTCTATTAAAAATACAAAAATTTACCGGGCATGGTGGCAGTTGCCTGTAATCCCAGCTACTCAGAAGGCTGAGGCAGAAGAATCACTTAAACTTGGGAGGTGGAGGTTGCAGTGAGCCGAGATCACACCATTGCACTCCAGCCTAGGTGACAAGAATGAAACTTCACCTCAAAAAAAAAAAGAAAGAAAGAAAAAATTTTAAGAAGAAAAAATTAGAATAAATGGAATATTTTATAGGGGTGTAAGGATTTGGAAAATTATGATGTAACTACTTATTGTTGTATTATGCAGTCATTAACTGATGTATTCCTAGAGGAATGGAAGAAAGATTCGTGGTTACCAGGCAGTGAGGATGAAGATGAGAGTTAATCACAAAGGTTTACAAAGGAATTTTTGGCGGCCGTGGGACAATTGTATCTTGATTATGGTACACGTTTGTCAAAATTCATAAAACTATGCATCAAAAAGGATGCATTGTACCATATGTAAATTATATCTCAGAAACCTCAAGAAACTTTAAACCTATGTTTCTGATTATTTTGAATGCCATGGGGAAGTTTTAAAATTATGCAACTTGAAACAATATTAAGTAACATAAAAATTATGCAGAGGAAAAACGCTAGAAGAAACTATGTCAAAATATTGTACCTATAGTAAATTATCTTTTGGACAGAGGAGAAAAATGGTGTTTTCTACTTTTTTCATCTTTTTTGTATTTAATTTTGATGATGATAAAATAAGTATATTTTGTTTTAAAAATATGTTAGACTGTTGAAGTTTCTCTAAACTTTCTTTCAATTGTTTTTGAGTTTAGGGTTCTTCAAACACCACAAGCTACTTTGCTTGTTATCTGCGATCTACTAGAAAGAGTAGTGAAAACCAAGGACAGCTCCTGAATTTACTGGGGTGGCTTTAGCATGGGCTTGGAATGGGACTAAAAAGCTGTCCCCTCTCATGATCCCATGGCCTCAAAGCAATAGCTCAGGTCAGGAAACAGGTTTTCTCTCAAATTGCTCTGTAATTGCGTGTCCTCTGCTGGCAAAATACACTTTCTAGTCCCTGCCTCCTTTCTCGGGCTTTTATAAACACAAGACATACAGAATACTTGGTAACAGTACAAGAAAAATGGTATTATTATCTAAACACTTGAAGTAGACAATCTCTTCAAAGCCATTTCATAAATCACATCTTAGAGCTTGTCATAAAATACATACAGCAAAGAAAAATAACAATTGTGTCCTTTGGAAAATGGATTTTAAACTTTCAACTAAGTTCATCAGAACCTTTTTTCCAAAGGCAATGTATGTTTTTGCTTCCTAGTCTAAATGGTTATGATGGACTGAAGTGTTGGTGAGGAGGTAACATTCTAATGAGGAAAAGCAGAGAAACCAAGAAACAAGATGAAAAAGCTATAATAAATTATGGATTTTGATAAATTGCCCCACACTGTAGCATTTCAATTACAGAAACACATAGTTTACACAAGTAATTACTGAAGAAATTACCACAGAAGCACATCCATTCATTGAATTATGAGGCATCAATTCTCTCCCCTTGATTGCATCTTCAGTTCCAAGAATGGCAATCACAGCTCCACACAAAACTTTAATAACACAATCTTTTTTGGATTAAAAAAACACTATTGGATGAGAAATATGTAAAGAGATGATAAGAAAAGGATGTAGATTCATGTTGAGAAACAGAATGCCTTCAATGAGTTAATTGCAAAGCCAGAACTTTGACGATTGGAAGGTGATCACTGGAGAAGCCTGTTCTGAACATGAGTCCCAATGTTTTCTGAGGGTCTTTGGCATCATGATGAGGGTCAGAAGAGATTATCTAGTGAGGATAAGGTCCAGCAACAAATGCATTATTTTTCTATTTTTTTGAGATAACAGTCTCACTCTGGCACCCAGGCTGGAGTGCAGTGGCATGATCACAGCTCACTGTAGCCTTGACCTCCCAAGCTCAAGAGATCCTCTTACCTCAGCCTCCCAAGTAGCTGGGACCACAGGTGTGTACCACCACACCTGGCTAAATTTTACATATATATATATATAAAGACAGGATCTTTATATATATATAAAGATATATATATATAAAGACAGGATCTCACTGTGTTGTCCAAGCTGGTCTTGAACTCCTGGCCTCAAGCAAGCCTCCTGCTTTGGCCCTCCCAAAGTTCTGGGATTACAGGTGTCAACCACTATGCTTGGCCCTAACCAATGCATTCTGTTGACATTAGCATGTCATGTGATAAGTCTCAGCAGAAATTTAAGGGCTTTTAATCTAATACTTTTTGCTATTATTTTGAATAAAATCATGATTTGGTTTGATTTGAATTTCCAACTTTTATTTTAGGTTCAGAGGGTACATGTGCAATCTACATGTGTAAATCACATATCACAGGGGTTTGATGAACAGATTATTTTGTCACCCAGGTAATAAGCATGGAACCCAATAGATGGTTTTTGAATCCTCATCCTCCTCCCACCTTCCACCCTCAAGATGGCCCTGATGTCTATCATTCCCTTCTTTGTGTCCATGTGTACTCAGTGTTTAGGCACTTATAAATGAGAACACGCCATGTTTGGTTTTCTGTTCTTGTGTTAATTTGCTCAAGATAATGGCCACCAGCTTCATCCATGCTGCTGCAAAGAACATGATCCTACTCTTTTTTATGGCTGTATAGTATTCCATGGTGTATAAGTACCATATTTTCTTTATCCAGTCCACTGTTGATGGACATTTTAGGTGGATTCCATGTCTTTGCTATTGTGAATAGAATACTGTGATGAACATACACTTGCATATGTCTGCCTTCATGACAAAGACTCCAAAAGCAACAGTCTTACTTTCAGTCCAGTGCTTAAATCCTTTCAACTCAGTGTCCAGTGTATATGTATACACAGATATATGCATGTGCATACATGCCCACACACACACACACACACACACACACACATAAACCTCCTATAGCAGATCATTCTTGGTGCTCCCTCATGTTCCCTCACTCTTATAACTTCAATGCAGACCAACCTAATTTGCAACTCCAAATTCAATGCCTGAGGACTTTCTTTGGCACCAAAGCACTTTGTTCACCGATTTGGCAGGCTAGAAGTGCAGCCCTCAGCCAAGGACTATCAGGAGTTGGTATATAAATACCCCAGCTCCCTTTCCCATCACAGGGATAGCTCCGAGGTTTAGGGCCTACACTGTTTCTCAGAAATTTTCCCAGTGGAATTAAGCTTCAGGTGCTCTCCATTGCAATGAGTTATAAAATATATACTTTATTTCTACCTCCTCTTTATTGTCTCATTCCCCATTCCCCTACTGATTTTTCCTGGGATCATCTCTAAAATACCTGACTTGAATCCTTATCTTAGGATTTTCTTCGGAAACCAAGTTTGGGGAACCCAAAGTAAGACATTCCTCATCCTTAAATTTAGGGTAATGATGCTCCCATAGTGAGCATTAAGTGAGAAAAATGCATGTAAAATGTCAATCACAGTGCCTGGTTCAAGTAGATGATCATTAATATTTATTATTATTACTGCTACCCCCATTTTTGTTAAAGTATATTTCATCACTATCTTCTGCTGTTACCAGCTTCTTGCCATCTCATTTGCTGTCTCTTTCCAAAGCTGTGGCTTTGATCCCCAACCACTAAAATGCAGGCTGACCAAAGGAGGACAGTAGCCCTGAAGGTATTCATTGGCATCAGTCACTTGTGGCTTCTAAACAGACCTACTACCCGGGTGTCGGGATTCCTCAGGAATCTTTGGGAAGCAAAATCAATGGAGAACTCAGTGGCGACAAGCTGTGTGTTATTTTTCTGTATTGTAACTGTGCATCTGTGTTTCCCCCTCCTGGCTGGAGCAGAAGCAGGAGCCACTTCGTGCTGTTGGGTGCAGGCTCTGGTGATGATGCTCAGAGAGTAAAGGTTATTGGTCCCAGACATGACAGTTTCCTCTCCAGGGGCCATAAACAGTAGTGGCTCCAGAATCCAAGCAAAAAGGTGAATGAGAAAAACAGAGTAATGTAGTACATGATGAGCTGGAGAATGGGAACCCAGCCTAAAGAATTTTAAATTAAGATATTTAAAAACTGTGTGAGAGCCAAGAAATCCATATATAGCCCCACAAAATGTGCACCCCCGCCTTTGCCTGAACCCAGCCTTAACAGTTTACAAAGTTTTGTTGCAGTCTACAAACCATTTACGAAGCATTTGGCCCTCTTTACAATCTTGTGTGGTCAGCCGGAATTTATTATCAGAATCTCCATTTTAGAGTGCAAGGAATTGAAGACCTCAACATTTAAATGACTCTTCTAAGAAAAGAGCACACAGTTAAAACTCATGAAATATCTGATTCTAAATACTGCGTTGTTTCTATGAACACACTCAGGGGTGGGGTCTTCGGGGACAGAATCCCTTTCACAAGGTTGTGGAGAGCTGAATCACCCATGAACTCAACTCTTGTTGAAAAGGGAGAGTCCTCAAAAGAGTGAGTATGATTCATGGGAACTCATCCATGTGAGCAGATCAGTCACTCAAAGAGGATAATAAACTCACAGAATAAAGGACAAGAGGATATTCGACGTGAGGTCAGGACTTTTCATTCATGGGGTATACTGGGTCGAATGCTGCCCCTCAAATTCATGTCCAGCCAAGACCTCAGAATGTGTCCTTATTTGAAAATAGGGTTTTTGCTAACATGATTAAGGTAAAGAGTGAGGTGAGATCTTATTGGATTTTGGACCCTAAACCCAGTGAATATCCTCATAAGAGACAGATAAAGACACACATGAAGAAGGCCATGTGAAGATGGGGGCAGAGGTTGGAGTGATGCTGCCATAAGCCAAGGGACACCTGGAACCACCAGAAGCTGGAGAAGGCAAGAATTCTGCCCTTGAGCCTTCAGAGGGAGCATGCCCCTGCTGACGCCTTGGTTTCTGACTTCTGGCCTCCAGAACCATGAGATAATGTATATCTATTGTCTTCAACCACTGAATTTGTGGTCATTTATCACAGCAGTCCCAGAAAGCTATAACATGAGATGATTGCCTAGGTGCAAGGGGATAAGGACTCACCATGCACCAGGCACTGAACTTTCACAACCATCCTAACATGGAATCATCAGGAAGCTCCTGTGGGACAGATAACATCGTGTTCATTGTATAGGTGAGGGAGCTAAGGTTCAGAGAGGGTAAGTGAGTCACTCAATATCACACAGCCCCCTAGAGGGCAGAGCAGAGATAGATCAAGCTCACACCTGTGTTTTCAATCAGCGCTGAGTTGAAGTGTGATTGTGGGACTCACAAAGAATAAGTATGCCCCCCCCTACTCTATGCTGAATGAGCTATCCTTTCTGCTCTGTTGCCTCACCCCTATTTCCCAGGGACAACAAAATGCACATGTGTTTCAATCCAGCCTCTTTGGACTACAAGTGGTGTAAGTTAACTCGCTTAAATCAAAATAAGCAACTGAACTCAAAAGGGAGATTTGCTGGATTTGTTGACTGATGAAATGAAAATTCAAGAGGTATTCCACCATCAGGGATGGAGGTTTTGGGGCTCGAGCAGCATCAACTGAGAGCGTTTCTGTCTCTTTCATCCCACAGGTTGGCTTTACTGACAGGCAGGTTCCAGTGGAATCAATGGCCGTGAACAGTATTGGGTTTACACACTACCAGCTTAGCAACTCCAATAGTGATTTTAACCTTAGTCTGTCTGATCCCAGAGCTTGCCTTTGCCATTTTCACTGCAGCATACTGATTTCCAACGTTTTCTCCCTTTATTCATTCCACAAATATTTTTTGAGCACCTACATTCTGCCAGGTGCTGGGCAAGATGCTGGAGATACAGCAGAGAACAAGACAGGTGAGGTCTCTGGCCTCCTTGAAAGCATTGTTATGCCTAAAGGTAGATGGGGTGTGGGATGCAGAGAAAAGAAGATAATTATATACAGTACAATGTGGTATAATGTTAGATGGTCATGATATAAACTGTAACAACAGAGGGGTGTGTTTATTTTCAATACAGTGGTCATGGTAGGGCTCTTGAAGAGGGGACATTGTATTTACACTTCAAGAGTAACTGACACATAGAAGACCTTGAACAAATATTTGAATGACTGCATTTAATTCAATTCTCTGCACAAAACTATGATGTCAGTTCATTATGATATCCATTTTATGGTCCAGTAAACTGAGGTCCAAGGAAGTTAAACAATCTGACCAAGACCACTCAGACGGCCAGCATAAAACTGGGATTTGACCCCAGAGTCCTTGATCTTGAGCACTGTGATTTTGTTACCTCCCAGGGCCATCACTCCCCACACTCCCAGTGCTGTTTCCACCAGTGATGCTCAAGTGTTCATGCACAGAGTCCGTGACACCAGGGCCGCAGAAGCCCAGGAGTACAGACAAACACCTCAGGCAAAGCTTGTACCAAAACTACTGCACACAACTCCTTGCCTCCCAAATGCTGCTGCAGAGCCCACAGATAATGCTCGCCTCTGAGTAGCATCGACCCTTCCTTCCCAAAGGCATCCATGGCGTCTACACCCCTGAAAATGCTCCCTGACAGTCACCTAGAAAGCCCTCCAGATTAAAGATGAAACATTATTCAAATATCTACCTCTTTTTCTGGGTAACTCTTGCTCAGAGAATTGCAGGGCTAGGCTTAAAATGTTCTGGCTCCTTGTGCAGCTGAACAAATAGAAACCCAGAAGGGGAAGTCACGTGCCTAAAATTTTACAGGGAGGAAGTAGCAACCCCATGGACATGAAAGTGTTAAGTGTAAAGGGTATGACATTTAGAGGGAGGCAGTCTCCATTGCAAATTCTGGCTTAACACTTAACACCTCTTTGAGTATCTGCTAAGTACTTACTACCTGACTAAGAATATTATCTTATTTAACTCAATCAATAGCATGAGGCAGTATTAAATATACATAATACTATATATCTTATCTATATATCTAGATATATTATATATAATATATGTATCTTTATCTATATATCTTATAGATAAGGAAACCTTAGCCTCAGAAGGGTAAAGTACCAGTTAATTCATGGTACAACCAGAATTTGAACCCCATTCTGACAGACTCCAAAGCTCTTGCTCTTAGTTTTTCGGTTTTTTGTTTTTTCGGGTTTTTTTTTTTCTTGTTTTTTTTTTTTTTTTTTCCCCGCTGGATGTTGTATTTCCACTTTGCACGGACATGACTCTTGAAGTTTTCAGGGAGATTGCACAGCTGAGAAGCCAGAAGCAACCTTGGCTGATAAATTACTATCCTGGCTGGGATTTCCCTCACCAATTGCTAAGCAAAAGGAACACATAAATTTTGGAGCAACCACCTTTTTAGGTGTGAGTTTGGAGCCTTGTAGAATAGAAGACTGGGCCAGGTGCAGTGTCTCACACCTGTAATCCCAGCACTTTGGGAGGCCGAGGTGGGCAGATCACTTGAGGTCAGGAGCTCGAGACCAGCCTGGCCAACATGGTGAAACCCTGTCTTTACTAAAAATACAAAAATTCGCTGGGCGTGGTGGGGCGAGCCTGTAATCCCAGCTACTCAGGAGGCTGAGGCAGGAGAATCACTTAAATGCAGGAGGTGGAGGTTGCAGTGTCCTGAGATCATGCCACTGCACTGCAGCCTGGGTGACAGAGTGAGACTCCGTCAAAAAAAAACAATAGAAGACTGATAGTGTCAACAGTTTAGCATTGATCTGGTGACATCATGATCATCATCCTTATTTTCCTCATCATCACAATAACATCAGAACCACTATTTGTTAAAGGCCTAGCAAATATCAAATCTTATGCCATGTGCCTTGCATGTACTTTCCAACTTCATCCTCACAATAATGCTGTAATACAGATGACACCTACCCAGTTTTTACCATTGAGAAAAGAAAGATCCAAAGAAGCCGAATAATTTGTCCAAGATCGCACACTGGTGAAGTGGTACAGCTAGAATTCTATTCAAGGTCTTTTTGAATCCACAGCACTGCCAGTTTCACCAAATGGTCTGATTGTTAAGAACCAGGATAAGTTTCCCTTTAAACAAGATCAAAAAAAGCAGACGGAAATGCCAGCATCCAATTAAATAAGAATCCTGCATGGATGATCAAGGAGAGATGAGTGGAGGGACACATATGTCTTTGAGCCAGTGAGCTAAAACAAGTGGGGGCTTCCTACAAGGGAGTCTATGGATTTGGCTGTTGCCCCTGGCAACAGACACAGGCAATTGGTTGAATAGCCCCTCCACCCCTGAGCATGGGAAAGGCTGGTCTTGGAAGCAGCCATTGTTTCAAACATTGCTTCTGCTTGAGGTCTTGCTGCTTGTGAAATAGTTCCCTCTCTCTTCCTGAACATTCCACCTGTTGCGTCCCCTGGCAGGAGCCAGCAGCTTAGCAAAGATGAATCTTCTCTCACGCCATGGCCTGTCACATGGACATCTGGAGTTCTGACCTGCTCAGGATCCTCTCCCTCTTCTTTTGTATCAGAACTCTCCATGATGGCACCACACCGGTCCCGATCCGCTTCTACTATCACACGGTGTAAAGTCTGGCCAATCAGAGCAGCTCATTCAATGGGCCACAATGATTGGTTCAGGGAGAAACATGTGACATAAGCTGGGCCAGTTAGATTCCTTCCTGGGACTTTTAATTTGGATTTGAGAGAGGGATGATTTCTTGCCAAACTGGTAGGACGTAAATTTGGGGCTGCCAGTGACCATCTTGCCTGTCGTGTGGATGGCACCTGAATTAACAATGTAGGAAGGGGGCCCAGAGAACACTAGGCTCACTAATTCAGCCCTCTTGCCTAGAGCCAGACTTGTCTTTGGAGATGTCTTTGTCCTATAAGAAAGGAAATCAGTAATCAGAAAAAGGAGTTAGAAATGTGCAACCCTGTCCAACTTTCTACAAAATTCCTCAGTGCTACAACTTTAGTCCAAGCAACCACCATCTCTTACCCAGAAAAGAAGATTATTGTTCTCCCTGCTTCTTCCCACCCTTCCATTTCATTTTCCTCAGCCTACAGAGTGACAATTTTTAAAAATGCAAATCAGTTTTGCATGTTAGTATCATCTTATTTCATACTGAAGAATTCCCATTAGCATTTCTTGGAAGGCAAGTGTAAGGGTGATGAATTCCCTCAGCTTGTGTTTGTCTGGGAAAGAATTTATCTCTCATATTTGAAGAAGAAAAGCTTTGCTGAGTGCAGTATTCTCATCAGTAGTAAGTCATTACCTATCAATAGTAACATTAAATGTATACAGACTAAATTCTCCAATTGAAAGACGTAAAGTAGCTAAATGGATAACAACGTGAATCAGATTATAAGATTTCCTGATGCCCTGAAGATTAGTAAAAGTCCTTTCTACTGCCTATGAAGCCCTACATCAGAGGTCTGCAAACTGACCTGTGGGCCAAATCCAGCCCAATTCCTGTTTTTGTAAAGACAGTTTTATTGGCACAAAACCATATTCACCCATTTTTACATGTTCATGGCTGCTTTCTCTGTCAATAGAAGATTTGAGTAGTTGAAAAAGAAACCATACGGTCTGTTAAGCCTAAAATATTTGCTATCAGGCCGTTTACTGGAAGAATTTGCTGACCCCTGTGGTATATCATCTGGCTCCTGTGTCTGGCTCATCCATGCAACTCTCCAATTTCCTGCTGTGCTACAGCCACACTGCCCTCCATAAAGCTCATCCTCACCCTGGGCCAACATTCATCTCTTCTATCTTTACATGGCTGACTCTTAACCACTGATATCTTACCTTGAATACTTCGGAGATATCATTATGTTGTTTTAATTTCTTCATAAAGCCTATTACTTTGGGAAATCATGCATTTATTGCTTTACTTAACTAATTCATCCAACAAATATTTATTGAATATCTACTATGTGCTCAGTAATTGGTGAATGCCAGTAATGGAAAAAAAAATGATTCTTGTCTTTTTAGAGCTCCCATTCTGCTTAGGGAAGATTGAAGATAAAGATGTAAGCACATTATCAGTGGGTTTTTTTCTAGTGAGAAAGGCTATATATTAGGGTTCTCTGGAGAAAACAGAACCAATAACTATATAGAGATTTGTAAGAAGAGATTTATCATGGGAATTAGCTCATGAGATTATGGAGGAAGGAAAAGAAGTCCCACAAGATGCTGTCTGCAAGCTGGAGAATAAGGAAAAATGGTGTTGTAATTTAGTTCAAGTCCAAAGGCCTGAGAACCAGGATCTCTGATATACAATGGCAGAAGATGTATATCCTAGCTCAAGAAGAGAGAGAGAGGGAGAGAATTTGCCATTTTTCTGCATTTTTGCTCTATTCAGGCCCTCAATGGTTTGGATCATGCTAACTCACATTGATAAGGGGGGATATTCTTTGCTTAGTCTACTGATTCAAATTCTAATCTCTTTTGGAAAAACTCTCACTGAAAATTTAAGGGAACACAAATAAATGGAAAGATATCCCATGTTCATGAATTGGAAGAATTAATATTATTAAAATGTTAATACTACCTAAAGTGATAAACAGATTTAGTGAATATTTATGAAAATATCAAAGACATTCTTCACAGAAATAGAAAAAAAACATAAAATTAGTATAGAACCACAAAAGACCCAGAATAGAGAAAACAATTTTGAGCTGAAAGGACAAAGCTGGTGGCATCACACTACCTGACTTCAAAATACATTACAAGTCTATAATATGCAAAATAGCATGATACTGGTATAAAAACAGAGACATAGACCAATAGAAGAGAATAGAGAACAAAGAAATAAATCCATGCACTTAAAGCCAGCCAATTTTTGACCAAGGCACCAAGAACACACATATGGGAAAGGACAGTCTCTTCAACAAATGATGCTTGAATAACTAAATATCCACATGGAGAATAAGACTGGACCTTATCTCTCACCATATAAAAAAGTCAACTCACAATGAATTAAAGATTTGCATGTGAGACTCAAAACAATAAAACTACTAAAAGAAAACATAGAAAACACTTTACAACGTTGGTCTGGGCCAGGATATTTTGGATAAGACCTAAAAAGCATAGGCAATGGAAGCAAAAACTGAATAAACAAAACTACATTAAATGAAACAACTTCTGTACAATGAAGGAAACAACAGAGTGAAGAGACAACCTACAGAATGGGAGAAAATATTTGCAAACTATGCATCTGACAAGAGGTTAATATCCAGAACATATAAGGAACTCAAACACCTCAATAGCAAAGTAAGTAAGTATTCTAATTAAAAAGGGGCAAAAGACCTGAACAGACATTTCTCAAAACAAGACAAACAAGTGGCTACAAATATACTTTTTTAGATGCTCAACATCATTAATTATCAGGGAAATGCAAATCAGAACCACAGTGAAGTATCACTTCACCCCAGTTAGAATAGCCATTATCAAAAAGACAAAAAATAACAAACACTGCCAGAGATGTGGAGAAAGGAGAACACATACCTTTTTGGTGGGAATGCAAATGAGTACAGCCAGCCATTATGGAAAACAGTATTAAGGTTTCTCAAAATATTAAAAGTAGAACTACCATATGATCCAGTAATCCCACAGCTGGGTATATATACAAAGAAAATAAAATGAAGGTATGAAAGATATAGCTGCACTCTCATGTTTATTGCAACACTTTACACAATAGCCAAGATATAGAATCAACCTGTATCCCACAGTGAATGAATGGATAAAGAACATATAGTACATTTAGGCAATAAAATACTATTTGGCCACATAAAAAAGAGAGAAAATTCCTGTTATTTGCAGCAATGTGGATGAATCTGGAGATCATTATGTTAAGTGAAATAAGCCAGGCACAGAAAGACGAATACCACACAATCTCTCTCATGTGTAGAATGTTAAAATGCTGATCTCATATAAGTAGAAAGTAAAATAATTGTTGCCAGAGACTGGGAGTGTAGGAGGTTAGGGAAATGGGGAGATGTAGGTCAGTGGGTACAAAGTTAGATAGGAGGAAAAAGTTCTGGTGTGCTATTGCACAGTAGGATGACTATGGTTAACAATATTTTATATAAGAAATGATAAATGTATTAGGTGATGGATATGGTAAATATGATTTATTCATTGCACAATGAATACGGGTATTGAAACAGCACACTGTACCCCATAAATGTGTACAATTATTATGTGTCAATTAAAAACAAACAAAAAATATATGCATCATGGTTTGTGCAAAGTTTAGAGTGTAAGTGTAAGATCTTTCAGAAAACTAATAGGTTGCTTTTATATTTAAGAAAAAAAAACTCTAATAGTAATAATTTTTTGCCAGCTATCTGCACACCCCTTAGGTCAGTCAAGGTGACACATAAAATTAACCATTATAGGTTATGAAGACAATAAAACAGAGTGATCTTTTAGGAAATGACTGTAGAAGTGGGGAGTATTTTAGATCGTGTATACAAGGAAGTGTTAATATTAGAGCTGAGGCCAGGTGTGGTGGCTCACACCTGTAATCTCAGCACTTTGGGCAGCCGAGGTGGGCAGATCACAAGGTCAGGAGTTCAAGACTAGCCTGGCCAACAAGGTGAAACCACATCTCTACAAAAATGCAAAAAATTAGCTGGGCATGGTCGTAAGCGCCTGTAATCCCAGCTACTTGGGAGGCTGAGGCAGGAGAATCGCTTGAACCCAGGAGGCAGAGGTTGCAGTGAGCCGAGATTGTGCCACTGCACTCCAGCGTGGGCAACAGAGTGAGACTGTGTCTCAAAAAAAAAAAAAATAAAGTATATATATTAGAGCTGAGAACTCAATGATGAGAAGGAGTGACCCCGGGAAGATCTAGAATATTTCAGGAAAAGGGAACTACAGCAAGTGCAAAGCCCCCGAGGCAGGAGAGAGGTTGGAACAGTGGAAAGAAAGCAGTGTGGCTGGACTAGATGGGATGAGGGATGAGGCATTCACATCCCCCTCTCTAGATTTTAAGCTCCGTGAAGACCTTGTTCATTTTGTTCACAGCCCTATCTCCAGCCCCTAGAAACTCTCCCATTCAGTTTTACTCATCCATGCAGAAAGAAAGTTAAACTAGATGATGCGTAAGTGCCTCGCCACCTCAAACCTTCTATAATTTGAACTTTCTAAAATAACAGAATTGAGTCCACTGACTTCCCTTTCCGGAACCAGCAAAATGTCCTCGTCATCATTTTAAAAACTGTCCAAGTGGCAACTCTTAACCATAGATCAGCAAACACACAGCTAAGCCGGGGATTTTTCCAGCACGTTTTCTTGGATGTGCAGTTTGTTGGAATGTAAATGAAGCAAGATTCTGTGGGTGAAAGTCTGGACCCTTCAACTCCAGGTCTTCCTGAGAAAGTCAGATACACAAGGAAGCTTTTAAAAATAGCTTCCCTACCACATTTTTAATGCATACTCAGTTTTTAAAATGTTAGTAAGTATTCACTGCGAATGGAGGAGGAACAAGTGACTAATAAAAGTTTTCCCTCTCAGTTTACATGTCTCTGTCCCTGCTTCTTTCCCAACTTGATTTGTGGGAAGAACACATTCTTCTTCAAGAAGTGATGGGCACAGGCCAGGTGCAGTGGCTCACACTTGTAATCCCAGCACTTTGGGAGGCCAACGTGGGCGGATCAAAAGGTCAGGCGTTCGAGACCAGCCTGGCCAACACAGTGAAACCGCATCTCTACTAAAAATACAAAAAATTAGCCGGGCATGTTGGTGGGTGCCTGTAATCCCAGCTACTTGGGAGGCTGAGGCAAGGAGAATCGCTTGAACCTGGGAGGCGGAGGTTGCAGTGAGCCGAGATCACGCCACTGCACTCCAGCCTGGGCGACAGTGAGAGACTCCATCTCGAAAAAAAAAAAAAGAAGTGATGGGCACAAAGATAAAAATCCACTGAAGATCTTTGCTCTTCTTTCTTACACACAGACACACACGTACACACATACACTCCTACAAACACACACAAATGTCCCAGATGCACAGCCATTGATGCTATTTACTAAAATACACATAAGCACCAACACAAACTTATATTCACAACCTTCAGCACATACACAAATATTCACATGCACACACACCTATAAGCACATATGTGGGTATTCGTATGCATCCCGACACACTTTGGATTTGTGTTTGTAAGTACATGAGTACATGAATGGGTTTGCCTATTCACATACATATATCTTACATGTAAGTTACAAAGTACATACATATGGGCTTGCATGTAAATCCTGAGATACACATACATGTAAAGACATAGGACACAAGCCCTTACAAACAGAAGCATATGTGACTGTGGGCACATGCACTGACATACATTCATGTACATAAGTACTTACAAACATACCACATGCATACAATCATTACTCCCCACACACAGCAGGCAGACACAATTGCTGTGCACAAACATAGACACAAAGGGGCTTCATACTGCTTTCCTGAGTGATCAGGTGAAAAAAAAGTACAATTGGTAGGCCGGGAGCGGTGGCTCATGCCTGTAATCCCAGCACTTTGGGAGGCCGAGGTGGGCAGATCACGAGGTCAGGAGTTCAAGACCAGCCTGGCCAGCATGGTGAAACCCCGTCTCTACTGAAAACGCAAAAACTAGCCAGGCAAGGTTGCAGGTGCCTGTAGTCCTAGCTACTGGGGACGCTGAGGCAGGAGAAATGCTTGAAGCTGGGAGGCGGAGGTTGCAGTGAGCTGAGATCTCACCACTGCACTCCAGCCTGGGTAACAGAACGAGACTCCATCTGAAAAGAAAAAAAAATACAATTGGTAAAGAGGTGGGGACGCATTTTGCTTCAGCTTTGTGTTTTTTCTGCTAGAAAATAGAAAATCAGTTGTAGTGGAATAAGTGAAGTAGTCAGAAAATAAGATGCAGGCTTCTCCAGAATGAGAGGTCTGTGTTCATCTCTGCAGAGAAACCAAGAGCGAGGAGCTCAGGCTCTGCAGGGAGCTGGATCTGCTCTCCTGAAATTCATGAAATCCTCACCAGAGGGAGTCTCCCCGGTGGTTCCCCATCATCCCACAAATTAATATTAACAACACCCTTCCATTTGTGCTTTCTTTTGACTTTGGAGGAAATGCATTCCTGTCTATGTTCCGTTTGTATTTTTAAGCTTCCACCGAGGTGGGAAGGGCAGGTGTCACGATGCCATTTCAGAGGCAGCAACCACCAAGACATGGCAGTGGTCTTCATGCACCTTCTATGGTATCGGGCTTTGTGGCAAGTGCTTTTGTTACCTTAGCTGATTTCATCCCTGCAACAACCCTGGAGGTAAATGTATTAATATCGCCATTTCGCAGTTGAGTAAATTGAGGATAAAAACAGCAACAACTTGCTCGAGGTCACAACGGATGACGCTGCTATTTAAAGCCAGGTTGGCTTTGAAAAGACCGGCCCAGGGGGTGGTGGAGCCTGGGGTGCTTTAGAATAATGAGATTTTTTTTAAAGCCTTATTTTTAAACAGTTTTTTTTTAAGTGAGAATAGCCAGACCCACTTCACAAGGTCAGGCTAGCTCTCTTCACTTCTAATAATTGGCCTCTGTCCCAAGGGAGCAATTCTCTGTGGGAAGCAGAAGTTACAAAAGCCACAAAAGGAGCAAAAGATGACCATGTTCAGGCTGTTGACTATAGCAGAGTTTCTCAACCACAGGCGCTATTGATCTCTTGGGCCAGATAATCGTTTGTTGTGGGGGCCTGTTCTGTGCACTGTGGGATATAGAGCCACAATGCTGGCCTCTGCAATCTAGATGCCAGTAGCACCCTCCATCCATTGTGACAACAAAAAATGTCTCCAGACATTGCCAAATGACCCCTGGGGGACAAAAACACCCCTGACTGAGAACCACTGGACCACAACCTGCTTTCTGAACACCTGCTATGTGCCAAGCATTAAATGATGTGTTTTAGTTCACTTGCTCTTCCCAACAACTCCAGAAAGTAGGACTATTCATTTCCCCATTCTGTAAGTGAAGAAACTGAGGCACCAAGAGGGCAGATTACTTGACTAAGATGACACATATTTTTCCACCATCTTCTATTACCACTTCCAATATTAGCAACTACTATTGAACACTCTATCTCATTCTACGCTAGGCACTGTGCTTTACATGATCTGTTTTAAGTTTTACCGCAAATCTCTACAGTAGCTACCACTAACCACTACCATTTTACAGGTGGGAGAACAGAGGCCCACCTAGCAAAAAGGTAAAGCAGGGATTCGATCTTGTGTCCATGTGACTTAAAGCCTAAGTGCTCACCAGGTCTAAAATACCACTACCATAGCAGAGAGAAAAGATTAGATTGGAACTCCAGAACCGAAACACATGCTTTCATTTGAGCATTTCCTGGCTTGTGAGCCAGGCACAATGATTTTGAATAACTGAGCTGCTATTTAAAAAAAAAGAAAAAAAAAATCGTGCAACTGAATTCTAAAGAAAATTTCTTGTGGCTTCATTGTTAAACCTTAACCATCCCTTCGCTGTGAATCACCACCAAACTGTTCACTGTGCTTTAGTTAGCGCCAATTAACTCCTTACAATTGAGCATATTTTCCACTATTACAGGGGCTGCATAAAATCTTCCAACTGGGGAGGCCCAGAAACATCAGAATCCAAACCAGATGATGATCCACATCTCATTGTGACCCAAAATAAACCAGTCACGGCTGTAAAGGATTACAAATAAAATCCTATTAAAATCTAGCATGCACCAGGTCCTCTAAAATAGCACAAGACCACAACTATGAGTGTTCTGGGAGAATATGCTTCCTCTATTTTGGGGGGAAAGTAAAAAGTATAAAAAAAAATAACTAGCATCTATTCCTTTTTCCTCTTGGTAATAAAAAGCACAGGTTTTGGCTGGGCATCTTCTGCCTCTTACATACAGAGTCTCTTCCTCACCTCCAGGGGTGGGCTCTGATTGGCTTAAACCAAGCTACATACTCCAGGAAGCCATTCTGATTGGTTCAAACCTAATAAAATGTGAGCCAATGAGAGAGGAGATCTAGTTGCTAGAGATTAAAAAAAAAAAAAAACACCTTTCATGCCTACCTGAGATAACTACAGGGAAGGGCATGGGGATAAGGAAACAGAGGACTTATATGCTACAAGTCTGGTATTTATTTTTGCTATAAATACTCTATTATAAATTAATGAAAAAAATCATGGTAAAATCTCTGTGACACAAGAACTCTCACATTTGTTTCCTTTTTTTTTTTCTTTTTCTTTTCTTCTCTTTCTTTTTTTTTTTTTGATGGAGCCTGGAGTACAGTAGTTCAATCTTGTCTCACTGCAACCTCCGCTTCCCAGGTTCAAGCAATTCTCCTGTCTCAGCCTCCCGAGTAGCTGGGATTATAGGCATGTGCCACCACACCTAGCTAATTTTTGTATTTTTAGCAGAGACGTGGTTTCACCATGTTGGTCAGGCTGGTCTCGAACTCCTCACCTCAGGTGATCCACCTGCTTCGGCCTCCCAAAGAGCCACCGTGCCCAGTTCATTTGTTTTCTTAATGCCCCAGGTTGCATCTAAAAGAAGATGTGGGAAATACAAAGGACTCCTGCAAGCTCCTGGCAGCCATTTTGAATCATGAGGGGCATTGCTGTTAGGGTGAGGAAGAAAAGAAGAAGGTGGAGAGAAGAGATGGGAAACATCCCTGTGCCTTGGGTTAAATCCCATTTGAGGCCATATCTCCTTGTGGAATATTCATTTACTCAAATCAATAAATCCCTTTTGACGTTCAAGGCAACTTGAACTGGACTTTCTATTAACTTCAAACATCAGATTTCTGGTATATAATTAGTATTAACTAAGACCAGGAACCTGACTTATCTCAGCCCTAATTTCCAAATCTAGTCAGAGAGGATGAAAGTCTTTAGGGTTGTTGAGAGAATTAAATGAGCAAATAACCTATATAGACTGTTAGTACAGTGCTTGGTTATCATAAGCACTTTATAAATTTTAACTATTATTATCCCTGAAATAACCTACCTGTACAAAACTGTATCATGAACACAACATTTTTTCTGGGCTTATAAACGTTAATCCTGACTTCCATATAGAAGCGTTTTTTGATAATGAATAAAGATGGTATAACCTTCCTCAGAGCTTTCCAAAAAAATAAAAGAGGAAAGACAGCACATTCTTCCACCGAAATGTGAGAACATTTGGTAGTTCCTTTATATACCAGGAAAACAAAGGATACGTGGGGGTTACATGAGAAGAAACAATTTTGAATGAACAAGCAATCGAATTGGTTTAAAAATGAGCAAGAGAGAGAACTTGTACAACAAGCGTGTCAGACAAACCCAGAGGTCTGCAAATAACATGGACTGCCTGGGGAGGTAGCAAGTTCCCCACTCCACCCAAAGTGCAAGCAAACATACTGTGGCCATTTGTCATAGTGGAGCATACAGCGAGTACTGGCCCCACTGAGCTTTAAGGCTACCTACTAGACTGATACTCCCTTGTTCTCTTCCTGAGGCCCTTTGTCCCACGTTACTTAGATGGAGGGAAGTGGAAAGGTATTTTGTATTTACAGGTAAAATAACTATCCACCTCTCAGCCCCACAGTGCAGTTTGGCCTGGGGAGGTAGGACTTTGGGGAATCAAATCTTATCTAGGTTCAGTTCCTCACTCTGCTACTCAGATCTTACTCTATATGCTCAGTGGCAAACAACCTCACACTGCTGGTTCTCAGTTTCCTCATTTGTTAGAAAAACAAAAGAGAGAAAATATGGTCGGGCTTGAGATTATACAGATGTAGATGAGATGAGCTATGCAAAGCACTTAGCCTAACCAGACAAAGCCACTTTCCGATTCCACCCTTTCAAATCTCCCTGAGTTCCTCCTTCAGGACGTGTGTTTATTTATTTCTCTCACCACACACCATCAATCAGTTTTGTACTAAACATGTTAAATATTAAGTCATTCTGCTAAATCAGTGGTGACTCGGGTATTTTTATTATTTCCCATTTAACAGACGAAAATGTGGCACAGGAAGGTTATATGACTTGCCCAAGTTCATACAACTAGTAGATGCCAGGATTCGTTGGAATTTGAACACAGTCTGACTCCAGAGTTCCATGCCTTAACTAGTGAATCATTCCGCTTTTCACTTAATTGATTAATAAACAATCAGCTTGGGAGGCCGAGGCGGGCGGATCACGAGGTCAGGAGATCGAGACCATCCTGGCTAACATGGTGAAACCCCGTCTCTACTAAACAAAATACAAAAAATTAGCCGGGCAAGGTGGCACGTGCCTGTAATCCCAGCTACTAGGGAGGCTGAGGCAGGAGAATGGCGTGAACCCGGGAGGCAGAGCTTGCAGTGAGCCTAGATCGCGCCATTGCACTCCAGCCTGGGCGACAGAGTGAGACTCTGTCTCAAAAAAATAAAAAATAAAATAAACAAACAAACAAACACTCAGCCCTCCATATCTGTGGGTTCTCCCTCCTCAGATTCAACCAATCACAGATCAAAAATATTCTGAAAAATAAAAAATAAAAACAATAATATAACAACAAAAAAATACAAATTTTTTCAATACAGTATAAAAAGACTTGTGTAGCATTTACATTGTATTAGGTTTTATAAGTAATCTAGAGATGATTTAAAGTATATGGAATATACATAGTTTACATGCGAAGACGATGTCATTTTATATAAAGGACTAGAACATTTGTGGATTTTGATATATCCTGGGGTCCTGGAATCAATCCCCTCCAGTACTGAGGGGTGACTGTAACTTTCTTGGGAGTGTACCGTTTGGTACTCTAGTCTATTCCCAGCACTTAAAACAGTGCCTGGCATATAGTAAGTGTTCAATAAATATTGAAATAATCAATGAAGAATAAGTGAATAAACAGAATATTCTTCAACAAGTGTTAATTCCCTCTTCCTTCCTCTCCCCTAAGGAGGTAGAAACATTTGAATTCAAATCTCTTGCACTCTTCTTGAATCTGAGGTTTTGCATAAAATTTGCCCAAATTACATATAATCAAGTATCCATCATAGAGATGAATTCAGATAATTAGACCAAAAATACAATCTACAAATTCCCATGCAATGCATTTGTCTGAAAAAGGTATTTGCCTGGAATTTCAACCAAACCCAATGTCCCTTTAACGCCACTAAGGAGAAGCTCAGCCTGGTGAATAACAGGACATTTGAGTACTGGAATAAATGATGATTAGAAGACACCCGTGGCAAAGCTGCCTCATAGCAAGATTAATTTGGGGGCGAGAAGAGGGTGGTTATTAATGTGTCCGGGAGACAACTCCAGGCACTGTTTCCCTGATGGGAGCAGAATCTCAGGTTATTTATAGCCACTTCTCAGGAGGAACATGGCACAGGGCATCCGAGGAGAGAACCACGCCAAGGTGCGCTAATGGAACTTTGAGGATAATTTACTGCTCAAGTTCAAGGACTTTTGCAACAAGAAAGAGCCTCTCAAACTCCCAGCAATCTCTACCCAGGAAGGAGATGAACGTGACTGTGCAGGTCTGTCATTCAAGATTCGCCATCTCATCAATCTCATCTTCTCCCACTGTCCCCCTGGCTCACTCCTCTCCAGCCACCGCAGCCTCAGGCAGCTCCTCAAACATGAAAACACACTCCCACCACAGGGTTTTCATTTTTGCCCTTTCCTCTGCATGGACACACTTTTCTGACACCCTTTTAAACTATAGGCTTCCGATCACCTGATACTAGTAATTGAAGGGTGTAGTGAGCTATAACTGTGCTGCTGCACTCTAGCCTGGGTGACAGAGACCAAAAAAAATTAAACTAAAAGTTGAAAAGAATAAAATATAAACTTCCTTTTCTGCTTCCCTGCTTTGCATTTTTCTACAGCTCTTACCAAATCCATGCTTGCTTTGCCCCGAGTTTGCTGTGTGATCTTGGGCTAATCACTATCTCTCTCTGGGTTTTAGCTTCCCATCTACAAAATGAGGGCAGTGGTTGACAATTCTCTAAAATCCTTTCTAGCATTCACATCCCACATCTCTGGGTGCAAATAATGTAAATAAGCTTGATGCTGTGCTGGTCAAAATACATAGTTTCAGGCTTATTTATCAATAACAAGAAAGTGACATTGTACATAGTCACTTCTTGTTATTTTCAGTAAAGTCACCACCAACTCCCAATTAGCCAATCCTGAGCCATGGCTCCTAAGAGAAATACAGGGTTGGGTTCCTGCAAGCCTCTGACCACAACATTTTTATCAATCAATCAATGCATAACCTTGTTTTTTGTATATATGTGTTTAAAGGCATCTTATGTAACATATACTGATTCACTAACACTGAGCTCACAGTCAAGAGTACAGTAACACGTTCCTGAGCAACACTTATCCAACACATGTATGTCCTTCTTCAGGCATGTCACAGCCTTTGGAACACAAGGTAGCACTTCCACACTTTATTTGGGGAACAATTTTAAACAGCAAAGTCACCAAGAAAAAGCACACAAATGTGACAAATATGGCACTAAACAGACTACAAAAAAAGATATTTGTTTATCGTATGACAGCTGAAACAAGATGGCAGAGTGTTGCCCCGTTTCCCCTAAGCTAGGAATGTTTTCATCACCTGATTAACATTTTTCAGGGCTCTGCACATTTCTGTGAATGATTGTGAAAGTGTCACGAGTATTGATTCGGGGGTTACAAATAAATTTTAGCAAGTAAGCAAATTCACAAATACAGAGTCTGGGAATAATGAAGATCAATTTATAGTTTACAAAGATAATTATTATTTGCCTTCCCCACCACAATGTAAGCTCCAAGAAAGCAGGTGTTTTTCTGTTTTGTTCACCACTTTCTCTCTAGCTCCTAGAATATATACACTCTTAACAAATATTGGTGACATAAATAAGCCTGAAGATATCTATTTTGACCAGACACAGTATCGAGTTTATTTAAATTATTTGCACACAGAGATGTGGGATGTGAATGCTAGAAACGATTCTAGAGAACTGTCAACCACTGCCCTCATTTTGTAGATGGGAAGCTAAAGCCCAGAGAAGGGTAGTGATTAGCCCAAGATCACACAGCAAACTGGGGTCAAAGCAAGCATGGATTTTTTTTTTCTTTTTTCTGCATTTTCTATTTTTTTTTTTTCAGAGACATTCTCGCTCTGTCACCCAAAATGGAGTGCAGTGGCACAATCATAGCTCATTGCAGCCTCAAACTCCTGGGCTTAGGTCATCCTCCCACCTCAGTCTCCCAAGTAGCTAGGATTATAGCCATGTGACACCATGTCTGGCTAATTTTATATATATATTTTTTCTAGAGACAGGGTCTCTCTGTGTTTCCCAGGCTGGTCTTAAACTCCTCATCTCAAGCAAACCTCCCACCTCGGCCTCCCAAAGTGTTGGGATTGCAGGCATGAGCCACCACATCCAGCTGAGCATGGATTTCTTAAGCCATTCCATTTTACTATATTTCCAGCACCTTACAGACATGATCTTTGTTATTATTGGGATGTCTCAGAGCATCTGGCTCAGGGCTTAGAACAGAGTGGTTGTTCAATAAATGCTGACAGGCTGGATTACAGAAAAGGTAGGGGATATTCCTAGAAGATGAAAAGGCAGACTGCACCTTCAGCTAAAGTCAGTCACATCAACTGGAAAGATTGACTTGATTTTCAGCAGTAGCTCTCTCAGGAAAAAGTTAATGGGGAATAAAGAGGAACTCTGTTTATCAGTCAAGACTTCATGTTCCAAGTAATGAAAAGATAAACTTGCTTTAAAATAAACAAGAGAGAGAATTCATTGACTTGGGCAACAGAGAAGTCCAGAATTAGGGTGAATTTCAAATGTGGATTGAAAATAGCATTGGGGTAGCAGTTTTGCAGCTCTGCTTTTCTGCAAATCTCTTAGCTCGATTTGGTTTCTCTCACTAGCAAACTGTGTACAGGAGTCTAAGGCTTAGTATCTTCCCAACACAGCATTCAGAAGAAAAGAGCTTCTATGGTCCAGCACTCCCACCTGGAGATTCTCACCTGAGATTCACTGTAATTAGACTGGCTTAAGTCATGTGGTCACCCCTGAACCAATCACCATAGCCAGGAGGGTGTAAGCTGCTGATTGGCTGAGCAGGATCACATGGTCTAATCATGGAGCTAAGTATTGGTATCAGCACCTGAAGAATTTTCTATCGAAATTCAGGGATGGTAGAAAGACGGGAGAGGGGAATGAATACCAAGAAACAATGGTTTTCCACACTATATAGACGTATGAGGCCAGACACCTCCAACGAACTTCCAATGCAGGAACAGAGATTTGAGAAATTGTTAATTGTTTTAAAGAATTTATTGCTGCACATATTATTGCTCCAGGTTCCATGCTAGGTTCTAGGGATACAGAGGTGAAAAACTCCTAATCCTCATCCACAAAAATAGCTCACAGGTAATTCATAACAGTTGGTTCATAAGATACATGAAAAAAGAGAAGATCTGTCCAAATGCACTAAATTAGGAAAAAAAAAAAAAAAAGCAGAAAGGAGAAGAGAAGAGGCTATGTCACGGCCATGTCAGTCCCAGAACAAAAACATTGTTTCTGTGTTATTTATTCTTAACAACTTTTTTTTGTTTTGTTTTGTTTTTGAGACAGGGTCTCTCTCTGTCGCCCAGGCTGGAGTGCAGTGGCACAATCTCGGCTCACTGCAACCTCCACCTCCAGGGTTCAAGCGATTCTCCTGCCTCAGCCTCCCGAGTAGCTGGGATTACAGGCGTCCGACACCACTCCCGGCTAATTTTTGTATTTTTGGTAGAGATGGGTTTTCACCATGTTGGCCAGGCTGGTCTCGAACTCCTGACCTCAGGTGAACTGCCCGCTTCAGCCAGCCTCCATAGTGCTGGGATTAAAAGCATGGGCCGCCGCGCCTGGCCTTAACATCTTTTTGAATATCATATGTACACTAGGGACAGAAATGTGCACTCAATGAACCCTTTGGCAGTTATTAGTCCCAGAATATTAGAAGCGTTTGGCTTTTTCCAGTGACTGTCTTTGAGAGAATCAGTGGTCTCCTCCCGACAAGGCACTCTGCATTTCTTACATAACTTGCAGCATCTCCAACTAGGAAGACTTGGCCCCGCATCCATTACAATACCCCAGAGAGATTCCCATAACTTCATTCTCGTGCTGCTGTCAGAGAGCTACTCTACTGTGAAGCATTCTAAGTGAGAAACAAGCCGTGGGCAGGAACCTCTCCATGTTCCGTTGATAGCTGTCAGGAGGGAGAGGGTTTACAGCAAAATCACTTCCGCTACTTTTACTTGGGGTTTGTGCCAAAGCGTGCTGATCCTTCAGGACTCTGCTCAGATCCAGACTTCAGAATAGCGAGGTGTGGGGAGCTGAGGGTGGAAGGGCCCCTGGAGGAAGTGCTAGCTCCATGAGTCTGCGGTGCCATGCAGGTCAAGGTAGTGACCTGTGTGGCCCTACGTGCCAGGTGATGGACTAGGGGAATTGCTTGCACAAGCCCTGGAATAGAGTAGATGGTAAATAAGTGTTAAATTATGTGTAGGAATGTGACAGCAGAAAAGAGGTGCCAGATAATGTTTCCATATTGGTTGCAATTCAAATTAGCTTAAGAAAAAAAAAAGCAAAAGACAGCTGTATTGGCTGGTATAGCTGGCAAATTAAAGATAGGACTAGTTTTAGGCAGGAGTGGATCCAGGGGCATCATTGAGACTGTGAGAGCTCTGTCTCTTTTTAACTCCTGGTTTGCTTCTCTGTAGGTGATGGCCTTGTCCTCACCTTCCAGGGACAACTTTTCTCCACATTGAGGGGAAGATGGTTGTCCTCAGTCACTGACTAACAGTCTTGCATCTTTCTGACATGAAAAGTAAATCCTTTTTCCTTCCAGCACCTAATCAGGAATTGCAGGGGAAATTGTCTGATTAACCTAGCTTGGGTAGGACAGAAACCCCTGGAACAGGTATTATGAATCAGAGAAATTGGGTTCTATGACTGGCCAGCCTTGGAGTGCACATCCACGCTAATGATACAGTGGCCTGATTTAGTAAATGAAAATGCAGTGTAAGTATGGACTAAAAAATGATTCATTCCTGGCCAGGCACAGTGGCTCATGCCTGTAATCCCAGCACTTTGGGAGGCTGAGGCAGGCAGATCACCTGAGGTCAAGAGCTCGAGACCAGCCTGGCCAACACGGTGAAACCCCATCTCTACTAAAAATACAAAAATTAGATGGGCGTGGTGGCAGGCACCTGTAGTCCCAGCTGCTCGGGAAGCTGAGGCGGGAGAATCTCTTGAACCCGGGAGGCTGAGGTTACAGTGAGTCAAGATCATGCTGCTGCACTCCAGCCTGGGTGACAGAGCAAGACTCTGTCTGAAAAAAAAAAAAAAAAAAAAGATTCATTCCTTATATGAAATTCCAATTCAACTACGTGTCTTACCTTTTTTATCTAGCAACCTTACGATGGAGGCAGAAGAAGGATTCTATGGTTGGAAACCTGCCAGACTCACAGGCTACGGAGAAGAAAGGCTAAATCCACCAGACTGTTGGATGCACCTAAAACAAATTGCCCTCCGTGGCTTGGTTTCTTATTAATATACTCATAGAAATGCACAAGAACTGAAAGCTCGATAGGGAAACCAAAAAATAAAAATTAAAAAAAAAAAGCTGTAAACCAATGTTTCTTAAAACATGCTCTGCAGAACACTCGTTTGGTGGAACGTAAAGTGTTCTTTCATATTAAAGGAGTTGCGTGTTAATCGTGTTTCTCTGTCATAGGACTCTCATTGCATTAATATGTCAGTTTCCATTGTGAATTTCTCAGGAGAGAGAGGCGAGTCTGTGATATTCCTCAAATGCATGAGGTCATGGAATCTAAGAGCAGAAGAGCATTAGGATAGCAGAACAGCTTTGATAGCACAACAGCTCCTTGCATGTGGTGGAAATCACAAGTTCAGGGGGACATTTTACTGGCTGTATTGTCAGTAGGATGAATACTACACGCTGCATCTTCTGAACTATAATACGGTATCCCTGAGAAACAAAATTAGAGGAAATATTGATCACATCTCACCATTTCCAGCTAAAACTAAGATGCAGAGTCTGCAATGCCCCAAAATAAATGTGCTCATTCCCTGAACACATGGGGCCTTTGTCTTATTTTGTCCTTTGTCTTATTATTTATTTATTTATTTATTTATTTTGAGGTAGAGTTTCACTCTTGTTGCCCAGACTGGAGTGCAGCGGCATGGTCTTGGCTCACTACACCCTCCCCCTCCCAGGTTCAAGCGATTCTCCTGCCTCAGCCTCCCTAGTAGCTGAAATTACAGGCACCGGCCAATATGCCAGGCTAATTTTTGTATTTTTAGTAGAGATGGGGTTTCACCATGTTGGCCAGATGGGTCTCGAACTCCTGACCTCAAGTGATCCACCCACCTCGGCCTCCCAAAGTGCTGGGATTACAGGCATGAGCCACCGCGCCCGGCTGAGCCTCTGTCTTGAGCCATCCCGGCCAAGTTCAGAAGTTGCTCTTGCATCTGCTCATAAGTCTCCCAGTACGCATTGCAGCAGGAAGTGTAGGGAAAAAAGTGCAGAGTTCTAACTTACACAGTACTTAGATACCTGTTATACCTGGTCCACCTTTATTATCACAAGTTCACAGAAATTGGGAGCTAAAGAGACCTTTAAGGCAGAAATAGGAGAATTGAATCATCTTGACCTCTAGGCACATACCAGACACGATGCTAACCCATTTTTACATTTTTTCGGTGACTTCCCCATGACAACTCTATATCTTTTATACAAAAGGACTTCTGTAGCCTAATAAATTTAGGCTTTCGTTTTGATTCTCAACAGATACAGAAACTGAGATCAGAGACAATGGCTTGATTGAGCTCATTTCACTCCATGAAAAATATTTTGGAATAAGAGATTTTTATCTCCTCTACACTGATATTTTATACTTCTTTCAGCCACGCAATATTGTGCATCCCCAAGAAGCTCTCTGCTTCTTATTCAATGCTTGTCAACCTCTGCCCCTCTGGCAAATTTCTTCTAATGGGTAGCATCCAGGAAGCCCCTGTTCCCTTTGTGTGCCCCCGCTATTTTCCACATTATGTTTGATCTCAACATTCCACTGAAAATTGGATATTGATAGTAGCCTGCTATGATAATGAACAATTCATGTCTCAATGTGAAAAGGCATTTAAGACACCTGTTTTCATGAGTAATTATAGATAATTGCTATGGTGGATGAAGTTTTTTAAAATTATTATTGCACAGAAAAGGTCTTGAGAAACAGAGCAATTAATTTCCTGATACCTTACCAAGAGTGAGTGCGACGTTAACCCTCACTTTGGGAAGTATTTGTAGGTAATTGGGCTTGGCTGCTTGCAATGAGGGGAACGTGAATTATATTCCAGAGTAGGCTCCTGACATATCCCAGCCATGGATAACTTTCTTTTTAACGTTTTGTTCAGCATTTACTCCTTCCTTCATTCATTCTAGGAACACTTGTTAGATACCTCCTATTGGTCAATTGCCTCGTTAAATGCTGGGGTTGCAATGACTCAGCTTCATTCACTCATTCGTTCAACAATCAGATGATACTATGTGCAAGGGCCCTGGATATTTAAAAACGGATTGTAGGCTGGGTGCGATGGCTCATGCCTATAATCCCAGCACTCTGGAAGGCCGAAGTGGGTGGATCACTTGAGGTCAGGAGTCTGAGACCAGCCTGACCAACACAGTGAAAGCCTGACTCTACTAAAAATACAAAAGTTACCTGGGCATGGTGGTGGGTTCCTGTAATCCCAGGTAGTCGGGAGGCTGAGACAGGAAAATCACTGGAACCCAGGAGACAGAGGTTGCAGTGAGCCGAGATTGTGCCACTGCATTCCAACCTGGATGACAGAACGAGATTCCATCTCAAAATAAATAAATAAATAAAAATAGATTATGATTATAAAGCCCTAATACAACAGCATAAGTCCATTTTCCTAAAGAAATATTCTTGCCCTCTGAACCAGTAACTCCACATCTAAGAAGTTTTCTTAAAGAAATTATATCAAAATTATGAACAATCGGCCGGGCACGGTGGCTTATGCCTGTAATCCCAGCACTTTGGAAGGCCGAGGTGGGCGGATAAGGAGGTCAAGAGATCGAGACCATCCTGGCTAACATGGTGAAACCCTGTCTCTACTAAAAATTCAAAAAATTAGCCGGGTGTGGTGGCACACGTCTGTAGTCCCAGCTACTCAGGAGGCTGAGGCAGGAGAATCGCTTGAACCTGAGAGGCAGAGGTTGCAGCAAGCTGAGATCATGCCACTGCACTCCAGTCTAGGTGACAGAGCGAGACTCCATCTCAAAAAATAAAAATAAAAAAATAAAATTATGAACAATCTAAATATTTATCAAGAGTAGAAAAATGCTAAATGAATCATAATAATCTGTAGTTATTAATATACCATGGAATACTACGCAGCCATAAAAAATGACGAGTTCATGTCCTTTGTAGGGACATGGATGAAACTGGAAACCATCATTCTCAGCAAACTATCACAAGGACAAAAAACCAAACACCGCATGTTCTCACTCATAGGTGGGAATTGAACAATGAGAACACATGGACACAGGAAGGGGAACATCACACACTGGGGACTGTTGTGGGGTTAGGGGAGCGGGGAGGGATAGCATTAGGAGATATACCTAATGCTAAATGACGAGTTAATGGGTGCAGCACACCAACATGGCACATGTATACATATGTAACAAATCTGCACGTTGTGCACATGTACCCTAAAACTTAAAGTATAATAATAATAAAATTTTTTTAAAAAATGTATCTTATGAGAAAGATATAATGTGTGGAAGCAATTTTGATATATTAGAAAGAGGGAAGGCTTGCAAAATAAAAAAAAAGAATAATATAAGCCAAAAAAAAAAAATAGAACCCCCATATGATCCAGCAATTCCTCATCTGGATATTTATCCCAAGGAATTGAAATCAGGATCTTAAAGAGATATTAGCATTTCCACATTGATTGCAACACTATATAGAATGTGGAAATAAATGTCCATCAACACATGAACGAATAAAGAAAATGTGGTATATACATATAGTGGAATACTATTCAGCATTGAAAAGGAGGAAATTTTGCAATACATAACAACATGGATGAACTTTGAGAACTTCATGCTATGTGAAATAAACCAGTCACGGAACATCGTATACAGAAGACTGAAGATTTCATTTATTTGAGGTGTGTATAAGAGTCAAATTCATAAAATCAAAGAGTGGAATGGTGGTTACCAGGGTTGAGGGGAAAGGAGACATAGGGCATTACTCGTCAACAGCCATAAAGTTTCAGTTAAAACAAGATGAAAAACTCCAGAGATTTGCTGTACAGCATCATACCTATAGTCAAAAATGATGGGTTGCACACTTAACATTTTGTTAAGAGGGACAGACCTCATGTTATGTATTCTTACCACAATAAAACAAAATTTTTAAAACGAATAATATAAGCCAAAATGGAAGCAGCAGTTCTATTCAGGGAGTGCTATGGGAACGGAAGTTAAATTCGTGGGTAAGGTTAGAGTACATTTGATCTGGTGAACTTTTCTGCATTTCCTAAGTTCCAACAATAAACATGTATTGCTTACATAATTAGGAAGTAGAAGCAAAATAAGTAGTGTAGAGGTTTGGGTTCTGCAGACGAGCCTTGGAAGATACAAAGCTAAGTGCAAAAGTGATGCTAATGACCTTAATGACAACAGTGAAAATTTACCAGGTCTCAGGGTTGGAGAGAACCACATAGGCTGATTCTTTCTGCAACTCTGATTCCCAACCTTGGCTTCAGATAATCAGCTCTGACGCTTTTAGAATGTAGAAATGCTCAAGTTAATCCCCACAACACACACATCTCAAGAGATTTGGTCTTGGGTAGGGCTGGACATTGGTACTTCTTAGATTTCCCAGGCAGTTATAAGATATAGCAGCCAAGGTTGAGAGCTACCACATCACTGATTCTCAAACTTGACTGCACATAAGAATTATCTGATAAACTTTACAAAAATGCTGATTCCTGGCTAGCACGGTCATGCCTGTAATCCCAGCACTTTGGGAAGCCAAGGTGGGCAGATCACCTGAACTCAGAAGTTTGAGACCAGCCTGGGCAACATGACAAAACCCTGTCTCTACAAAAAATACAAAAATTAGCTGGGTGTAGTGGTACACACCTGTAGTCCTAGCTACTGGGAGGCTAAGGTGGGAGGATCAGCTGAGCCCAGGAGGCAGAGGTTTCAGTGAGCCGAGATTGTGCCATTGTACTCCAGCTTGGGTGACAGAGCGAGACTCTGTTTCAAAAAAAAAAAACAAAAAAAAAAAACTGACTCCTGGGTACCACCCAGAGATTCTAAGTTAACTAATCTTGGTGTGGTTTGGGCATTATGATACGTAAAATTTTCCAAGTGATTCTAATATACATCCAAGCTTGGGAAACATTGCTCTACATCCTTGTACTTAAAGAGCGGCCTGTAGATCATCAGTGATGGCACCACCTGGGAGCATGTAAGAAATGCAAAATCTCAGTCCCCACCCCAGCCTGCTAAAACCTCGTCTGTGCATTAACAAGACATTCAGGTGAAGTGTGTGTATATTAAAGTTGGAGAAATACTGTCCTAGATCATCCCAGAGAATAAACACCATGGCTCCAACAATCTTCCAAGTCAAATTGCCACAGACCCCCATTTCTATTCCATTCCCTTTCCCATGTCTTTGAAAAGGGGAAAGATCTAATTTAGGACAGTTCTGCAGCAGATAAAATATGGCTCTGCCCTTCTCCAGCTATATCCAGACTTTCAAACCCCACACAACCCAGCCAGAGGGCAAGAAACGGCTTCTCCAAGCTGAAAGATCCAGATTTTTTATTATTCCACAGGACCACACTGGGAGGGAACAGAACAACCCCTGAAGAGGACATTTCACCACCGATCAGCTAGCTTCAAGAGGCCTCCCCGGAGTCCCCATATCTCCCCACAACAAAGTGAGCTGATTTTAATCAGCAGCTGCCATCTCATCTGCATTTGAGATCCCATGAATATGCAAGCCGGGTGGATGGGGTCTCAAGGAAGAGGAATAATTGGCCCCTTATATTTGATATTCAGGACCGCTGTTCTCTTATGGTGCAGTTTTCCTCTCCAGCAATCTTGTGAGGGATTTAGGTCGCAGCAAATACCATGGGCATTATCCATCAGAACAGGATCAAAGGAAAGAAGGAGTGCATTTAAAAAAGTCCAGTGTGTGGTGTGATTACTTGATGATACTATTAAATTTCTCCTGTGTTTTGCAACCTCTCTGGAGAGGATTTGCAAATACCCTATGCCTCATTAGCCTTAAGCCAAAGCAGCCCTGAGCTTGCTGCACGGTAGGAGGTGTGCGCTGGTACCTAGCCCTCTGTAGCTATCTCCACCTTTAGGAAGGGAGAAATACAAGACCTCTCTAAAGGCAAGGTAACATGGGATTGTTTATAGACCTGAAGTGTACAGATGTGACCTCCAGAACAGACACTGTTTTTGTCACTAGCATTTATTCTCTCTTCTTCCTTTAGGGAGTCACTCCCTCTTCGGCGCTAAATTTGCATGGTTTGGAGGGACCGATTGAATCAGGGATGGGTGTGACTCAGGCCCAGCCAATCAGAGCATCTCATTCTTCCAGCCACAGGGTTTGGGTGAGGGATGCACATGTGACCCGATAAGAGCCAATGAGAATTTAACTGGGACTGTTACAGGAAAGGGCAGGAGTGTTTATACCTGGGAAAATCTAAAATCAGTCTGCCAGCAGTCATCTTACTGCCACACAGGGCGATCCTATCTGAGACTAAAGCCAATACAGAGGAAAATAGATGAGAAAGACAATTTTGAGCCCCTGGATTCAGCCATACCTGAAGCCTGGGGGCTTATCTGAGCCAGTGAATGTCCTTCTTTTTGTTTCGAGTTGGGTTTCTATCATTGCCAAGTGAATGAATCCTAACTGATAATGGGCTGTTTTGTTCATATCCTGTTTTGACACTACCTGGGGTTCTGTTTGTCACAGCCCTCACACTAAAGACAAGATAACGTAACATTCAGTCTTTCTAGTAATATCATTGAGCCCCTGCTGTGTCCAAGACACTGTTGTAGATGCGAAGGATAGTGCAACACATAAAATAGGCCACATCCCTGCTCTTGTTGAATTTACATGAGCTTTGAGTCAGAAGGTTTAGAGTGAGGTTCCATTTTACAGATAAAGAAATTAATGCTCAGACATACCCAACAACCTGCCCAAGGTGATCCAGAAAACATGTGATGGAATGAGAATTCAAACCCAGATTGGTTTTACCCCTTAGGTCTGTGTGAAAATCGAAACCAGAAATTGAAAACTGGCAAAATTAGACCAGAATATGCCAAAAGATGTGTTTTATTTGGACCATGATTGTTTTTAAATGTAGAATTATTAGCCATCACTAAAACTCAGATTTTCTAACAGATCCAGATTTCTCAGTAGTACTGAAAAGTCAAAAGGTCTAGCAGCAACAGACTAGAACCCTCACATGGCAATAGCTGGCTGGGGTGAGAGGAGGCTGCCCCCTCGAAACACAGTCCCATTCTCTTTGCCACAGTCTCTCCCTGGGCTACCTCTCTCACTTAAGTTAGTCCCTTTGGACATTTGAGTTTGCAAGCCCTGCTGCAAGCATTGTGAAGGCATGCTTCGATATGCCCTCATCATTGCTTGAAGTCCCAATGCTTGGCATCTAGCGCAGGATCAATGGTGGATCACTCTCATTCCTACCAATTTGCTCAAGATGGGACTGACAGAAGCTATCCATCTAGTTGCCATTTGCATATGATTAAACCTTCTGGAAGCAGAGCAATCAGATGAAATCAGCTCCAGGGAAACATATGTGTGCCCTGCTGGTCTCCTTAATTTCTAGAAAGGAAGCCCAAGCATGCCCAAAGCTTTGCAGGTGTTACAGACAACTTAGTGTTGAAGGCCAACAATATAAGTGAAAACCAATATGGTGATAGAAATAAACGTGCCTCTCCTATGTGTCTGAAGAAAGAAGCGACAGCTCAGAAGGAGTTGGGTTTTTTTTCACAGTGGAGAGAAAGAAAAAGTTTGAGGGAGAGCATCCAATTTATTATTGAGCATCTGCTGCGTGCCAGGCACAATGCTGGGTGTTTAGGATACAGAGGTGAGTGAGATGTAGTCCCTGCCCTCAGAGAGCTCACACTCTAGAGGGAGTTAGGGAGGGGAGATATAGAAGCACAGGATGCTGTAAAGTGTATGAGAACTCCAACACACTTCTTCCTGAAGTGCAATGGTCACTTCCAGGCAGTGTGAACAGTGTGAACAAGGTAACAGGAGGGTCAAACAGCAAAGCATATTAGAGGGACATGAGGTATGGCTGGAGCACAGGTTGCAGGGGGAGCTGGGGGCCCAGATTAGACAGGAGAAGTTGGCAGGGGCCAGATTGTTGTAGGACTAACAGGTTCATATGTCCACTGGGCAGCAACAAACCAATACACTGAGACGGTAGGATTTGCAGCGAGAAGAGTTTAATAATCACAAGGCCACGTGAAGCAAGGAAATGGAAGGAATTCTCAAGTCTCAGATCCATTTGCTCAAGAATTTCTGGGCAAGGATTTTTAAGGGGATCATGAAGGGCAAGGAGGTAGAAAATTGGAGTTGTCAATTGGTTGGGGTAATGGGGATGAAATTATCAGGATATGGAAACTGTATTCTTCTACGAGTCATCTCTTTGCTGGGCCCTTCAGACCATCTGGTGTGGGTGGTTTTATTAAGTGGAACCTAAAGGAGAAACTCGAGCAGAAAGCTTATTTTTTTACAATGTCTTCGATTTCATCTATAGAACAGAATAGAAACAAAGGATCTTGTGACAAGGTCTGTTACCTTCGGATAGTAAACAGTGACCAACTACAAGGAAATGGACCAAAGGGCAAGCTGTCTTAAGGATTACTGCTGACTGTGCTGCAAGCCTGGGTGAATTTTGCTTTTTCCGCTTCATCGATTTTATTATTTTATTTTATGTATTTATTTGTTTTTTGAGATAGAGTCTAGCTCTGTCACCCAGGCTGGAGTGTAGTGGCACGATCTCAGCTCACTGCAACCTCTGCCTCCTGGGTTCAAATGATTCTCCTGCCTCAGCCTCCTGAGTAGCTGGGATTACAGGTGTGCACTACCATGCCCGGCTAATTTTTGTATCTTTAGTAAAGACGGAGTTTCACCATATTGGCCAGGCTGGTCTCAAATTCTGACCTCAGGTGATCCACCTGCCTCAGCCTCCCAAATTGCTGGGATTACAAGCATGAGCCACCACATCCAACCCACTTCATCAATTTTATAAAGTTTTTTCAGGGATGGTTTCAAGACCATGACGGGTCATTCATGTTACGTTGAATTAGGTTATCATTAGGGAGTAAAGGGATGAGCTCATGCAGACCTGGGGTGAAATCTCTGCTCCTTGTCTGCCTTGCTGGGTCACTGTGGGCAAGTGATGTCACTTCTCTGAACCTCAGTTTCCTCATCTATAGAATGGGAAACTATCAGGGCTTACCTAATAGAGTTCTGGCAATGATTAAAATAATGTGTTCAGGTGCTTACTATAGTGTCCGTCACTAAGTATTTAATAAATGTTTCTGTGCAGAGCTGCTGAAAGATAAGGCAGGGAGTTAATAATTTCCCCACAGATGCTTAATTTGCTGCTGAGGATATGATAAAAGGAGATCCTGGAGAGATTTTGATGCTTCAGCTCCTTTAGGAAACAACTTCCGCATCCCTTCCCATGCCTATGGATGTGACATATCAAGTATCTAGGGAATACAAAGAGTTTTAAGAGTCCTAGACAAGAAAAGAAGTTTCTGATTTTCTTCTTTATTTGCACTTTATAAATGTGGCGGAGTGTGGGTCGCTCTGAACTATTCAAACGCTTTCTTAACACGGCCCACGATGAAGTGAGTGCTTTGGACTTGTGCTTTCAGGGGTGATACCATTTGAAAGTTATCGGCAGCACCTCCTCAGAGATACCAGGGGAAGCTGCATTGTTTAGACAAGTTCTAATAATTTAAGCCTCCTGTAAATTAGGAGGGAAAAAGTGATAAAATTAAGAAAGAAACAGTTTACATTTGCGATTTGCATTTGCAGTAAGAAGTGCCTTATGAGACAGCGGCATATGCAGAGAACTGAGAGGGTTGGGAGAGTGGGGAGGGGTGGTCATCCTGCTCCCCTGTCAAGCTGGCGTGGTGCCTAAACCCCCACCATGATCCCATTAATTTGAGGCTCGAAGACTTTTATGGTACTTTTGGATTCTTATTTAAAATGCAAATACTGTTATAAGAAGGCAAAGATTTTCAGATAAGGGCTTTTTAAAAATTCCAGCTACATGCTGTTTATGCCAAAAACAAATGACAACAAAAGTTTCTGAATAAATGAACAGGTAAAGATTCACTGGGAAAATGCAAAAGCAACAATTGCAAGCATGATTGGTAATAGTACCGTCAGACAGAATGCAATTTAAGGCCAAAGGCATAAAGTTTTCAAAATGAGAGATCATAAAATGATAAAAGGTATGACCCTTGGAGAAAATAGTTTAGTAATGAAACCATCTGCTCCAAACTACACAGCATAAAGCAAAGAAATCAGGCACCACTTAAACGAACATGAATACAGAAGCAGGTAAATACATCCTGGTATATCCTTACTATAAATTATTATGCAGGTATTAAAATGGATGAGTTATGTCTGTGTATATTTGGTCCAGAGTAGGGGCTGTCAACCCTGGCTATACATAAGACTCATCTAAAGAGCTTTGAAAAATGTCTCTGCCCAAAGTGATTCAATTGGTCTTTGATGTGCTCAATTACTGGAATTGTTTGAAACCCCCCCACGTGATTCCAATGTACAATCAGGGTTGAGATTCATCAGGATAGATAGACATCCTTAATGTATTAAATAAAAAAGCAAAGAAAGGAGAAAGGGAGAAAAGAAAAAAGAGAAAAGAAGAAATGAATAAGTAAGAGAACAAGCAATGAAAATGTGTATTTTTCATATATTTGTCTGAGCATTGTGAAAAAATGAGAAAAGATAAATAATACCAAAAGTAAACATTGGCTATCTAATTTGGTAGCAGTGGAATTTGGAGTTCAGGGAGACTAGTTATTGAATTTCTTTATATATCACTCTGTGTTATTTGACTTGCAACAATTAGCATGAACTATTGTGTAACTTTTAAAAATCAGTCATTCAACAACAATTAGCTAAGCAACTACTATGTGGTAAGCACCACTCTAGCTTCTGAAGATATGAAAGTAGATAAAACAGACAAAATCCTTACTTTCATGGATCTTACAATCAAATACATTTTTAATAAGTTGCAAATAAAATTCTAATGCATTTTTGATGTTAATACATTGGAATAAGTCAAGTTGCCTCATCAACTGTTCTCTTTGTGTGATTAAGACCTGTGGAGACAGTGGGATAATGGGTACAGATTGGTTGTTCCAGAATGATACCTGAGTTTGGTGGGTAAATAAAGGTCTAGGCATGGACCCTAAAGCCTAGAGAGCATGTGGTTCAATTGCAAGTTAATTAGCCATTTCCCAAGAGGTAGTCTTCACTGCGAAGCAGATGATAAGGAGTCTTTCTGTGCATCAGCTGAATATGCAGTGTTAGGTATTAATAATGGCATATCTAAGTTCACAGTCTTTCCTTTGGTCCCTGCATGTCCAGTGGCTCCTGCCTCCCAGGCCATCTAAAAACAGGTCCCCAAGAGCTTAACAGGAAGAAATGACTGCATCAGCAATTAGAATAGCTTATTCCAGTCTTATCTAAGCCACTTCATGTGCTATATTCATGAAGCCTATCTGACACCTGGGCTTAAAACAGAAGTCTACTGGAAACAACATGATAAATAACCCTCATCCCTCTATTTAAATAATAAAATAGTATTCAAACAACTTCCACAGACTTGAGGCTCCTCGGATCCGAAAGTAGCTTAGGAGTCTCCTAACTTTCTTAACTAGTGTTCTGGTCCTGACCACCTCTGGGTTTCTATCAATATCCTCAGATTTCCAAGGACAAAGTTCACAACTAGATGTACCTAAAAGTCCTCTGGAGTCCTGTCAAAAGTTCAACCTCAGAACAATTCTCCAAGCTGACATACAGCCAGGAATAGTTTATGTTTCTGCAAGCTGGAGAGTTAAAACCTCATAATTCAAGGGATATGAGGTAGAGTACTCAAAAGAGTATCATATTAATAGTGTAGAAATGTCAGCCCTGGACGAAGGGACCTCTTTAGCAAAACTTAAAAGTAAGCCCGGAAAGCATCAAACTGTGTACTGGTAAATTTATGTCCCAGAACAAAGCTCAAAAGTATTTTTAGGGTTACAAAAATATTCAGCACCCAACAAGGTAAAATTCAAAGTGGCTGATTACAATAAAAATTTCCAGGTATACAAAGAGGTAGGAAAATATCACCCATAATGAGAAAAAAAAATTCAATAAAAGAGAACCAAAAATGACACAGACGAGAGACTAAGCAGACAAGGAAAACAAAACAGCTGTTGTTGCTATATTCCACATAGAAAAGCTCCACTATGTGAAGTGACAAGACATTTTAAAAGACCCAACTCAAACTTCTAGAAAGGAAAAGAGGGAATGCAACAGAGGGGCAACAGAGGAAAACGTTAGTGAATTTAGATGTAATGGAGGGAACAATTAGTGAATTAAATGCAGCAGAGAGAAAAATTAAAGACAGAAATAGAAACTATTCAAAATAAAACCAGAGAGAAAAAAAGACAGAAGATCAACAGAGCATCAGTATACTGTGGGAGAGGTTTATATGGCCTAAGAAATGTGTAATTATAATCCCAAAAGAAAATGGGGGTAAAAAAGACATATTTGAAGAAATAATAGCAAAAAATTCAAAATTTGAAGAAATCTATAAACCAAGAATTTCAAGATGAATGAAATAATGAAACCAAAACACAAGAATCATGAAGAAAATTATGCAATGGCATATCGTAACCATATTATTAAAACCAGTGAGAAACCAAAAAAAATTAAACCAGAAAGAGAATAAAGACGTACAGATGGTCAAAGATATGAATAACAGGAGACTTCTTAGTGGAAATAACTCAAGCCAGAAGACTGTTCAGCAACATTCTTAAAGTACAACAACAACAACAAAATTTGTTAACCTTGAATTCTAAACGCAGTGAAAATGTATTTCAAAAATAAACGACATTTTTACAGATACAAAGGCTGAAAGAATTTACCAGATCTATACTGCAAGAAATGTTGTAGATAAAGAAATGTTAAATAATTTTTTTTAGGCAGAATAAAAGTGATAGCAGAAGAATTTGAATCTACACAAAAGAGTGAAGAACATCAGAAATGGTAAATGTATAGGCAAATGTATATTTGCCTATACATTTACCATTTCTGATGTTTTTCTTATCTGATTTTTCTTTATTTCTTTATCTTTATTTTCTTTATTTCTTTATCTTTCTATACTTATTTTCTCTTATCTTATTTTTCTTATCTTTTGCTCTCCTTTTCAAAATCTCTTTAAAGACAATTAAAATAATGAGAATTTATTATGGGGTTTACAACATATGTAGAATTATAATATATGACAAAAGTAGCACAAAGGGAGATGGAAATATTCTGTAGTTAGATTCTTTTTTTTTTTTTTTTTTTTTTTTTTTTGCAACAGAGTCTTGCTCTGTCGCTCAGACAAGTGCAGTGCCACAATTTTGGCTCATTGCAACCTTCACCTCTGGAGTTCAAGCAATTCTCCTTCCTCAGCCTCCTGAGTATCTGGGACTACAGGCATGCACTACCACATCTGGCTAATTTTTGTATTTTTTAGTAGAGATGGGGTTTCACCATGTTGGCCAGGCTGGTCTCAAACTCCTGGCCCTAAGCAATCCTCCTGTCTCAGCTTCCCAAATGCTGGGATTACAGGTGTGAGCCACTGTGCCCAGCCAAGATTCTTATATTATATGGAGATTTATCTGAAGGTAGGCTATGATAAATTAAAAATGTATACTATAAACTGAAGGCAACCATTAAAAAGGAAACCCAAAATGTTATCACTAACAAGCTAACAAAGAGACAAATGGAATCATAAAAAAAACTCAATTAAACCAAAAGAAGGCAGAATAATAGGAAAAAGAGGAAATAAATGGGACACCAATAGCAATATGGAAGATCTGACTCCAACTATGTAAATGATCACATTAAATGTAAGTGGGTTAAGTACCCCAGTTAAAAGACGCAGATCGTCAGATTGGCTAAAGAGGCAAAATCCCACTGAAACCTGCCTACAAAAATTCACCTTAATCTAAATACTTGGCTGGGTGTGGTGGCTCACACCTGTAATCCCAGCACTTTGGGAGGCCAAGGCGGGCGGATCACCTGAGGTCAAGAGTTCGAGACCAGCCTGACCAACATGGAGAAATCCCATCTCTACTGAAAATACAAAAAATTATCCAGGCATGGTGGTACATGTCTGTAATCCCAGCTACTCAGGAGGCTGAGGCAGGAGAATCGCTTGAACTCAGAAGCGGGAGGTGAGCTGAGATCACGCCATTGCACTCCAGTCTGGGCAACAAGAGCAAAACTCCATCTCAAAAAAAAAAAAAGATATAATATATATATATGCTCAAATAGGATAAAAGCGAAAAAATGAAAAAATATACAAGGTTAACACTAAGCAAAAAAAACCCTGAGTAGCCGTAACAATATTAAACAAAGAATATTACCAGAGAAAAAGAAGGGTAAATTCATTGTGATAAAGGAATCAATTCAACAAGAAGTTATAAAAATTCCAAATGTGGATGCAGGTTATAACAAACCTTCAAAATACATGAATAAAAAGCTGACAAAACATAAAGGAGAAATTCTCAAATGTAATGAAAGTGTTCAAAAGCTCTCACTAAACAATCGATAAAACATGTAGACAGAAAATCAGCAAGGATATAGAACAGAATAAGTGAAATAACTCTTTGAACCAACTTGACCAAATTGACATTTATAGAACACTCCAGCCAACAAAAGCAGAATATACATTCTTTTCCAGTACACACAGAACATTTACCAAAATACACTGTACCTGGCCATAAAAACTAGATAGATGTTTTTGATGAATAGATTTTAATGAAAAGTATATTATCTGATCACAACTGAATTAAACTGTGTAACAAAAAGAAATTAGTAACAAAAAAGATACCTGGAACATCTCCACATATTTGGAAAACTAACAAACCTCTAAACAAAACAAAATTGCTCAAAGAAGCTACAGAGTATTTTGAACTGAATCAAAGAAAATAAAACATATCAAAATTTGTGGAATACAGCTAAAGGAGAGCTCGGCGTGCTCAGAGCTCGGAGTGCACCACAAAGTGTGGTGTGTCCATAACATGGGAGACACATCAGCAAAAAAGTTTATCCACTATTATAACATACAACAATGTATGTGAATTTCAATAGATGCTAACCATAACTATGCTAATTGAAATAAATCAGACAAAAGAGTATATGTTAATATTATATTAATCTATGTACACAACATTCTAGGAAATTATGAACTGATACAGAGAGAGCAGAGTATTTTGAACTGAATCAAACAAAATAAAACATATCAAATTTTGTGGAATACAGCTAAAGGAGAGCTCGGAGTGCTCAGAGCTCAGAGTGCACCACAAAGTGCAGTGTGTCCATAACATGGGAGACACCTCAGCAAAAAAGTTTATCCACTGTTATAACATACAATAATGTATGCGAATTTCAATAGATGCTAACCATAACTATGCTAATTGAAACAAATCAGACAATAGAGTACATGTTAATGTTATATTAATCTATGTACACAACATTCTAGGAAATTATGAACTGATACAGAGAGAGCAGATTCATAGTTTTCTGAGGATAGGACACAAGGCAACTTTTGAGAGTTCTGCATATGCTCATGATCTTGATTGTGGCAATAAGTTTACAGGTGCATGATAATAATGATACTGTCCAAAAACACTAAATTGTATACTTCAAATATGCAAAGTTACTATATGTAAATTACACCTCAATAAAGTTGTAAAAAAAAATCCAAACCCCAGTTCCAGGCACAGAGATGCTGATTAAGTGGCAGTAGGTAAGGTCTAAGAACATGCTAAGGTAGGGGGTCCCTGAACTGCACTTTGGAAAATGCTGGGGGAAGAAATTATTAATATATATCTTGGCCACACCAGCCCCAGCCTGGAGTACCACATGCTGGCCATGGTCAGCCAGTTTGCTCCAATCAGCCAGGCAGGCAGGCCCCACATAACTGGAATCCATATTCACCCTTTTGTTCCTCCCCTTCTCTCTACACTGTCTCACCCACAGGTTCCTTTTTCCTTCCTGTCATTTCTTGGCTAGGCTTCTTATCTATCACTCCACTGGTTTTGGCTGTCCCTCCTCAAAAGTCTTCCCCTTGTGGCTTTGGACTTCTCATTTCTCCAAACATCCTCCCAAATTGCCTTTGGCATCCCCATTCTTAAGCTGGAAAAATCCTTCAACTAAGAGAAAAAGCATTATAAACGTTTTAAAACTGATGCACAGAAAAGATGTTCTTTTGTCTGGAAAGGCTACAAACTAAGCTCATTCTAATGGAAATGTGTTAATGGCTCACTAAAACACCTTTTTTTGTGTGTCCACAGATTTTTGTGGGTGTCTCTTTTGTGACTGCATGCGTAAAGCTTTGAGATCTTGCAATTTGAGGCCAGTGGGAAACATAATTGATGCAGGATATTTTCTTAACCTCTTCACGGGACTCGTGACGGGGTGCCCTGTTTACTCACCCTGCCCCACTCAACCCCTCACGGGAGGGAGTGCGTAGGCGAACAAGCACAGGAACTGGCCAACTGCTTTAGCACTGGCAGGAGCAAACTCTGTGCAGGTCCCACAGCAGCATACAGGTAGGGGTGCCTGCAACCCCAAGGCCCCAGAGGGTGAGTTACAATGCTCTTTCAGCTCTGCTGTCTGCAGACAGGAGTGTGTGATCAGCTCAGTGGGCCCTTTGTCTCATCATGTAGGGTGGCTGCCCTCTGTCAGCAAGGGCAAAGGGCCAGTGTGAAAGGTTTTTTGGGTATCCATACTTGGTGTGTCCTGAATTCTTGTCTAGTGCCCAGGAGGAATGAGGTCATGCAGACAAATTGAAGGACGGTGAATGCAAGAATTCACTGAGCAATGAAAGCAGCTCTCAGAAGACAGGGGAGCTGGAGAGGGGACGGGAAGGGCAGGTCGCTCTCCTTTGAAGTCAAGTTGCTTCTCTGCCGATCCAGCCACCACCTCTGAAGTCAAGTTGTCTCTCTTCACTGTCCAGCTGCTTCTCTCTCTCTCTTTCTTTCTCTCTCTCTCTTTCTTTCTCTCTCTCTCTTTCTCTGCCAACTGAGTCTGGGGTCTTTATAGGCAAAAGATGGGGGTGGGGCAGGCCATAGGTAGTTTTGGAAAAGGCAACATCTGATTGGTGAGAAGACATTATTTGGAAAGAACCAATTGGGAGAGAGCAGTTACACAGGGATGGAATTTCTCACTTTGGGCCACAGGTTTCAGGGTTTTCAGCTGGAAAATGGGGTTTTGCTGGGAACTTGCCTGTCTGCCTAGAATTTCTCTACCTCTCTCTATCACAAGTGTACACTGTGTTAGTATAGAAAATAAAGTTTTCTTAAGAAGAGTAAGAAATGTAAATGAAAATACAATAAACCTTTTACATAATGCTAATAACAACCAAGACCAATGCATTTTACCTTATCAGTAAGTGTGTTTGTGTGGATTAAAATGGTTTTATTTTGTTAATGAACAGCTTCTGTCCATAAAGATGCTGTCGATTTGTCTACCCCACTCCACTTTTGCCTGCCTTTCCTTGAGCAGTGATTTCATTCCTTGCTCTGGAATGGTTTGGGCTGTCAGCCTTTCAATGGCCATTTTGTTTGAAGGTCACGTTGCTAGAACCCAGACCTCTGCTGTCATGGAAAGCTGGCTGGGAAAACATTTCTTTAGAGCTAGGGGCAGCCTTAGTGTCCTTGGAGCTGCCTAATGTACTTCTCTATCTGAGACAATAAAAACCCAATTAGAAAAGCTACCCTGGCTTGGATGTCTCTGCTCACTCAGTCAAAAGAGGACTCTATATACATAACAACAATGATTCTATAAATTGATTGACTGCTTCTAATTTACGTAGTGCTTCTGAGTTCATTATAGAAATAATATTAGGCCAGGTGCAGTGCCTCAACTCTGTAATCCTAGCACTTTGGGAGGCCAAGGCAGGCAGATTGCCTGAGGTCAGGAGTACGAGAATAGCCTGACCAACATGGTGAAACCCCGTCTCTACCAAAAATAAAAAATTAGCTGGGCGTGGTGGTGGGCGCCTGTAATCCCAGCTACTTGGGAGGCTGAGGCAAGAGAATCACTTGAACCTGGGAGGTGGAGGTTGCAGTGAGCCAAGATGGAGCCACTGCACTCCAGCCTGGGTGACAGAGCAAGACTCCATCTCAAAAAAAAAAGAAAAAAAAGAAAAGAAATAATATCAGTCAGGACTCTGTTGCAGGTACCCAAAACTCTCAGCTCAATGAATTCAGCAAAAGAGAAAAAAATTGAAAGTGTAAGGGTAAATTTCAGGCACGTCTTGATCCAGGGACTTATTTGAGGACCCTCTTATTTATCTCTTTCTCTTGTCTCTGCTGTCTGTTTGGCTGGCTTCTGTGTCAGGATCCATGTTTGCCCCCTGGCTAATAATTGCTAGCAATACTTTCAGAAATGACTTTGCAGCTCTTTCTCAATATTATTAGCAAAGTTTCCTTGTATCTCACTGATTCTCATTAGGTTACATGATCATCCCTGAACCAATGACTGTGGACAGGCAAATCTTCATTGCCTCTAACACGCAGAACTCCTCATCACCTCCTTACAGCCAGACTGGAGCTTCCAAGGACATTCAAGTTGGCAAAGACTGTGAGCATCCTGAACATTTAAAAGAGTCCCTCTAATAGGCAACATTTGTTCTTCAACATGGTTTCCTAATTTGGTGACCACCTATGCATCACCTCTCTCATATCTTGAAGCTTGGACAAACTGGAACAAAGTCTCTTTGTCCAGGTCCCAGGTCACAAGCCTCCAGGGTTGGGGTGTGGTTGAAAGTAAGGCAAGCGTCTCCCAAGGGAAAATCAAACTGCATTAAAAGAGTGCAGTAGCCGGGCACGGTGGCTCACGCCTGTAATCCCGGCACTTTGGGAGGTCAAGGTGGGTGGATCACCTGAGCTCAGGAGTTAGACACCAACCTGGGCAACACGGTGAAAACCCGTCTCTACTAAAAATGCAAAAAATTAGCCAGGCGTAGCAGCGAGCTCCTGTTGTCTCAGCTACTTGAGAGGCTGAGGCAGGAGAATCACTTGAACTTGGGAGGCGGAGGTTGCAGTGAGCCGAGATCGCGCCACTGCACTCCAGCCTGGGCGACAGAGCGAGACTCCAGCTTAAAAAAAAAAAGTGCAGTAGATGCTGCCAGTGCCTTGCCCAGATCCTCAACACAAACCCAGTGCATCCATCTTCCAGCTCCTGATCCATAGACCCTACTGCATTCTTCCCTGTAGAATCACTTGCTATTGATAGGAGCCTTCTACCCAGTTGTGCCTGGGGAATTATGTCCTTCTCCTGAGAGTGGCCAATAACCTGTGTCTGATGGATATGGGCATATTAAGTGCAGCTACCTGACTTCTGGGTAGGACAAACCCTGTGCTATAATTCATGCTCCAAAGTGATCAGGCTTAGTCCAAACTTCACCTGAAAGCACTTCTTTACATCCCTTCCTGTCCTGCCTCATCTGCTTCCCTTAATGCATTACTCATTTGTCCAGAGAGCATGCCCTTAATAAAACACGGGCATAAGATTTTCTGTTGCAAGCTCTGCTTCCAGGCAACAAAGCTTGCAATAGATCAAAATAACAAAAGCCAGCCAAGTAGCAAAAACAATAACCAATCCAAAGAATGATGATAATGATGATGACACCGTGTATCAAGGACCATGATATGGACTGGCTATTATGCTAGATGTTTTACATATATTTGTTTATATTCTTTTTTATTCTTTTTTATTTTTTTGAGATGGAGTCTTGCTCTTTCATCCAGGTTAGAGTGCAGTAGCATGATCTCGGCTCACTGCAACCTCCGCCTCCAAGGTTTAAGCGATTCTCCTGCCTCAGCCTCCTGAGTAGCTGGGATTACTGGCACACGGGAACACACCCAGCTAATTTTTGCATTTTTTGAATTAGAGATGGGGTTTCACCATCTTATCCAGGCTGCTTTCGAACTCCGGACCTCATGATCCACCCACCTTGACCTCCCAAAATGCTGGGATTACAGGCGTGAGGCACCGTGTCTGGCTTATTTGTTTATATTCTAACTACAGCCCCAGAAAGATAGTCATCATTAATCCCTACTTTACAGAGGAGGAACCCGGGGCTTAGAGAAGGGAATTGAACTGCCCAGGCTCATATTGCTAGGAGTTAGCCAAGCTGCGTATGAAACGACTACCTCTTCTGCCAGTTGCTGCTGCTCAGAAACCAGCTCAGTAATATAACACTCCTGCCTCTTTTTAACGGCAATATTATGTTCTTAAGTGTGTCATATGTATCAGACACTTTGCTAAGACTTCATATGCATCATCATCTTATTTAATTCTCGTAACAGCCCTGAGGAATAGTTACTATTATCACGTTTTGAAACAGAGACGTGGAAAGGTTAAAGATCACCCAGCTAGTCAGTGGTACAGACACTATCTGGCCAGGCTGGAGTGCAGTGGAGCGATCTCGGCTCACTGCAAGCTCCGCCTCCCGGGTTCACGCCATTCTCCTGCCTCAGCCTCCCGAGTAGCTGGGACTACAGGGGCCCGCCACCACGCCTGGCTAATTTTTTGTATTTTTAGTAGAGACGGGGTTTCACCGTGTTAGCCAGGATGGTCTTGATCTCCTGACCTCATGATCCACCCACCTTGGCCTCCCAAAGTGCTGGGATTACAGGCGTGAGCCACCGTGCCGGGCCCGATGTGGGCTTTTCTTATATGGTCTTTATTATGTTGAGTTAGTGTCCTTCTGACCTCGAGATCTGCCCGCCTTGGCCTCCCAAAGTGCTGGGATTACAGGGGTGAGCCACCGCGCCCGGCCAGGTTTCTCTTTTCTTCTCCTGAGCACTGACTTCCTGGATGCATAAGAAAGGAAATAACTTTGGGCCATCAACTCATGGCTCTTAATCAACCTAAGTCAGCTTCAAAAATGGCCAGAGTTGGATGTGAAATTGTCTGGCTGCTCCATGTGCTTACAATCCAGGAAAAAAGACAAGCAACTCTGAGAATTGTGTTTAAAATTGGGATCCATTTCCTTCAGCTAAGCAAGAAGTTGGCTCATTTTTTTTTAGTAATTGTCACAATTTGCCTAGTACTTTCTTGATTGTCTGGATTTCCCTAAAAGTAAGCTCCATGAATGCCTGGTCTAGATTTGTATTCCCAATACCTGGCACTGTTATGGCACATAGCTAATATTTTTAAAATATCTTTGAATATGTTTATTATTATTTATTATTATTATTATTATTATTATTATTATTATTTTGAGATGGAGTTTCACTCTTTCACCCAGGCTGGAGTGCAATGGCCCGATTTCGGCTCATTACAACCTCCACCTCCCAGGTTCAAGCAATTTTCCTCCCTCAGCCTCCCGAGTAGCTGGGATTACAGGTGCACACCACCACACCAGGCTAATTTTTGTATTTTTAGTAGAGATGGGTTTTCGTCATGCTGGCCAGGCTGGTCTTGAACTCCTGACCTCAGGTGATCCGCCTGCCTCGGCCTCCCAGAGTTGCTGGGATTACAGGCGTGAGTCACCATGCCTGGCCACGAATATGTTTTTTAAATGAAACAAAATAGCATCCACATCAGGCTGTGTGCTACTAACGCAGAAACTTCCTTTTAAAATGGAAAATAAAATGATAAGGCTAGGAGTCTACCAACTTCCCATGATTCTACCAGTGATTAAAAGCCAATCATTCCATTATTGTGTTCTGTTCTGAGCTTTCCAGAACTTAATTCTGCCTCCTAAATTGAGATCAGAAAACTGGTAGAGAATTGAAATCCTCTGGGCCATTTCTTTCTTCCAGATACTTCAGTCGCCATCAGCACTGTCTTAATGAATCTCCACTCTATTAAATTGTTATTGGGTCTCCAAGCAGGTCATTTGTAACCCCTCTTTCTCAGAACAGAAATCAAACTGTGGAAAGGAATAGGGAAACAGAAAGCAGAATGAGATTAAGATGTAATTTCCTATGGTGGATCCACATTTAATTAACTTTTTCCGAACAAAATGCTCTCACATGGTGGGGTCATACTGTCAAGGAGGTTGTAGCTGGTGGACTCTTCCTCCGTGGGACTGTCTAGACATCAAAGGGGTAGGAAATCCAGAGGTGGCTCCTCTATTTGGAGAACTGGATATTTTGCTGCCAGGAGTCTGGAGAATTTAAACTTCCTGAGTCAATTCAATTTAGGTAGGAACTAATTCATCTTCTGTCCATCACCCAATCACTATGCCAGATCATGTTCCTGTCATGTTTCATTACCTCCTTTCAGCTGGCATCCCTGGTTCACATCTGTAATCCCAGCAGTTTGGAAGGCCAAGGCAGGTGGATCACTTGAGGTCAGGCATTCGAGACCAGCCTGACCAACACCATGAAACCCCGTCTCTACTAAAAAAAAAATATAAGAATTTGACCGGGTTCAGTGACTCATGCCTGTAATCCCAGCACTTTGGGAGGCTGGGGTGGGTGGATCACTTGAGGTCAGGAGTCCAAGACCAGCCTGGCCAACATGGTGAAACCCCATCTCTACTAAAAATACAAAAATTAGCCAGGTGTGCTGGTGTGCACCTGTAATCTCAGCTACTCGGGAGGCTGAGGCACGAGAATTGCTTGAACCCAGGAGGCAGAGGTTGCAGTGAGCCAAGGTCATACCACTGCATCCCAGCCTGGGCAACAGAGTGAGACTCTGTCTTAAATAAATATATAAAAATTGGCATCCTGCCTTCAATCTTAAGCCACTTTCTACCCCCGTGCACTCTAGAAAGAATAGTTATTGATTGAGCTTCAACTACATCCTGATACTCTAATCACATCACATGGATTAATTTATTTAATCCTCACAATAAATCAGTGGGGTACATGGGATTATCATATTCACCTTGCAGAGGAGGAAGCAGGGCTTAGGGAAAGGAAATGGCTCACCCAAAGTTCCACATGCTGGTCAATGGTGGAGGTGAGATCCCAGCCCAGGGAAGCCTGATCCCAAAGACGATGTCATTTATGTATATTGCATAATGATGAGGTTTGGGCTTCCATTGAACCCTTTACCAAAATAGTTTACATTGTACCCAGTAGGTAATTTTTCAACCCTCACCAACTCCTACTCTCCCACTTTTGGAGCCCCCAGGGTCTATTATTTCTGTCTTTGTGTCCACGGGTGTCCCTTGTTTAGCTTCCACTTATAAGAGAGAACATGCAGTATTTGATGTGCTATTTGTGAGTTATTTCACTAAGGACATTGCAGGCAGAGGAAAGAGCATACACACCTGCCTCTCCTGCCTCCACCAATGTCCATGTGGTTTCTCTGAAGCCCAGATCTGACCATGTCACCCTTAGTAGCTTTCTGGGATTCTCTGCCACTCAGTTAATGAGGTCCATTTCTTTATCCTAGCAAGTTTCCAAATTGAGCTTTAATCTAGGTCCCCATCTTATTCCCAATTCCCTGACTCTCTCCCCAATGTACCTGCCACTCCAACACTTCTAACCTTACCCTATTTCAAACATACTACTCTCTGTCATATTTATGCACCTTTTGTTAATTTTCTATTTTATTTTTTATTTTAGATTATTTTATTTTGTTCTTATATTTTATTTTAATTTTATATTATTTTATTTTTATTTTAGATTGATGGGTGTACAAGTGCAGGTTTGTTACGTGGGTATACTGCATAATGGTGAGGTTTGGATTTCTATTGAAACCATCACACAAATAGTACACATTGTGCCCAGTAGGTAATTTTTCAACCCTTGCCAACTCCCACCCTCCCCACTTTTGGAGTCCTCAGTGTCTGTTATTTTCATCTTTGTATCCATGTGTACTCATTATTTAGCTTCCCCTTATAAGTCAGAACATGTAGTATTTGATTTGCTGTTTCTGAGTTATTTTACTTAGGATAAAGGACATGCCAAGCAGAGGAAAGCACATATGCAAAAGGTGCATAACCTTCGCCCACTTTTATGGGCTGGGAATGTCCCTCCCTTCTTTCCTCTCTGGGGAATACTAAGTCATCATCCAAAGCCCCAAAGGCACATCCCCTGTAAGGCCTTATTTGACTGTCCAAGAAGAAGCTCATCCCTCTTTCTCTGGCTCCCATAGCACTTTTCCCAAATACTTCCAGGGCACCTCAATTTTGCACCATACTTACATTCAGGTTTTTTGTTTTGTTCTGTTTTGTTTTTGAGACAGAGTCTTGCTCTAGCCATGTAATTAAGCTTGTACTGTTCAACAATAAACATGGTATTTCATATTACTCAAGGTTGTTCATTGTAAATTAAATGTTCATTGGAAACTAAAATATCATTTTGCGTGTGACAAATTGAGCTCTCTTTCTTGCATTGATGGCCTGTGAGTTGGATCTAGCCTGAGTATATTTTATTTGGCCCACATACTGTTTTACAAATTATGTTTCAGAGTTTCAAAACTCTAAACAAAAATCTAAAAATCATGAATATTTACATTTTTAAAAGCACATTTTAAAATCATATATTTTTTTTAATTCTGAAAAAGTAGATCTAGCAATGCAGAGTATCCATTCCTGAGAAACTGCTGAGTATTTTCCAGTTTTGCCTAGCCATACTTATTTATTCTGTTTCCTTCCTGGCCCCTCCAGGTATTTTAGTTTGCAACTCCTTGTTTAGTTTAACAAGTCAATCACAAAGGAATCAACCATGAAATTGAAGATGTAGTCACCCAAGAGCATATTTTAATTTAAATTTAACATTAGCCAATGCTTCAGGCTAATGATGAACTAGCTGTTCCAACAAAACACACACACATAAACACACACACACACACACACACATACCATGGCTTCAGAATGAGTTCTATTAATTCAACCAAACAAATACGTACTGAGTACCTACTATGTGTCAGAAACAATGTCAGGTGTTTTGATGACAACATCAACTTAATCCTTGCTCTCAAAAAGCCCAGGGACAAGTAGAGCAAATATACAACTGAATAGAAAATTGCAATGCAATGAAATAATCCATAGGTTAATGAGTGTATTACAGAAATTTTGATATGAAGTTTGTTCCCCCAGTTTTTAAAATGTGCAGAATCAATCTAGGAAGCAAAGGTGCATGGAATAAAAGCTTACAACTGCCTTTCTCTTTGGGTTTGAAGAAGTCTTTACAGATCTGGAGGAGATCTGTAAGTGACTCACTTAAGGTCAATGGTTGACATTATGTGCAGACCTAGAACTCAAGAACTGGGCAGGTGTCTTGTCTTTTGTTTGTTTGTTTTTGGCAGGACAGATACTAATTCCCTCCTACTGACTTGAAAAGTGGATTGCCCCTTTGCTGAAAAATTTAGAAAACATTATTAGGACATAGTTAGCTTCAGGCCACTCCTTTATAATATCTCTTGATTTATCTGAGATCATTATGATGGCAAAACGTGGACTGAAAGATATTTGTCTTGTGGGCCTTCATCTAGAACATCTGCCTGAGTAATGATAATTTGTGTTCTTGGGGGTCAGCCTGGAAGTGAGTCTTTAGTGTGATGCCACAGGATCATTATATCAATTAAGGGCTTGGTGGAGGCTCTAGTGGTCATGCTGATCCAATCTGTATTTGACAAAATTCGGAATGGAACAGCTAATATTCAAAATGAAGGAATCTAATTCAGAAAGATCTCACTAGACTGAAACATTGGGCACAAGCCAAAAGATGAGCATTAACCAGGATAAATATTACCTTTTTAAAAATCAATTGCTCAAGTAGAGAATGGAGAAGATCTGGCTTGGCTGTGGTTCCCATGAGAAAGACCTGGGATGTGTTGGAGGCTTGTGCGAGCCAAAAGCAATACAATGCCATAAAAAGACACCAATAGAGAAAACTCTTTCAGTTAATAAATGAGAGAAATCCAAATCAAATTGATTAAAGTAATATGGAGAACTTATTGGATCATATACCTAAAAAGACCAGTAGTGAACTCTAAATATTAGTCATGTTTTAATATGTATCAACCAACCTCCAAATCTCAGTGGCTCTCAAGAACAAACATTTGGGTCCATGGGGCACCTTGGCTTGGCTGGACCAAGCTGGACTCAGGACTTCTGGTTGCTTCTGAGTGCTCCCTGGGTCTTCAGTCTGGCTCCCATCCAGAGAGACAGTGGCAACTTGGGTAGGGTCATTTCATGGCTAATCACAGGAGATAAAAGGGCAAATGGAAATGTAAATGCTTTAGGTTCTCTGCTTGGAACTAGCAAACCTCACTACTGCTCACATCCTGTTGGCCACAACGAATCTTGTGACTGGGACCACATCAGTGGAGTTCAGAATTAAAATCCATCCTATTTATTAGGAGGTATTGTGGTTGCATGGAAAAGATCACAGATGTGTAATTCCTTTTTTTTTTTTTTTTTTTAAGATGGAGTCTCACTCTATTGCCCAGGCTGGAGTGCAGTGGTGTGATCTCAGCTCACTGCAGCCTCTGCCTCCTGAATTCAAGCCATTCTTCTGTCTCAGCCTCCCAAGTAGCCGGGACTACAGGCACATGCTACCATGTCTGACTAATTTTTTTGCATTTTTAGTAGAGACAGGGCTTTACCATATTGGCCAGGCTGGTCTTGAACTCCGACCTCAGGTGATCTGCCTGCCTCAGCTTCGCAAAGTGCTAGGCGTGAGCCACCATGCCCGACCAATATGTAATTCTTTTTTTCTGAGACAGGGTTTCGTGCTGGTTGCCCAGGCTGGAGTGCAGCAGCACGATCTTGGCTCAGTGCAACCTCCACCTCCCGGGTTCAAGCAATTCTCCTGCCTCAGCCTCCCAAGTAGCTGGGGTTACAGTCGCCCATCACCATGCCTGACTAATTTTTGTGTTTTTAGTAGAGACAGGGTTTCACCATGTTGGCCAGGCTGGTCTTGAACTCCTGACCCCAGGTGATCCGCCCGCCTCGGCCTCCCAAAGTGCTGGGCTTACAGGCCTCCCAAAGTGCTGGGCTTATGGCCTCCCAAAGTGCTGGGCTTACAGCCACTATTCCCGACCAATGTGTAATTCTAATACACTTTGTGTACTAGAGAAGGAGTGATTCAGTCTCCCTCATTCTGGCTACAGTAAGTCTGGATTCAGAAATTCAAATGATGCCAACAGGAGTCTATTTCTTTCTTCTGTCTGCTTTCCACTATATTGACTTTAAGTACTAAAGTTATCTACACTTACAGCTTACTGCCTACCTTAACATGAACTTACTATTCTACTGTTTTCATCAACATAATTTTACTGTTCCAGGAAACTCTTGCCCAGCAAGATCAAAGTTGCAAACAGCTTTATTGTTCATTCAAGGAACTTTATGAAAGACCTATCAATTCTCCAACTGACAGCATTAAACAATAATTTATAGCCAAGAGTCTTAGAATTGCTCATCTCACATCTCTCATTTCCCTGTGTGTACCAATCCTTAACTATTATATTGCAATCCTTACCAATTCTAAGTCATTACATCAAAGTCCCACCTTACATCAGACTCCAAAATCTCAATAAATATATCTATTTTGTCCTTCCTCCTCTGAGATGCTACTACAACTCTATCAAGATAGTGCTCTTTCTTCTCGTGGTAAAACTCAACTCAACGTTGTCTTATCAGCAGGTTGTTTTGAGGAGCCAGCATTCAATAGCCTCATTCTCAAGCCACTAGACAGCAAAGGTGGCCACCAAACCCTTCAGATTTACGTTATTAAAAGCAGAGTATCCCTATACGAAAGAACAAAAGCTGTTTCTTGGTAGCACCAGCAAAAGTCCTACGCAAGGCTTTGATAGGCCCAAGTCAAATCACATGCCCAACCCTAAATCTAGGAGTCTTTGGGGATATTGTGCTGTGATAATCTTTGCCTGAATTCTTGGCTACTGCTGAAGGTGAGAATGGAATATAACCCTCCTGGGGCTGGGCTCGGTGCCTCAGTCATGTAATCCCAACACTTTGGGAGTCCGAGACGGGCAGGTCATGAGGTCTATCCTGGCCAACATGGTGAAACCACGTCTCTACTAAAAACACAAAAATCAGCTGGGTGTGGTGGCGCGTGCCTGTAATGCCAGCTACTCGGGAGCCTGAGGCACGAGAATCGCTTGAACCCAGGAAGCAGAAGTTGCAGTGAGCCGAGATTGCACCACTGCACTCCAGCCTGGTGACAGAGCGAGAGTCCATCAAAAACAAAACAAAACAAAACAAAACAAAAACCACCTTCCTGAATCATATGGACTGAAAATAGAGGAGATGTGGTTCCCCAGAGGAAAATGCAGCATTTGCTGCCAGGAGAAGGAACAATGGTCATTGAGTAGATAAAAATGACAAATATTTGTTATACTATCTTAGTCGGCCATACCAATAGAAACTACGAGGTCACAAATAAGAAGAGAAAAGCTTTACTGCATTGTTTAATGCTGATTTCTACAGCATTAAACTATAGTGTATCCAGAAGACAGAGCACTACTAGTGAGGGAGTAGGCACCAGTTTAATGGTGAAGCCTCCAAAGTTTATCATGAACAAGCTCTGTGGCACAGAGCTCCTAAAACCCTTTTAGGTTGATGATAGTAGCATCTTTGCTTCCAACGAGGAGACTATTGATGAGTTCCCAGACAGCTTTAGGGCGAGGCTAGTCCATTACTTTTATTGGCGAAAATAGCTATTACTCCTGCACCAACCTTAATAATTGGAAGTTTGGAACGTTCAGCCTCAGGCTCCAACTCCCAGGGAGGGGAGAGGCACTGACATTGAATTAATCCCCGATGGCCAATGATTTAATCATCATGCCTACATAAGGAGACCTCCACTAGAACTCTTCAACCGCAAGGTTCGGACAGCTTCTTTTTTTTTTCTTTTCCTTTTTTTTTTTTTTGAGACGGAGTCTTGTTCTGTCACACAGGCTGGAGTGCCGTGGTCTGATCTTGGCTGACTGCAACCTCCACCTCCCGGGTTCAAGTGATTCTCCTGCATCAGCCTCCTGAGTAGCTAGGATTACATGTGTGCACCACCATGTCCGGCTAATTTTGTATTTTTAGTAGAGATGGGGTTTTGCCATGTGTGCCAGGCTGGTCTTGAACTCCTGACTTCAGGTGATCCCCTCTCCTCAGCCTCCCAAAGTGCTGGGATTACAGGCGTGAGCCACCGCGCTCCACCATTGGAGAGCTTCTTGATGGGTAACACATTCAGGTGCTGGGCGGGTGGCACACCTGGGGAGAGTGTGGAGGCTCTGTGCCCCCGCCTGCATACCCTGTCCTATGCATCTCTTCCATTTGTCTGTTCCTGCATTGTATCTTTTTTTTTTTTTTTTTTTTTTTTTTTGAGATGGAATCTTACTCTGTTGCCCAAGCTGGAGTGCAGTGGTGCGATCTCGGCTCACTATACCTCTGCCTCCCAGGTTCAAGTGATTATCCTGCCTTAGCCTCCTGAGTAGCTGGGACTACAGGCACACATCACAACACCCAGCAAATTTTTTTTTTTTTTTTTTAGTAGAGATGGGGTTTCACCATGTTAGCCAGGATGGTCTCGATCTCCTGACCTCGTGATCCGCCCCCCTCGGCCATCCAAAGTGCTGGGATTACAGGCATGAGTCACTGCACCCAGCAAGTTGTATCTTTTATAATAAACTGGCAATAGTAAGTAAAATATTGTCTTACTTTGTGTGAGTTGTTCTAGCAAATTTTCAAACCCGATGAGGGGTTGAGGGAACCTCTGAATTTGTAGTTGGACAGAAGTGTGTGTAACTGGAGTCCTGATACTTGCAACTGGTGTCTGAAGTAGGGGCAGTTTCTGGGACCACGCCCTGAAACCTCCACTCCACGTGGAGTCTGACACTGATGCCAGGAGGTTAGTGTCAGAAGTGAACTGCATTGCAGGAAACCCACTTGGTTTTGGAGAGATGGAGAGGTGTTGAAAACAGCACCATGTATTGGTATAAGGAGAAAACAAAGTTCAAAGGGGGAGATCTTAACGGTATGTCATACATAAAAGAAAATAAACCTGACTCACACCTGATCCATTCAATTCAATATAAAAAAAAAATGGGCTTCAAGTTCATTTGCTTCATAGTATTCTTTGATTTCAGTAACTAGTTGACAACTTCTCTACCAGATCCTGACCATAGCAAAAGTTCTATGCCAAGCACCGGGTCAGATGCTAGAGCCACATCTTAGAAAAGACGCTGACCACGTGATTAGTGGTGGACGAGATCCAAGTTACCCTGAGTTACCAGCAGCATATCCATGCGGATGTGCAGCAACTTCAGTCCGTCCATCCTCAGAAGAAAGAATTCAACTGAGGGACATAAAGCAGAAAAAGAGACCGAGGCAAGTTTCAGAGCAGGAATAGAAGTGTATTTAAAAAGGCTTTAGAACAAGAAAGAAAGGAAGGTGCACTTGGAAGAGACCCAAGCGGGCACATGAAGGTTAAACAGAAAAGAAGCATGTCTACCCTTGATACTCGGACTTCATAAGCTCGCCTCTTTCCCATGATTCTTTCCTGAGGGTGGGCTTCCCTCCTGCACAGTGTCCTCCTTACCCTCAGGAACTGAGCACATGCAGTGTGTTTAGGAAGTTGTACATATGCCCATCTGAAGTTCTCTTTTTCTGGTGGAGCGTCACTGGAAGGTCATAGTTCACCATTTTCTCTCTTAGTGTGTATGTCCCGGATGTTTTCCTCCCCAGCATCTGCGTTCAATTAACACTTTAATGTTAATAGCTGTGGATCATCAGGAAATGGCCTTTCCCTGGCACCCTCAGTGGGCTTCTGAATTATCATTTTTAGACAGGCGGTGTGATCATCATCGAACCATGACCTGACACTCCTAGTGAGTGTGGGGAGAACCCCTCTGCCCATCTACCTGGAACAATATGAGCTATAAAAAAAAAAAATTATCCAAAATTGGCCAGGGGCAGTGGCTCACGCCTGTAATCCCAGCACTTTGGGAGGCCGAGGCGGACGGATCACCTGAGGTCGGGAGTTCGAGACCAGTCTGACCAACATGGAGAAACCCCGTCTCTACCAAAAATACAAAATAAGGCAGGCGTGGTGGCATGCGCCTTTAATCCCAGCTACTAGGGAGGCTGAGGCAGGAGAATGGCTTGAACCCGGGAGGTGGAGGTTGTGGTGAGCCGAGCTCGCACCAGTGCACTCCGGCCTGGGCAACAAGAGTGAAACTCTGTCTCAAAAAAAAAAAAAAAATGCAAAATTTAGAAATAAGGCCAAAAAACACAGCATGACGCTCGATATCATGCCAGGCCATTGCCTAATAGGCCTGTTCACTCGAGGATTATTTAATTCTCTTAGAAAAAGTATCTGCATTGGCTTTGCTATTTAGTCTATCATTAGAAACCAAATACTATGAAGTTATGTTTCTTCTTGTAAATTCCTATGAAGTAGAAAAGACGGCTCTACAGGTACACTTTTATTTCTCTGTAGGACATTGCCCAGTTTTGTATCTAACCTAGCAATCTTGTCCTAAAGTTCTTCTTTACAAAATGCCTATAAATACCCAGTTCTTCGAACTGCTCTTTGAGCAAGTTTTACCATTGTACTGATTCTTTCATTAAAGAGTGAAATAAAATCTTGGCATGTGTTCAATTTATATTTGCACAGGAGTCATGGTTTTCACTTTTTGAAAAGTATTCTTTGATAGAATTTTCTAGGCTACTAAGAGAGAGACATTAAACAAATTACATTTGGGAAGGGTATTAAGAAGTAATTATAGTGTGTTATCCTGCAAGAAAAGGATTTCACATAGTGTAAGAATTGGGAATGGCTTCCCTGAAAACGTGACATTTCTTGATGCGTGAATGAGAATCAAGTGATGGAAGGAAAATTTGGAGCCAGGCATGGGCCTGCTTCAAAGACCCAAGGCCAAGGGTAAATGAGAGGTGCATCCAGATAGCACCAATAGGTAGAAACCATCCAGGGCACATTTTTCACTAGAGGGGTTTGAATCAGAGTTCCTGGGTCTCCAGGGATGTCAGAATCCCAAAAACGAGGATGGACTCTTAAGCCTCTGCATCTCTGGTTAGGCTTGCACATGACTTTGGCTTCTGTGTAAGTTGTCAAATGACTCCCACAAAATAGCTCAGAAGCTGATCCCTGGACTCAGCATCATTGGAACTACTTCATAGCTCAAGTTTCAGGGAGCAGGAAGCAGTTTCCTTCTCCTGGACTGAAGGACCACGGGAGAAGGGAAGCACATTGCATAGGCCCAACAGAAAACACCAGGCTCTCATTGCCTGTGTCACACAGAGGCCTCTTTAAATCTGCATCCGGTTAAAGGGAGTAGCTGCCATCACGTGGGCTCACTCTGATCCCTGTCTCTTCTTTGTAGCTGAGGGGAGGTTGGATAATAAGCCCCAACAGCTTCTCATTTGGTTGCAAATTTCAGAAGACAAAGGGAAAATAAGAAAAGCCAGGGTTACTGTTGCCAGGATATTAAGCCACTCATGATAACACAAGTTAACTAGAATGCAGTAGAATGAGGTGGCTTGTCATCTGGGCTGGCTGGGCCCTGACTTCTCAGACACAGAAAGGTCTTTGTGAGGGAATTTGGACCTGGGGGATTTGGGGACTAAGTACTGTGTTCATCAGGCAATCAATCCAAGCAATTATCAGCCACAAAAACAAATATGTTTGGATTTTCGACACTCATAGGAGAGGAGCAACACATTTATTGATTGATTGAATGAGACAAGGTCTGGCTCTGTCGCCCAGGCTGGAGTGCAGCGACAGGATCTCGGCTCACTGCAATCTCTGCCTTCTGGATTCAAGCCATCCTCCCACCTCAGCCTCCCAAGAAGCTGGGACTACAGGTGTGTGCCATGACACCCGGCTAAGTTTTTGTACTTTTTTGTAGAGACGGGGTTTTACCATGTTGCCCAGGCTGGGCTCAAACTCCTGAGCTCAAGCAATCCGCCTACCTTAGCCACCCAAAGTGCTGAGATTACAGGCATGAGCCACCGCACCTGGTCAAGGGAGGAGCAATTCAGAATGGCAAAAACAGAGCTGACACTGTTTGTAGACATACAGACCTGGGTTTGAATCCTGACTCTGTCTTTAGAACCTTTCACAACTAGACCCAACTTCACCGCTGTGGGGGATAACAATAGTTGCCAGCTCTTATGGAGTGAATGTTAGTGTCTCTCCCATCAAATCCTACCCGTGATGTGATGGTACTAGGAGGTGGGACCTTTGGGAGGTAATTAGAAGTAGATGAGATCATGAGGGTGGGGCCTCGACAAATGGGATTTGTGCCTTATAAGAGTCAAAAGAGAACTTGCGTCTTCTCTCTGCTCTCTGCCATGTGAGGACACAGGGAGAGGTCAGTGGTCCACAACCCAGAAGACAGCCTCCACCAGAGCTCAACCATGCTGGCACCCTGATACCGGACTTCCAACCTCCAGAACAGTAAGAAATAAACTTCTGTTGTTTATAAGCCACCTAGTTAATAATATTTCATTACCGCAGCCCAAGCTGATGAAACACTACCTCATGGGGCCAATCTGAGCGTTAGGTGAGATAATTCATGCAAAATGCTTAGTTTAGCGTCTGGCATGTAGGAAAGGTTCAACTAATCTTATCTATCATTATTATAACTATAATAATAATACCAGGATCATCAGAGTCTGTCTATACATTTTCATTGCTGTCAAGTCTTGATTTCAGATTTTAGTCTTGATTTTCTATTGCGAGTTTCATCTTCAACCAGTTTTAAAGAGCATGTCAGCAGTGTTTTCAGGGAAGACACAAGGAGTTTTGATGCCTGGCATTAAAACTTTGAGAAACTAAGGATTGGGTGGGTGTAAAGCTGAGAGAGGACAGTGTGGGTGATCAGCTCGTCTGTTTGTCTGGGTCCTTCTCTGTTTTCGTTTTAGATATTTTCCAGAAAATCCCGTTTCCTGGGAAACCCCAAAGTCCTAAGCCAGCCAGGGCAGCTGGTCATCTTAACTATAGAACTAATTCAAGGCTGCACGGTAATTCACAGAACCAGCACATGACCCCAGGCCTCCTGACACCCAGGTTACAGGGTGCCTTTATCATGTCATTTTTACCAACATCTTGTCCTTGGGTGGCCCGAGGAGGGGCACATACAGATAGAAGTTCCGATGTGTAGGCTTTGGGACATAGTTTTTTCAACTGATACTACACATCAATAAGACGGACTGGGAAGACTCCTGCAGCAAACCACAAGATGCTTTCTAAATGGCAGGAGCTACTTAGCAATGGCCAATCATAGCTCTGTGAATAATGTGAGCCCAGCATTGTCAGATATTATACTGATTATTTCAGAGAAAAAGGCTGCGCACAGTGACTCACACCTATAATCCCAGCACTTTGGGAAGCCAAGGCAGGAGGATCTCTTTGGCCTACAAGTTTGAGACCAGCCTGAGCAACATAGGGAGACCCCGTATCTAAAAAAAAAAAAAAAAAAAAAACAAGCATGGTGGCATATTCTTGCAGTCCCAGCTCCTCGGGAGGCCGATACAGAAGAATCACTTGAGCACAGCAGTTCAAGGCTTCAGTGAGTTATGATCATGCCACTGAACTCTAGCCTGGGCAACGGAGCAAGACCCTGTCTGAGACAGAGAGAGAGAGAGACAGAGAGAAGATATCTGAAATTTTAAAAATGTTGTCTTGCTCTGTCGCCCAGGCCGGAGTGCAGTGGCGTGATCTTAGCTCACTGTAACCTCCATCTCCCAGGTTCAAGCAATTCTCCTGCCTCAGCCTCCCAAGTAGCTGAGACTGCAGATGCCTGCCACCATGCCCGGCTAATTTTTTGTATTTTCAGTAGAGACAGGGTTTCACCATGTTGGCCAGGCTAGTCCTGAACTCCTGACTTCAGGTGATCTGCCTGCCTCAGCCTCCCAAAGTGCTGGGATTACAGGTGTGAGCCACCGCACCTGGCCTCAATTTTCAAATACTGACAACTAATTCTATTAGAAAAAAATCCTATAGAGTCAAACAAAACACGTTAGTGGGCCAGATGAAGCTTGCCAGCCATCGGTTTACAAACTTGATTTACACCATGCTCTTCCCCACTTCAGGGCCTTTTCACGTGCTGGTCTCCCTGCCTGGTATATTGTTTCCTGCTCACCTTTTCACATGGACCACACGCTCGATTTTCTTGCCACCTTTGGAAGGTCCCAGGGCTCTGTTCTTGCACTTCTCTTTTGAGTCTATATTCACTTCCTTGTTCACTCATCCTCATGTCCTTAAACATCATCTTGAAGTTAACAACTCCCAGATTTTATCACCAGCCTAGAATTCCCTCCTGCACTTCTGACCCAAATAGTCAGCTGCCTGCTCAACATCTGTCCTTGATGTCTAATGGACACTTAAAATTTGTCTTCCAAAACTAAACTTTTAATCATGCACCTCCAAATCTATTCGTTGCCAGTCTCGCTAAGTGCTGACAGCATTCTTCCATTTCTCCAGCCAAAATTGGAGGCATGCTTGGCTCCTCTCTTTCTGTCATATCTCAAATCACTTCTTCAGTAGATCCTGTTGGTTCTTTCTTCACAATGCATTCAGAATCCATGGTCTTCTCCATCCTTGGTCTACATCACCACAATCCATCACCTGGATTTGAAAAATAGCCTCCACCCTGGACTCCTGGCTTCTGTCCGTGCTCCTCTCAAGTGTGATATCTATACAGCAGCCAGGTGATCCTGTGAAATGTAAGTCATGATGTCTCTGCTCATACCCTTCCTATGATCCTCATTGCATTCAGATGAAAAGCCGAACCAACCTCCCAGTGTCTAATAATCTGCCCTCCTCCCCATCCCATCTCTGACTTAAATTTCTACTGGCTACCTTGCTGTTGTTATCATTGGTTGTTATTTTCCAAAATGCTTTTCCTCCGGGGAATCATGTGGACCATGTCCTTGCCCCCTTCAGAGCATTACTCAGATGTCACCTTTACAGTGAGACCGACCTTTAAAATTCAAAATTTGCAATTGCCACTGTTGACAAAAAGAGTCCAACTCTATAAAATCGTTTGAAGGGATTTTTTTCTGAGCCAAATGTGAGTGACCAATGCCCCATGACACAGCCCTCAGGAGATCCTGAGAACCTGTGCCCAAGGTGGTCAGGATACAGCTTGGCTTTACACATTTTAGGGAGACAGAAGGAATCAATCATCACATGGAAGATGTACATTGGTTCCGTCCGGAAAGATGGAACAACTGGAAGTGGGGAGCTTCCCGGTCGTAGGTAGATTTAAAGATTTTCTAATTGACAATTGGGTGAAAGTGTTAAATAATTATCTAAAGACCTACAATCAATAGAAAGGAATGTCTGGGTTATGATAAGGGGCTGTGGAGACCAAGGTTTCATCATGCAGGTGAAACCTCCAGGTAGCAGGCTTCAGAGAGAATAGCCTGCAAATGTTTCTTATCAGAGTAGATTCTCTCCTGGATCAGCAAAAGGAAAGAAAAGGAGGGGGATTCTCATAGAATGTAGATTTCACCATCCACCCCCCTCCGGCCCCCACCAGTCAGCTTTGCAGGACTGTTGCAAGATATGGCCAAGAAAACATATTTGGCATTAAAATATTTTTATTTCCAGGCCAAGCACAGTGGCTCACGCCTGTAGTCCCAGAACTTGGGGAGGCCAAGATGGGAGGATTACTTGAGCCCAGGAGTTCAAGACCAGCCTGGGCAACATAGTGAGACCCCATCTCTAAAAAGATATATATACACATGTATATCTTAATATGTATTTATCATATATGTATCATATATCATATATGTATATATGTGTATATATACATATATATCATAATATATCATATGTGTATATATGTATATATACATATATATCATAATATATCATATATGTATATATGTGTATATACACATATATATCATAATATATCATATATATATTTCCTTCTTAATCTGTCATATGTTGTTATGTGACAATAACCCGGTTTTAGCTGAGAATGTTCTACAACAATTTGACTGGCTTAAGTTCAGGGTCTTGCTGGACAGCCAAAACTCAGTTATAACATAGATGCTATTTCCATGAAAACCTAAATTCTGTTTGAGTGGCAATCTCTAATTGTCAGGTTTGGGGATGCAAAAGCAAAAACAAAAGGAAGAGAAAGACTTAGAAGGAAAGGGAAAAGAGGATGGGAAATGGAGAATATGAGAGAGAATATATTTAGTCAGAAGAAATAGCTCACAAAAATAGTCCCTGGGGATTAAAAAGTAGGATTTACTGCTTCCACTACCAGTGATTAAGAAGCAAGAGATGTTCTGTGTTCGGCGCTCTGAAGAATATAGAGGAAAGAGCTTCTGTTTTGTTCATAAGACATATTTGACTTTAAATCCCAGCCCTTCTGTTTCACAGCTGTGTAACTTTGGCAAAGTCATGCAGCCTCTCTATGCTTCCAAGTTTGATGGTGCCTACCTCAAAGCACTATTGTGAAGAGTAAGTGAGAGATGCAATTTATATATCCAAATTATATAATGGGTATGGAGCGCCTATTATACAGACAGTAGGGTCTTGACTGAAGACGAAGGTGCGTATGGTCTTACCCAGGAAGTGAAGGCGGGTGGGGTGTACAAGTGCCCAGGTCCAAGCCCTGAGAAACTTCAGCATAGGAGTGCTGGAGAGGAAGGTGAAAGATAAGGCAGCAAAAGATACTGAAGTAACTAGAAAGATCACAGAAAAACCATCAAAGAGTAGCATTACTGAAGCCAGGGAAAGATTGTTTCAAGATAGCTCTCAGGGTGTAATAAAAAGCAAAGACTGAAAATATCCTTTTTTTGGGGGGCGGGGATGGAGTCTCGCTCTGTCGCCCAGGCTGGAGGGCAGTGGCACGATCTTGGCTCACTGCAAGCTCTGCCTCCTGGGTTCACGCCATTCTCCTGCCTCAGCCTCCCGAGTAGCTGGGACTACAGGCACCCACCACCATGCCCGGCTAATTTTTTTGTATTTTTAGTAGAGATGAGGTTTCACCATGTTAGCCAGGATGGTCTCGATCTCCTGACCTTGTGATCTGCCCACCTCAGCCTCCCAAAGTGCTGGGATTACAGGCGTGAGCCACCACGCCCAGCCAAAAATAACCTTTTATAATATGTGTAGCCATTAAAAATGAGGTATTGCTAAAATGGTGAACGTTGTATTTGTGCTTCATGGGAAGAAGCAGATGACAAAACATTTATATATTTATAGGTAAAAGATGCTGACTGAGCTTCTGTTTATTAAGTGCATTTATTCAACAAATATCCATTGAGAGCTTGCTGCATTTTGTGCTCTGTTCTAGGTGCTAGGGTTATGAGGTTGAATAAGACAGCCATGGTCCTTGTCCTCATGGTGTTTATATCTCACTGTGCGTGTGTGTATGTGAGATCATACATACATACATACATATCTGTGCCTTGGGTTGGAAATGAGATATATGCAATGGGTAATGAAATTGGACAAAATCACATTTATGCATATGCATACTGCATATACCACAAAATATAGCAGACTATGTAACAAATATTCATGATAATTCATCCAAGTGGTGGGATGCTGTTTGAGTGGTTAAGAGCTCAAGTTTTAAGGTAGGATAACATGCATTCAACTTAGTTTCGTTACCTAATAGCTGCCTAATTAAGCAAGCTATTTGACCCCAGTCAACCTGTTTCCTTTTCTCTAAAATGAAGATAATGCTGGTCTCTATCTTGTAATACTGTGGTGAGAATGAAATTATATAAGTATATGCTTAATTCAGTTTCTGGCACATAGGAAGTGCTTGATAAGTAGCCATTATTTTTACCAGTGTTTGGCTTGCTTGGATTTTACAATTTTTTGTATAATATAAATATGTTCTTTTTGGAGTTAGAAAACACCATAGAAGTTGTTTAAAACAATAATCTTTTGTTAGAGAGCAAGGATGAGCCAGTTGCCTGGAAACTGAATGCTTGCTTAAAGAGGCAAAAAGGAAGCTCATACTACATGACAGTTTGGTTGTGTCAAATATTGGTGCTTTGCAAATTATTCTGTTGATGCTAAATCACAGAAGAATCTACCAATCACATCACCTAGGAGGGAAAGTGAAATGGACTAAACAAAGCAGAAAGCCCATTTCTGGACAGTGGTGTAACAAGGTGTCCATGAGAGAAACAAACATCATGGGACAGCTATGAACGCCCAGAGAGGACAAGTCACTTCCTGTATTAGTCCATTTTCACACTGCCAATAAAGACATACCTGAGACTGGGTAATTTATAAAAGAAAGAGGTTTAATGGACTCACAGTTCCACATGGCTGCGGAGGACTCACAATCACGGCACAAGGCAAAAGAGGAGCAGAGTCACGTCTTACATGGCAGCAGGCAAGAGAGCTTGTGCAGGGGAACTCTCATGTATAAAACCATCAGATTTCATGAGACTTATTCACTACCGTGAAAACAGTATGGGGAAAATTGCCCCCATGATTCAATTATCTCCACCTGGCCCCAGCCTTGACACATGGGGATTATTACAATTCAAGCTGAGATTTGGATGGGAACACAGACAAACCATATCACTTCCCCAAAGTCACTCAGTTCTGTAAGAGTCAAGACTAGAACTCAGACCACCAGTACCCATACTAAGACCTTATCTATCACACTCACTGCCAGGACTTTACTACTTTCAAAGACACTCTCTGCTGTAGTAGGTTCCTGCCTCTCATTCTAAGAAGACAGGTGCATGCCGTTTCCAAAAGACTGTCTCATCTTTCTATATTAAAAGTCAACAAAACAAAACAGTCTTTCAAAGAAATAATGATGTGTTCAAATCTATGCCTTTTCAGTTTTTCCAAAAAGTGAAACACAATAATAACAAAAAGTCCTAGCAGACGAGTCAGGTGGCACCAGGAGTACTAGCAGGAGAGGTCACTGAATCAGGGAACTGTAATTTATTTCAAATAGCCCTTGGACAGTCATGTCAAATTTACTTCCTAATGTACGAATCTTTGCTGAGACACTTCTGAAAGGCGGTAATTGAGCTGCTGATTGAGCTATTATTTATTTAGCAACTATTATTTCCAGGCAATGAATTATAATCTATGCCCCAGAGAGCATCCAGAGTGACCTTATTAAAACCCAGTCAGGTCTCACCCCCTTACAACGGCTCCTTATCACATTTGGAATGCAATCTAAATCCTTTCCCAAGCTCACAAAGTAGGGCACTGTTGCTGCCCCTCTGACCATGTCTCCTTCCCTCCTCCCATCATCTATTGCACTTCATGCTCTGGCTGTCTTCTAGGCCTTCAAACATGCCCAGTTCATTTCTTCCAGAGGTCTCTATACTAGCGATTCTCTCTGCCTGAATTGCTTCTCCCCCAGGTCTCCCTTGCCACTCAGATCTCATTCAGCTCTCAGCTCAAATGCCTCCTCCTTCAAATGGTCATCCTTGACCCCTGATCTTCTTCCCTGGTCATCTGAAGTCACACCTCCCTTGTTTTATTTCCTTATATCCCTAATCACTATCCGGAATTATTTTGTATCTCAGATCGGATTCTCTAGAAGTAGAGCCTGAGGATTCTTGTGCAATTAATTGGCTTACTAAGGGAATGCTCTCAACAGAAACCCATAAGGGGCTGAGGGAGGTAGGACAGGACATGAGAAAAGCCAGGCAAAGATGTAGTTCAGATGACGTCCAGCCTCCTTTCTCCTTCTGGGAGCTCTGGCGCATAAAGGGCTCCACAGAGTCTGTCCTGCCTTGTGAAAGGGAGCTTGTCTGTTGTATTCTTGCATCAGTGAGTCACTCAACTGAGGGCTGCCTGGAGTCCAGGACAAAAACTTTGAGGCAACCCCAATTGTCCAACGGCACACCTTTGCACAAGGATATAAATGTGAGCTGTTGGGCAAAACTGGGGGAAGAATACACCAACCAAGAGGCTCTGAGTAGGATGCCCACTACACCCACATTATCCTGCTCATTCACCCGTTTCATTGATTTATGTCTGTCTACCCTGCTAGACTTTAAGTTCCATGAAGGCAAGAATTTCATCTGCCTTATTTGCTGTGTGCTACTACTTAGCACGTAATAGGCACTCAGTAAATACTGGTTGAATGTTCAAAGAATGAATTAATAAGCTAAGGCACTTTACTTACTCTAGCCGCATAATTCTTACCATCACCCTGGGAGTCAGGACCTTCAAAGCTGACTTCTTTCCAGGCTTAGATCCAAGCATGTCCATCTGAGAGACAATTAACCAGACGGTCTAGATAAAAATAAATTATGAGAGCAAACTTCACTTCAGCCTCTACCTCGAGTCTTTCTCCCTATTCCCCACAACTTCTTCCCATATATACATGGAGATTTTCTTTTGTCTTTTGAAATGTTTGTTCCCCAAACTCCAGACCATGAGACCAAAGAATCATGAAGAATTAGTGCAGGGATTGTTTTTCTTGATGCTTCATTTTGTTTCCATGCATGTTAAGAATATTTTAAAATAAACAGTAGTTGTTATTCACACAGCTAATCAGGACTGTATGTGTAGGTGCTAACAGGATGGGCTACTATGCATTAAGGTTATATAGTGTTTTAATATTACAAATGACATGGAATTTATTATCTGGACAAGAGGAATGTTTGAGATTTTTTTTTTACCCCCCATTCCCTGCCAGGGACTTGTCAGTCATCTTAAGATGAAATGGTTTAAGATCTCATTCTTCTAGGGGTGATTTGTGCACCAGCAGCTTAAGCACCCTGGAAGCATGTTAGAAATTTAGTATCTTGGTCCCATTCCAGGCCTGCTAAGCCAGAATCTGCATTTTAACCTGATCCCCAGGTTGGAGATAGGTTGCCTTCAGACATTTGCTATTGTCTTTTCTATGTCCTATTTGCTTCAGTCTTTCCTATTGTCCTTCCTTTGGGGAAGCTGACTGTTTCAGAACATCCCTGTTAATTCCTTATATTCCCCTTCCCTGGAGTCCTGGAAGACCGTAAGGAATTAGATCCCTCTTTTGTCTGTAAAAGTTGGCCAACTTGGGATCTTCAAAAGTGAGATAGAGGCAGGGTAAGGTGGCTCGCGCCTGTAATCCCAGCACTTTGGGAGGCCGACGGGGGCAGATCATGAGGTCAGGAGTTCAAGACCATCCTGGCCAACATGGTGAAACCCCGTCTCTACTAAAAATACAAAAAATTAGCCGGGCGTGGTGGCTATAGTCCCATCTACTCGGGAGGCTGAGGCAGGAGAATCACTTGAACCCAGGTGGTGGAGGTTGCAGTAAGCCAAGATCGCACCCCTGCACTCCAGCCTGGCAACATCGCGAGAATGTCTCCCAAAAAAAAAAAAAAAAGTGAAATAGTTACTTGTCTTGCATCCAGCTTTGTAGAAAGGGTTAGCATAAAGAATATAAGATTCTGAAAAGAAGGGCATCAACAGATCTCACTGCTTCTACCCTTTTCTTGATCTTTAGGATGATAAATTTTTCCACGAGCATATGGACTCTATCTTTGTCTTTTTTAGGAGACCATCCAGAGGCCAGTTGCCCGGAGACAAATTGTAAGTCTTTATGATCAGAAAGAATAGGGGTAGATGGCTGTCACTGAGTGATTCACAGGCCAGAGTCCAAATCAATCATCGATGTCAGTACTTTCAAACCCAGGAAGAACATCCAGATGGCCTGCACAATGGATTGAAAAGTTTCCCTTGCCTTAGGGATGCAGATTCAGCATCTCAGAGCAAAGCCTTGAAATATGAATTTTTAAAGAAGTTCTGCAGTCAACTTGGGAACGAATGAGTTTAGTAATTACTGTAAACCAAAATTTTCCAAACTTCATTGATGATTAAAAAAGAAAAACACATGGGATGCTTATTTTAAATGCTAATTCCCGAGTTTCTCTTTTGGAGGGTCTAATTCAGAAGGACCCAAGAATCTGTAAATTACCCAACCATTACTTCTTGTAGGAAAAAGGCTCTACGCTTTACCACCAGCTTGTTTTGCGCTCCTTGGGAATGTCACTCAAGCGCTCCTAGGCCTAATTTCTTCATCTGAATGCTGGATATGAAAATATCCATTTCACAAGGTTCATGTAAAATACTACCGAGTTAATCTATGGAGACACGGTTTGTAATTCTATCAAGTGCTATACGCAGGCATAAGAAATTCCAATTTTCAACTGGCTTCATTGTAATGTGTCTTTCCTTGTATCTAGGACCAATTAAATAATTTGCAGTAAATGGAAACGTGGGGGCTCCTTGTTAAATATTTATTAAGAATTTGAAAATGGAGACAGCAGAGTGTTAAACTGTTAAAGGTAGTTAGGCATGAGAGCAGGACAGGAGAGGGCTCTCCGACCCTCCATTGGAAATGTCAGGTGTTGGTTCGGCAATTACCACATTGCCTCTCTAAAAATAATTCAGCAGCGCGAGGAAGACGCCATTTCCTGATGGTCCACACCTGTTAACATTAAAATTTTAATTGAACGCAGGCGCCAAGGAGAAGCAATTTCCTGGGCATGCGTGTTAACAGACAAAAATGGCCTTTGGGAGGCCAAGGCGGGAGGATCACTTGAGTTCGGGAGTTCGAAACTAGCCTTACCAACATGGTGAAACCCCCGTCTCTACCAAAAACACAAAAAATTAGCCTGGCGTGGTGGCGCACGCCTGTAATCCCAGCTACTAGGGGGGCTGAGGCAGGAGAATTGCTTGAACTCGGGAGGCAGAGGTTGCAGTAAGCTGAGATCCCGTCACTGTAATCCAGCCTGGGCCACAGAGAGAGGCTCCGTCCGAAAAAAAAAAAAAAAAAAAAGACGAAAATGGCGAAGTATGATCTCCCATACACTCCACCAGAGAAGGGAAGAAAGCCTCAGATGGGCATGCATATAACTCCCTAAACACACTGCGCATGTTCAATTCCAAAGGATACAGAAAGCACTGCGCATGTGGAAGCCCCACGCTAAGGGAGGAATTACAGGAAAGAGGCAAGCTTATAAAAAAAAAAGTCCTAGGATCCGCCGACGTGGTGGCTCAACGCCTGTAATCCCAGCACTCTGGGAGGCTTAGGCAGGCGGATCACGAGGTCAGGAGTTCAAACCAGCCTGGCCAACATGATGAAACCCCGTCTCTACTAAAAATACAAAAATTAACTGTGTGGTGGCGCGTGACTGTAATCCCAGCTACTGGGGAGGCTGAGGCAGGAGAATTGCTTGAACCCGAGAGCCGGAGGTTGCAGGGAGCCGAGATACCGCCACTATACTCCAGCCTGGGATACAGAATGAGACCCCGTCTAAAAAAGAGCAATAAGAAAGTCGAAGTATGATCTCCCATACACTCCACTGGAAAAGGGAAGAATGCCTCATACGGGCATGCCTGTAACTCCCTAAACACACTGCGCATGCTCCGTTCCAAAGGAGTATAGAAAGCACTGCGCATGCGGAAAGCCCCCGTTAAGGGAGGAACTACCGCAAAGAGGCGAACTTAATATAAGTCCTAGGATCGGTTGGGCGCGGTGGTTCACGCCTGTATTCCCAATACGCCTGTATTCCGAGGCGGGCGGATCACGAGGCAGGCGGAACACGAGATCAGGATTTCAAGACCAGCCTGGCCAATATGATGAAACCCCGTCTCTACTAAAAATACAAAAAATTAGCCTGGCGTCGTGGCGCGCGCCTGTAATCCCAGCTACTGGGGAGGCTGAGGCAGAATTGCTTGAACCCGGGAGGCAGAGGTTGCAGTGAGCTGACATCGCCCCATCCCGCCACTGGACTTCAGCCTGGACCACAGAGCAAGACCCCGTCTCAGAAAACATAGAGACAAAAACTGCTTAGTATGATCTCCCATATACTCCACCGGAAAAGGAAGAAAGCCTCAGTTGGGCATGCGTATAACTCCCTAAACACACTGCGCATGTTCAATTCTAAACCGTACAGAAAGCATTGCGCATGCGGAAAGCTCGCCCAAAGGGAGGAATTATGGGAAAGAGGCGAGTTTACAAAAGTCCTAGGATCCGCGGGGCGTGGTGGCTCACGCCTGTAATCCTGGCTGTTTGGGAGGCTGAGGCGGGCAGATCACCTGAGTTCAAGACCAGCCTGGCCAACATGATGAAACCCCGTCTCTACTAAAACTACAAAAATTAGCTGGCTGTAGTGGCGCGCGCTTGAGGCAGGAGAACTGCTTGAACCCGGGAGGCGGAGGTTGCAGTGAGCTGAGATTCCGCCACTGTACTCCAGACTGGGCCAGAGCAAGACTCCGTCAAAAAAAAAAAAAAAAGACAAATACAGCACCGGAAAAGGAAAGAAAGCCTCAGATGGGCATGCGTATAACTCCCAAAACACAACTGCGCATGTTCAATCCCAAAGCGTACAGAAAGCACTGCGCATGCGGAAAGCCCACTTTAAGGGAGGAATTACAGGAAAGAAGGAAGCCTATAAAACTCCTAAAATCGGCCGAGTGCAGTGGCTCACGCCTGTAATCCCAGCACTTTGAGAGGCCGAGGCGGGCTGTTCACGAGGTCAGGAGTTCAAGACCAGCCTGGCCAACATGATGAAAACCCGTCTCTACTAAAAATACAAAAATTAGCTGAGTGTGGTAGTGCGCGCTACCTGTAATCCTAGCTACTGGGGAGGCCGAGGCAGGAGAATTGCTTGAACCCGGGAGGCGGAAGTTGCAGTGAGCTAACATTCCGCCACTTTCCTCCAGCCTGGGCCACAGAGCGAGACTCCGTCTCAAAAAAAAAAAAAAAAAGAAAAAGAAAAAGAAAAACGGCGAAGTACGATCTCCCATACACTCCACTGGAAAAGGGAAGAAAGTCTCAGATGGGCATGCGTATAACTCCCAAAACACATTGCGCATGTTCAATTCCAAAGGGTACAGAAAGCACTGCGCATTCGGAAATCCCAAGGGAGGAATTATAGGAAAGACATGAGCTTGTAAAAGTGCTAGGATCAGCCAGGCGCGCTGGCTCTGGCCTGTAATCCCAGCTAGCACTTTGGGAGGTCGAACCCGGGAGGCGGAGGTTGCAGTGAGCCAAGATCACGCCATTGCACTCCAGCCTGGGCAACAAGAGCAAAACTCCATCTCAAAAAAAAAAGTAAAGAAAAGAAAAGAAAACAACCAAGGCTCAAAGAAGTAATTCTGGGAAGTAGGAGGCCAACATAATAGAGGTGTGTAGTGTAGGAGCTCAGAAACAGTGCCCCAAAAGGAAGGCCTTAGAAGCACAAATTTCTCTTTGCTCTTCTCCTGCCCTCCTGTCCGTCTTTCCCATTCTCCTCCGAGTCTATCCATAAAGAGGGAATTCCTCTTCCCCAAGGCAAGTCATAGAAACCAGAACCCCTTTTCTTCAAAGCCAGTCATAAAACATAAAAATATTACTCGAATTTTTCCTTTGTTTATAAGAACTGGACGTGAATAAATTACCTGACATTCCTTGTTTGACTGTGGGTCTTAAGATCCCCATTTCAGAGAGAGCCCTGCCCTGCACCTAGAAGGAAGAAATGCATATTCATAGAGGCTGAGAAGAATCTAGACAGAGAGGCCTTGCTGGATTCCCCCACCCAGTCTACGAACATTTGATCATGGTCTTTTTATTTAATCATATTTTTAAATAGCTGTCTATCCTTTGCAGAACCTAAGCATAAAAGTGGGCAACTTCAGGCCAGACGTAGTGACTCATGCCTGTAATCCCAGCACTTTGGAAGGCCGAGGCGGGCAGATCATGAGGTCAGGAGTTCGAGACCACGCTGGCTAATATGATGAAACCCCGTCTCTACTAAAAAAATACAAAAATTAGCCAGGCATGGTGGTGCATGCCTGTAGTCCCAGCTACTCGGGAGGGTGAGGCAAAAGAATCGCTTGAACCTGGGAGGCGGAGGTTGCAGTGAGCCGAGATCGTGGCACTGCACTCCAGCCTGGGTGACAGAGAGAGACTCCATCTCAAACAAACAAACAAACAAACGAACAAAAAGTGGATAATTTCCCCCGTATCTTTGGGTCTTCATTCTGAAGGCTCCCATGTCACGTGAAACTATGATAAAGTAAACTTGTGCTTTTGTCTCGTTAATCTGCCTTTTATTCATGATTTTCAGCAAACCTTCAGAGGGTGAAGGGGAAGTTTTCTCTTGGCACTGATAGTACCAAGTATGTGAACAGTGTATGCTGGACACAGGTGAGCAGGAGCAGATGGGGGAAGGGTAGACGTAGCCTGGGAGCAGGGAAGCTTCAGAAGGCAGCTGGCATTTGAGCCAGGCTTCAAGCTGGTTGAAATTTTAACAGAGGGAGACTTGTGAGAAAGAGATAAGCCCTCCCCAGACAGAGGGATGAGCAATACGAAAGACATAAAATTCAAATTGCGTTTCAAAAAATTGCAGGCAGTGGGACAATGGATGCAAGATAGGGTGTGTGTGTGTGTGTGTGTGTGTGTGTGTGTGTGTGTGTGTGTAGAAGGTACAAAAGGAAAATAAATCTTGTGGCCCCCAAATCACTAAACCAAGGGAAAAATCAGGCTGGAAACTGTCAGGCAAACCTGCCTCCCATTTTATTCCTAAATAAGATAGCTAGAAATATAAAAGAGCTACATACCTCCCTTACAATTTGTCCACAAGGAAATTCCTTGTGGGCCTCAAGATCTTTATCCTAAGACATTTCTGTTGAATTTCACCCTGGCAATGTAAATTGATGGCTGATCTTCCCAGGTGCAGGACAGAAAGTCATGCCTCTGCACACCTAAGACAAATGCATATCTGATTGCTTCCTCTGCCCTGTTGTTTATGTAAAAATGCAGATTCACTGACTAAATTGCATATTCAGTGAAAGGCTGATCAAGGACTTAAAAGAATGCATCCGTTTGTCTCTTATCTACCTATGACTTGGAAGCCCCTCCCCTTCCAATTGTCCCGCCTATCTTATCGGACCAAACCACTGTACACCTTGCACATATCGATTGACGTCTCACGTCTCCCTAAAATGTATAAAAGCAAGCTGTACCCTGACCACCTTGGGCACATGTTGTCAGGACATCCTGAGGCTGTGTCACAGTGTATCCCTAACCTCAGCAAAATAAACTTTCTGAATTGATTGAGACCTGCCTCAGATATTTTAGTTTCACAAAGGTAAGACTGCAGTGGAAAAAAACAGATACCAGGGGTCCAGATGGACTGGGGCTAAAATCTCAGCTCAACTCAGCCTTCTCTTGGCTGGGCTCCACATTGCCTTGTTGATCAGCTGTCTCTTTTCTGTAAGACTACCTCCTCTGTTCTCTGTTCTCTGAGATTCCTTCACCCTCAGGCCCTCCCATATTTTGCAGAGCAATCTAGACTTGGGCCTATCTTCATATTCATAAACACAAAAAATATCTCTGTTAAGGCCAACTCTCAAATATCCTGAGCTTCAGCCTCCAAGCAGCACAGAATTTCAAGTAGAAACTTTCACACTTCAAACTCTTCCTTTTCTCTTCTACACCAGCCTGTCTACATGAAAGAGATTTCTTTTACCCTTCCTATAACATAAATAGTCTCCCCATCCCCCTTCCCCAGGAGGCAAATTGTCAATAGTCTGGGTTTGTAGGAATCAGAGTCTTTTTTTTTTCAATATGACGACCCAAGACTATTTTGCTGAATCCTTATTGCACCCCTGTGAGCTAGGTATTGTTATCCTGTTTCTTAGAAGAGAAAACTGAAGCCCATGATCACATAGTACGTAAATGACAGGGCTGGAACTAAAACTCAGGGCTGCCTGAGTCCAAGAATAAAATAGTTCTTGCCCAACAGCAATGAGAAATAGAAGAGTGACATGTCTATCTCATAATCAAGAGATTAAAGGCTCATATTTTAAGACAATTGAAGGTTCAAAAACACTGCAGAGAATGGATTATTCCCCTCTCCTTCCACTGTAGCCATATTAAATATTAATTCCTTTTGTCTTTGCAGATACAGAAGTTGACTAAGACACACATCATGAAAAATGCAAGGTGAAGTTTCACTTTAATTTCAGCTTTTGTATTGGAAATGCATTTGGATGACTTTCTTCCCTACTGCTGGGATTGAACATTTGATCTTCTTTGCCCTTGGTCGGTGTCGACCAGAAGAACGTGGGTGTCTGCGAGGTAGCAAGAGATCAAGGACAAGTTCCCATCAGGAGCCTGACAATCCCAGCTCCAGGTGTCAACAAACATTGTGTTTTAAATATTTTTAGGAGACAAGAGGACCTGAAAAGGAGTCCTTTCTGGCCGGGGGTTATCTAGGTCTTGGGAGAGGTGTCAGGAGGGATAGCTGGGGCCGCTGGCGTCAAAGGACCCAACAGGACAAAGGAGGGCCACTGGTGGCAAGCTCCTGAAAGGCCTGTTTGTTTTTTGTTTTGTTTTCAGTGCTGATTTCCACTATCTCTGTTGGGTCTATAAAAATAATAACTTTTACAGCTTTTATTTCTTGAAAGAAATACATATTCACGGCAGGATGTTTCAAAGATGTAGGCATGCAAAAAGAAGATAAAAATTAACTATAATCCAAGAAATGCCCAAGGATGATAAACACCCAAGTTACAGTAGTGTTTATCCCTAAGGGAAAGGGGAGGGAATGGGAATGGGAATGGGAATACCCAAGGGCCTTCAACTTTATTGGTAGTATTTTACTTATTTGCCTATTTACTCGGTTCATGGATACTTATACTTTTTCTTGGGATACCCAAGGGCCTTCAGTTGTATCGGTAATATTTTACTTATTTGCCTATTTATTAGGTTCCTGGATACTTATACTTTTTCTTTTCACACTTTGTTAGTATGTCTGAGATAATTCAGATTTTTTTTTTTTTTTTGAGATGGAGTCTCGCTCTGTCACCCAGGCTGGAGTGCAGTGGCATGATCTCGGCTCACTGCAACCTCCACCTCCTGGGTTCAAGTGATTCTCATGCCTCAGCCTCCTGAGTAGCTGGGGCTACAGGCACCAGCCACCACACTCAGATAATGTTTATCTTTTTCGTAGAGATGGGGTTTCATTCTGTTGGCCAGGCTAGTCTCAAACTTCTGACCTCAAGTGATCCACCCCCGCTCAGCCTCCCAAAGTGCTGGGATTACAGGTGTGAACCATCGTGCCTGGACAAGAATAAGTGTTTTAAAGTCATCCATTTTACTCATCATGGAAAACTCAGTGCCTGGCACAGCCTCTGCTATATAGTAGATACTTAATATATATTTCTTGAATGAATGAATGAATGAATGAATGAATGAATGAGTGAATGAATGAATGAATGACTTGACTGTGCGTTACTTCTGAGCTTCACTTTTCCCTCTTCTGGAAAACAGGGCTGGCAGTGTGTATCTTCCAAATTATCGTGAGAATTAGATTTCTATACTAGTTTCTATAGGATGTCTCACTGGGTACTCATTTGAGCATGGTTGACAGGTGAAAAATGGGCCTCACTGGCATGATTATTTTACTCCTCAAACATCCCTGGTCTTAGTTTATAAAGAGAAGTACCCACTTGTGTTACTATATTTTAAACATTTTTCTCTGCTTTTTTCAATGCAGGTGCGAATGGGAACACAGGGATATTCATTTTAATATAATTCCTTTGAACCTTAAAATGTGTACGATAGAAAACAGGGTGACATATATAATTTTACCTTTTCTTCCATCTAACTACTGTTTACAAATGTTGGTTGCTATGATTTAGCTCAGAAAACCTTTTCAAGGCTCAAGCAGTTAATTACAGCTGCCTTTGGGGCTGTGGAACCTGCTTCACAGAGATCAATAGCTTTGACTAGACTGGGAGGGAATAATTGTCACTCAGGCAGGAACAGCTGAATGTGAGTAACCCTAGGAACCAGTGTCTCTATAAGTCACATGCCTCAGTCCACGTTCCATTTGCAATAGCTTTAAAGAACCATAGTCCATACAAAAACACCCCTTATTTCCCAAAGGAAGATGGGTGTATTAGTCAGGGTTCTTCAGAGAAAGATAAATAATAGAAGATATATTTTAAAAAGATTTATTATAAGGTAGTTCAGGGGATTACGGAGGCTGGGAAGTCCCATAACCAGCTCTCTGTAACAGAAGACCCAGAAAGCCCATGGTATAGTTCCAACACCTGAGAGGCAGAAAGCCAATGGTATAGATTCCAGTCCCTGTTTGTCTGCCTGAGAACCAGGGGCATTGAGGGCAAGAGAAGACCGAAGTATCAGCTCAAGCAGTCAGGCAAAGATGGCTAATCCGCCCTTCATGTTTTTGTTCTATTCAAGCCCTCAATGGATTGGACAACACCCACCCACATTGGTGACGACAGAGCTTCTTTACTCAGTCTACCAAATCAAATGTTAATCTCATCCAGAAACACCCTCCCAGACACATCCAGAAATAATGCTTAACCAGATATCTAGGCATTCCATGACCCAGTCAAGTTGACACATAAAATTAACCATCACACCTAGCCTCCAATCTAAGGTGGAGGGGAGATACGTCTATTTGACCCAAAAATATTTATTGAGCACCTAATATATGCCAAGCGAAGCGATGTACTGGGCTCTGAGCAAGAATATAGTGGTGAACAAGAGATAAGATCCTTGCTCTCAAGCAACTGCCATCTTTATAGAAGAAAACAGAAGATAAACAAAGAAGAAGGAGAAAACAAAAAAATAGAGAAGAGTGGTTTTTTTCAATTATATTAAAATAGCATGAAATAGATAGTGGTTACTTGCTAATGATGAGAAAGCGAAATTTAATCTATGATCTGAATGACAAGAAGAAATCAGCTACACAAAATGCTGAAAGCATTCCAGGAAGAGAGCACAGCTCATGCAAAAGGCCCTGAGGTAGGAATTTTAGATTTTAGAAACTTATTAAGTAAGTGGAACAGTGGAAATAAAAACAGTCAGGAGGTAGAGATTCACCTTGCAAGGCATGGTAACGAGTTTTCATTTTATTCTAGGGGATACAGGAAGTCATTGGAGGGTTTTAAGCAATTGGATAATATTGGTGTGATTTATGGGGTTTTTTTTGAGACGGAGTCTTGCTCTGTCGCCCAGGCTGGTGTTGCAGTGGCATGATCTCTGCTCCGCCTCCCAGGTTCAAGTGATTCTCCTGTCTCTGCCTCCTGAGTAGCTGGGATTATAGGCACGCACCACTACGCCCAGCTAATTTTTGTATTTTTAGTAGAGACAGGGTTTCACCATGTTGGTCAGGCTGGTCTTGAACTCCTGACCTAGTGATCCACCTGCCTCAGCCTCCCAAAGTGCTGGGATTACAAGTGTGAGCCACCGCTCCTGGCCGATTTATGTCTTTTAAAAAATCACTCCGGCTTCTATGTGTGTGAAAGATATACTACAGGAGATGGGTGCAAAAGTAGTGAAATCATTCAGGAGGCTGTTGCAATAATCTCAATGAGACGTCATGGTGGTTTGGACAAGGGTGAGCTCAGCAGAGATGGGAAGAAGGAGACATAGTATAGTCCAAATTTGTTTTGAAAACCCTGGCTGCTGATGGAGATGATTTAGGAATAGTGCCCAGGTTTTTCTTTTTCTGCAAAGAAAATAATTTTTGTGGCATACTTTTAACTATCATTGGCCCTTCCCCACCTCATAATGACCAAAGTGAACTTTTTTTTTTAATATACCTGTATGAAGATAGTTCTAGTACTAAGATTTCTTATTTGCTCCATGCTTCCTGCCTCTCTGATTTCCTGGATCTTTTCTCTGACTTTAACTGCTTTTTGCCCCTCCTTCCCTCCAGTTCCTTCTCTCTGATCAGTTTTCTGCTCTGCATGTTTCCCTAATTTGGGCCCCTTCCTGCTAACTGGAATGCAGTCTTGATGGCTGGACATCAAGCAGCCATGTTAAATAATGAGGTGGAAGCCATTGCTGAGAATGATGGTGTAGAAAGACAAAGAGTTATGTTGATGAAGCATCCTTCACAGCTGTAGATGGCCTGCCACTGGACAGTTTCATGAAAGTGAGAATTGAACTTCTATCTTGTTTTAAGATATAGTTACATTGTTACTCCCAGCCAAACCTAGCCTGAACTATCACCATGCTAGGAATGATGAGTTTTGTTTTGAGACCGAGTCTTGCTCTGTTGCCCAGGCTGGCGAGCAGTGGCACAATCTCAGCTCACTGCAACCTCTCCCTCCCACATTCAAGCCAGTCTCCTGCCTCAGTCTTCTGAGTAGCTGGGATTACAGGCATGCACCACCACACCTGGCTTTTTTTTCTTTTATTTATTTATTTATTTATTTTGTATTTTCAGTAAAGACAGGGTTTCACCATGTTGACCAGCTGGTCTTAAATTTCTGATCTCAAGTGATCCACCTGCCTCAGCCTCCCATAGTGCTGGGACTACAGGCTTGAGCCACTGCACCCGGCCGGAATGGTGAGCTTCCTGCCTGTGTTTCTTCATGTCATAAACAATTATTTGCTTCCTTGTTTGAGCAGTAACTTGGCACTTCAATTCATTTCAGATTTATCACTTTTTTAAAGGCTTTGCTCACGTATCTTACTATGTATCCTTTGAAAGGAAGCATTTCTTCTTATCACTTCTGGCTCATTCCCATGACAAGCACAGTCCCCCTCAAACCAAGGAGAAAATAAATGTTTGCAGAATGAATAAATGAATTCAGTCATCAACTGTCATCTCTTGATTGAGCTCCCTAACTAGAAGAAGGGGTTTCATGTACTGCAGCTTGAATCCTATTGTAACAAGCACTAGTATATTTTAAACAACTGCATATCTTAAAGAGATGTTCTAATTCCTACCAGTAGTCAGCTATCAAAAAACAAACATACATTTATGGAGTGACCATGACATGCTCAGACCTAAGAATCCATATAAATCATAGGAAAACCCTGTACACAAAGGGCTTAGAGTCAGTTGTGGTATAATTTTTTTTTAATTTATAGATGGAATCTTGTCGTGTTATCCAGGCTGGGGTGCAGTGGCTGATCACAGGTGCAATCATAGCTCACTGCAGCCTCGAATTCCTGGAATCAAGCGATCCTCCCACCTCAATCTCCCAAGCAGCTGAGATATATGTTTACACAAAGAGAGAAAGGAAAATAAATCCTGCAGGAGGTTTAGCAATAACATAAAATCATTGGTTGATTTGGACAGAAAAGTTCAAACCTCTCACCTCCCCCAGAGTCTCTGCCCAGGCTCTGCAGAGAAAGATGGCTCAGAAGAGATGGGGTGCATATTATTGTCCTTTTCTTCCTTTCATGGATCATCATCTTAAGACTCACCTATTTAATAATCTGCCTGCAGGCCTTGGACACTGTCTTAGCCTTTGGAGAAACAAAATAAAGGCAGGGAAAGATGAAAGACAGGTGTTACTCCTTTCAGGTATGTGAAATTCAAGAGGTTTGGGACAGAGATGTCAAGGTCAGAGTTTATTTAAATGAATATAGCCACCAAACAAGTCTGAATTGGAAACCTCTCCATCTGTCTGACATTATGAGGGGTGAGAATCTGTTGGATAAAGGAGGGAAGGCTGTAAATGCATTTATCCAGTGGTCCTGATGGTGTTCACCTGGGCAGTTAAGGAGTGGAAGAGCGTTGGTAGCAGGAGACTGTTGGAGAAAGCCTCTCACGGTCGTGCTTGGTCCAATAACACCTCCTAAGATTTTGCCAGGCAACTGGTCTCTTTTTTAGCTTATGTTACCCCAGGGTCCTGTGGGCATAGCAACTGAGTGAGTCTTAATCCAATATGTTGGATAATGTGTCTGAAACATATTATAGATCAGTAATCAACGCTGGGACAAAATGAACTGAGACTTGCCCCTGGAAATATCAAAGAAGGAATAATAAAGTGCATGTGCGTGTGTGCGCACATGTGCACGCGTGCACACGTGCATGCGTGTATGTCTGTATAATGTATATATAAAGAACATATATGCAATATGCAATGTATATATGCATATACATATATATAGCGAGAGAGAATAAGACTTACTCTAAAATCAAAATGCAATATCCCTCAAAGGCCTACATTTGGAAAGCCCTTTTGCATTTTTTTCAGATGCCTGAATTAAGACATTTTTCTGTGTGCCACTAACTAGGGGAGAAAAAATTCTAAGACATCACAGTCAGAGACAGGAAGAAACAGAGGTAGAACAGGAGAGATGAAGTGAGAGAAAAGAGAGAGAGAAATTACAGATGACACTACTGTTGCCTATAACTATATGAAAGGCCATTGTAATATATCATAGAGTCATGGATCTCATGTCCCAGTTCACAGAAAGAAGAGACTCATGAATTTGGTCCATAAGAAATTCATTGCAATTAATACTAAGCAATGGTTTGGAATTAATTAGATGTGAGCCTTTCAAACAATAGTACTTCTGTGTGTGTAAGTGTGTGTGTGTGTGTGTGTGTGTGTGTGTGTGTGTGTTTTGGATTTTTTGGACTTTCTTTTCAATCTTAGAGCAAAGTTCTTCTATGGGAACTAGCCTAAAATGTACACACACACACACACACACTCACATACATACAAACACATACATACACAAACATACACATACACACACTCACATACACAGGTACACACACAGAAGTACAATTGTTTGAAAGGCGCACATCAGTTCCCCACCTTCTCCTATGCCATAATTGCTTCACTCTCTCCACGTGGTAGCCCCTTTCCCCTGGAAGATCACTGCCCCACAACTCGGGAATGCCTTTCTTGTTTGCCAGCCTAAGGAAAAAATTACTCTTTGCTCCCCCAGGGAAGATGTTAAAACTGAAAACCCGACTCTGAGTCTCATAGTCAGTTCAGAGCAGCAGTGCTGTTGACCTTGAGGGGTGACCACCTTCAATGTCACAGATTTGCTTATAGCATGTAGCAGGGCAGAAGAGACAGGTGGCATTAAGGAGAGCGTCAGATGGTGATGGCAATGCCAAATTCCGTACTGACGCTTGCGAGCATAGGATGTTGTTAAAAGATACATGAGTTAAAACTGATTCTGCAACTCACACGAACTGATTGAAAATATGCATTGAGAAGCATGCGTGCTCTCTTTATAGACTGCAATTGTCTTGTTCATTTATTTATCTTTCTCCCCTCCCACCAATTAGAATGTTGGCTCCAAAAGGGCAGGGTACTGGTCTGCCTTCTTCACTGCTATAGCTGCCACTGCCTGACACATAGCAGGTACATCATAAATGATGCCAGGAAAACACCAGAAGGAAATAAATCAGGAATTAATAGTGGTTACTCTGGAGAGAGATTATGCGATGGTTAATATTCTTTACATATTTTTGTCTTTTCAACTTTTCTGAATAATTTTTTTTCTAATTAGAAAAAAAGGAATGAATATGGCTTGGGCAAAATTCAAGTCATCACAAACATTGACATTAGTTAGGAAATTAATGCACATTCTTGGTCTGATGGTATATTGATGGCAATGATCTTATACATTCCTGTTTTTCATTTATTCATTCTCTCAATCATTCATTCAACAAATATTTATTGCACGCAGCCATGCATTGCCCCTTGTACCAGCAATGAAGAAGCTGTTAAAGGATTATTTTCAAATTTTCAGAAAAGATAAAATCATGATTGTCATACAGATGTAAAGTGAAAACATGTTAAACAATTTATTTAACTTATTAATAAATGAACTGGCAACACTTTAGCACCAGTTCAAAGGAGAATGCAAATATTAGACACAAGTATAGGGGAGGAATATTGAAATGAAAACCACCTTTGCAAAAATTATGACAGTGAGAAATATCTGAAAGAGAAAAATTATGATGATTGATATGGTTTGGCTATGTGCCCCCACCCAAACCTCATCTCGAGTTGTAATCTCTAAGTGTGGAGGGAGGAACCTGGTGAGAGGTGATTGGATCGTGGGGCGGTTCCCCCCATGCTTTTCTAATAGTGAAGGAGTTCTCACAAGATCTGATGGTTGATAAGTGGCAGTTTCTTCTGCTCTCTCTCTCTCTCTCGCCTGCCACCCTGTAAGATGTGTGTTGCCTCCCCTTCACCTCCAGCCATGATTGTAAGTTTCCTGAGGCTTCCCAAGCCATGTGGAACTATGAGTCAATTAAACCTCTTTTCCTCATAAATTACCCAGTCTCAGGCAATTCTTTATAGCAGTGTGAAAACGGACTAATACAATGATGAAAGAAACCTAACCTAACTAACTCCATCTTGCCTTTAACCTCCAAGCTGCCCTTCTTTATTCCTGGGCATAGGGTATCTAACTTTGGGAGGAATTTAGGTTATAGTTTAACTTTAAAACAAAGGTAATTACAGCTTCTCCCTGAAACAAACCTTCTTGCTTGGGGACCAGACTGCCTTTGTAAGACTAATAAGTTAGTCACAAGATTAGAAATTGTGGTTCAGGAGTCATGCAGCCAGGGGCCGCAAGATTCCTAATCTTCCCAATTGCTCCTGTAGATAGCATTTCTTTTTCTGGTTTTTTTTTTTTTTTTTTTTTTTTTTGGTTAGATGCAGTTTTGCTCTTGTTGCCCAGGCTGGAGTGCAATGGCACGATCTCTGCTCACTGCAACCTCTGCCTCCTGGGTTCAAGCAATTCTCCTGCCTCAGTCTCCTGAGTAGTTGGGATTACAGACATGTGCCACCATGCACAGCTAATTTTGTATTTTTAGTAGAGATGGAGTTTCTCCATGTTGATCAGGCTGGTCTCGAACTCCCAACCTCAGGTGATCCACCCGCCTCGGCCTCCCAAAGTGCTGGGACTATAGGTGTGAACCACTGCTCCCAGCCAGATAGCATTTCTTTACAAAACCTAAGATTGGTGTTCAAGATATTTTTCAGACCCTGCATTCTGATAGACAAGCTGGTGCCACCCAGACTCATAAACTGGCTCATCTGGTCTTGTGTCCCCCAACCCCCACCCCAGAAACTGACTCAGCACAAGAGGGACAGCTTTGACCCTGTATGGTTTCTTCCCCAACCCAGCCAAGCAGCATTCCACATTCTCTAGCCCCCTGCCTGCCAAACTATCTTTAAAAAACCCGAGTCTCCAAATTATCAGGGAGGCTGATTTGAGTAATAATAAAACTCCAGTCTCCTGTTTATTCCACTCTACACATATTAAACTCTTCATTGCATTTCCCTTGTCTCAATAAATAGGCTCTATCTGGGCAGCCGGCAAGAAGAACCCTGGGACAGTTACAAGTTGAATATGCAACTGGGGACAAAACTGGCCTCTTCTACAGTGGGGAACCTCCACTGTACAGAATTGAACCTCTACTCCACCAAATTTTTTCATGTCTACAGTCAGGAATTATTTTCCTTTGCTATCAGTTATCTACGACTTAGAGAGTTGTCAAATGGCTTGACACATTGAAGGGCTAGCATTCAATCACCTAGAAGAGCACGCTTTAGACAATGGATAATTTTCCATTGAAGCACAATTTTTTTCTTTAACTAGAAAGATAATTAAGATATAGTCTCTGACTTCTCATGTGGTAGCTGGGAAAACTGGCTTAAACAAAAGACCTGTCTTTCTCTGGACAGGAAGAGAATCAATCCTGGTGCCGCTCCTCTTCTGTTTAGAAGGTCACTGTGAAAGAAACTCCTATTTAAAGAATGGCTCTTGTCCAAAGAAATGGGGAAAAAATGTATAATTTGTTTATAAAGAGCACTTTAAATCTTTTTGCTTTAACAATTTTTATTAGAAATTAATAAACCAATAAGTACTCATAAAATAAAATGCAAATCATAAAGAAATATATGGAAAGAAAAGAAAAAAGCATCCTTGACCGCCTCCCTTCTACCAATCCTATTTTCTCACCCATTGGCAACGCTACTAGT